>NC_000008.11:97589222-98214222 GCF_000001405.40 Homo sapiens | reverse complement strand
CATTACACTCCAGCCTGGGCAACAGAGTGAGACTCCATCTCAAAAAAAAAAAAAAGATGTTAAAACAAAAATAAAACTGAGAACTCAAAATTACACTAAAGTTCTTAAGGACAGGAAAATTTTAGACTTTCAGTCAATTAATATTTATTGAACAGTTTATTAGACATTAGGTCTTTTTTGGCAACTTATTCATAATAAATTTGAGGTGTGATTTACTCATTAATTCCATCAGTACTCATTGAGTGACCGACTGTATGCCAGGCACCAGAGATTGGGTGGCAAAAAGAGTAGGTAAGATTCCTGTTCTAGGGCTGGCATTCTAGTAGGGAAGACAGACAAGAAACACATAAACATATGAACAAGAAATGATGACGGCAAAATGCTCCACAGCAACCTGAAGCTGGGGGTGTGACAGGATAATGAGTGGCTCTGTTAGATCAGAAGAGTGAGAAAAGAACTCTCAGAGAGGTGGCATTTGACCTGTGAGCTGAGTGACTTGGAGGAGGCATTGTGCAAAGATCAGTGAAAGAGCATTCCAGGCAGAGTGAACAGTTAGTGCAAAGGCCCACAGGCAGGAGCAATCTGAAGATTGCAAAGAACTAGGAAAAAAAAAAAGAATTTTTAAAAATTGCCATGAGGCTGGCACAGAGTGGACCATCCAGGAGTGAGTGGTACAAAATTAGGTCCAGGGAGTTGCCTATGACTTTATGATCCAGGAGGGAGTTTGGATTTTATTCTAAATGTGATAGGAAACCACAGGAGGTTTCAGCAAAGGAATGAATGGGTCTAGTTTATATTTTTACTACATGCATCATCCTGGAAGAATGTCACAAATATAATACATGGTGAAAAAAAGCAAGCAAGTGAAAGCAAGTATGATTCCACTTGTATAAAGTCCAAACATGCAAAAATAAACTGGGTACCATTTAGGGACATATAAAAATGTGATAAACCATAAAGAAAGTGAATGATAAACACAGATTTTCCGTGTAGTGGTTCCTGGGGAGGTTGAAGGAGGAGGGGAGTGCAGCTGGAGAGGGGCACATGAGAGACTTCAGAGGTGTCGGTACGTTCTGTTTCTTAGGTTGGGTAGAGACTCTGTGAGTGCCTGTCATATTACTCTAAATCCCTTTGATGTGCATCATATATGTTCTCTATGAATAAAATATTTCATTATCCAAATTGTGTTTTTAAATGATTCCTCTGGCTGTGGAATGGCTGGATTATAGAGAGGCAAGAGTAAAATCAGAGATGAGTTAGAAGCAAATGCAGCTGTCTAGAGAGGAAGGCAGGGAGTGAGGGAAAGGGGTTTGGGGTTTGTGCAACACGGAGTGTGGGAATGCCACTAACTGGCAGGCAAAGGCCCTGGAGGAACAAGCTGGGAAGGTAGGGAATCTAGTGGGAGGTGTTACCCACATTATTGTGGCGTGTCTATTAAACATGCATGTGGAAATGTCTCATAGATACTTGGGGAAATGAGGCTGAACTTCCAGGGAGGTTAGGACTGGAGATCTAGATTTGGGCATCCCTGGCAGAGAGGGACGTTCGAGCTCTGGGTCTGGATGGCCGAGGTGCTTATACTGCTCTCCTGTGTCATCCCTAGGAACCTCAGTCACCCTCAACGCTCATATGAGAATTGCTGCAAAATCAAAATGAGAAGTGTGACATTTTGAAGACTTTGCATAGAATAACTTACTCTTTTCCATCTTTTTCATTTCTAGATTTTAGAAATATTAATTTTCTGCATTCTCCTGTATTTCTATAAAAGAAAAGGAATGAAGCATATGGTGATTCTGCTAACCCTGGTGGCAATTCTAGGTAAAGGCATATTTTGTTTTCTTATTCTTTAATTGAGCTGTGCTGAGTCATAAATGAGGTTTGAAGGAAAATACTTAAGCATTCTACTCCTTTCTCATGGTTTATATTTTTCAGCTCTGATCTATAGGAAGAAACTGAGTCTAAATTATAAAAATTATATGTTGCCTGTCCATTACTGCAATTGATATATATTTAATTTTTAAAAAATACATTTAAGGATTTTTTGCTTCTTGATAACTTTATTTGCTCCCTGATAATTTGAAGATATTTTGTTAATAAGTAATTGAAAATCTTAAAAGAGAAACAAATTAATGATCCCAATTAAAACTCTTGTGTCAGGAATTGGTTAGCAAGACCTATACTATTTATATTTTCTTTAAAAACTCTATAATATGACTAATACGAAATGTAGATGTAAGCAGTATGATTTTCTTAAATATCACATTTCTTTCATTCATTGTTTACCAACCCATTTACTTTGTTTTTCCAGAGGCACCTTGTTAGAGTTGAAAATGAGTGCTTAGATAAGCCCACTATGTATTTTTAATGTATCTTCCCTCCCTTCTCCTTTTCTGTGTCTTTCTGTCTCTCTGTCCCTGTCTCTTTCTTTCTCTCTCTCTCTCTTTCCCCCACCCCTACACACACACACACACACACACACACACACACACTTTCTCTCTCTCTCTCTCTCTCACTCATATATACCAACACTAGGAGATCTCACTAATCATTTAGGAAATTCCCTTTAAAAAAATGTATTTGTAAATCTTCATTTCCTCTTAGCCAGTCAGATGGCCCACACATCATGTGCTGTTTGCCATGACTTGGAAGGCTGTACTCATACCCCTGGGGCAGTATGCAGCCTCCATGTTAACGAGGTGCTGGGTTTTCATGTTCCTATCTCATCAACTAGTTCTCTCCTTTGTACTAGAAAATTTGTGTTTTTGATAGTTACTTATAGAAACAGATGTACTCTGTGCTATATTCAGGTATGCTATAGATCAAGAGAACAGAAAGAGAACTTTATATTTGTTTCTTTCCAAATTACCAAGTAGGGAAAACAAAAGCAGACAACTAAGAAACAAAATGTACCTTATATAAGAAAATAATGAAAATGAAGCCAACTTTAAATAGGAATGTAAGATAACAGAATTAAGATAATGCATAGCAGTTATGATAATAAATGTAAATGGAATACGTTTACCTAGTAAAAAAAAGAAAAGAAATATTCTCAAATTGGACATCAGGGAAACTTCCAGATTGATTTTGAAAATGATTCTGAAATTGGATTCAGCCAATTTGCACTAGTACAGCTGTAAGGATTATTCAAATAGCAGCCACCATGCTTCCTTCCCCTAATATCTGCTCCTCTCAACCCCAGCCCCGTCATGATAAATACTAAGACAGGGGTTCTCCAGGACCCTCTTCCAGCAGTGCCACAGCCAGCACCCTTTCTGATTGGCCCTTGCAGGTTGCGAAGTGTTTTGGCTACATGCATAAATTTTCATCTAAAACAAGGTAAATCAGCTTGAAAGTAAAACAAAGCAGGAGGTCATGATATTACTAAATGAAAATTAAGGCAGAAGATATTAAGTGAGATAAAAGGGGTAATTTATCCTGACAAAAAGAGCACAATCCACAAAATATCATATCCAATATGCAACAGAAAATCTGCAGAAAATGCAAAACTACACTAACAGAAATATAAGGGGGTTAGGAGACTTCTCTCAGCTCATGGAAGATAATTAGACAGAAACCCATATAAAGACAGAGGATCTGAATAATTAATCATGAACTGGTACCTCTAATATTGAACTCTAAATCCTGAAAACAGAGAATAAACTTTCTTTCAAGTGCCTGTGTAACGTTTACAAAAGTTGATCCTATAATTGGCCATAAAGAAATCCTTGATAAATTCCAGGAAGTTGAAAGAATACAGACCACATCCTCAGATCACAGTGAAATAAAAACAGAAAAATAATAACAAAAATAGAAACCAGTAAAACCCTACCACCTGGAAATGTTAACACTACCCTTAAACTGCAGCTGTGCAAAGTACAAACCAAGATTTAATTGCAGCATATTTTTAAATTATTATTAAAGCACTTAATATTAAACCTAGAGTTCATGACTAATGCTGTATTCAGAGAGATTGATTGCTTTAAATGTAAGTCAATTAAGCATTCAACTCAAGAAATTAGAAAAAATACTGAAATAAAGCTAAGGAAAGCAGAAAGAATTAATTAAAATTAATTAAAAAGGCAAAAATTAATGAAATAGAAAAGAGAAAAGTAATGGATTTATAACTAAACACAACATGTTCTTAAAAGACAACTAATAAAATAGATCCTCCATCAGAAAAAAAGAAAAACCACAAATACCCCAAAATAGAAATGATAGATAGATATGCATATATATAAATTTGAATGAATTGCTTATTTTTTAATGAAAATAACTATGGAGGAAATAAAGGAGTTGTTAAAAAGCTATATCCTAAAAAAGAACCAGGCCTAGAGAGTTCCAAAGGTAATATCTTCAAATCCTTAAGGAATAGATTATTCTGATGCTGTTGCAACTATTTGAGGACATAAGAAGAAAGCTTTTACTTTTTAGAAAACATAATCAGATGAGACTCACCTCCCAAAATGGGAAACAAAATAGGACAAACAAAAAACACTATGAACTAATATCACTGCTAAATATTGATACAAAAATCCAAAAAAAAAAAATTAGCAAATAAAACAGAGCAAATCATACTCAGTGACAAAATGGTCTTTGTTTTGTTTTGAGACAGAGCCTTGCTCTGTCACCCAGTCTGGAGTATAGTGGCACAATCATAGCTCACTGCGGCTTCAAACTCCCAGCCTCAAGTGATCCTCCTACCTCAGCCTCCTGAGTAGCTGGGACTACAGATGCGTGGCATCATGCCTGGCTAATTTTTTTTTTTTTTTTTTTTTTTGGAGAGACAGGGTATCCCCATGCTGCCCGGGCTGGTTGCAAACTCCTAGGCTCAAGCAATCCTCCTGCCTCACCTTCCCAAAGTGCTAGGATTACAGGCATGGGCCACCACACCTGGCCCAAGTGGTCTTAATAAAACTGGTTCTTCTCTGTAACACTTACAACAATTTGCACTTACATATTCTACTTATATGTTTATATGCTGTTATGAGCCCCTCTTCCTGGCCAGATTAGAGCATGTCTATTATTTACAGTATATATTCTTTAAGTAGAATTGAGCACAGTAATCACACAGTAAACATTTGAATTTAATTAACTATGGGAATGAAAGAAGGATTCTTTAAGAAATTCATTAATATAGTTCATCAAGTTTCATATGCACTCCTGATAAAGAACTTGTTGGTGAAATACCAGAAGCGTTCTCATTACAGCAAGAAATGAGAACCAAGATGCTCACTCTGCACTGTGTGCTCATCTTGAATATTGTAAATGAGCATTAGTACGTTTTAAAAAAGTAATTATGAAAGTCATGTTGTATCCATGAGACGTAACAAAGTACATGATATTGCTTGTGTGATTGATAAAAAATGGAATTAAAAAAAAGAAAATAGCAAGTGAGGGTAGTCAGAAGAAAGAAACCTGGCTTCTGGCGAGTGGCCCACTTTGCCAGTAGTGGTGATCATTCTTAAAGGACTCCAGGCCTGGTGTGATGGCTCACACCTGTAATCCCAGCACTTTGGGAGGCCATGGCAGGTGGATCACCTAAGGTCAGGAGTTTGAGACCAGCCTGGCCAACATGGTGAAACCCCAGCTCTACTAAAAATACAAAAATTAGCCAGGTGTGGTTGTGGGTGCCTGTAATCTCAGCTACTCAGGAGGCTGAGGCAGGACAATTATTTGAACCCACGAGGTGGAGATTGCAGTGAGCCAAGATCGCACCATTGCACTCCAGCCTGGGCCACAAGAGCAAAACTCCACATCAAAAAAAAAAGTACTCTAACGCCTCTGGGTTGATCAGGAAACCAGGAAGGCCAGGAAGTCCTTCTCTATCCATGGAATGCTTTGGTTATCAGAGACAAATTAGTAAATAAAATGTTTATGGCTCTCATAAGGAAATGTTGATGGCAACCTAGAAAAATTTTTGAAAGGAGGTATATTGATGAAAATCTAAGAGGGAATTGAGAGGGCCAAATTTCAAAAACAGGTCAGCACATGTTTAGAAAAAATGGTGTTGTTCTAATGATGAAAGTATACATGGTAATTATTGACAATTACGAAAATAGAGAAAGATACAAAGAAAAATACAAAAATCTGTGCAATTGAGCACTGTACAACAGAGTGTGACTGGTACTCTCTGGAAGGCAGTTTGCTAGTATATTTCACAAGCCTTCACAGTGGCTGTAGTCAGGAATTCCCCTTTGGTGGTTTTCCTAAGGAAATAGGCAGAGTGATAAACAAAGACTTACGTTCAAGAATATTCATCACAGCCCCGCTTTTAATAGTTAAAAAAAAAATGGATACAACCTAAATATCCAAAAATAGGGAATTGCCAAAATAAATTCATACAAATTCATGGTTTAGAAGAATACTTAATGAAATAGAAAATACTTTAGGTAAATAGGTTCCTAAGTGGTATATACTTGGAAAATGAGCTCCTAAGTAGCATATACCTTATGATTCACATGTTGTAACCTATTCATACTTATAGATAGGAAAATAACAACATGTCCAAATGTCAAAAATGATTTGAGGTGAGTGCTGAAACTACAGGCAATTTTAATTTTCCTTTCCAGGCTTTCCCACATTTTCCAAAAATTTTTAAATGAATATGTTTACTTTTGTAGATTTTTTTAATGAATTTCAAGTTAATTCATTATCCCAGTGCTAGAGATAACCACTGACAATATCTTGATGTAGTTTATTCTCATCTTTTTTTCTGTGCTTACCTAAGTACCTTCTATTTTTAAGTATAATGTTAGAAGAACACTGCATTACAATTATGTATTTCCACCTATCCTCATCAACCACCCCCCAAAAATACTTAGAAGTACTCAACACCAGCCTAGAAATAATTTACAGGTTAAAATAGTGATTAATCAGTTGACAATTGTGCATGCTTTGAAAATGTAACGATTGGCTACAGAAATTGATAGTTTGTTTAGCTATCAATAACAGAGAATTCTAGTTTTGTCTTTGTCTTGTGTTTAAGTATAATATAAAATCAGATAGTGGTTAAATCAGATGACCTTTAAGGTCCTTTGCAATTCTGAGGTTCTGAGGCTAATGGAACAGTACGTTCAACTCCTTCTCCATTAATTGTCCCGTTGGGAAACCTGGCTGTTCAGACCACAAGATCATAATCACACTGTGTTCTAATTTCAGGCAGTGTTTAGAAGGAAATCAAGGTCCCTCAAGAGCTAACCTACAAACTTAAACCATCAAGTGACACACAGATCTCTATAGATATTTAAAATGCCTAGTTTAGCTAAGATGTGGCTACTAGCATAATCAGTAGGAAATATGTAAAAGAATCAGGTCAAAAGACATCTTAAGATGGAGAAAGGCCTGATTGTAAGGGCCTCTTTGTTGAGAAGTGGGGTTTGTTTTTAGAATTTATCACCTGATCTCCTCTGTCAATTATGATTTTTTTTTCCTTTTTTTTTTTTTTTTGAGACAGAGTCTCGGTCTGTCACCCAGGCTGGAGTGCAGTGGCCCTCTGCGAACTCCGCCTCCTGGGTTCACGCCATTCTCCTGCCTCAGCCTCCCGAGTAGCTGGGAATACAGGCATCCACCACCATGCCCAGCTAATTTTTTGTATTTTTAGTAGAGACAGGGTTTCACTGTGCTAGCCAGGGGATGGTCTCGATCTCCTGACCTCATGATCCGCCCGCCTTGGCCTCCCAAAGTGCTGGGATTACAGGTGTGAGCCACCGCGCCCGGCCAATTATGATTTTTAACTAAAAGAAAATGCCTAATTTGGAAGTGTGCCCTAGTACCCTTCAAGTTAAAGTATATTTTCAGTTTTTGGAAAACGATATTATGGGAGGCTTTTCTTGGCTGGCCACCACTTGCTGTTTTAAATATATATATATTTCAAATACATACATACATACATACATATATATATATACACACACACACATACATAAAATACCTTTTCAAATAAAATGAAGGAAACTCAGATATATTATGACCAAGTAGATCAACAGCAACAAAAGGAGTATTTCTCCTTCGCATTGCCTTTGACTTATAGTTTTTTTATTTCATGTAAAAATTATTTTTGAACTTTCAGTGAGTTTTAGCTAAATTATGGAATTATTTGCAACAGTAACTTCGAGGGACATAAGACAGAAAGCATTCTTTTCTTCCTTACAGAAAGATGATGTTGCCAGAAAATGCTCCATTACTTTCATAGTGATATAACCTTATCAAGTTACTTTTTCTTAATTGCTGTTTGGAACCTACGAAAAGTTTGTTCTCATAAGGGATGAGTTCCACTTTAGCATAGAACATAAATAGCTATTGCTTATGTAAACCTTAAATTGATGGTCCACCCTGAGAAATGAATACTCAACTCTGCTCCTGCTTCCAATTATTGTCATTGTCAAAAATATTCTTAATGAAACTTCTAGGTGTCTCCTAACAAAAGGGCTCACATATAGACTTAGTACAACTCACTTGATTTTAGCCAAAAGGCTGAGAAGCAATGACTTAGTACAACTCTAAGTAAACTCAAGAAGTGAGTTGCATTTCACTTTCCAGTCTTCTCATCTACTTGGTTTTTAAATTTTCAGTATAGTTTAATAGTTATTTTCTCATTAATGTCACATGGACAATCTGACTTTTCTTATCTCCTCCCTCCATTGTTTTTGCCTTTCCCATCTACTAGTAATTATAACCTCCACAGCATTCTTTCAACAGTTAGGGATGGAAAAGAAGCATCTTGCTCCACAGATAAAAAAAAAAAACACACAGTCACACAGCAGATCTTTAGCTGATTTAAGCAAATTTGATATCCAGCACGGCTCGAGCAACAAGGCCACTGCTTACTAATGTCACATCCCTTCCTACACCTCTCACAACTGTGTTCATTCTTAAACCATAATTGGTATATTTGCTACTCTACTACATAAGCTTAAGATATTTGTTAATTCAATCTGAAATATGTTCTTTATTTGTGTTTTTTGTTTTCTTTTTCAGCCTCATTGACTGTTATTTCAGTAAAGGCCGTCTCAGGCATGATCACTTTTTCTGTGATGGATAAAATGCAACTAACTTACCCCATTTTCTATATCATGTTTATCATCATGATAGCATCTTGTGTTTTCCAAGTCAAGTAAGTTAGCTTCTGCATACTCACTAATCTTTCAACATTCCGGTGCTTCTCTGGGCATTAATCTTTACTGGCTTCAGATGATAATTAAAATGAGATACAACTGATTTCTAAGGGTGAAGGGCCTGTAGCTTGTCCTCAGCCAACATGCCTTGCTTCCTCCTTTGCATCCAATAATGAGTTTTTATGAAGCGTTGCCTTCATGTCTTGTGAGTTCTAAAGCGCAGCCTTAATCCAGCTAAGTGCACTTTGATACTTTCCTGATGCTCTTCTGCTTGTAATTAATATCTGTGGTACACAGGTTGTCATTAGCAATAAATCAAAGGGGCAGGTCCACATCCAGGCTTTCATTCTAAATATAGGACACACATGAACCCTTCACCTTCATTTCTTAGCTCATGCTCACTAATTGCCCAGAGAAGGACGAAACCAGACATTTGGCCGGGAGGGAAATCCTTTCCCCAAAATTTTGCATCTTTGGCCAGAATTTCCTTTGTATCCATGGGATTGCGGAATGATTGTTTTATGTTTCTCTTGAGGCCTAATAGTGGTGACATGGAACGTTTTTAATTTCTGCTCTTCCCTGCCCCCACTCCATCAACTCTAATCACTTCCCCTCTATCTCTCACATTGGGATTGTGCCTTTGCCTGCTGGGCTTTCTTGAGTTGACCTGAAAGTTTTCTGTTCACCCCAAAATGCTATGCAAAAGCACCATCCCAGATAAGAAATCAGAGCTCAAAATCAGTACAAGAGTGGTTCCTTCTGTAGGTGTGAGAAATACCGTCTAATTGTTATGGGCTGAAGATAGGCCCTGTTACAAGGTCTATGGAGAATTACTGGAAAAACCCAATGTTTTGTCACTGGTTTGTCATCTCCTTATAAGCCTGTGTTTCTAATACTTGCATTTGCTATTTCATTTATCTGTTTCTTCTGAATTAATTGGTACTGCCACAGTATCTTTTGGGATTAGTGGCATTATCTTCATACCATACTTTGTAAATTTGACAGGCAGACACAATTGGGGGTAAACTGCATCCTGTCACCCTTGTCTCAGTCTCCTGCACCCATCACACTGTACGACTGTGGTTCTCAGCCCTGGTTGCCCATTAAAATGACCTGGTTTTTGTACATACATATGTACATGCATGTATATGACCTGGCTTTTGTACGTATATGTACTTGCAGGCATACATGCACATACATGCATTTACGTATACCTACATATGTGTATGTACACACACACACACACACACACACACACACACAGGCTCTACCCACAAAGTACTTTTTTCAATTTCTCTAGAGTAGGACCTAAGCATTAGTGCTTTTTAAAAGCACCCTGGTGATAGTGCAATTCACTGCTTCAAAAAACAATCTAGTCCCTAGCAGGGCAGCACAGCACAGTTGTGGGAACTGCATTTGTGTTGGTGGCCAGAATGAGAAGCTGAGCTCCCACATGTGCTCTGCAGCTGGAGCACTGAGCATTGTTTTTGAAACATTAAACATTCCTTTACTTCTCCATCTTCTTTCTTGGCACGTGGCATGTCAATGGATAGCTCTACTATTCCCCAGATATGATATTTAACAGATTCTGGGGTCTATCCTAATGAATCAGGCCCAGTGTGATACTGGTCCAGCAGCTTGAATCGCTTCCAACTCAAACTTCTGTGGCCTCGGAATATGATTAATTGCTTTTCATTGTTACTGTTGTTGGTTTAAACAGACCATAGAACCTGACATCTGATCTCATACATCAGATGCATATAAGCTATGACTGCTGATTGGAAATGCCCTTTCACTGCACCTCCTTTCCCTTTGTAGTTGTAGCTAAAGAACACGTGTTTCTTGAAGTTATTGTTAACTTATTGCTGAATGTCTCCTAAAGCCAAAGCTCCAGTAAGTGCCTTCTGCCCTAGGTTCCTGAATCAAGCCACGAAACTCTACAATACGACAACAGTGGTGCCAGTTAATCATATTTTCTTTACAATCAGTGCCATCATTGCAGGTGAGTTTTGGTTTTCTATACATTGGTGATTCCAAGCATAAATGAAGTTTCTCCCAGAGTAAATGAGAGAATCCAGAAATCTTTAGGTTGTAAGGATCTGTGTTGCCTCCACCTGGTGTCTGAATTTCCCCTATGACAATCTTCCAGGAGAGGTTCCTCTACTTTGTGTGAATGCTCTCTGCCTCCTGGGTCAGCTCAGTCCTGCTTTGGATCACTCTCATTCTCTGGAGATTTCTAAGTAGAAAGTGTTTTCTTATATTGGAGCTGAAATGAGTTTCCTTGCAAATTTAAGACACTCATCTTTGTTCTTGTTGGAGTCTTTCCCTTGCCAGCCCTTGGATTAGTCCATTTTGTGTTGCTATAAAGGAATACCTGAGACGGAGTAATTTATTTTTAAAAGAGGTTTATTTGCCTCATGGTTCTGCAGGCTGTACAGAAGCATGGTGCCAGCATCTGCTTCTTGTCAGGACCTCAGGAAGCTTTTACTCATGGTAGAAGGCAAAGGGAGAACAGACACGTCACATAGCAAGAGATGGGGCGAGGGAGAGGGGTAGGTCCCAGTCTCTTTAACAACCAGATCTCATATGAACTCAGTACTGACAGAGGACACCAAACCATTCGTGAAGGATCCACCCTCAGGACCCACACACCTTCCTCTAGGCCCCACCTCCAGCATTTGGGGATCACATTTCAACATATGATTTGGAGGGGACAGATATCCAAGCTATATCAGCCCTTCTGATCATCAAAGCAACTGAAAGGTCCTCTTGAGTCTTGTCTCTGGGCCATACATGCCCAATTCTACTAACTCTTCCCTATATGCCCCTCACCAGCTCGATCAGACAGTACAATCCAAAACTGAATTCAATGTTCCAGGGCAAGCCTGAGAGACAAGAATAGAAACTACTGCCTTTGCTATTCTGGCCTCTATTTTTCTACTATTGCAGTTCTTTTATTAGTATGGACCATTTTTTAAAATATGACAGGCATGATAGCATTAAAACTAAAAGTATAAATTTGAAACTCGGTCCAAACCAAAAACAGTTGATTTGAGTATACCATTTCTATATTTGGTACTGGTATGCCCTCATTCATTGGCTTATCTGATGTATTTACCACCTTCTTGATCTTGAGAGTTCATTTCTCAATGTAAAGTTTATGTATTTGGAGGAGTAACTGAGGATTGTCTGTTTCCTAACTGGCACATTTTTTTTTCATTTTATGGAAAACAATGTGACTGTCAGTGGGTAGTTCTTTAAAGTAATTAATGCATTTTCTGTTTCCCAAAATTGAAACTTAATATTTAAAGAAAATATTCTATCCCATGACATCTAATTTTTTAGTATTTTAAGCTAGTTAATAAATTAAGAAAAGATTGCATATTGATGTGTCTTAGAATTATTGGAAAAGGAAAATAGGCCAAAAAGAGACATAGAAATGACATAAGCCTGATAGTTAATATTAATGTGCATAAAGAATATAGTTGCCCTGATCGGAAGATTTTCTGCAGCCTGGGAACATAGCAAGATGTCATCTCTAACAAATTAGGGGGAAAATCAGCCAGGTATGGTGGCACGGACCTGTATTCCCAGCTACTCAGGAGGCTAAGGCAGGAGGATCGCTTGAACCCAGAAGTTCGAGGTTACAGTGAGCTATAGTCACACCACTGCTCTCAAGCCTGGGTGACACAGCCGGACCCCATCTCTAAAAAAATAAAAGTTAAAAATAAATAAATAAAGATTTTCTAGGAGGACCAACAGGGCTGGGTCTTAATACTCAGCATACAGAGTAATTGATGAGTCGGTGGGATGGCAAGACCTTTTGGGAGTCATAAGAGTCCCTCTGATGTTATTGGTGAGTGGAATGGTGGTGGAGCTTGCCAACTACTTCTCCTCTCTGCCTCCATGAGAAAGCATAGCTTACAATTAAGATGAGACCGTATTTTGCCTACTAATTAGTCAAGTTTTGTTTGTTCTTTTTATTGCAATATCCAATGCTGATAAGGCTACAGTATCACAGGCATTCTTATGGGCTAGGTAACATGCCGCCACCCTCCTAGAACTGAGTTTTGTAGTTTTTATCAAAAGCCTTAACAATATTTCTACTCTTTGATTCTACAAGTCAACAACAAAAACCCAAATAACCTGATTTTAAAATGGGAAAAGAACTTGAATAGATGTTCTTGAAAAGAAGATACACAAATGGCCAAAAGATGTGAAAAGATGTTCAACACTTCTAATCATAAGGGAAATGCAAATCAAAACCACAATGAGATATAATCTCACACCCAATAGGATGGCTGCTATTAACAAGAAAAAACAACAAATGGTGGTGAGGATGTGGATCAACTGGAACTTTTGTACACCATTGGTGGGGATGTAAATGGTGCAGCCATTATGGAAAACAGTGTGGCAGTTCCTCAAAAAATTAAAAATGGAATTACCATATGATCTAGTAATTTCACTTCTAGGCAAGAGAATTAAAAGCAAGGTCTTGAAAAGACATTTGTATATGTATGTTCATAGCAGCATTATTCACAATAGACAGAAGGTAGAAGCAACCCAGATGTCCATCAACAGATGAATAAATAAACAAAATGTGGTATATATATACAATGGAATATATTCAGCTTTTAAAAGGAAGGAAATTATAACACATGCCACAACATAGATGAACCTTGAGAACATTATGGTAAGTGAAATAAGCCAGTCACAAAAATAAAAATATTCTATGATTCCACTTATATGCGATATCTAGAGTAGTGAGATTTATGGAAACAAAAGTAGAATGAGGGCTGCGGGGAGGAGGAAATGAGTTGTATAATGGGAATAGAATTTTAGTTTTGCAAGATGAAAAAGTTCTGGAAATTGGTTGCAAAACAGTATGAACCTACTTATCACTACTGAACTATACACTGAAAACAAAAGATCGAGATGGTAAATTTTATGTTATGTATATTTTACTACAACGTTTCTAAATTGGGAAAAAATAGCCAGGTGTGGCAGTGCACACCTTTAGTCCCAGCTACTCAGGAGGCTGAGGCGGTAGGATTGTTTGACCTAGAAGTTCAAGGTTACAGTAAGCTATAATCACGCCACTACTCTCCAGCCTGGGTGACGGAGCAGGACCTTATCTCTAAATAAATAAAAGTTAAAAATAAATAAATAAAGATTTTCTTGGAGGACCAAGAAAATCTCTGGAAACAGAAATTCCACTTCTAAAAAACCCCACAAAAATTCATAAAATACCTGGGAAAATGTGTTGATGAGGCATACCGCATTTTATTGTGCTCTGCAGATATTGCATTTTTTACAAATTGAAGGTTTGTGATAATCCTGCATCGAACAAGTCTGTTGGAATCATTTTTCCAACAGCATGTCCTCACTTCATATCTCTGTGTCACGTTTTAGTAATTCTTGCATTATTTCAAGTTTGTTATTATTATATCTGTTACGGTGATCTGTGATCAGTGATCTTTAATGCTACTACCATAATTGTTTTGAGACACCACAAACTGCACCTGTGTAAGACTGCCAACTTATCAATAAATGTATGTGTTCTGATGCTCCACTGACCAGCTGTTCCCACATCTCTCTCCTTCCCCTTGGGCCTCCTTATTCCCTGAGACACAATAATATTGAAATCTGACTATATTATTAAATATAATAACCCTACAATGGCCTGTAACTGTTCAGATGAAAGGAAGCATCCCACAATCCTTCCCTTAAGTCAAAAGCTAGAAACGATTAAGCTTAGTGAGGAAGGCATGTCAAAAGCCAAGATAGGCTGAAAGGTAGACCTTCTGCACCAAACATTTAGCCAAGTTGTGAATGCAAAAGAAAAAAGTTTTTGGGCCGGGTGCAGTGTCTCATGTCTGTAATCCCAGCACTTTGGGAGGCTGAGGCGGGCGGATCACCTGAGGTTGGGAGTTCGAGACCAGCCTGACCAACACAGAGAAACCCTGTCTCTACTAAAAATACAAAATTAGCCGGGCATGGTGGCACATGACTGTAATCGCAGCTACTTGGGAAGCTGAGGCAGGAGAATTGCTTGAACCCAGGAGGCGGAGGTTGCAGTGAGCCAAGATGGCACCATTGCACTCCAGCCTGGGCAACAAGAGTGAAACTCTGTCTCAAAAAAAAAAAAAAGAAAAGAAAAAGAAAAAGAAAAAAACTTTTTGAAGGAAATTTAACATGCTACTCCAGTGATCACATGAATGATAAGAAAGTAAAGCAACCTTATCACTGATATAAAGGAAGTTTGAGTGGTCTGGACAGATCAAACCAGTCACAACATTCCCTTAAGCCAACACCTAAACCAGAGCAAGGCCGTAACTCTTTTCATTCTATGAAGGCTAAGAGAGGTGAAGAAATGACAGAAGAAAAGTTTGAAGCTATCAGAGGTTGGTTGATGAGGTTTAAGGAAAGAAGCCATCCTCATATCATAAATACAAGATGAAGCAGCAAGTGCTGATGTAAAAGCTGCAGCAAGTTGTCTGGAACATCTAGCTAAGATCATTGATGAAGGTGGCTACACTAAAATACAGATTTTCAATGTAGACAAAACCACCTTCTATTAGAAGAAGACACCATCTAGGACTTTCATGGCTAAAGAGGAGAAGTAAATGTCTGATTTCAAAGCTTCAAAGGACAGGCTGACTCTCTTGTGAGGAATAATGCAGCTGGGCACTTTAATTTGAAGCCAATGCTTATTAACCATTCTGAAAACCATAGGGCCCTTAAGAATTATGCTAAATCTACTCTGCCTGCACTCTTTAAATGAAACAACTAAGCCTGGATAACAACACATCTGTTTATGGCATGGGTTACTGAATATTTTAAACCCACTGTTGAGACCTACTGACCAGGAAAAAGAGTCCTTTCAAAATATTACTGCTTATTGTCAATGAACCTGATCACCCAAGAGCTCTTGTGGAGATGTACAAAGAGATGAATGTTGTTTTCATGCCTGCTAACACAACATTCATTCTGCAGCCCATGGATCAATGAGTAATTTTGACTTTCAAGTCTTATTATTTAAGAAATACATTTTGTAAGGCTGTAGCTGTCATAGATAATGATTCTGCCGATTGATCTTAGCAAAGTAAATTGAAAACTTTCTGATTTTCTTGATGTCATTAAGAACTTTTGTGATTCATGGGAGGAGGCTAAAATATGCACATTAACAGGAGTTTGGAAGAAGTCTATTCTAACCCTCCTGGATGATTTTGAAAGGTTCAAGACTTCAGAGAAGGCAGTAACTGCAGATGTGATGGAAATAGGAAAAGAACTAGAATTAGAAGTGGAGCCTGAAGATGTGACTGAACTGCTACAACTTCATAATCAAACTTTAATGGATGAGGAGTTGCTTTTTATAAAAGAGCAAACAAAGTGGTTTCTTAAAGTGGAAACTACTCTTGGTGAAGATGCTAGGAACATTGTTGAAATGAAAACAAAGGATTTAGAATATTTCAGTAACTTAGTTGATAAAGCAGCAGCTGTGTTCGAGAAGATTAAGTAGAGATTTTGAAAGAATTTCTACTGCAAGTCAAATGCTGTCAAACAGTATGGCATGCTACAAAGAAATCTTTCATGAAAGAGTTAATCGATGTGGCAAACTTCATTATTGTCTTATCTTAAGAAGTTGCCACAGCCACCCCAACCTTCAGCAACCACCACCCTGATCAATCAACAACCATCAACACTGAGGAAAGTCCCTACAACTAGCAAAAAGATAGGACTCACTGCAAGCTCAGATGATCATTAGCATTTTTAGCAATAAAGTATTTTAATTAAGGTATGTACTTTTTTTAGACATAATGCTATTGCACATTTGATAAACTACAGTACAGTGTAAACATAACTTTTATGTACACTGGGAAACCAAAAATTTAGTGTGACTTGCTTTATTGAGAGATTAGCTTTATTGTGATGTGGTCTGGAACCAAACCCACATATCTCCAAGATACACCTGTACGAAGAAGTACATTGCTGCTTTACTGAAGAAAAAAATTGAAAAAAAAAAAAGAGAAAAAAGATGTAGAACCAACTTGAAATGCCCTTAAAGAAATGAATATTATGGTATATCGTTTAAAATAACATGAAAACATTAAAATGATTATAAGGAAGTATGTAATAACCTGGAGTGTGCTTCAGAAAGTTTCATTCATTCAACAAATATTCATTAGAACTGGACATGGCTTCTTCCTGTAAGAAGTTCATTCCCTAGGTAAGGAGATAAGGTGAAGAATGAGAAAGCTCCTTGAGGATAGGTCTCTGTCTTGTCATTTCTCCAAGACCTAGAGCAGTGGCTGACGCACAGCAGACGTTCAATAAATATTGGTTGGCTGGCTAACAAGGATAACACCACACACATAAAAAATTAATTCCAGGCAACATATAACTTAAAGATATCTTAACAAAAACTCTATGAAGGCTTTGGAACTTTACAGAAGAAATCATTGAGACCAAGACGGAGAGAAGCAAAGTTCATCAAAGTAGATGATGCATCCTTGTTTACCTTTGGAAGACCAGAAGAAGATGAGAGGGGGCTTGGCAGTGGGAAGTAGAGCTAAGGTAGCACTTCAGCTGCTAGAGTGTGCTTTGGCACTTGAGTCGCCATGTGGCCAGACCAACAGATCACTGGGCATCTCCACGAGTGACAGCATGGGTGGCAGCAGCTGGCCTGAGGTGGACCTGCCATGTCAGAGGCCCCAGAGTCTACCCAGACTCTCAGGCCAGGCTGGCTGACCCCTGACCTAAAACTGCAGGTGGGGAATAGTTGCTAGAGTGTTGTTTTCTTGTATGTTCCAGTTGGGCAATCCTGGGCTGGATGAGAAATTTCTGCTTGCAAATATATGTCAATTATGTTTCTTTTATAATAATGATAATTATATCAGATTTACAAATCTATGTTCTTTTTGGAATAATTCAGAATGTGTGGCATGCAAATTTTCTTAAACTAAACTGCTGAATGTGCATTTTAAGGATGACTAAATTTACTTTGAAAAAATAACATATTAACATAATTTTACAAACAATATTTAGCTATTATAAATAACCTTACTTCAAAATCAATTTTGTCTTCTTTTCCTGTGTTACAGGTATCATATTTTATCAGGAATTCCTTGGTGCTCCTTTTCTCACTGTATTTATATATCTTTTTGGGTGAGTAAATGTCTCAGAGGTAAAGCATGTGAAATTCTATTACTTTTACGTAGGATTTTCGGCATTGTACCGGAGGTATAGAAAATTGGAAAATAATATAAGAAACATCAGTTTCCTGAGCTCCTAAAAGAAACATATTTTTTAACTTAAGGCCCTAAACAGGGCTCAGCGTCTTTGGCTTTGTGACTTAGGTATATCTCTGCTGTTCTGAAACATTGGGGATTTCCAATTCCAGGCCAAAGACAAGATACATCCACTGGCCCTTGTAGTTACTGCACGACCTTTCTGTACTGTATCAGACCTACTTCGCTCTTGGGAACCCCTAGATTAGATCTAAATTAGAGAATCATGATCCTCTAGGGTCGCCCAAAATAAAAGGCCAAGATGGGCAGATCCCTTGCTTTAGTCATGATAATATCAGGTTGGTAGCATCCCTTTCTTGTGTTAAGAGTGTGCAGCTTGAGCTCTCCCTAGAGATTTGGTGGGCATCATTGCTAGCATTGCTTGCAAACAGAGAGCAGAACTTTGACAATATATCACCAGTGTATAGGAGCTTCCATGACTCCATGAGGCACTTCATTAAATGTTTAGCTGCTCCTTGATCTAGTAGTCAGCATGATCATTGTTATGCAAACTTGAGCCTAGGCTATTTTCGGTGTAGGAAGCCATCTATCTTGAAAATTCAATTTCATAAGATAATTGGGCAAGGCCAAACTTCTGAGGTCTGGAAATTATGACTACTCTTATGGCCAAGGAAAACTAGATTTCTTAGAAAATTAAAGAATAAATTATTTTTTCTCTTGTGTCACATGCCAGAAATGGATCTGGGCGTGCATGGGCAGAAAATGAGACAGGGTGTCCCCAAGGGTTTTGAGCCTGAGTTAGCCCCCAGATGGTAAAAACCTGGGCCAGAGATCTACTGGAATCTGCCCAAGTCTTGGTTCTGGGTAGAACTATTGGCTGTGCTAATTAAGACAAGTACTAGGAAGCTTACCATGAGAAACTGGAAGAACAAAACCAATGGGATTTATGTCATCATGTAGAATATGGAGCTCAGTTATTTAATACCATGAGTCTGTTTCAGTGTTCTTGTATTCTTTATTAATATTATCCTTACAGGTGTTTTCTGTCATTCCTTGGTGTATTTTTGGTCACAAGAAATCGAGAAAAGGAACATCTGCAACAGTCTTATATTGATTTTGGAAATATTCCTGGTAAAATCATATATTCTTTATAGTGGAAAATTTGATCCTTATAAATGAATAGTTATTGGTATTATTTTGGGTGGTAAGTTAATATAAAACATAATTCTTATCCTAAAAAATGTACATTTAATAATGAAACCAAAGGTGCTATTTTCAGTGTAAATGTTTCTAATAATTTATTGAATGTCAGTTTTGCACAGAACTGGGGATATAAAAGAACTGACCATGTTTCCTCGATTTGGGTGATTTGGAGGATTTCCTTTTTGGGTTTCCTTAAATTGGAAAAGGGTAGAGAAAAGAGTAGCAATGACTACCAGCAGCAGACCCCTGCCACTTTGAGAGCCTTGAAGGAACATCCAAGGACAAAGGGTAGGCAGCTAAGGAGCATGTCTTGGGGGAAGCCTGAGGTGGCCTGTGCACTGTGGCTCAGGACAGTCACCAAAACATGAGTAGTTTCTTCCCCCTTCCTCACCCCGCCTACCCAGAGAGCAAACACTCTTTCCCGTTCTCACTCTCACTGAGAAATAACTCGCCTAGTCATGTAGACAACAAAAGCCAAGTCCAGGACAAAGGAAACTGTCTGCTGTGTCACCTCTTCCCCTGTCCACCCGCCCTCAGCACTCTCCAGCCTTACTGGGGATGTAGGGGGACCTATAGGTTTCCAGGCAGGAGTGGAGACATTCTCACAGCTTTCTCCACCATTCTGTTAGCACCATGCCTGTGAAGCAAAAACTAGGGAAGCCTCATCCCTAAGACTGAGAAATATGGCCCCATGCAATGAATTCTGTGTTCTCTTTGCCATTCGAGCCATCTTATCTGCTGGGAGCAGTCAATGAAAGAATTGGCATCAGTGGCAAAGGTGCTTGTGATAGAAGCCTTATATGGTTAGAGGTTCTTTGATAGGAAATAAAGTTTGACTTTTTTTTTTTTTTTTGAGATGGAGTCTTGCTCTGTTGCCCAGGCTGGAGTGCAGTGGCACAATCTCAGCTTACTGCAGCCTCCCCCTCCCGGGTTCAAGTGATTCTCGTGTCTCAGCCTCCCGAGTAGGCACCACCATGCCCGGCTAATTTTTGTATTTTTAGCAGAGGTGGGTTTTCACCATGTTGGCCAGGCTGGTCTCGAATTCCTGACCTCAAATGATTCGCCTGCCTCGGCCTCCCAATGTGCTGGGATGATAGGTGTGAGCCACTGCACCGAGCCTGATTATTTTTAACTCTATTTTTTATTTCACAAAGCTCAGTGCATAGGCTCCGTAGTAGCTTTAGAAGTCACTATCAAAGGCTATTTTTCTATGTTGTTATATGCATTCGACGTGGAAAAGAAGACACAACCCCAGAGAGAAAGGCTTGGAGGTGAGTGAATGCTTCATGTGAATCTCCAGACTAAACCCACCTGATTTCCATGGCCAGCATGTAGATCCTGTGGGGTGGGGATAGTGGCTCTGACACAGACAATTCGCTATCACATAGCTACAGACATGGCGTTTCAAGGGCCTTTTCTTCCTTGATATTCATCTCTTCTCTTTAGAGAGTGCCCACATAGTATAAAAGAGAGGTGATAAAATGTGGCCTAGATTGAGGAGAAATTATTAAGACTTATTTTTCTGTAAGACCTCAAAAGATTCTCTATGATTATTATCTCCACAGGGAAACAAATGTTGGACAAAATACAACCAGATTCACATAGCTTATCCTATGGAACTTTGCCTGATGGAAGTGACTCAACAAAGAGCCAAAGTGGAGAGAAGAAAGAGGTCTAAATGCTGAGAAGGATGGCTGTTGGCCTGTTATTCGATACCACCTTTTTAAAAAATTGCACATGTTCAATTTGTGTCAGCAGCTCTTTTATAAGCTAACATGTGCTAGCATTCATTTCAGTCCTTTCCCCCACCTCAGCGTCTATGGACAATCGGGGACTTCCTAAGCTCTGACAGTCTAATATTTCCATGGAATGTGATTTGGAGTGTTCCCCACACCCTGGACCTCTCCCTAGTGATTATCTAGCCAGCTACACCTTACTCAGAGCCCGGCTGCTCTAGCAGGAATGTTGCACAGAAACATACATTTGCGGTTTGGCCACAGGTCGCATAGGTGGCTTCTCCCACGGGTAGTGTCAGTTGCTTCACTTTAAAAAGTCACTTCAGCCCCACAACCTCACTCCCAAAAGAAAGGTTTGAGAGCGCTCATTTTTTTTCTAAGACACCTTTTATAAGCCTCCCTATAAAAATCTCACCTTTCAAGTACTAAGTTAGAATTGCAAGTCATCTTTTCTGAAAACTAATGCTATCAAAGTCCTCCTTTGAAAATTAAGGGTCTCTTTAAAATTAGAATTTATAAATGGCATTCAGTGATAGTGTACACCAAAATTAAAAGACCTTGACTGGTGGGCTTTTTACGTGTAAGGAAGAGGAAGTTTAAGAAGTAGGACTCTGCTTGTTTCAGTAGCCCATGTACTAAAATAGGAACAATGCAGAGATTAGCACAGCCCCTGCACAAGGCTGACACATAAATTCATGAAGCGTTAGAGACAAAAAGTAGGACTAATGTTTGTTTATTTTTTAATAAAAATCTAGAATGGTGATGTTTTCTTCAGCTGTATGATTCTATCATACTTGAAACTGAAGAAAAATTTAATATCCTATGTCTTTTTTATAGATCTTATAATTTATCAAGTGGATTTATATGTCTTATTCTCCATATAAGTCTAAAAAATCACATTTAAATTCTTAGTGATAGTTTCACTACACATCATTTCTTCCCAAAGTCATTACCTCAAGCTTTGTAAATTCTTCTAGATAAAAGGAGAGTTGTGATTAGAGAACTGAATTTCAGCCATTTAAACCTGTAGACATAGAAAACAACCCAGTGGTCAAACCTGAGCTTCAAGAGGAAGCCCAAGTCCTCCTGTTTCCTGAATGGCTTTTCCACTCCAATTCATCACATATCTGCTAAGACACATTTGCAGGTAGAATCCATAATAATATCTGTTATTTATGATCTACCTAATATTTAAAGGAGAAGAAAAGAAGTAGCCTTCGTTGCAGCCAACATCCAACAATAAGTCCCACCCTTAATGACATTTCAAAGCCTTCAGATCACTTCTGACATGTCTGTCCAATATCATTCCAATCAATAGTCTTGCATTTAAATAGGTTGTTTAACTCGGTGGTATTGAGACTGTAACCTTAATGGCTCAGGTCTTTTAGCTTTGTTCTTTGTCATAATCTGCACTCCTGGCCAGACTGACCAAACCTGGCTGCAAAGGAAAGAGATTTGAATTGATCACCAATGTATGAAAAATACAGAACCCATGTCTGGCTCCTAAACTCCTGGTAATAATTCCCGCCATCGTAGCAAGTGTCCCATGCATTCAGATAAAGCAGTCATAATTTATGGTGTATTTTACCGAATTGGTCCAGCATATTGGTCCTACAAGGCTCAGCCAAGAAATGTATCTGGTGCCTTAAACTACAGATTTCTGGTGACTCTTAAAACTGGTTTACAAAGATTGAGAAAACAATTAGATTGAAGAGTTTTGCTTCAAGTAGACCTGCATTCATAGCTAGAGTGCATGAGATTTTCAGCACTGTAGAATTTCACACAGGCACAAGCATAACACCAGTACTTTAGCAGCCGCCAACAGTTGCATCTATTAAACGTTTTGAGAAATGACATTGACTTATGCACATTTAAGCAATCAACAATGTTTTAGAAGTCCAGGTAACATATAAAATATATTCAGACCTAGTTTTACTTTCCATATTGTTGCTCCAAAGTAAGGTAAATAGGAGTTTTAGTTGTACTGGCCTGTAAGATTTTTTAAATTACACAGTGCATGACAACAACTAAAGCCAACTCAGTCCTTCTCTTGGCATTGTGAGTTGAGGACCTTTAGCCAACTGTTAGCTCATCTGACTATCTGTCTAGACCAAGGGTCGGCAAAGTTTTCAGTAAAGACCCACAGAGTACATATTTTGGAGTTTGTGTTGTCTGTACCAACAGACAGACATGGTGTCTGTCCCAACTACCCAACTCTGCCATTGTAGCACTAAAGCAGCCATAGACAAGATGTAAACAGAAGAGCATGGCTGTGTTCCAGTAAAACTTTATTTACAGGCCAGGCATGGTGGCTCATGCCTGTAATCCCAGCACTCTGGGAGGCTGAGGCTGACAGATCATCTGAGGTTAGGAGTTTGGGACCAGCCTGGTCAACATAGTGAAACCCCATCTCTACTAAAAGTACAAAAATTAGCCAGGCATGACGGTGGGTGCCTGGAGTCCCAGCTACCTGGGAGGCTGAGGCAGGAGAATCACTTGAACCCGGGAGGTGGAGGTTGCAGTGAGCCGAGATCATGCCATTGCACTCCAGCCTGGGCGACAGAGTAAGACTGTCTCAAAAACAAACAAACAAACAAACAAACAAAAACAAGTGGCCAGTCTGTGAGCTATAGTTCCCAACACCTGGTCTAGACTCTTCTGCCCTTGCTCTGCAGCTTCTTTCCTGTTGATTGGGCATTCAGGGAAGGAGTTTAAAAAGTGACACTCATGGCTCATGACAAATGAGATACTTTGGGAGTGTGGAAACATGGCTTGATATTTGCCTTCAGATATTTTTGCTTATATAAGTTCTAAATGGAAGTGATAAGTTCATTCTTAGGGTCCAAGTTGAAAGGCAGTGGTTCTTTTGTGAACACCACTAACTACATTCGAAAAGCCTCTCCAATTCCACATTCCAAGTCTATAACAGCTTTGGAAATGAGTAACAATGACCTCTCATGTAGTAGATTAAAGCAGAGGCCTTTGCCATATGATTGTTTTTTGGCTTAAATGTTTGCTTGCCCTGTAACTGTAATACTTTGGTTACCAGAATCACTTGAAAACAAATACAATAAAAAAATTTCTCAAGCAGTGACCCAGAATGTATTCTTCCCCCTCTTCAATACCCCACACACTCCTAGAGATTCTGTTCTGTGGCAATGTAAGAAAGAGAAAGGCAGATTTCATAGATGAGTACAATTTCAGTGCTATGAAAGAGTAATGGTGGTAATGTGTAAGTTTGGCTCCAAAGGACGCAGGTGTAATGGTGGACATAACTCAAAGAGATAGAAATGTCGAGCCAAGTTCCCTAAGCCAAGCACCCTCTTTGTGCTCCTGTTTCCAAGCACGCAACTCATCCAGGAATGGTGAGTGTACACACTCAGCCATGCTGAAGGCTGCCTCAGTGCTTGCCAATTTAACAGTGATATGGTGGACATAAATATAGCAGTTACTGACATGAACCTTCCCAACACTCTTCCAGACTGCTTTACTTAAACTCTGTGGCTGGTTATAGAGGCAGTCTTTGCACTGGGCGGCTGCAAGGCTAATGCACATGTTTGGCACCAGTGAATGTGAGTCCTTTAGTGAGGTTGCTAGATAAACACCACACATTTTGAACTATTAGAATAAAATCTCAAAATTGAACCCAACGTGATTGTATGGGGAATTTAGAGGCTGCTTCTAATCGTTAGACTCATCAACAGTCTGGCTCTTATTATGACCATCTTGAAGTAAAACAATAAAATAAAATTCCACACATACACAGTTTCCATGCAAATATAGACCAGCCTTGAGCTATTAAACCTAGCATTTTAGCAATTGTGGTAAATGCAGGGAAGAGCCTTTCCACCCAGGAATTTTTGAGTCTGTTCCCTTTCTCACCAGCCTCAGGGTACCACACAACATGATGTCCTGTGCCAGAAGAGCAAATCAGTTACAGGAGCTGTGGCCCATCCAAGGAAGCTTTTTTTTTTTTTTCCTGAGAGGGAGGAAACTCCTCCTTTAATGTTGGTCCTTATTGAGAGTTAATGAGTCCCAACCACAATGTAAAAGAGAAATATCAATCCCAATATCAAATAAATGTGGTGTTTTGGGGTGCACCCTGCTGGGCCAGGTGCTGCCAAGAGTTTCATGGAGTTCCAGACAAGATGTCAGATAGTCTCCATGTTCCAGGAAAGAATCTCCTTCCCAGGGAGCTGACAAGTGCATAGCCAAGAAAGAGCCCTCCATTCCTGGTGGGACCAGCAAGCATGGACCGAAGCCACTTTGCACATTTGAGCTGCTGCTATCCAAACATGAACAAATCCATCCAGTGTGCACGCATCCCACTTTCAAGCCTTTCCCTCATGGTTCTAATTTGAAAACCAACCTCAGAAATGTTCTGAGGCTTGGGCTCTACTCCCTCTATCCAAAGCACCTCACCTAAACCTTCTAAACACTGTGCATGAACAAGGAGATGAATCAACTCAAGAACTCTTGACCCCAGGGACTCAAAGCCTGGGTTATTTGCCTGATTATAGACTACTAGCTCAATTACCACATGACTCAATCTTAGCAAATGTTCATTAATTCACTCAAATATAATCAATCACCTACAATTTTCAATGTAACATGCATTTTTTAAATAGACTTTATTTTGTAGAGTAGCTTTAGGTCACAGCAAAATTGAGCAGAAGGTACAGAGAATTGCCATCTGCTTCCTGCCCCTTCACAGGCACAGCCTCTCCTATTAGCAACATCCCCCACCAGAGTGGTACATTTGTTACAATCAATGAGCCTACATTGGCACATCATTATCACCCAAACTCCCTGGTTTACGTTAGGGTTCGCTCTTGCTGTTATACATTCTACGGGTTTGGACAAGTGTATGGTGACATGTGCCCATCATGATAGTATCATACAGATCAGTTTCCAAAACCCTCTGTGCTCTGCCTAGTCGTCCCTCCATCCCTGCACGCCCTGGCAACCACTGATCTTTTTACTGTCTCCAAAGTTTTGCCTTTTCAGGAATGTCATATGTTGAAATCATATAGTATGTAGCTTTTTCAAATTGGCTTCTTTCACTTAGTAACATGGATTTAAGGTTCCTCCATGGCTATTTACACTTAGTTGCCCATTTCTTTTGAGTGCTGAATAGTATTCCATTGCCTGGACGTACCACAGTTTATTCGCCTATTCGTCTACTTGGTTGGACAAGTAGATAAATAGATATCATCTTGGAAGGACATCTTGCAATTGCAAAAAGCTTCCAAGTTTTTGCAATTTAAAGTTATTGGGAATATGATGATGAATTAGACCAGCTCTTTGTGAGTTGCCTGTCTAGTTAGAGAAACCATAGCTATCATTTATTGAGCCCTTACTGCTAATCTTTTACTTGTGTTATTCATTTCATCCTTAAAATTCTCTATTAGAGAGGTCCTGATCCCCACTTTACAGATTAGAAAACCATGATAAGAGGCAGGGCAGGGATTAGGGTAAGTCAAGAGAGGCCCAAGGCACACAATTTAATGAAGCTTATGAAAATCTGACTTGTGGGGTGGTGAGAGGACCCTGAGAGTGAGTGCCTCTTTAAATGTTGTGCCCTAGGTGCCTCACTGTGTCCCAGTCCTGGGAAAAGGAGTTAAGTGACTTGACCAGTATCATTCAGCTGGCAAGTGGCGGAGCTGGGATTTGAACCCAGGACATCTAGCTC
The DNA here is from genome assembly GCF_000001405.40 of Homo sapiens. Lineage (NCBI taxonomy): Eukaryota > Metazoa > Chordata > Mammalia > Primates > Hominidae > Homo > Homo sapiens. The sequence goes on along the minus strand of NC_000008.11, from coordinate 98,187,227 downwards.
TGTAACCCACACTCTTAGCACAAGTGGCCAAAGTACCTACACTGTGCAACTGAATGTTGAAAATGCCTTAAGAGACTTAAAGGGCATGGGAGCTTGGAGGAGAGAAAGGTCTAGGGCACAGTCTTCAAAGGGATTCAGGATTGTAGTGGGTTAAATGGTGGCCCCTGAAACAATATGTCCATGTCCTAAACCCTGCAACCTGTGAATGTGACCATATTTGGAAATAAGTTCTTTGCAAAAGAAATTCAGGATCTTGAGATGAAAGCAACCGGGATTACCTGGGTGGCACCTAAATCCATTGACAAGTGTCCTTAGACAGAAAAGGCAAGACACAGAGAGGGCCCTGTGAAGATAGAAGCAGAGACTGGAGTCCTGAAATCACAAGCCAAGGCAGACCTAGAGCCATCAGAAACTAGAGGAGACAGGGCAGGACTCTCCCCTAGCGCCTTCCGAGGGAGCACAGCCCTGACTACTCCTTGATTTCAGACTTCTGACCTCCTTAGTGGTGATTTATTGTGGAAACTCTAGGAAACTAAAACAGGGATTGACCTGGTCTTTGAAGTGCATGTAGAATTTGGACATAAGGGGAAGCCCCATGAGCAAAGAAGAAACTGAATAGTTCAAGCCTGGTAAACATCTATAACATGGGGTCACACGAAGAGGAAGGCAACTCGGTAAGGCTAGAAAAGCAAGTAAGAAGGCCCTGAGTGGCCAGCTATAACACAGATTTAAGAGTTCAGGCTTGATTTGAGAGGTAAACGATTGTATTAACTTCATTTCCAGGGATGCAGACTGAACTTAACGAACATAATCAGTATCTTTCCAAAAACTCACCTATCCATGCACACTGGCAAATAACACTCAAAAACAACAACAATAAAACTCACCTATCAGAATTTAAGGGCTGGGCGCGGTGGCTCACGCCTGTAATCCCAGCATTTTGGGAGGCCGAGGCGTGTGCATCACGAGGTCAGGAGATCGAGACCATCCTGGCTAACACAGTGAAACCCCGTCTCTACTAAAAATACAAGACATAAGCCGGGCGTGGTGGTGGGCGCCTGTAGTTCCAGCTACTCGGGAGGCTGAGGCAGGAGAGTGGCGTGAACTTGGGAAGCAGAGCTTGCAGTGAGCTGAGCTGGTACCACTGCACTCCAGCCTGGGTGACAGAGTGAGACTCCGTCTGAAAAAAAAAATTTAAGGACGTTACTCCACATCTTCCTTAGGCAGTCACTCTCAGTATAAGATGGCATAAAAGATATTCAGGAAATAATGACTGAACTCTACTTTTGCATTTGTGGCTCATCACATCCTACCAGAAATGATCAAGCATAACGAGGCTATGAGCTGAACAGTGACCTCTGAGATGGCCTCGAGCAAAACAGCTGTCTCCAGAGAAGAATGGGCTGGGCCATCCAAAATCTCACTCTCCAGAACTTGGGGTGAGAGGCATGGAGACAGTCAAGGAGGTAGGAGTGGGAGCCGATACTGGAAGGCTTCCCAGAGAGATATAAAGGTACAAGGGGACCACAGAGGGCCTTGGCAAGCCAAGGTTAATAGTATACAAGGAAGAGTGAATCATGAGAGTAAATGAGCTAAGAGCCAAATCTGTTGGCAGAGACAGGGGAAGTAAGAAAATACTGCAAGGAAAACAAAGACTCTGAGAGAGGTGACCAGGAGAGCAAAGCCCAGGACCTGTTGCAGGTGTATAAAGTTCATGGCACACTTACAGTAACAGCCAACTCCCTCCAGCTGGCTGGAGAGACTCTTCCGAGCCACCAAAGGGCCTGAGTTCCATGGGAGTCACTGGGTTTCCAGAAGACAATAGATAGATCAGGCTGTTGGCACCAGACAGGGAAGGGATGAGTTCATTTGAGAAATACTTCATGAAAACCATCATTTCCAGTATTCACACTATGGTGCAGGACTGTTCAGTGAGAGTCCATAGTGGCAGGGGACAACCTTCAGATAGAAGATGGAAGAAAGTGGGCCCAAGAAAATGATCAGGAGTCCCTGGTGGATCCCAGGCCTAATCTTAATGAGCGGTATACCCTTATTTTTTAAAGGTATGTAGAGTACTCTCAATGCATGGTCACTGGATGACGGCTGAGGCATCTGCTGAGTGAGTATTTGTGTGTGTGTGTGTGTGTGTGTGTGTGTGTGTGTGTGTGTGTGTGTGTGTGTTGGGAGTGGGGTGCGATGATGCATAAAAAGACATTGAGGGAGCAGGGGACATACTGGGAACCCTTTTCAGTGTGGAGAGAAAGGTCAACTCCCTCAGCCACAGACAGGATAAAAATGGGGAGCACAACAGCAAAAGAGCCCTTTAAACACCTCCTTCCTTGACTCTCTGTCCACCTAGGAATGCAAATCTGAGCAGGTGGCTCTTAGGGCAAAACCAGAGAAATGAACCGGGTCGCGGGAGAAGAGGCGCCTCCAAGTAGCGCAGCCCCATCCCCTGGGCTCTCACCACCCCCAAGCTAGGAACTCCTGCACCAGGTTGTGGCTCCGCTGCTGTGCCTTGGAACAGGGTGGGCACCCCCACGGAACCTGGTACGCAATGGCCACCTTTCTCCTTTGGCTTGGGGGTCTCGGGGTGGCAACCTGGGACACTGCTGTCCGGAACATGACAGGGCCCACCCTGCTTCTCAGTCGCTAACAGGAAAACAGGATTCTGCAGGGGAGGACAGAAATCTGTCACCCGGGGCACAGGGCTTGCCTTGCTGGCCTTTCCACGGGCCTTCTCTAAAGCAAACCACCTGTTTCCTGCCCAGCATGGGCCTGAGCCTTCCAAGATGTCCGCAGAAAAGAAACGTGTCCAAACCACTGCTGAGGAATGACAGTCTTGGCACTGCCTCCAGTTATATTTGTTGTTCACTAAGGAGTTTTGTGGAATTCAGACTCATTTTCCACTGAAACAGGGGAAAGTAAAGACGGCACCAAATAAAAATAGCTTCCCGGCGTTTCCTGTTTACTCTGCTCTGCGGGCTTCCCACGGCCTGGGGGCTTCACTGGACGTCTGCACAGAAAGCCCCTCTCCAAAGAACACCGCAAGTGACGATTTGCTTTCTTCTTCTGTGTTTCTAACTCTCTTCCTTGTGTTCCACAGAAGTTTAGTTTGGGGGTCTGTTGGGTTAACTCCCAAGTCTCCTTTTTCTAGCCCTTTTTAGAGGGAGACAAGGTTGCAGGGTGTTTCTCTGCTTTCCACGGCCCTGTTCTCTCACAAAGTAGAGCCAATCATGTCCGGCCTGCTGGGCCTCAGAAGGAAGATGTAGGAGAAAGAGTAGGTGACACAAATATAAAAGGACTGTGGAGAGAGGGGCCCTGGCCAGGCACAGTGGCTCATGCCTGTAATCCCAGCACTTTGGGAGGCCAAGGTAGGAGGATCACTTGAGCCAAGGAGTTCCAGACCAGCCTGGGCAACACGGGGAGACCCCGTTTGTGCAAAAAAAAAAAAAAAAAAAATTAATTAGCCAGGTATGGTGGCACATGTGTGCCTGTGGTCCCAGCTGCTTAGGAGGCTGAGGTGGGAGGATCCCTTAAGCCTGGGAGGTCGAGGCTGCAGAGAGCTATGATCTCGCCACTGCACTCCAGCCTGGGCAACAAAGCAAGACCCTGTCTCAAAAAACAAAACACAACAAAAAAAGGGGGTTTAGGCCTGGCACAAAGATTTCACATCCTCCTTCAGAATAATGTTCAGGAGAGAACAGAATTGACAGCAAAGACACAGGTGACAAGACAGGAAAAGCTCATCCAACAGAAGAGCAGAGGTGTCCCAGACATCGAGCCTAACGGAGCTGTGTGTGACTCTAAGCTTTTGCTTAAAACCACGGAGACATCAAACATGTTCGGGGAGAGTTCCGTCTGAGGAGCAAGCAACTCCTGGGTGGGCCAGGAGTGACGGGTCTGTGCTGCAAATTGGTGTTTGGCCCCTGCACACAGCCCACGTGCTGAACATGTTTTTTCGGTCCAAAAACAATGGGAGCAGCCTCACTTTCCCTACTGATTTTTGCACCACAACAATAAAGTTAATAATGGAAAAAACATATCCCATGGCCAGGAACACTCTGAGCGAGCACAGCAGAGTGTTGGATCTACCATCTATCAACAGAAACTGCTGAGAGCAAACCAAAGCCTGTTAACTGATTTTTATGAATGATTGAAAGAGCAAAGCAGATTTATTTGATTTCCATCATATAAAAATTGACAGTTACATAAATATATCTCTAAAACTGTCAGGATGAAAACCATCCCATTCTTGACAGGAAGTGAAGTCACAAAAAAAGCTAAACTGACACTGCTATCGGGGGCCTCTTGTGGATTGAATTGGGGCCCCCACCCAAAATAAACATTAAAGTCCTAACCCCCACTACCTCAGAATGTGACATTATTTGGAAATAGAGTCTTTACAGAGGTAAGCAAGTTAAAAATTAGGCCATTAGGGACTGAGCCCTGACCAGTTCAGCTGGTGTCCATAGAAAAAGGGGAAACATGCTCACAGAGACACACTGAGTGAAGCCAAGGCGAAGACACAGTGAGACACCATCAACAAGCCCAAGGGACAACTGTGACCACCTGAAGCCAGCAGAGAGGCATGAAACAGAATCTTCTTCACAGACCTCAAAAGGAACCAACCCTACCAACACCTTGATTTTGGACATCTAGGCTCCAGACTGTGAGACAATAAATTTCTGTTAAGTCCCCCAGTTGATGGTACTTTACTACAGCGGATGTAGCAAACTCATACAAGGACTTTCATCTCCTTTGCTCCCAGAGGCTGACGCTCTGCTCTGTTCGGAGAATCTGCCATGGTGCAAACCTTGCTGGGAAGCAGAGCCACCCCGCACCTCACTATAAAAGCTGAAAGCCAAGATTTCCCTCTCCCCCACCCCTGGCAGATGATGCTCTGTTCCAGGGCACTGGGGCTAGAGCACTGGGCAGTTTAGAATGGATTCTTTCGTTGCCTGCAGTGGTGGCTCCTAACCTCCAGTTGTAATGATGCCAGGATGCCACCCAGCATTTGCCAGAAACCTGACCTTGGCCGTACATCTGGCCATTTGGTTTCACTTGGTTCCTTCCCCTTTTCCAAGCCCAATCCTGCAGACTTCCCATGGATTCTGTAAGCACCTCAGCAAACGAGGACATCAGTGCAGATCAATAAAAAGCCGAGCATCCCACACAGTTTGTCTGGCATTTTCCACCCCCTTGACCATGGCCTGTGAGACATCCTAATCTCAGTGCAAACAAAGGCAAACTCCCCACATTTACCCTCCATCTTTTCTCCAGTCGCCACCAAACTACCTCTGTTCACGGCACCCCTGTGCTCCCCTGACCACCATGAGATAGGTCCCATACAACACACGCTTCCCCTTTTTCCCAGGCTCCCAGCAGCCACCCTTATGTCAGGTCCTCCCACCTGAAACACCACGCCAGCCCACACACTGGTCTGAGCCATTGTCTGCATCTCAGATTCCCATGCATGCTGGTGGGGGCAGTGAGTCCTGGAGAGAGAGAAAGATCTGATCCTACCCCCAGCATGCATTTCCCCTGCTACTGCTCCTGGCCTCACCATCTGCTCACCTGCACTCCACTGGAGTCCAGCCCTCCTTCAAAGCCCATCTCTAATACGGATAAAGAGTTTTATAATTTTTCTTCTTGAAACAAGATCTGGCCCTGTCACCCAGGCTGGAGTACGGTGTCACAATCTCGGCTCACTCCAGCCTCAACCTCCTGGGCTCAACCGATCCTCCCGCTTCAGCCTCCCAAGCAGCTGAGACCACAGGTGAAGGCCACCGTGTTCTGCTAATCTTAGTATTTTTTTGTAGAGATGGGGTTTTGCCATGTTTCCCAGGCTGGTCTCAAACTCTTGGGCTCAAGCAATCCACCTGCACCTGCCTTGGCCTCCCAAGGTGCTGGGATTACAGGTGTGAGCTACTATGCCTGGCCAGTTTTATGATCCTTATCAGCCAGAGGTGCTCCTTCCCACCTTCAAATCCCCTTTACGTTCTTGGATGCAACTCAGTGTCTTCCACGTTGCGTTACAGTCATCTACATGCTCATCTGGTTCCTGCTATTCAATTGCCACTATCTATGGGACAGGATTTGCCCTGGACTCCTCTCCAGCTCCACTACCACCACCGTCACTTCTCAGTGATGATCACTCACAGCCCCCTAGCTGATCATTCAGTAGAAAAGCCCCAGTCAAAAGACTAGACGTGATCCAACCTCCATGACCTCCCTGCCCAGAAGGCCTCCTCCTTGCTCCATCCTTCCCTACTCTCCAGCTTCACTGCTTCCTCCCTGTTCACTGAACACACCGGGCACACTCCTGCCTCAGGGCCTTTGCACAGGGTAAGTCCCTCAGCTTAAGTTTTTGCCCAAATGTCACCTTCTTGAGGAGGTCAGCCCTGACCTCCTTATTTATAATCTTGCAACCCACCCCACCTCCACCCAGTACCCTTAGTCCTGTTGCCCTGCTTTCTTTCTCTCTGTAGCAAAGATCACCTCCTAGAATAATGAATAATTTTTTATTATGTTTATTGATCATTGTCTGCCTCCCCATCCCCACCTGCCACAAAGTGAGCCCCTCAAGAACAGGAATCTTGATCTGTTATGCTCGCTGATGTATCCTGGGTGCCTGGTACGTGGGGGAGACCCAATAAATATTTGTTACATAAACAAATCTCTGAATTCTGCATACTCCTGACTACGACAGTCACTAGGTTCCCAAATCATGCTACTTTTCTTTTTAAGCCTAGCTGCCTGTTTGCTTGGCTGCTCTTCCCTGCGCTGCCATGGAAACCAACAGCCTAGGGACAGGTTGCTTTTCATGAAGTCAGGCAACGTGCATCACACCCCGCAGAACACACGGACCTGCACCATGTCCTCCACAGCCAGGGGACGGGATGCTCCGCCCAGTCAGCTGGACGTGTAGGGGTGCAAATGGCCCTGGGGCCAGCACCACCCCAGCTCAGGCAGTCTCGGGTCCCCATGCAGTGAGCAGTGGAGGCTTCCCAGGAGGACTCACCCCTGACTGATGGATGCCCACACAGACCACATTCTGTTCTCAGGAGAGGCTCAAGTCAGAATGTTCCCATTGCCACCCACAGGCACTTTCTTTCTATCCCCAATAATAGCAGGTATTTATGGGGCACCTACTATGGACGAGGCACTTTGCATATATTACCTCCAATCCTGGTGGCACTGAAAATTCAGTTATTATGACTTTCACACTTGAGGGAACTGAGGCTCAGGGAGACTAATCAGCTTTGCCTTGGGTCACAGCAAGTCAGTGAAGGAGGTAGATTGGAATCCAGGCACCGAAATGTGTAGCCTCTTCCCACGCCATGAGCTCCCACCTGCGCTGCTGTCTGCAGGCTCCTCTGCTGTGATTGTCTCAGACCCTGTGCCTGAAGAAGGGCGGATAGAGAGCAAGTGGTGGGGGCAGAAATCACTGTAGAAACCCAGCGTGTACACATGACATGCATGCACACACACACACACATGCACACACACAGATCAATGACATGGCCCCAGCAACATTGTAACGCCAGAGTAGGTTTCTGAAGGAGGGGGAGCTCTAAGCTCTCTCTGGAGGCCTTTAAAAAATAACAACAAATAAAAGATAATTCCATCTCATTGGAATGACGTAGGTGTGGTCGTGTCTAAAAGCAGAGATCAGCTGACCCCAACAGTCAGCTTTATGACTATGATAAACCATTACAGAGCAGGCGGACTAACTACTTGGAGCATTGCTAAATCTGTTTTTAATAATGTCACCATCCCAGGACCAAACCCTGCCCTGTCGCTGCAATAAAGGTTCATCATTGCTGGAGAAAGAGCACTGGGTCACAGAGGGCAGAGGCGGGGAAGAGGAGACAGCCTGTTTGTTCTCAAGCATGGGGCTTCATGAGTCATAGGCTCGCTCAGGCGGTGGGGGAAGAGCTTGAAGATTTATCTCAGCTGAGGTCTGAAGGATAAAGATGAAAACAATAGCAAGGAGACCATGTCAGAGCAGCAAGGACAACAGCCCTGCTTGAAAACTGCTCAGCAAAGGGACATGGGGGCTTTGTCGGTGCTGGCATGCACACAACTGTGTAACGTGCACAGTGCAAACACAGGAAGACACCCCTCGAAGGTGTCTAAGATTGTCACGCAACATTTGTCTCAGGCTGTCTCCAGAAGTGGCCAAGCACCTACTACGTGACTCAGGTGGTGAACATTACATTGAAGTGACATCAAAGGCAAAAACTCTGGTCAGCGCTGGAGAAGCAGAAGGGGCCTGCAGAGGAGAAGAGGGCCTGGCAGCCACCCGCAAGAGTTGCCAAACCAAACGTGGTGACATGAGAAGTGACCAGAGGAGATGAGTGTGAAGGGATCTCAGAAAGCAGTGACACCAGTGTCCAAATGTGAGCATCCTAGGCATTTGGCCACCTGGCCCGGGGTCCACAGATCCTACTAGTGTTGACAGCTCTCATCACCTTCTGCACCCACCAGAATCCAGGCCTTTCTGTATCACATGAGAAGGGTGGAGTTCATGCTGGGCAAAAGAATAGTGAGAATGAGCAGGGGACGCCCTGGCTTCTGTGCCTGCATGGGCTTACAGGTGGATAAGAGCCATATCCAGAGGTGCTTCTTGGTGGAAAGATGGGGTTAGCCGGGTCCCACAGCAGTGTCCATGGGCACAGAGGTGACACAGGTGTCCCAGAGATGGGGGGAGATGGTCTCTTTGCTGCCCCTGCACAGAGTCTACACTTTGCCAGCTCCCTGGGAGAAGGCGACTTAGGAGCACCCACATGGGTGCTCCCACAATGGGCTTCAGCAGTGAGGCCCTGGTAAGGCTGCTCCATATGGCTCTCAGAGAATGGATGTCAGGGATTACAGAGGCCCAAGCTGGCACACCTGCACATCTGAATGCCCACACACTTGCATATCTGCTACCTGCAACCCTTGCCAAGGGCCTACTGTATAAATACACCTGACACTCCATGGGCAGGGGAAGGGTGGAAGGCCCTGCATGAGCAGATGGGAACTGGAACTTTAGGTCCCTGTCTGCATCTCACAGGAGACATCAGGGTAAATGAGACACAGGCAGAATGTGCTCTGCCACAAAACACTGCTGCCAAGATTCTACATGGCTCCCAGCTCACTGCGAGTAAACGCCCACGTACCACATCTTACCCCCTGCCCCGTGACCCCAGCCCCTGCTACTCTGGCACTTGCTCACAGGGCTCCAGCCACAGAGGCTTTTCACCAGCTCTGGAAAACTTCTGGGTGCTCCCACCGCAGGGCTTCTGCACGAACTGCTCCTCTGCCTGGATTCCCTCAGGAATCACAGGACTTTCAGGCCTCACCTCGGTCAGCCTGTCCTCAATGTCACCTGCTCAAAGAGGACTTCCCGGCTCACTCACTAACATGGCAGCCACCCCCTGACACTTGCTCTCCACCTTCTCCTCTTTATTTTTCTTCACAATATGCTTTGCCAGCAAATATTCAACTTGAGTATATTTTACTTATTTTTTTGTCTATTGTAAGTTCCCCAAGGGCAGAAATTATTAGCTGTTGCTGTCTCTCCAGTGTTTATCATTGTGCCTGATAGCTAGTACTTGCATGCACATTGTTGAATGAATGAATGAATGAATGAATGAATGAACGAACAGGTGGACAAATGAGTGAACGAATGAGAGAAAGGGAGAAGACACACACAGTGCCTGCCCTCAAGGCCTTTGCTCTCTGGTTGAGTATGTCTTTTTGCTTAGAATAACTTAGGAGCAAAATAAGTTCATTGGTCATATAAGATTTAAAAATTTTTTCAGCATTTTCAGCTCTTCTTCCCTCCAGATTCTAGCAGGAAATTATACCTAACCTGGTTCTTTTTTTTTTTTTTTTTTTTTTTTCCCAAAACAATCATGGAAACTGTGACTGAGAATCTGAAGGGTTTCGGGAGGAAACTCATCTGTTGCATTGTGGTCCTCACCCAAACCAGCCTGGCCTGGGGGCTAGGAAGAATATTGACAGCAAGCAGAGCCAACCATGCTGACAGTGCCAAGTGCTGGGGCAGGGCCTGAGGAATCCAGGCACAGGGAGTGGGGAGCAATGCCAAGGCTGCCGAAGCAGGGGGCAGGCAGGGGGGCACAAACACAGAGCACATACAGCAGCAAGATGACTGTAGCCCACTCTCAGACCACACAGCCCCTGCCTTACTCTGGAAGTGGGCAGTTCAATTCTGGGAGGGGTCTTTATATCTGAAATTCTACTATTGGAGTTCCTGTCTGTCTTAGCTAATGCTGCATAACAACTCACACCAATATTCAGAGACTTACACAATAACCACTGATGATCTCTCATGATTTCTGTAGGTCAGGAATTCAGGGACAGCTTGGCTGGGCAGTTCTGGCTCAAAGTCACTCACTAAGTTGTAGTTGGATGTCAGTTGAGGTTGCAGTCATCTGAAGGCTGGACCGGGACTGGAGGTTCCCCTCCCAAGGTGGCTCACTCATGGCTGGCAGATTGGTGCCGGCTGTTGATCCGTGCCCGGTGTCCCTGGGGCCCCTCCACAGGGCTACTTGAGCATCCTCATGGGATGGCAGCTGGCTTCCTGCAGAGCAGCTGACCCAAGGGCCATGTCAGAAGCTGCAATGCCTTTTTGACTTCGCCTTGGAGGTCACCACTTTCACTTCCATCATATTCTATTCATCACACAGGCCAGCCCAGATTCCATGTGGAAAGGGGCTACATGGGGTGTGAATCCCCAGAAGTGAGGATCACTGGGAAATGTGTGTATGGGGGCCCATTACCACACACTGTCTTTTGTGACATCAAGTCACTGACACAGTTGGGGTGCAAGGGCCTCCGGGAGACGTAGCTGCTAAATCTTATCAATCCAATTCACATCTTATTAGGACTGACTTCATGACACCATCCTTTCCAACTAGGTTTAGCCTCCCTTCCCCCATCCCACTCCAGCCCCCCAACCCCTTACCCCGACCCCCACCCCCACCACAGGCAGCAGAGGAAATCAAAGAGGAGAGTGAAATGATATAGCAGTGAGAGTGAGGTGGGGGCTGGGAAGGGAAGTGAGAGGAAAAGCCAAACGAGGGTCTTCTTCCCTCCACACTCAGGACCCCCTGTTGAATTCACCTATTGAATAAATATTAATTGCATCAACAATGTGCTGGGGACCCAGTAGTAACCCAGACCTCCCACCCAAAATTGATTCTGTATGGCATACGTCCTCATGGAGGTATGTTCTAAGGTCCACCAGGAGCACAGAGGAAGAAGCGCATGAAGTCTATGCTGGGGAAGATTGGGAGGGCTTCACAGAGGAGGTGTCACTCCACACACCCATGAAGTAAAGCTTCCCAGCCCTTGTACAGTCAGAGAGACAGAACGAGGCTGAATATCTTATTCCTTGTCACAGATAGGAGCATCACAGCCTGATCTTCTGCCCTCAGCACCCAAACAGCACATCCCACAGACTATCATGTTCGACACAGCTCTCATGCTGTGGCAAGGAGACTGCGTGTGGCAAGGTTGGAGCTGCGTGGCCACCACCGCCATTTACCAACATTAGGCCCAGGACTACGGGCTGGCGGCTTTCTATCCTATCACAAAAATAACCAGGGAGAGAAACCCTGGCAGTATCCTCACCCAACTTCGTCTAGGCAAGCAGCCCTCGCTCACAGGAAATCCTCCCAAAGGCTCAAGTCCAGTCTCTCTGGCTAGATGTTCAAGGCGGTTCCTCTTACCATGAGAATTCTAAGAGTTATTACACAGTGTTTGTCTTTTTGACAGGCTTATTTCATCTTGACTTACATCCTCCAGGTTCATGCATGTGGCAGCAGGCATTAGAATATCCTTTCTTTTTAAAGCCAAGTAATATTCTATTACATGTATATACCACGTTTTGCTTCTCCATCAATCTGTCAGACGGACACGTGAGTTATTTTCACCTGTTGGCTATTGAAAATAATACTATGAGCATGGGTATAAAAATACCTCTTTGAGACTCTGCTTCCAATTCTTTTGAGTGTATACCCAGAAATGGAATTGCTGGATCAGATGATAATTCTGTCTCTACTTTTTTGAAGGACCACTATACTGTTTTCTGTAATCGTTATTATATAATAGTTATTAATATTTTAATGATTAGTGAACAGTAGCCATCCTGCAAAGCCCTGTCACTCATTCCAGGTCTTTCTCATCCAATCTCATTGTCTAAGGCAATACCCCAACAGACAGTCTTCATTTGCTGGCACTCAGTGTTGCCATTAACCTTCCCAAATTATGCATATTTCACAGATGAAAATCCTGAGTTGCACTGATGAAAGGGAACTTGCCAAGGGCAACAGAGTGAAATGTCAGAACTCCAGACTTGAATTCAAGCAGCCAAGCTTCTCATCTCCCCCCAGGAGGCGTGTTTCAAAGCCTGGGATGGAACTGGGGCTTGCAGGCCAGGTGTGGTGGCTCACGCCTGTAATCCCAACACTTTAGGAGGCCGAGGCAGGCGGATCACCTGAAGTCAGGAGCTCAAGACCAGCCTGGCCAACATGGTGAAACCCCATCCCTACTAAAAATACAAAATTACCCAGGCATGGTGGTGGGTGCCTGTAGTCTCAGCTACTTGGGAGGCTGAGGCAGGAGAATTGCCTGAACCTGGGAGGTAGAGGTGGCAGTGAGCCAAGATCATGCCACTTCACTCCAGCCTGGGTGACAGAGCAAGACTCCATCTCAAAAAAAAAAAAAAAAAAGAATTGTGACTTGGATACCTGTGTCACCTATATCATGTGACTTAAACTCCCTTTGCCTCAGTTTCTTATCTTGAATATGGGTCTAATGATGATGATCTGGAAGTCATTTAAGGATTGAGTTAGGTAACTGCCAGTCGGCCTGGGATGCCATAATTAAATACCACAGGCTGGGTGGCTTAAATAAAAGAAATTTATTTCTCACAGTTCTGGAGGCTGAGAAGTCCAAGATTAAGATCAAGGTGTCGGCAAGGTAGGTTTCATTCTGAGGCCTCTTCCCTTGGCTTGCAGGAGGCCACCATCTGGCTATGTGCTCTCATGACCTTTCTTTGTGCTTACATTGGGGGTGGGTGACACAGCAAGCTCTCTGGTGTCTTTTCTTATAAGGGCACTAATCCCATCATGAGGGCCCCACCCTCATGATATCATCTAACCCTACTGCCCTCCCAAAGGCCCTACCTCCAAATACAAATACCATCACATTGGGAGCTGGGCTTCCTATGAATTCTTGGGGGCATACTGAGTCCGCAACAGTCCATAACTTACCAGAGGAGTCTCCATGTGCCAGACTATGCTAACTGCTTTACCCCTAGCCCAGGCTCACAGGGCAGCGTTAAGGAGCAGAGCTTTGTGGCTAACAGCACAGGCTCAGAAACCAACTGCCTGACATATGGTAAGTGCTTAACGAACAGTTGCTATTACTTGCTCCACTTTGCAGATGAAGAAACTGAGCCTTAAAAACATCAAGAAACTTGCTGGAGGGGTAAGCTGGGCTCCCTGATTCTCAGCTACCTTGGGAGAGCCTTTGGTACAGTTCCTCACACAAGGTAGACACTCTGAGGCGTAAGGCTGGCTGCTGCTGACAGTCATGATGTTTCCTTCTCATTCAAGCAGCTGCCCCTGCTGCTGCTGCCTGGATTCCAAGGGAAGACCCCAGAGGGATAAACCCCTGTCCCCATCTCTCCCCCCCGCAACCACGCCCACCACCCCTCTTAAATTCTTGTCTCAGCTTCTGATCCTTCCTCCCTCCAGTCAGCCATGGCCCCACTACAAGATGCAGCTTCCTAAACAGCTGATGTGGGGGCTTCTGATGGTACAGGGGACGTTGAATGTCATGGCAGGCAGAGCCGCCAAGTTGTGGCTCCAGCCTCCCTCCCAACCTTTTCATTGACCTCTGGAGTCCGCTGCACCCTGCAGCACTCCCTGGACAACTCCTGGATGCCTTCATGTATGTTCTTCTCAGGTCCAGAGGAGTAAATCCTACCCACTTTCCAAGACCTCCTTTGGAGACTTCTGAATCACTCCCCATTAACTCCACACAACCCGCCGCCCCGCCCATCTCTGCAGAATTCCCCACTTTCTTCTGGCTTACAGATATTAAAGCACATGTCTTCTCTCTCCTGCCAAACCGCAAGCTCCCTGCAGGCAGAAACTACAAGAACATTGGGGGCTGAGCACCCAGAGAGGTACCAGGCTCACAGGAGTCACTCCATGAATATTGATCAAATTGGGTTGAACTGTTGAAGTGAAATCCAAAACTCCCAGGGAAGCTCATTCTCCCTGAGCAGGACCAGAAATGCCCCAGCAAAAGAAGGCCTTTGTCCCCCACACTCACTCTAGATCTCCTGGAGAGAGAGAACGCGAGATCAATCAATGCCAGGGGCTGCCAATCTTTGCTGTTTTTCCCCTTAAGTCATGTTTATTGATATAATTGGTCCAAATATTTTAATTCCCACACAAATGTGTCACCTCCAGTCTCCACAATGTCAAAATGTCATCAAGTAACCTCCCCAAAGTCGCGTTTAACCTCTGTGGCGGCATCAACACCCACACAGCTGCGGCGCCACAAAGCAGCGGTGAGGCAGTGGGTGTATCATCCCCTCTGCCTGCCTCTCTTGTTTCTATATATATATGCAAAATAGTTATAAGAAATAAAACAATTGTCTCTGGCTCTCAAGCTAAATCTTGCAAAGATTATGTCTCACTACTCTCTATATGAACCGCCCAAGAACTGCTTGCCTCCAGAACTCTATTATCCTCAAAAACAGAGAGAACATTATCATCTCTTCTTTGTTGCCATTGCTTTTGCCTGCTGTTCTTTTTCTCCCAAAACATCTTTTTTTTTCAGTCCTAAGCATACAACTTTGCCAATAATGGTGAAAAAAAATCTTCTTTAAGAAATGCAGCCCTTCTCACATGGGGATTATTTTGCATGTGCTTTTTGTTGGACACATGATGTTCTGCAGGCTCCATGTGTCTATGTAGGTCACTGTAATATTTATTACATGTGTTCGGGCATGATTGATAGGTATGTACCCTTGTGTATGCATATGTATGCGGATATGTGTGCATTTGTGGATACGGGCATGTATGCACAGGTGTGTGTGGCTTCGTGGCAGAGTTGGATGGCGCCCACCCACTATGCCTGTGCTTCTTACGTTTCTCAGCCCCCCTGGTCTTTATACTGGGGCAGTATGGCTAGTTTTGGCCAATGAATTGTGAACAGAAGTGACTTCTGGCCAGGGCAACTTAGTGCCCACATGCCCTTGTAGTGGCAGCTGTCATGAACTAAATGTTTGTGTCCCCTAAGATTCACATACTGAAGCCCTGACCTGCAATGTGACGGTATTTGGAGGTGGGGCCTTTGGAAGGTAATTAGGTGTAGATGAGGTCATGAGGGTAGGGCCCCATGATGAGATTAGTGGGTAGGGCCCATGACGGGATTAGTGCTCTTGTAAGACGAGAAAGAAAGACCAGAGTTTTCTCTCATTCAGTCATGTGAGGACACATGTAACCCAGGAAGAGGGCCCTCACTAGGAATTAAATTTACTGGCACCTTGATCTTGGACTTCCCAGCCTCCAGAACTGTGAGAAATAAATGTCTGTTGTTTAAGTCACCCAGTCCATAGTATTTTGTTACAGCAGCTCAAGCAGACTAAACCAGGAGCTTTGGAGACATGCATGCTAGATGAATTAGCATGAAGATGGAAGAAGGTGCCCAACTCACACAGGCTGTGATGTGAGATAGAACCTCTGAGTGTGTTAAGCCATTGAGATTTCAGGCTTTCTCTTTTGCAGCAACCAGCATTGCCTCATCTATAAAATAATGCAGATAATCTTCCAGGATTACAAAAATAATAATAATAATGTAGATAATACCAAGTACATAGGGTTTTTGTTAGAACTGAATTAGCTAATAACTTAAAAATCATGTGTGCATTCTCCAAGTAGTGTGGGGTAACTGCAGTAAACAACAATGTATTCTATATTTATTTCAAAAGAGCTAGAAGTAAGGACTTGAAATGTTCTCAACACATTGAAATGATAAATACTCGAGGTGATGGATAGCCCAGATACCCCGACTTGATCATTACACATTCTATGCATGTTGCAAAATAGCATATGTATCCCATAAATATGCAAAAATACTACTTATCAATTTTTAAAATTGGACAAGTGCCTAATAAGCACGCTCTACTAGCCTGGCCCTGTGCCAGGTGCTGGGGATACAAGCCCAGGGACCCTGTCCTCATGGACATTTTATTCTTGCAGGGCAGATGTGGAAACTGACCTACATGGTAAATGCACAATTCCGGGAGCGGGAGCATATACAACACCAAGGAGGCAGCAGTTCATTCCGAAGGATTCAGGAAACGCAACACTATAAAAGGGTGGGATGAGCAGCATTTTGAGGAAGAAGTAGAGCTTGCCAGGTTGAATGAGCCAGGGTGCCCCAGGGGAGATGCGGGGAATTGGTTATGAATGGTGGGATGTGTGTAGCAGGGCCCTTTGCTGGTTTTTAGAACCTTCAAGGAAGGCCTGGGATTCTCAGATGCCACATTCTGTTGAGGCTGGGTCACTCCGAGTGGCTCCAGGGATAGGGTGAGGGTCTGGGAAAGCGTGAAGGTGTCATTTACTCTCGGTACAGAAAATGCGAGCTTTCTTTTCTTTTTTAAGGCTATGGCAAAATGCCCTGCTTTCTTCATATTCATCTAGAAGGGAGCGTGTGTGGGGGCGTCTGCCACCGTCCCCCAGGCGAATGTGCGCTCCCAGAGGCAGAAACAGACCTGGTCATGTAGCCCCCTGGGTTTCCTGAGCCGAGGGCCTGGGCTGCGCCTGGAGCCCCTACAAACGCCTGTTGGATGGAAAGGAACACAGGTCTCCTGCTGGGCTGCAGTTTGGAACAAACAAAACTGAATGCCCACCCCAGGGTGGCATCCACGTCAGCCCCAGGGCTGCACGGAGGTTTCTCTCCCGGGAAGTCTGCAAGCGCCGGCGCCGGCGCACCGCGCCACCCCGCGGTCACACCTGGGAACTGCACCTTCCCGGACTACACCGGGGAGCCCCGCTCTCCCGCCATTGTCACCCCTTCTGGGGCTGGCATCCTCAGCCGACCTCCTTCCCTCTATAAAGTCTCCTACAATGTCCCGGCACTGCTTCACCATGGTTATTGGGGTCCTGACATCCTAAGCCCCGCTTGTCAGATTATGAGTGGGAGGTGACAATGAGAATTCAAGGCACATGTGAGAGAAAGGGACAAAGACAGGACGTGGTAATCCCTTACTGAAGAGCATGCTGGTAAAGAATGCTGGCAGAGAGGGGTTTGAGCCCAACCCAACCACTCCCTAGCTCGGACCCTGCAGAGCTACTTCACCTCGCCGGGCCTCAGTCTCCCTCTCTGTAAAATGGGGATGATAGAACCCAGAATCGCTGTATTAAAAGACACAATTCATATAAAATAAGCTAAGGCTCCATGGCTGGCACATAGCAAGTGTTCAACAAATACAAATTCAAAGCACCTATGCTTCTGTTGCTCCATCAGAGCCTTGCTTCAGGTTAGTGAGGTGAACATTAATATTTCCATTTTATTGACAAGTACACTGAGGCTCAGAGAGTGGAAGGCACTGGCCCGAGGTCTTTCAGCCAGGGAATGATGGGCTTGAAGCCGTGCCTTTTTGTGCTTGCCAACATTCCAGGAGCCCCCTGAAAGAAGATGCAGAGGGCAGAATGCTGAAGGAAAGCTGGGAAGGTCAAAAGAGAGAAGAGAGAGGAGACACAGTGTTAAGTCCAAGACAGCAAACTGCTCTTTTCCCTTATGGATGTTAGACCCTCTTTCTGGGGGGAAAAAAATGCTTTATTCAAAAAGTTCAGCCAGGCATAGTGGGAGGCTGAGGGCGGGAGAATCCCTTGAGCCCCAGGAGTTGGTGACCAGCCTGGACAACATAGCAAGACCCCCATCTCTACAAACAACAAAAAAAAAACTAAAAAACATGGTGAAACCCCATCTCCACTAAAAATACAAAAATTAGCTGAGTGTGGTGGCGCTAGCCTGTAATCCTAGCTATTTGGGAGGCTGAGACATGAGAATTGCATGAACCCAGGAGATAGAGGTTGCAGTGAGCCAAGACTGTGCCGCTCCCCTCCAGCTTGGGCAACAGAGTAAGACTCTGTCTCAAGAAAACAAACAAACAAACAAACAACAACAAAAAAAAAAACTAAAAAGACAAAAAGTTTGTCCTGAGAAGCACCCAGCACTGTTAGGAGGCCTGGGCTCTGGTCCTGGCCCTGCTACTAAGCAGTGGTGTGACTGGGTGACTTTGGACACATGATACCCCCTTTCTGCGGCTCAGTTTCCTCCTTGACAAAACGACGGAGAGGGTGGGTCAAGACGCCTGCTCTGGGGCCTTTCAGCCACATACTGGTCCCTCCCCATGCCTTTCAGTTGCCCTGTGGGGAAGCTGCCCACTGCCACTCTGTGGACGTCCATGGCCAAGGGGTGTCACCATTTGCCCTCAGAGACCTCCGAGGAGGAAGAAAGGACCCAGAACTGTGCCCCAGGGCGTGACAGATGGAAAGAATAACTCTTAACTCGATCATATGAACAGGAGATTAGCATTAATCCCCAGTGGGGACTGAATCACTGTGCCCAAAACGCTGCACGCAGGGCCAGGAGCTCGGCAGGCGCAGAGCACGGCGGGCGGGGAGCCCGGCCGTTCACTAGCCAGATTAAAAGAATTCAACCTGCAGAGGCTCCAAAGGCCGACCCACGGCAGAGCAGAGCGGGAGGAGAGGTCACTGCTCGCTGCCACCTCTCACCTGAGAGGAGATCGCCGTGTGGTGTACCCACGCCTTTCTGGGTGCGGGACAGCTGTGTGCCTATGTTTCATTGTTTTGCTTTTGGCTGATGTTTCAGACAAGAGCGGGCCAATTGGTAGACGTAAACATGGGCCTTTCATAGCTGCCTAACTAGGCAAAGATGAATGGCTTGGGTGGTGCTCTAGTCGAAAATAACAGCAGCATATCAGGGCAGAATTAAAGAGAGAGAAAAACAAACAAAATAAATCTATCAGGACTCCAGGGCCATCTTTCTGAGGAAAACGTCAGGATGAGAAAGACCGGATTCCTGTGCCAGACCAGGGGTCAAAATCCTCGACACTCTACACATGGCCCTGAAGCAGGGAGTTGTTGTTGTCCTCGAGCTGCCTAAGGACAAGTCGGAGCCTGTGTAGGGAAGACTCAGTCAGTGTCCCTGTCTTCTATTCCTAATGACTGATTAAAGCCGTTGAAAATGTTAAAAGCCATTCCAAATGCCACGCTGGTGGAACAACTGTGTTTTCTTCACACTCAGGGAGATGGAGTCTGAGGAAGCACTGGTGACTATGAGGATGGGGGTCTCATGCTGGCGTTTGGGGAACCCTAGCTGTCTCTGTTCCCAGCTTGACTCTGTGGTCACCACAGTAGGGACAGACACTCCCCTCCAACCACTCCCCAATGCCCTCCAGACTTAGGGGAGGGTCCGCAGATTCTGCTTGGGAGCACGGTGGAGGCCCAGACCACAGCCACCCCTGCCCCTGGCCTCAGGGTGGAGGGGCAGAGCCAGGCAGCTCTGTGAGTGATGTTGGCCCCATGCTGAAGGCCAGCTTCCCCTTGCCTGCCACTTGCTTTGCCTTGGAGGGTGCCCCTGAGCCAGTAACAAGTGTTTGCGGGAGCCACGCTCTGCCCTGAGTAAGAAGAAATTTCTACCTTTTCTCCCTGCTCCACAAAGAGAGCTCTACAGCCCCTCACAGGCAGAGAACAATTAGTGACTCAAAAAGGAAATGTATGGGATGAGACACTTACTTAGGCTTTGCAGGGGACCCTCCGCTTCAGGAGGACCTTCTAAGGAAGGCTTTCTATTGGTTTGGAGCCTCCGATACGTTCTAACATCTCAGCTTGGTGGGGGTGCCCTTGAGGTCTTCATCCTCTCTCTGCTCACCTGGAAGTGCCCTGTGCTCCCTGGGGCCAGTTAGTGCCCCATCCGGCAGGTTTTTCTCCTCTCATGATGCCCAGCCATGGGAGGTGGGGGTGCCTCCAGATGCCCCAGCCAAGGCTCTCAGGGCAAAGGATCGAGGTTACTTTCTCGAAGGTCACTCAGGCTTGTGTGGGGTGACGCAGCGGGACAGGAATGACTCCAAGATGCCAAGACCGGAAGAAAACACACTCTGTCCGCCCTCTGCAGTTCCCCCAGGCCTCATCTCTCAACAGCCACACAGAGAGTCAGGACAGGGTGTCTCAGAAACATCCCCTCCAGTGTCTAGCAGCTGAACGAGGGTGGCAAAATGCCATCCCAGGCTCCACCAGAACTTACATGTCCCTGCAGAAGTGTGATGCCGTGGGAGCCTACAGGGCATGGTGAAATACCCAGAAGTTACGTAAAGGGGCAGCTGCTAGATGTTAGAAGAAAGACAAGTTCCCGGCCAGAATATTCAGTCTTCAGCAACCAGAAGCTAGGCCTCACTGTTTAAAAAAAAATAAAAGGAAAGGAAAGAAAGAGAGAAAGGAGGAAAAGGCCTACAATGATCCAGATCTCAATGTTAAAAAAAAAAAAAAATTTTAACTTTTGTGCCCTAATTCATAACACCCAAAAAGAGTGACATTCAAATTTCTGAACAGTCAATTCTGGCAAAAATATCAGAATCTTACAAGTGGAAAAAAAATTCAAAAGATTATCTTTCCTGGTGATTCTCAAACATGATCCCATGAAATCACATTGGGAGCCTAATAAAAATCACAGGTTTCAGGGCCACCCTACAGACCTAGTCGGGCTGGAATCTCTCGGGACCGATGCCAAGGTATTTGTGAGTTTAGCAAGCTCCCCAGGTGCTCTGATGATAATGAGGTTTGGAAACCACTGGTGGCCCACTGCTCCTGAACCTTTCCTGTGCATGCGAACCACCTGGTGATCTTGTTCAAATGCAGATTCTATTCCAGGTCTGAGTGGAGCCTGGGATTCTGCATTTCTGTTGCTGATGCTGCTGGTCCTAAAGCCATACTTGAAATATCCGGACTGTTCTCCAACCTCCCTCACTTGACTGAGAAACAGATAAACTGAGTAGCAGATATAAGGGAAGCCGAGAGGAGAACTGCTGAGTTAAAAGAGAAAAAAATGACGTGGGTGGGAGGTGAGCGAAGAGAAAAAAATGACGTGGGTGGGAGCTGAGCCGAAAGGAAGCTGCAAGCTAATTGATCAAGAATGATAGTAATCTCAGCACTTTGGAGGGAGGCCAAGGCAAGAGGATTACTTGAGTTAGGAGTTTGAGACTGGCCTGGGCAACATGGCAAAACCCTGTCTCTACAAAAAATAAAAAAATTAGCCAGGCATAGTGGCTCACGCCTATGGTCCCAGCCACGTGGGAGGCTGACACAGGAAAACTCCTTGAGCCCAGGAGGCGGAGGTTGCAGTAAGCCAAGATTGTGCCACTGCTGCAGCCTGGGTGACAGAGCAAGACCCTCCCCCCAACCCAAAAAAAAAAAAAAAAAAAAGAATGATGGTAAAGCTGGTTTCAAAGCCAGCCCCAGAATCTCCACTTGGTCATTTTCTTACCAGACAACAGTCTTGGGGCTTGTTTCCTAGTGATCATTGCAGGTATACAATGGGAACTAGAATTCTGCACAGGCCCCTGGGACTGAGAGCTTGCTGTGCAGCTGAACCATAACTGCCCCACTCTTTGGCAAAATCAACTTTAGAGTCTACATGCCGACCTCTGGCATGTGTTCCAGGGTGCTCATCAGGCACTCCCTGACACCCTACCACCCTGTGTATACAAGTGTGCACGTGCACACACACACAGAAATGTGGCTCCAGACACCCCTCCACCTGGTGTATACAGTGTGCACATACACATGCTTCACAAGTGACAACAGGAAATAATCACCCTGTCTTCTGAGGGCCCTGTGCTGGACATCTATCCCGTCTCTCATTCCCTTGACCCACTTTGTGCTCAGCCCTTGCTGCAGCAACTGGCTGGGCACAGGCGTAGGCCAAGGGCACCTTGCCTTAGCCACCCCTAGTCTTCTGCCCCTGGGGCTTCTTGGCCTGCCTTCCGTGAGATGCTCACTGAGCAGGCCAAGCCATTCTAGCACCTGTGCAAACCTGGCGGAAATGAACAGTCCCTGGGGGAACTGTTCATTTAGGCAATAGGAATGGGAGCTGGTAAATAAAGACTTTCCTCTCCCGGGCCTCATGTAGACAAAGCATTCCATTCATCAGACTGTCCCCAGAGGGATGGAGCCCCAATTGCCTCCAAGGGTAACCAGCTCACAATGCACACTTGGATTGGCTTTCCTCCTTTCCTGGTTCACTTTCCCAGCCTCCCTAAAATAAACTCCCTACATGAAAGCCATGCCAGGCTCTGTTTTAGAGAAAAACCTGACTAACCCATGCCCTCCAGTGGTAGTGGCTAAATCCTGCAGAACAAGGAAGGAGGAGGCTGCAGACTTCAGAGAGGGCTGGCCCACAGTGACCCAGAACACCAGAGGCTCTCCCTAAAGCCACAGCCCCTGCCTGAGGCTCACTGCAGCTGTGCAGGTTTCTGAGAACAAATTATGTTGAGTCCAAAAAATAATTTAAGGTCCTCTGTGCGACGTTGGAAACAAGAGAAGGAAAGCTAAAGAAACAAGGCTTGTTTAGCCTGGAGAAAAGGTTAATAACCAACTTCATAAAAATAAATGGGTGCTTCTCAATGTTAGCTGATGTAAGAATGCAGGGAGATAGGACTGACCTGGAGCTGAAGGGCCATTTCACCCGTCGGTATGCTGCCAAAGTGGAGATGGCATCTCCCGGTGAAGTAATGAGCTCCCCATCATCGGAGGCATTCAGCTTGTGATGCAGAGGGGTAGACTTACTGGGGATAATGTGGATGGGATTCATTCTTTGGATAAAGCTTTTAAAGTTATTCCTTTTTTTTTTTTTTTAAGATGGAGTCTCACTCTGTCACACAGGCTGGAGTGCAGTGGCACGATCTTGGCTCACTGCAACCTCCGCTTCCCAGGTTCAAGCGATTTTCTTGCCTCAGCCTCCTGAGTAGCAGGGATTACAGGTGTGAGCCACCACGCCCAGCCTAAAGTTGTTCCTTTTCTAGGCACCTCTTTAAAAATCACGGATCCTTTTCAAACTAGGATTCTGTTAGTATAAGTCTGCCCCAAAAAGGGGGAATGTCAACTGATAAGTGACCTCACAAACTCCCCCAGTCCAAGGACATTGAATTGTGCTTTTCCGCTGTTTTTTCCTGAGTAGGCTGTTTACTCATGAGGTCTTGGCACCACCTAGTGGGCTCTTTTGTTCATTACAACATGTGCCTGGCCAACAAGAGTATTAACTGTAAAGTTTAATACATACACCCTTTTTGATTAAAGCATCAATTCAACAAAAATGTATTAAATACAAGTTACGGGTTAAGCATTGTGCTATCACCTGGGGTGCAGCATTAATCAAACAAGACATGGTCTCACCTTCATGAGGCTCATATTCTAATGGACTAGACAATAAACATGTAAACAACAAAATAATTAATTGCTATACATTGTGATGTCAGGAAATAAACCCATTGTGTGATATAGAGTAATGTAAGCAGGAAGAGGCTATTTTAAGTAGGATTGGCAAGGCCAGTGCGGTGGCTCACATCTATAATCCCAACGCTTTGGGAGCCCCAGGTGGGTGAATTACTTGAGGTCAGGAGTTCAAGACCAGCCCGGGCAACATAGTGAGATGCCTGTCTCTACAAAAAATATAAAAATTAGCAAAGTATGGTGGCACCTGCCTGTAATTCCAGCTACTCAGGAGGCTGAGGTGGGAGGATCACTTGAACCCGGGAGGTGGAGGCTACAGTGAGCCAAGATCATGCCACTGCACTCTAGCCTGGGCAACAGAGCGAGACTGTCTTAAAAAAAAAAAAAATTAGCTGGGTGTAGTGGCACGCATGTGTGGCTCCCAGATACTTAGGAGGCTGAGGCAGGAGGATCACTTGAGCCTGGGAGGTCAAGGCGACAGTAAGCCATGTTCACGCCACTGCACTCCAGCCTGGGAGACCTAGCAAGACACTGTCTCAAAAAATAAAAAATAAAATAAAATAAATGGTGGGCAGAGAAAGCCTCTGCATGTGGACAATCGTGGAGGAGCCAAGAGCTTGGCCATTCAAGGAGCTGAGGCCAGCATGTTCAGAGCCCAGTGGGTTAGCCCAGAGGGGCGCAGTAGGACTGGAGAGAGAAACGAGGGGAGTTCCATGTTCGTAAACATTTCCTCAAGTGAAAGCACACAAATGGTTAGGGTGGGCTCTTCCAGAACAATATCTAATTAAATTTAAATTTTCAAAACATGGGGAGAGGGAAAATGCCTTGACATGAACTTGGCCACGTGCCCAAGTCCAGGAGGCCCCTACCAGGGCCATGGGTCACAGCTGTGTGCCCCACTCAAGAGAGCTGCATCTGCTCCCCACACCCTGCTTCAGGGTCCCCATTACTGATAAGCTGCATCTTTGATTATTTATTTTGGAACCTCATTTTTAAAGTCTGGAAGAGTGGTTCTCAACCTTGGCTGCAAATCACCTGGGAGCTGTTAAAACCCCCAAAGTCTAGCTCACACCCTTGACCAGTTAAAGCTTCATCCCAGGAGGGTAGGCCCTGGGCACCAGTGCTTTGAAAGCCTGCAGGTGATTCCCATGTGCAGCCAAGGCTGAGAACAGCTGGTCTGGAAGTATACTCACCAAAAGAAAAACAAGAGACCTCATTTGATATTCTCAAGTAGAGAAGGCTACAGAAGTAATGAGGCTGTTTTCTTTTTCACTACCAGGCCTCTTCCCCAGGTGGAAGCCCTGACTCTGGGCCACCCAGCCCTCGACACTACGCTCTCATTACGTTCCCACCTGGACGCTTCACCATGCAGTCAACAGACCGTGTGAGCGGACTTTGCAGACATGTACTTTTTCGTAATGGCAAGCAGGCCTGCTACAGGCACAGGAGTTCTTGGGTTTCCATGGCCTTGTTACTCAGTCACACTTCCCCAAGGTGCAGAGGGTCCAAGAGCCAGACCTCCGAAAGCGGCGATTCTCCACTGAGCGGCACATCACAACGGCCTGGGGAGCTCATAAATACTGATCCTTGGGCCCAACCCAAGATTGATTTCTGGGCTGCAGCTTGGGCTATTGGGTGATTCTAAAATGCAGCCAAAGGCCAGGCACAATGGCTCACACTTGAAACTCAGCACTTTGGGAGGCCGAGGTGGACAGATCACTTGAGGTCAGGAGTTCGAGACCGGCCTGACCAACGTAGTGAAACCCCGTCTCTACTAAAAAATACAAAAGTTAGCCGGGTATGGTGGCGTGTACCTGTAATCCCAGCTACTCGGGAGGCTGAGGCAGAAGAATCGCATGAACCCGGGAGGCAGAGGTTGCAGTGAGCCAAGATCGTGACACTGCACTCCAGACTGGGCAGACAGAGTAAGACTGTAGGAGAGAAGAGGAGAGAAGAAGAGAGGAGGGGAGAGGAGGGGAGAGGAGGGGAGAGGAGGGGAGAGGAGGGGAGAGGAGGGGAGAGGAGGGGAAAGGAGGGGAGAGGAGGGGAGGGGAGGGGAGGAGAGGGGAAGGGGAGGAAAGGAAAGGAGAGGGGAAGGGGAGGGGAAGGGAAGGGTGCCAAGACTGGAAGCTGCTGTTGCCAAAGAAAAGGCAGTGCCTGTATTCCTCTGTGTCCTCAGGAGGCCTATAATAACCAGAACCGCTGTGAAACTGGGGTTGATGCTTGAGTGGCCCACAGTTGCTACAGGCTATGTATTCTCTGCTAAACAGCTCAATCCTGGACCTATCTCTGTGCTCCCCAGGCCTCAGATCGGCTGGCTACGAGTAGGCCAGTTAAGACTATGAGGGAGTCCATATAGCTTGTCAACCGCCCCCCTCACCTCCCACTGGTTGGGAAGAAAGAACTCACGCAAGGCATGTGGCCGCCAAGACGGCAATGCTACACTTAGTACATGATGGGTGGTTACATACTAACTTCCCATTTAAAAAAAAAAAAAAAAAAAAGGAGTATTATCCTTAAAGCTCTTGCCAGTCAAGCACCAACAAAAAAACTGGTAACATGCACTCTGCTGCACTTGCATGGTATAGCTCTTTATATAAGCAACGGCTTATGTTATTAAAAGAAAACTACCCACATACATCTTAACGTCTAGGATACATAACAGAAGGTAACTAGTTATATTGCATGGTGAAAATCCAGGTGATTTAAATTTTGTTATTGTTGCTCATCTTCATTTTCTAATTGTTTTATGATGAATATGGATGACTGATATGAACAATATTACTAGAGCATAAACACCAAAAGGAATCCATTGTTTCTTACAGAACTCAAGTGCATAGCTGGTCTGTAAGTGTTCAGCTCACAACTCTGCCTTTTCTTTTCTTTTTTTTTTTTTGGAATGGAGTTTTGCTCTTGTTACCCAGGCTGGAGTGCAATGGTGCGATCTCGGCTCATTGCAACCTCCGCCTCCCGGGTTCAAGCAATTCTCCTGCCTCAGCCTCTCAAGCAGCTGGGATGGCAGGCATGCGCCACCATGCCTGGCTAATTTTGTATTTTTGGTAGAGACAGGGTTTCACCATGTTGGTCAGGATGCTTCAAGAACCCTAAAAGCATTGCTCCCTCAACAAGAGGACAAGGGCCACATTGCACTTATTTGGTAGCTATGTAGCTCTAGTACAGCATGGCAGGCACTTGGAAGGATCAAGATCAACACGCTAATCAATTCAACTGCCAGAAAGTAAGCCATTCCCCTATCAGTCTTTTTCATAAGGAACATGGATTCTTTACTGCCTCTGCAGAGTCTGTTAGTTTTTCAACGTATCTTCTGTGAAACTAGTGTTCTCTGGACAATAGGTATGCAAAAACCAAAAAAGGTACGTGTGTGGGAGTCTGAAAGACAGATTTCTTTCCTAAAGAGCTTTGCAGAGCTTTGACTCTGCAAGTATTCATTGTGAATCATAATAGGAGGATACCATATATAGCTTTTCCCATATTTATTTAGCCATAAAATACTTTTCTCCAGGAACAGCTGCAGGGACTAGTACTCCCAGGAATACATTTTGGGAAATGCTAATCTATCTTTCTGGTGCGCAGCTCTTTGACCTACCACCCACCAGGCAGAGTGGCTGCAAACGTGCCCTGTCCCCTATAATGAGGGCGGGGCAGCAGGCCCTAGGCAGGGCTGTACAGAATGAGGTTAGGTGACCACGCAGCACACTCAGACTTCTGTCATCGAGTGAGCTCAGCCACAAATGAGGTGACTGAGAGCCCAGAAAACAAATAAGGAATGGTCCAATAAATATAAATATTCACAACTGAACATCAGGTGACATTTTCATTTATTCTGTTTACAGATGCCACTTAGTTACACTGTTTTTTTTTTTTCAGTCTCATCTGGGTTGGATCCAAAGACATTCAGAGGCATGGTAAGAGGCAAAGCATCAGACATCTCATTGGTGGCAGGTACTTCCTGACTACTGTACCACCTGCTGTATCCTTCCCCACCTCATCACCCCCAAAGCCATTTAGTGCCAAATGCTACAGTAAAAACCCAATGCATTTACATAAAATAATGCCTAACTGCATATTTACATTTTTTAGAAAAAAAATCCCATTAAGCTCTTCTAGAAAGTTATGGCAGGAAAGGTAAGGACCAAGGCTATGAGCAAGCCATATGTGGAAACTTAAAGTAGATGAGCACTGAGTTTCTCCATAGTTGGAAAAAAGCCACACTGAGCCCACTCTTCCTGTGAGGCAAGATGAGACCTTCCTTTTATACCCTGTTGAGAATCTCAGGTGGACAACGTGACTGCATGAGTGTTGAAAGGCAGCTTGCCGGCTTAGTTATCACCTTGCAGAGGTAGCTATGCACTACACAGCCACACTGCCCAAAGCGCGCTACTAAGAACACTGGTCCTACAAAGGGCTCCTTGTAAGAGAACTTTAGGAATCACAAGTATTTAGAAAATACTATACACTATCATTTCCTTCCTAGAGATCCGCAATGCACATTATCACATGGAAGTTTCCAGAAGTTCTTTCATAAAGAAATGCTTAACTTTATTTAACCTAGAGTTTCCATATCAACCTGACCTTGGAATCTCTTACTTTTTTAGGTGACACATATCATAGAACATATTCTGAGAAATGCTCCTCTATGGCTTTGAGAAAATCTTTGCAGAAACAAAATAATAATAATTTTTTACTTAAAAAAATTAAGTAACTAGTAGGATCAAGTGTTGGTCAACAACAAAGAGATCAAAGAGTCAGGAAGTCCACGTCATAGACCCCCACTTTCTAATTCCAGCCTAGCACTGACGCCATAAACTGTGCCTGCCTGAAAACAGGCAGAAATCAGTTGTCCATGATTTCTCTCTTTAAGGCTTGAGTTGTTCGGCATGGAAATCACAGTACAGAATTGAATGAGGTCCATCAGGAGCCCATATTTCATGTACAGAGGCCAAGCGTCTTCTCTTGTCTTCTGCTATAACAGTGAAATCATTAAACATCTATTGTTGCTTATCACATGACTATGAGGTTTTTCAAATAGACCTGACAAGCCCTTTGTTTCTAACAAAAAAAGGGGATGATAACTCGTAGAGCTTCTCATTATTTTCAGCCACAACTACACAGACCAAGAGATCATAATACAAAGCTTTTGGCCAAATAATTTAAAAGTATTACAGCAAGGACAGGGAAAGATGAAAATCAATGACATTACTGGAATGATGTAAACATTTCATCATCTGCATAATACATAATTTTTTATTCTTGTTTCCAGGGAGTTTCACATGATATTTTAAAGCAGAAGCAGATTCTCCACATGTAGAACTTGGCAGACAATAATAACGTATTATCTATGCCCTGCTGGGATACAAGCACGCATTCACACCTCAATAGCAATCCTCGCAAATCGATACTGCAGAGAGGCGGGAGGCCTCAGTAGCACTAAGCCCCTCTGCGCTGCAGGCTGGCTGGACAGCATATCCAGCAAGCCTGTCAAGCTAACAAACCCCAGGGCTTCTCCACAGCCAACAGCCATGGAAAAATCTCCCTGAGTCACAAAGCCTAGGAGAGTTCTGGAGCAGTGCAACGTCACACGCGGCAGAGGGCCTGACCACAGCCCTAGAGTCAGAGCTTCCTGCCCAGCCACGGGCTCTTCCCCCGCCGGGCCATCAGAAGAGGCACGTCCTGGCTTCTGCCTCTTCTCCCTTTTCTTCTTCTCTTTCTGTTTCAGGATCTTGCTCCTGAATGGGTCACTGTGTTTGGATTCCTGGGGCCCACAGTAATGCCAGTCCTCATGGAGCTGGAGGAAGTCCTCCTTGGCTGGGACACAGATCATGGTGTGAGGCTCGGGGCTGCCCTTGCTGAGCAGGGACAGGCTGACCCAAACCAGGGCCCTGGGGAAGTGGCCCAAGATGGACAGGCAAGCCTCTCTGGTCAATCCTTGCTGGCCTCTGCCGGGAGCTCGCCGGCCTCCCCGACTATCCTCAGAACTGGGCCCACACCAGGCTGACAGTTGCTTCAGTAATTTTCTACTCCTACATGAAGTTGGAGACATACGTTTGAGGATATTTTGTTCCAGAAAAAAATATGCAATCAGAAGATTAGACACTGCTAGAATTAATTTGATTCTTTTATACTATATAAGAATCAAAACTACAATTTTTTAAAAATTAGAAATACACTGTAGTACATTTTAGTACTTATATTTTTCTTTTTATGTGTTTGCCATTCTGAAACTCAGGGACTAAAGATTTAAGAAGTTGAAGGCAGGGAAAACAAGACAGTGAGATAGAATCTAGGATTGTAATCACAGTGAGGGTGAAAATAAAGAGCCACTAAGATTTCAATGAGTAAAGGAACTGTAAGGGACTGTTACATGTAAAGTAAGAAAGAATGATAGGAAATTATGAGGCTACTATACGGAAAAGTAAGCACAAGGCTAGAGGGATAAGCACTTTTTAAAAATCAAAGCACAGGCCGGGCGCAGTGGCTCACACCTGTAATCCTAGCACTTTGGGAGGCTGAGGTGGGCGGGTCACCTGAGGTCAGGAGTTCGAGACCAGCCTGGCCAACATGGTGAAAATTAGCCAGGCGTGGTGGCATGTACCTGTAGTCCCAGCTACTTGGGAGGCTGAGGCAGGAGAATCGCTTGAACCCAGGAGGCCGAGGTTGCAGTGAGCCAAGATCACACCTCTGCACTCCCGCCTGGGTGACAGAGCAAGACTCCATCTCAAAAAAAAAAAAAAAAAAAATCAGAGCAAAGCACAGAATGCAGGGTCACTGATGAGCAGAACCTGGCCCACACCAATACTGAGAGGAGAACATAGTGTATCCGGTAGCCTCTCTGGCTAGGACTATATTACATCTAATGGGTTGCTGCTCTAACACAAATCCATATAATTCAAAAGGAACTAGAAGAAATCTAATTTGGTAATTTAAAGCAAAGAATCCTTGCTCAAACTGCATAAAATATGTCAGAAAAAAAACTGCCTTGGCTTGGATCTATTGATGACAATATTGTAAATCATTTCATCAATTAGCATCATGCCTTACATCAAATATTATTAAGCTGTTTCCCTGAGCCCTCTATGAAATATAAAAGACTGGCTTTCCCTTCCAGAAAGCCTATAAATTCACTTGGATTTTGCATAAACAAACAGTGATAACGCTTACATCCTGTAGCCTCTTCAATATTAAAATAAATAATCCAAAATGTACCCAGAAGTCACCGACACTTACCTGAGAACGCAGAGGTGACTCCCTGTGGCAGCAACATGGTTTTCACTGGCCTCCTGGTCTGTGATCCTCTCAGGCCCTGCCGATTCTTGACACCCTGCATCCATTACCTCCTCTGCCTCCCTGGGGTGCTCTATGGATGTGCCCACTTCATCAGATGGCTGATGAGTTTTTTTAGGCATGGGAGCACAAGGCACCTCAGATCTTCTTAGGTCACTCTCCTTACCATTTGGAGATGAAGCTACAGAAGGTTCTTCGTAAGCCTGGACTCTTGACTCCCAGTCTTGAGTTAACTGCTCCCAGGGACAGCAGAAAGGTGCCAGAGTGCCAAGCTTAACGTAGTTGGGCCGTTTTGCAGGAGGGCGTCTAAAGAAAAACATACAGGAGAACCAATGTTGAACAATTTAGGATTGGAAAACTAAAATAATTATAACCATTATAATGCATCTCTATTTTAAAACACACACACACACACACACACACACACACACACACACACACACACAAAAGCTTTCCAAGAAACATATGATAAAGAATAATAGGCTGGGCTCAGTGGCTCATGCCTGTAATCCCAGCACTTTAGGAGGCCAAGGCAGGCGATCACCTGAGGTCAGGAGTTCGAGACCAGCCTGGCCAACATGGTGAAAGCTCTACTAAAAATACAAAAATTAGCCGGGCATGGTGGAGGGTGCCTATAATCCCAACTACTGGGAGGCTGAGGCAGACGAATCACTTAAACCCAGGAGGCAGAGGTTGCAGTGAGCTGAGATCACACCATTGCACTCCAGCCTGGGCAACAGAGTGAGACTCCGTCTCAGAAAATAATAATAATAGGCCAGGCATGGTGGCTCATGCTTGTAATCCCAGCACTTTGGGAGGCCCAGGCGGATGGATCACGTCACGTCAGGAGTTCGAGACCAGCCTGGCCAACATGGTGAAACCCTGTCTCTACTAAAAATACAAAAAAATTAGCTGGGTGTGGTGGCACATGCCTGTAATCCCAGATACTAGGGAGGCTGAGGCAGAAGAATCGCTTGAACCCAGGAGGCAGAGGTTGCAGTGAGCCAAGATCATGCCACTGCACTCTATCCTGACAAAAGCGAAACTCCATCTCCAAAAAATAAAAAATAAAATAATAATAATAACCAATTCTACTGGCCAAGCTTTTTTGTTTTCTTTGGTCTTCAATAAACAATGTAGCCCCATGTGGCCACTGAACCACACCAGGGGATCCATTCCTGAAAGCTACAAGGAACTGGTGCCCCTAGAGTTGTGCCACGATTTTCCTGTACACTTACGAGGTTCTAAGCTCAAGGCTACATGAAGTTTCTGTCTTACTCTTGACCTCTAGTGACCCAGCTATCCTCCACAAAGGTAATAAATATCATTATCAGTTTCTTACATAGCCTTCCAGAGACATCTTATGTACACACAAGCAGATATTACATATTTCTTTCTTTTTATTTATTTTTATACAAATAGCAGCATACTAGGTACAGTACTTTTTGCTTAACTTCACTTTTTTCATTTAACAAAATATCTTGATTACTTTATACCAGTACTGAAAGCTCCCTCATTCTTTCTTTTTAATAGGCTGTGTATCTTGTATCTTACTCTACTGAATGAATATGCCCTAATTGATTTAGACAGTCCTCTATTAAAGGACATTTTGATTGTCTTTAAGCTTTTGTTCCTCCAAACAAGGCTGCAATTAATGATCTTGACGGTCATGCTGCCTTCCCCTGCACCACTATGACTCTTGTCACTCCCAGTGGCTTCAGCATCTGCCTAAATCATCCTTCCAATAACCCACCAGTCACCTTCCCACCCTCACTTCGCATGTCTTACTTCACCCCACCTCAAGCACCCACTCCCTGCTCATACCTTAGGTGTGGTCACTGCCAACACCTGCTCCAGCTTCAAACTGCGATGTCAGTATCCTGCTCTCAGAGCCATGCCTCCTGTTTTCCACCCACTTACCCTCCCACAACAATGCCCCAACCACCCATTTACACTAGCACCTCCCTGCGGCTCGCAGCAGCTGCCTCGCTCTTCATCAGCCTAGATGGCTCACACCACCGTCCCTCCCCTACAAACACCCCCACTCCCTCCACTGGAAAGCTGACCTGGGCGCAGCCAACTCTCCAATGACCCCATGCCAGCCCGAGTGGCAGAGCACAGCGGAGGAAGAACTCATGATGGTTCTTAACGGTCTTCCTTTATAAACACAAATCTCAAGTAGGTGCCCTCTACATCTTACAGATCCCATGTTTCTCCTCTCAATTCCGTCTTCCACTCTCCCAGAAACTGCTTACAATTCCTCTCTCCTCAAATCTCCAACAGCCTCTCTCCCCTTCTTACTGCTGGCTGATAGCTGTGCCTCTTTTTTCATGAAGACAGTCACAATCAGGAGTGTGCTACTTAATCCCCCCACTGCAGAATCTAACCTAGCTAAATAAATCCATGTTCAGATGTCAGTGGCAGGCTAACAGCCTTATATTAATTTTTCTGAGGAAGGAGAACTAGCCAACTTAAGAATTACAGAAAGAAAGTGGTTTGGAAAATAGGATTAAGAGCCAGGGCCGGGCACGGTGACTCACACCTCTAATCCCAGCACTTTGGGAGGCCGAGACAGGCAGATCACAAGGTCAAAAGATCAAGACCATCCTGGCCAACATGGTGAAACCTGATTTCTACTAAAAATACAAAAATTAGCTGGGCATGGTGGTGGGCACCTGTAATCCTAGCTACTCGGAAGGCTGAGGCAAAAGAATCGCTTGAACCTGGGAGGTGGAGGTTGCAATGAGCCGAGATCACGCCACTGCACTCCAGCCTGGCAACAGAGCAAGACTCTGTCTCAAAAAAAAAAAAAAAAAAAAAAAGAGTCAGAACTGTTTGTAAATCTAGTTGGAAGATAGCCAAAGAAATAAAAGCAGATTAAACTGTATCAGTGGCAGTCTCACAGTCTTATATTCAGAAGAACTGAACTCAATCCCAATAGATGCTGCCTCCTCCACGTGTGCCCTGAATCCCCCCCTTCTTCCTTGTCCAAGGACTTCGCTCTTACATTTTAGCTTCCCTCCCCTCTCCTGGGTACCCCCAACCAGCCTAGAAACTTGTGCCTCCATCAAGAACATAAGCTACGTGGCCAGGTATAGTGGCTCATTCCTGTAATCCCAGCATTTTGGGAGGCTGGGATGGGAGGACTGCTTGAGGCCAGGAGTTCAAGACCAGCCTGGGCAACAAAGCGAGACGCTGTCTCTACAAAAAATTTAAAAATTAGCCAGGAGTTGTGGTGCACACCTACAGTCCCAGCTACTCAGGAAGCTGAGATGGGAGGATTGCTTGAGCCCACGAGTTGGAGGCTGCAGTAAGCTATGATCGCACCACTGCACTCCAGCCTGGGTGACAGAGCGAGACCGTCTCAAAAAATAAAAGAAGAATATAAGCTCCATGAAGGCAGAGACAGACTTGTCTGCCTTGTCCCTGCTGTCACCCCACCGCCTACAATGGTGTTTGACACACAGTAGGCTCTAAAGAAATGTATGTTAAATGAAGGAATAAATGAGACAAATATATAAAGATGCATACAGGAAGATGTTCACAGAAACACACAGCAAAAAGTCAGAAATAACCTCAAAAGCCACTGATAAATTACAGGACATCCACACTGCAATTGCATGTGAGCATTCAAAGTGACATTTTGAACAAAGCTGGCAGGCTGACTCACAAGCCAAATGTGGCCTGCTGTCTGTTTTTGTATGACCCATGAGCTAAGAATGGTTTCTACGTTTTTAAATGGTTGAAAAAGCAAAAGAATAATATTTCACGACACATGAAAATTATATGAAATTCAAATCCGAGGGTCCATATATAAAGCACGATTGGAACACAGCCGTGCTCGTTCTCTTACGTGTCATCTGCAGCTGCTTTGGAGCCACAGTGGCAGAGTCGAGTAGTTGCCATGGAGACCGAGGGCTCCACAAAGTCAAAAATATTTATCATCTGGCCCTCTACCAAAAAAGTTTGTCAACACTTGGTTTAGAGTCATATTTTTTGATATGGTAAAACCATACATACCATATTGTTAAACGAAAAAGACAGGTTTCAAAATAATGTATGTAATACCATTCTTTAAAAAAATATGTATATCTATGGAAAATTTGCATGCATAAAAAGCTCTGAAGAGTAAGAAATAAGTATTATTTTTAACTATTATTTAACAAACACATAGAAGCCTCTCAACTACATACTATGGGAGGCACAAGGATGTATAACATGTGATTGCTGCCCTCAAAGAGCTGGTAAGGTAGCAATCCAGGAATACATCACTAGTCACTCATTCATCCACCACTCAGCAAATAGTTTGAAACGCAGGCACAGGCCAGGCAGGGTGGCTCACACCTGTAACCCTAGCACTTTGGGAGGCCAAAGGAGGTGGATCACTTGAGCCCAGGAATTCAAGAACACCCTGGGCAACATGGCAAAACCTCATCTCTACAAAAATTAGCCAGGCATGGTGGCAGGTGCCTATAGTCCCAGCTACTCAGGAGGCTGAGGTGGGAGGATCACCTGGGTCCGGGAGGTGGAGGCTGTGGTCAGCCATGATCACGCCACTGTACTCCAGCCTGGGTGACAGAGTGAGATCCTGCCTCAAAAAAAAAAAAAAAAAAAAGCAAGCCAGGCAGACTGCCTGTCTCTATAGTTATGGTTGCAGCAATGAACAAGAAAACACAATTCTGCCCTCATGAAGCTCACCATCAAGGAACTACAATATTCAACCAGTCATTCATCAGACAACAAATAAAGGTTATTAAGACCTACTGTGCACCAGGCACTGGCTAGACACTGCAAATGCCACAATAAAGAGAGACAGCTTCTGTGCTTCCGGGAGCCTACAATTTAGGGGGCAACAAATTCCCAATGTTAGAATATACTTTGCAATATAAAGGAAATCATGACCCTCATCGGCCACACTTCCAATGAAAAAAGAAAAGTCTAAATGGATAGGTACTAAGATATAAAAACAGTGCTTGGCCAGGCACAGTGGCTCACACCTATAATCCTGGCACTTTGGGAGGCCAAGGCCGGTGGATCTATGGAAAATTGGTATCGAGACCAGCCTGGGCAACATGGTGAAACCCCGTCTCTACAGAAAATACAGAAGTTAGCCAGGCACAATGGCACATGCCTTTACTCTCAGCTACACGGGTGAGGTGAAAGAATCGCTTGAGCCCAGGAGGCAGAGGTTTCAGTGAGCCAAGATCACGCCACTGAACTACAGCCTGGGCAACAGAGCAAGACCACCATCTCAAAAAACAAACAAACAAACAGTACTTATCTCTCTGGGTGGCAGGACTATACCAATTTATCTTTTTATATATTTTCATAGTTTAATTAAATTTTGATAACTATATATTACTTCTATAATAAGTTTTAAAAACACAATTTCCATTTTGGAGGGAGACACGGGTTGGTAGTAGAAATCTATTAACAAGTGTCTGAGACTCATGTCCAAGTTTAAGTGTACATCATTATTGATAGAAATAAATAACAAACAGAAGGGTTTATAACCAAAATGGGCCTACAAAAGCCAAATAGATATAAGACAATCTCCTCACTTAAGTAATATCTTCTTAATTATTTCTCAGTAATGCTGAACTCACTGAAAAGTCTATGAAATTACCAAAGCCATCCTAATGTTTGGGATACCAATATAAGCAGGCACTTCTCTTTTCCTTAATACATTATCAAATTAGAGAAGCCAGTTTCTTACCTTTTGTACTTTTCAAGAAGATTCTTAGCTTGCTCTTCCGCAAACAGCATCCCGGCAGGGCAGTCTGGAAAATCGCCTGGGACATTAGGCGACCTCTTATACTGAGAATGCACTGCAGACTCTTTCAACCCTCCGACTCTCACACCTCGATAAATCTAAAAGAAATGTCAAAAAGATACTGTCAGTCTACCAACTTAAAGTGAATTGCTTAATGTTTATATGGGGGAAAATGGAAACAACCTAAACGCCCCTCAAAAGGAGAATGGATAGAAATACACACAATGGATTACCATGCAATAGTAAAAATGAATAAAATCGAGCTTCGTCATGCTTCATTAACCAATATGGAAAAGAATCTCAATGCCAAGTGAATACAGCAAGTTGCAAAATCATATATACAGTAAGGTATATACTTTAAAAACATGTCAAGTCTAAATAGTTATTTTATTGTGGGATACAAACATACTTTAATAAAGCTATAAAAATATGCATGGTAGTAGCAAATACCGAAATCAGCGGAGTGATTATTTTAAAAGGAGGGAGGGAAATGAAACTGGAGAGAGGTACACAGGGTGCATCAATGCATCTGTAATGTTATATTTCTTAAGCCGGATGGCGGGTAAATGGCACACAGGCATTCACTATATCAGCATCTATTCTTTTTTGTATGCTTGAAAGCATCTCATAGTAAAAAATTAAGTAGGATTATTTTTAAATATTCCTACTCCTGAATGATTAACTGGATGTCCCTTGCACTAGGCATGCTAAAAATTAATTACCGGCATGAATCTAAAAGTCTCACATGCCTTTTACACTCTCTAGAATCGA
The DNA here is from genome assembly GCF_000001405.40 of Homo sapiens. Taxonomy (NCBI): domain Eukaryota; kingdom Metazoa; phylum Chordata; class Mammalia; order Primates; family Hominidae; genus Homo; species Homo sapiens. The sequence goes on along the minus strand of NC_000008.11, from coordinate 98,149,811 downwards.
AGTAATATTTATTTATTTATTTATTTACTTATTTATTTTATTTATTTATTTATTTTGAGACAGAGTCTCGCTCTGTCGCCCAGGCTAGAGTGCAGTGGTATGATCTCAGCTCACTGAAACTCCGCCTCCCAGGTTCAAGGGATTCTTATGCCTCAGCCTCCCAAGGAGTTGGGATTACAGGTATGCACCACCACACCCAGCTAGTTTTTGTATTTTTAGTAGAGATGGGGTTTCACCATGTTGGCCAGGCTGGCCTCAAACTTCTGACCTCAAGTGATCTGCCCACCTCGGTCTCCCAAAGTGCTGGGATTACAGGAGTGAGCCACCACACCCAGCCTTCAAAGTAATATTTGAAATAACCAGGAAAAAAAAGACACATTCGATTCTAATAAAATTTTTAGCTGCAGTTGATAAATAGGAGTATATGGTTATAGTTAACATTTCAAAAACAAAAAAAAAAGTATTCTATCCATCTGTAAAAGTTAAGTCCTTTGCTTTTAAACTTATAACAAATTTCTTCAAATCAAATACCTCAACATTTTTGTTGCCACTACTATTCGAATATCAGGCCACTTTAAAAACCTCAACAATTGACGATATGTCAGCACAGGTCTTATAATGAGAACCTGGCTCCAGGGACTATATGTATGAAGTATCTTGTATCCAGGACTATAGCTCTAAGGGCAGAAATACACCACTCAATTCCTCCTAAGTTGTACATAAAGTCTGGAACATTTTGAGTACTTAGCATTTATTAGGAATGTATTTTAAATATTGCAACTGTTAGAATCAAAAAGTAACTTACAAATGGAATCCAGAAAGCCATGCCCCAGCCCTTTGGGAGTAGGACATCCCAGCCACTTCCCCAGCCTAGTCGATCTTCACCAGTCACTTTTCCTGGCTGCTGAATCAAAAGTATAGGTATCTTGGATTCATGGGGACCTAAAATAAGCTGTGACCCAGGCACCAGCAATTCACTCCTCATCCGGTTTAAATCCTAAAGTGGAAGAAAATAATTCAAGACAAATAGCCCTAGTCTTCTGGGAGATCCTCCTGGGTCTCCCTATAAGCAGCTTTAGAAAATTAAATGCTCTTTTAAAAAAGCAAGAGAAAAACGTTCTAAATAAATAAATGTGAGCCATTTTAAGTATAAGGTATTCCTCCTACAGATATTTTCCTCTATACAAGTGCTTAGGTAGAAATTCGAAATTATCTTATATCATTCATTATCAGTATTCATTCTGCTGATCTCTTATATCAAGATTAATCTTGTATGTTGATATTCTGTCCTTACATTGATTTTGATTAAGATTTGGTGTCATGAAGTAAAAAAGATATAAACAATTAAGTGACACCTTCTCAAGGATGGGCAACTAGAGAAATGCACTGCCTCTTGAGAAAATTGCTCATCAGATCTTCAAGAATTAAATAGAAGATGTTTAAAATTATTGTTAAGGGGAATGTAGGGGGTGGATAACATCCTTTCAGACTTTTCTTGGAGCTGTAAAAAGAGATTAACAGGTAGGTAAGAGGGCTATCACTGTTTAGAAAAACTATGCAAGAGACTGCCTCCAGGCCATAGTCTAACTGCTACCTCATGAACGCTCTTCAAGCCAGGTCCAATCCTGATTCTTCTTTTTCACTTTCGGAGTTTCCACTACCATCTATGTGTTAGTAATTCCAAACTATATCTCTTTAGCCCCGACTTTTCCTCCCGGGATCAAAACCTGTCTCCTGGACCTCTGCTCTTGGGAAGTCCCACAGCCCCTCAAGCTCAAGATTGAACTCATCACCCTTCCCACTGTATTTGCTCTCTTCCTATATTCCTCACCTAGCTGAATGACACCACAATTCACACACTCCATTCATTCAGCCATTCAAATATTTACTGAGCACTTCTATGTGCCACACACTTTTCTAGAACCTGGAAATACATCAGTGAGCAAGTAAGACATGGTTCTGGCTCTCTTTTAGCTGAAATCCTAAATCCAAGCTAGAATATCAGGACCTAATCGACACACCTCCTCCTTTCTTACCTCCTATCTTCCAACCAACCACCAAGCCTTGTCAATTTCACCTTCCAGGAATATGCGTTAAACATCACCCTCTCCACTCTAGCCACACTGCCACAATTCAGGCCCCCATTATGTCATACCTAGAATATTTCAAGGGTCTTTTTAAGGCCATCCAACCCACAGTCTCTCTCCAGCTTCCTCACCCCCCATCTCCAACCCCACACTGCTGTCAGAGTGAAATCTCATCATGTCACAGCCAACCTTAAAACTTTCAAGGGTGTCCCACATCTCCAGTCCAAATCCTGAAAAGGCTTCAAGGTCTTTCATGCTGTAGCCCCATTTGTGTCTTCAGCTTCCTCTCTCACCCCATTCCTGATTCCTAGCTCCTGATCCACTTGTAGAGTCTTCCTGGTTTTTGCCTGGGCTCCTGTACATGCTTTTCTTACTTCCTGCAATCTTATCTTCACTGAAACCTTGACCCTGCCCCCAAGAAGTCTGGTGACTTCTGGCTCCCATCTGAGAGTCAGTTCAAATGCCTGCTCTTCCATCAGGAGGCTGGCCTCATTTTTCTCATCTGAGCTCAGTACCCCTTCTAGAGGTTTCCTGAGTGCCCTGTACTTCTTTGACCACATCTAAGTCATCTATCCCAGCATCTTACACAATGTCTGGCCCTGGAAGGTCCCCAGTCATAGTAAAATTAAAGACAGAGAACATTTAAGGGAAAAGAAAACAATAAAAGAAAAACATATTTCAACCATGAGATCATCATTTCAAGAAAAAGTCTTTGTATTAACATTTTCTAGAGATTATTCTTACTTTATCTCTAAGAACAGAAAAAAATCACAGTATGTATCTTTATTCTTAGATTCTTATCCTTGGATAATAGACAAGATCCTTATCTTATTCTTAGATCCCTATCCTTATTCTTAGATTATCCATAAGAACAGAAGAAAATCACAGTACATATCATGAGTTAGGGATCAACAACTTGTTTGAAAACAAAAGAAAGTCTATGGAATTCTATGAAGTATGAATAACTTTTTATGGTCTCTAGAATGATATATTTAACCTGTCATTCATGACTTTACCAATAACCCTTACACTATTAGTTACCTGATCCGAGATTTTATTCTCTGTGACACTCTTACAGATATCTTGGTTCCAGATAAAGCTATGCGTACATTCCACAGGCACACCCTCCAGAAGCAGCTGTCTAACTTTCTCATTATCTAAGAGGGAAAAGAAATAGCCTTCAAACCACATCCTTCAGATCAATGAAGTCAAACTCCAAACATTGGCAATAGGCCTTTTGTTACAAAACAATATTTCATAGGCATTTACTTAACTTAGAAGAATTTACTTGACAAGAAATTAAGTTATTCTTATAGTCGGTTTTACAGTCTATGACATAGCAAAGGCTCCTAAGCAGTTTTTTCTGGTATTGATTTTTCATGTATAAGATGCAAATATCACAATATTAAATTGCCTCCAAATAACTGTCTAATTCCACATGTAAGATAATCAAATTCTAGGAGCCACGGCAAAGGCAAATAATACGGCACATTAAGGCAGGCATGGTGGTGCACACCTGTAATTCTAGCCACTTGGGAGGCTAAGGGGGGAGGGTGACTTAAGCCCAGGAGTTTAAGTCCAGCCTGGGCAACATAGCAAGACCCCATCTCTAAATAATAATATGCCATATTATAAATACATGTCATATTTCAACTACTGGCTTCAGGGCTTTGTGTATCATTCCTCATCCAATGGTGGTGAGCCAACAGATATCATCATCTTCTCTTCTGTCCATTATTTTAAGTCTCTGATAACCTATTTATATTGAACTATTTATTCGTTTCTGTAAAATGTATTTTTTCATCCTTTTTTTTTCTTTGAGACAGAGTCTTGCTCTGTCACCCAGGCTGGAGTGCAGTGGCGCAATCTTGGTTCACTGCAACCTTCGCCTCCCAGGTTCATGTAATTCTCCTGCCTCAGCCTCCCAAGTAGCTGGGATTACAGACGCATGCCACCATGCCTGGCTAATTTTGGTATTTTTAGTAGAGACAGTATTTCACCGTGTTGGCTAGGCTGGTCTTAAACTCGTGACCTCAAGTGATCCACCTGCCTCGGCCTCCCAAAGTGCTGGGATTATAGGTGTGAGCCACCGTGCCCAGCCTCATCCCTTTAAAATAAACATATTTTCAGTGATACATAGTGTTTTATCCCTTTAAATAAGCTGTACCGTGCTAGAAAGTACTCAAGCAGGAAGGGGAACAAACTTTATCAGTGACAAACTTCTATATTGATAGAAGGAACTTCCTACATGCAGTCATTTAATCCCCAGGGAAAAACATCTCCCAAATCTTATTTTGTTGAACTGAAGAATTTTCATTAGAAAAAAAGACAATTTGTGAGTTTGCGTTATGGTTCTAAACTGTCCACACAGAAACATCACTCAAAGGCACATACCTGCCTGCTGGGTCTGATGGCTAGGAAAGAATAAGTTGGAAGCAACTGGGCCATAGTGTGACAGATTTTAGGGCAGAACGAAGTTAGAAAAAATTAAGTTGATGAAAAGATCTGAGATTAAAACTGTTTAAAAGCCACAACAGGCCAGGTGCAACGGCTCATGTCTATAATCCCAGCACTTTGGGAGGCCAAGGCAGGCAGATTGCTTCAGCTCAGGAGTTCAAGACCAGCCTGGGCAACATGGCGAAACCGTGTCTCTACAGGAAAATACAAAAATTAGCTGGTTGTGGTGGTGTGTGCCTGTCATCCCAGCTACTTGAGAGGCTGAGGTAGGAGGATGGCTTGAGCCCAGGAGGTGGAAGCTGCAGTGAGCTGAGATCGCGCCACTCCACTCCAGCCTGGGTGACAGAGCCAGACCCTGTCTCAAAAAAATAAAGTAAAATAAAAAATTTTTAAAAGCCACAGCAGCTTCATTACACTGCTCTTCCTCACAGAGATAACCACCATCAGATCCTCAAGCCACAGTGCTGTGTGCTGCAAGTTCACATGGCCTGTCTAGGGGTAGTCAAGCTCCACTTCCAACAGCCTGGGTACCCAGAGTGCTTTCCTGTGGAGCACTGCCACGGATTTCGGGAACATGATTGGGATTTTAGTCAGACTAAGCTGCAGACAAAAGAGATAGTTGATACTCACAGTGTAAAGATACAGGAAAGTACTACCTCATCTTCAAATATTCTAAAAGATAATAATAGATAGGTCTGGCAAAAGTGGCTCACGCCTGTAATCCTAGCACTTTGGGAGGCTGAGATGGGAGGATCACTTGAGCCTAGGAGTTTGAGACCAGCCTAGGCAATTTAGTGAGACCCTGTCTCTACAAAAAGTTAAAAATTAGCCAGGCATAGTGGTATGTGCCTGTAATCCCAGCTATTTGGGGGGCTGCGGTGGGAGGATCGCTTGAGCCCGGGAGTTCAAGGCTGCAGTGAGCCATGATTGCGCCACTGCACTCGGGTCTGGGCAACAGAGTGAGACTCTGTCTCAAAAATAAATAAAATAATATTAATAATAATAGATAAAACAAAGTAGACAGTATGTCCAAAGGAGTATTATTGAGCTAAAAAGAAATGTGCTATTGAGCCATGAGAAGACACAGAGGAAATTTTTGGGTTTTTTTTTAGATGGAGTCTTGCTCAACTGTTGCCCAGACTGGAGTGTGGTGGTGCGATCTCAGCTCACTGCAGCCTCTGCCTCCCAGGTTCAAGCTATTCTCCTGCCTTGGCCTCCCAAGTAGCTGGGATTATAGGCACCCACCACCATGCCAAGCTAATTTTTTTTTTTTTTTAGTAGAGACAGGGTTTCACCCTGTTAGCCAAGCTGGTCTCGAACTCCTGACCACAGGTGATCTGCCCGCCTTGGCCTCCCAAAGTGCTGGGATTACAGGCGTGAGCCACCATGCCTGGCCTACATAGAGGAAATTTAAGTGCATATTACTAAGTGAAAGAAGCCTATCTGAAAAGGCTATGTATTGTATGATTCCAATTATATAATATTCTAAAAAACACAAAACTATGGAGGTAGTAAAAAGATCAGTGGTTATCGGAAGTTAGGGGGAAAAGAGGGATGAATAGGCAGAGCACAGAGGATTTGGGGGGCAGTGAATCTATTCTGTATGATGCTATTATGGTGAGTATGTCATTACACCTTTGTCAAAATCGGTAAGAGTATATATACCACCAAGAGTGGACCTTAATACAAACTTAGAGTATATATATCACCAAGAGTGAACCCTAATACAAACTAAGGACTTTAGGTGATAATGATGTGTTAATGTCGGTTCATGGATTGTAACAAACGTACCACTCTACTAAGGACATAGACTGTGTGGTGGCGGTGCATGGAAGGGGATGGAGGTTCATGGGATCTCGGTACTTTATGCTCAATTTTGCTGTGAATCTAAAGCTGCGCTAAAAAATAATAAAGTCTATTTACAACAAAGTGGAGTACGTCTGAAGGCTAAGGGGAAGGCCCTCTTAGGTCAATAGTCTTTACTGGGAAGAGAAAAAGAATATCCCCAGCTGAGTCAGCACACACATCAGTGGGCCTAGAATGACTGCCACTTCTGAATGTAATTCTAAGTCCTTCCCCCAGACTCAAAGCATGTTTTCTTTCATACACAGACAAAAGTTCTTGAATTGATTATATTAACTCCAGAATGTGACTTGAAGACTGAAGGGAGGAGCTTGCTTTCTCCTTTCTTAAATGTATTTAAAGATCACCAAATGTTAAATTGAACTTTCTTTTAATGAGTTTTACTCAGAGAAGCAAAGGTAACCAGTAAAAGGCTTTCTCATTTGGAAATCAAATAAAACCAAAGTTACAGCCTTCAGATTAAAGTATTTTAAATAAAATATGTAAAACAGTTCAAAGGGCCCAGGGGAAGCAGAGAACATGGCTGCTAACTGGGCACTGCTCAAGTCTGCTGCAGATCAGTGCTCTCAAAGTGCTTGCAAGAGCTATAAAATATAAAGGGATGACCTCTAACCTATCACTCTAAAGGCAGCTATCCTCCTTCCATGTTTTGGGTAGTATGGGAAAGTCATACTACCAAAGAGTGTTTAAAGGGAAAGATCATAAGCCCACGAGCACAAGGTAAATTCAGTATTTCCTAAAGGAAATTGATCTCTCACAGATAAGAACTAATCAAAATAATCCATCAAAGCAAATTGGCAAATACTAAGGATAGCAAATAAAACAACAGCTAGTACGGCAGAAACTATATTTTTAAATCTCATCTAGAAAACCAGTTACCTATATAGTGAAATATTGTGTTAATAAAGTTGAAAAGATTTGCAAAAACACATTATTAATATTTAATTCAAATTCTAGAACCAGCTATCAAGCAAACTTTTTCAAAGCATCTAAGAATATGCATTATCACTTCATTTTCTTCATGTACCTTCCCTTTTAAAAGCTCTCTAGCTGGGAATGGTGGCTCACACCTGTAATCCCAGCACTTTGGGAGGCCGAGGCAGAAGGATTGCTTGACTTCAGGCGTCAAATTAAATCACGTTTTTCAAGATAGACTTTAATTTTCCTTGAGCTGATTCATATTAAAACAAAAGCCTTAGAGAGGATTTAATAATCACCTCATTCCAAAAAAGGATTTGAGGTAGCAAGAGAAACTAAGTAGAGTTTATAGCTTCAAGGCAATTATAATAGTCAACATTTAATGGTGTAGTAAATGCTGCAACTTTTACGTTGCACCAGACCACATTCGTAGTAAAAAAGAAAAGAAAAGAAAGAGGCAATGACTCATTGAGTAAAGTCTTAGGCTTCATAATTAACTAACTTACCTATATATCTTCAAACTCCTCTCTCATCCAATCCACCTTTTATGTGAAGTTCTGACAGAGTAATTTATTGCCCCATCAATAAGCTATCTAACTACATTAAAAAAAAAATTCTGGGCCAGGCGTGGTGGTTCATGCCTGTAATCCCAGCACTTTGGGAGGCTGAAGTGGGTGGATCACCTGAGGTCAGGAGTTTGAGATCAGCCTGGCCAACATGGTGAAACCCCATCTCTACCAAAAATACAAAAAAAAAAAAAAAAAAATTAGCCAGGCGTTGTGGTGGATGCCTGTAATTTCAGCTACTCAGGAGGCTGAGGCAGGCAAATCACTTGAACCCAGGAGGTGGAGGTTGCAGTGATGACGCCATCCATTGCACTCCAGCCTGGGTGACAAAAGCGAGATTCCATCTCAAAAAAAAAAAAATTCTGAAGTCGTTACAACACAAACCTTTACTTTATCTCCAAAGACTCACATGGTAATTTTAATTATTCTTCCAATTAATCATGTTTAAATGACAGTAAATACAATGAGACATTATCAAAATTGCTGCCAATCTCATATCAGAACAAAATTTTAGCCAGCCCCTTACCCACCTCCTGTGCCACCCCAGCCAAACAACTTTCTCAGGCCTCTAGTACTACTTAGTCTAAACCAAGACATCTTATACTTCAGCACCTGGGATGGCCTTGCCAGGATTCGAACCTGGATCATCTGTATGGTCAGACAGAGGCTTCCACTGAGCACAAGACCAGCTTCGGGTGCAGATCCCTTCCTCACAATTAAAATTCTGAAACGCCAGACATTTTCAGAGAACGTAGTTTGCAGAGAGACAGGTTTTACTAGATACTAAAAAAAGAGAACTCGGAAAATAAAATGAACATAAGTATCAGGCTACGTGTTTTACTGCTAAAAGACACTTCCACACCTACCATTTCCTTAGATCATAATCAGCTTGTAAAGTGGGCAGGTAAGGAGACTGCCCTAATTTTTTACAGATGAAGTTACTGGAGAGGTGTCAGAGAAAGAACTCTTCTTCTAATAAGACTGGACTGCTCGAAATAGTAAGGAAAACCTGGGGTGTTTTTGGAACTTTACCTTGGCATTTTTCTGGATTGGGCAAAGCTTTGGACTTCTTTTGGGGCAAATTTATTCGAGGATCCCCAACTGTCAGTCCCAGAATAGTACCTGCCGGAATTTCTGCTGGTGATGTTATTCCTTTAACAACAACAAAAAGAAGTTTACAGAAAGTCATTCATAATACATCTGTATTTGCTTGTATTTTTAAATCTTTCAGATTTCCTAATGAAACGTTTTTCTTGGACTAATTACTTAAAAACATGTATTCCCTCTCTTCCCATTGATACTTTTAGAGAATAAGTTAACATTCATAAAGAATGAGGTTTCTTGCAAAAAACATGAGGCCAACATAAAAAAAGGTTCTTTTATGAAATGAACACATATGCTTCTATCAGTGATAACTACAGCAGCTATGAGCAAAAATGCAGTTGTGTGCAGGTAAGCATAGAGTTTAGGTCAGTACCTGGTGTATGCATTTATCTCCACTATCAGAATGCCAGTTACTTAGAATATGAACATACCATTTGTTTGTTGTTTCATAACCAGGCATGAATATAGTGTTTATTCACTGAGTTCAGTCCCTCTCTTACTTGGTTCTCTTGCTGTGTCACAATAGCAGCAGGTTAAAAAGCAATACTACATGTTGGAGGCCCAACTGCAAAAGGCTCTTTTGGCCCCCTTCCCTCCCCAACACAACCCAGTCTTCCCTTTGTATACCTCCCAACAACTCGAAAATGGCTTCTTGTCTGCAATGAAGGGAAACGCTGTCAGGTTTCTTACAGGTTTCTATCCACCAGCGGTGAGGTGTCTCCTCTGTGTCCTCTCCCACCTGAAAAATAACAACTACTATTCACTGGACGAACAATGAATCCACCTTCATAATTTTGTCATGGTTGTGATATCAGCCCCCACTCTTTCTTCTTCTATGTGTGGAAATGTATGTGTTATGGGATGAACCAGGGAAGTTGCCACTATACTTAACATAGTAATTAATACCAGACTAACTACCCTTTGAATTAGCAGCAAGGATATAGTATTACACTTCTCTCAAGATTTCACATATGAAGAAAATCATCTATGGTTTTCATAGACTAACTCACTAAGATACTTCACACTCAAAGTCTCTCCAGAGCGCAGTACCAACAAAGGAGGCCTCGCTCCTCTCTCTTTTTTTTCTTGACACAGTCTCACTGTCACTGAGGCTGGAGTGCAGTGGCCTGTCATGGCTCACTGCAGCCTCAATCTCCCAGGCTCAAGTGATCCTCCCACTTCAGCCTTTCAAGTGGCTGGGAGATGGAACCACAGTCACATGCCACCATGCCCAGCTAATTTTTTTTAACTTATTTTTTGTAGATATATGGTCTCACTATGGTGCCCAGGCTGGTCTTGAATTCCTGGGCTGAAGCAATCAACCCACCTCAGCCTCCCAAAGAGCTGGGATTTCAGGTGTGAGCCACACGCCTGGTCCTCTTCCACTAGAGCTAACTTCATCATCTCCAATGTAAGCAATAAAATGTTCCTCACCAAAGGAAAATCAAACCAGTACCTTTTGAAGAACTTTCCAGATAAAAGATATACTACTACTACATTATTCCTAGAAATGTATATTTTTTCCACATGGAACTAGGAATTGAGGAAGATTTCAAAAAGTCCTTCAAGTATCACATGCATGGCAAGAAGGGAATCTATAGCCACAACTCATGCTGAAGTTCACTGAAGTAGGATGTGCACTTACGGATCCTAAAGAAGCAATCATGGCCGGGTGCAGTGGCTCATGCCTGTAATGCCAGCATTTTGGTAGGCCGAGGCAGGCGGGTCACTTGAGGCCAGGAGTTCGAGACCAGCCTGGCCAACATAGTGAAACCGCTACTAAAAATACAAAAAATATTAGCCGGGTGTGTTGGCTGGCACCTGTAATTCCAGCTACTCGGGAGGCTGAGGTATGAGAATTGCTTGAACCTGAGAGGTGGAGGTTGCAGTGAGCTGAGATTGTGCCACTGCACTCCAGCCTGGGTGACAGAGTGAGGCTCTGTCTCAAACAAAAAAAAAAAAAAAAAAAGCAATCATAACAAAGGTACCATTTACTCACAGAAACTCAGGTAGCACAGCTTAGTGGTTTACAGTACAGGCTCTGGAACCAAACTTCATTGGTTCAAATCTTTGCTCCACAACTTATTAGCTACTACGGGGCACCCTCTCTGTGCCAGACATTGTGCTAAGCACTGGGGAGAGAGTGAAAAACAGGACCAACTCTATCCTCACCCTTATGAAGCTCACAGTCTCATGAGAGACATGGACATTACATAAATACACAAATCTATATAAATAAATTGAGGGAATTTGCAAGATGCTCTCTCTGAAAACAACAGGAGGGATCTAGTTTAACTTGGGGGATCAGGAAAGGATGCTAGAGGGAAATGCTAGAGACTGAAATCTGAAGAATGAGGAAGGTTCAGCAAAGTAAAGAGTGGTGGAGGCAGAATGCTCAGTAGTTGGAAGGAAAAAACAGGTGCAAAGGCTCTAAGGGAGACAAGAACTGACATTCCAGAACCTGAAAGAAGGTCAGGGTGGCTGAAGTGTAGAAGGGTGAGGAGAAATGAGGCCTCAGAGGCAAGAAGGCACAAGATTACACGGGTCACATTGAGCACTTTGGATTTTATCTTAATTACAATGAGAAGCTATTCAAAAACTTTTCATCAGGAAGCAACAAGAGGGAATAAATTATCAAAAAATCACTCTGCCTCTTGTGTGGAGAATGGGCTGAAAAGGAGGAAGGATGGAGGAAACTTAAGGTTCCCTCTAGAATCCTTTCCTGATCCCCCAATTGTTCAGGCAAGAGACAACACTGGTTGAGAGTACAGCAGAAGCAGTGAAGATGGAGAAAAGTAGCTTTTGTATTTTAAAGCATCTTTCTTCTAAAAACTCAGAATCTGTTCAGCTCTATCATCGTATTTGACCACGTCAAGTCAGTGAGAGGCACAGGCATTGAAAAGTTAATTGCACTAAGACCAGAAAACGAACAGGATCTGAACCCAGGGTGCAGATTCCTAATCTAGTCTCTATGCTAGCCACTTGCCAATAGAGCTACTCAAATTTAATTTTTAGTTAATTAAAGTTAAGTAAAGGTATAAATTCAGTTCCTCAGTCACTCTAGCCACAATTCAAGTATTCAACTGCCACATGTGGCTAATGGCTGTCGTACTGGACAGCACAAAGGAACATCATCCTCACAGAAAGCTCTACTGGAAGTGCTGCCCTAGACATACTGCTCTTAACCTTTTTAGAGATTCTAGACCCCTAAAACTAGCCCCAGAAAACCAGCCAGGTGCGGTGACTCATGCCTGTAATCCCAGCATTTTGGGAGGCCAAGGTGGGCGGATCACCTGAGGTCAAGAGTTCCAGACCAGCCTGTCCAACATGGTGAAACCCTGTCTCTACTAGCTGGGCCTGGTGGTGTGCACCTATAGTCTCAGCTACTCGGGGGGCTGAGGCAGGAGAATCGCTTGAACCCAGGAGGCAGAGGGTGCAGTGAACCAAGATCGCACCACTGCATTCCAGCCTGGGCAACAGGATGAGACTCAATCTCAGAAAAAAAAAAAGAAAAGAAAACCTACATGGCACACGCACACATCACAAAATCTGGCACACAATTTCAGGGATTTTAGAGACTCCCTACCTATGAAGCAGAAGTTAAGACCCTCTACAAGACTCACAGATGCAAGAGCAGTCTGTATTTAAGTAAGAACAGTCAGTTTACTGATCATATCCACTTAGTTGTGGTCTTCTAGGAGAAGTGAAAGATAACAAAATCTTTGATAATAAGCATAATAAGTAGGGAAATAAACATCTAAAAGCCATGGCCCAAAATGTTACCAAATTATATATTAGGTTTCACAAATTTGACAGGAAAAACATGATTAGAATAAAACACTACAGTCACTTTTACTCTTACAGTGTGGACAGAAGCAGCTTTTATTGCTTCAGTTAGGATGGAGTGGGAAAGTGGCCCAATCAGCCGGAATCTGTTCATCTCCATCGTCAAATCGCTGAAAAAGAAAGAACATCTTAAAATGGAAACTTTCATCACACAACATCTGTGCCACTGACAAAAATGGAGCAGGTCTTCACTGAAAATGTTCAGTAGGTTCAAAGCAAATTCAACTCATACCTGATTATAATGCCTGTGGTTGGAGAGATCCAAGAGTATGGTAGACATGGATCTCTAGTTCCATCACCGATAATTTTTTTAATTGGTTTAGCATTTTCTCCATCATCTTTCCTTTTTCTTTTCTTGCCAATTTTCTCGTCAGGCAATTCAGTTTGGCTTTTTTCTTGGGATGGTGTTGGAAGTGGGTCAGCGATGCAGACAGCTGATTTGATGGGTTCCACACACTGGCACGCTGCTTTTATTTCCTCTAAGATATCCTAAAAATATATTTAAACATTCACTTTAAAATCTTGAAATTTAAATATATTACGACAAATTTAGTTGGGTTTTTTTTTTTAAATCTCTTTAAAAATTAACATTTTTGGCCAGGCACGGTGGCTCATACCTGTAATCCCAGCACTTTGGGAGGCCGAGGTGGGTAGATTACCTGAGATCAGGAGTTCGAGCCCAGCCTGACCAACTGGCAAAACTCCATCTCTACTGAAAAATACAAAAAATAGTTGGGTGGCAGGCACCTATAATCTCAGCTACTCAGGAGGCTAAGGCAGGAGAATCACTTGAACCTGGGAGGCAGAGGTTGCAGTGAGCTGAGATCGTGCCATCGCACTCCAGCCCGGGCAACAGAGCAAGACTCCGTCTCAAAAAAAAATAAAAAATAAAAAATAAAAAAAAATCACATTTGTATTCCCTCACAAATTAACTTAAATTAAATTTATCATCAAAAAGCTTTTTTCGGCCAGGTGTGGTGGCTCACGTCTGTAATCTCAGCACTTTGGGAAGCTGAGGCAGGAGGATGGCTTCAGCCCAGGAGTTTGAGACCATGGCCTGGGCAACATAGGGAGACCTTGTTCCTACACAAAATAAAAAAATAATTAGCTGGACAAGGTGGTGCACCCCTGTAGTCTAAGCTACTCGGGGAGGCTGAGGTAGGAGGATCATTTGAGCCTGGGAAGTAGAGGCTGCAGTGGGCTATGACTGCACCACTGCACTCAAGTCTCAATGACAGAGCAAAACCCTCTGGGAAAAAAAAATTTTTTTTAATTTAATTTTAATTTTTGAAAAAAAGCTTTTTTGGGTGTTCTGAGTAGTGTATGCCACTTTAAACAAAAAAAAATTTTGAAACTGAAAATTTCAAATGGGTTAATTAGGGCTGGGGCTAGGGGTAGGGTTAGTCAAATATTATGAAAACAACATGATCACTCTGACTACATTTTTTTAAAGTAGTGAGTATGCTAAAGAAGGGAAGCTAAGCTAAATTCAGTGTGAAAAATCATTAGAATTACTCAAAAATAGCTTTTCATTATCAAATAGCCCCTAGATACTAGTGAACCACTTCAGTCATGGTAGAAACATTAGTTCAAATTCAACATTTCAAATAATTAGCATAAGGCTGGTTTTTATCTCTACTTCTGCTTATGACTTACTAAAAATATGAGATGTCAAGATTAGTTTTTTTTTTTTTCGAGACAGGGTCTCACTGTCACCCAGGCTGGAGTGCAATAGCACGATTTCATCTCACTGCAACTCTGCCTCCTGGGCTCAAAGTGATCCTCCCGCCTCAGCCTCCCAAGTAGCTGAGACTACAGGTGCATGCCACCAATCCTAGCTAATTTTTGTCTTTTTTGCAGAGACAGGGTTTCACCGTGTTGCCCAGCCTAGTCTCAAACTCTTGGATTCAAGTGATCCAACTGCTTCAGCCTCCCAAAGTGGTGGGATTACAGGCATGAGAAACCATGCCCCGCCCTGACTTCATTATATTTGATAAACAAGTTCCGGGGATATAATGTACAGCATGGGTGGTGATGGATGTGTTATTTGATTGTGGTATACAACATGTATATCAAATCATCATATTATATACTTTGAATATATTTGCTTTTTGTCAATTAGACATTTTTAAATACAAATTTTTAAAGTTTTTTAAAAATTCACTTCATTCAATAATCATAGAGCCCCCCATATACAAATATCAGACTATCAGACAAACCTTTACACTATTTACATTTCTACAGTATTGACTTCCAGCAGTAATTAAAAATGCAGTTTCAGAATGACGGGAGATAACCTGAAGGATTATACCTGTTTAAGGGTTGGATGCAGCCAGATCCACAGCTGCCTGCTCTCAGAAGGGTCACCCGGGGTCCTCTGGGACTTCCAGATAAACGTAACAGGCCCAAGCATTTCTCTGGGATATTTATTCACCCGATAAAGCACAAGGCTCCCTTGGCGCTTTCCAGACAAGCAGTGAACTGCTGCAAACGTCAGCCCTGACATCAACAAAAGCAAAATTCCATAATTCCGGGTGTTGAGACTGCAGTCCTATTTCCTGATAACCACACTGTCATTTACTGTCTGCCTCCATGAGAGGTGAAGTTTTGGTTGTGAGGATTGCTCAGATCAAAGCCTGGCACACAATAAGTTCTCAACAAATATGTGTTAAATGAGTAATGAGAGCTTCAAGTTTCTTTCTGTCAAGTTCACTCCACCAGAAAAATGACTCTATCACTTTACACTTGACAATGTTAGAAATTATTTAAAAGCCAACCCAACTGTTTTTAAGTTAACATTTTCATTGGGAATGATTAGTGTCTCACACACTTTTCTATATGTTTGAATTCCAAAATGCTTACAGTAGACACTTCTTTATGAAATGAATAAATATACATAGACTAAAATAGAACTCAGCTTTAAAACAAGTTTACCTGTGTCTATGTTACACATTCCAGAAAGCGCCTTTAGTATTTCTTCCTCTTTGCCTTTCAACTCCAAACAACAGTAATAGGATAAATCCTGCACAAAGCGGGAGACACAATTAAGTACTTAGGAATTTACACAGGCAAAACTGCTAAGAAGCCAAAAGCCGTATCACAAAACCTTTAGAGGCCTAAGACACAAAACAAATTGCTAAAGCTATGTTCTCATAAGTCAAAATCTAAACCTTCTCCTGCCCGATGGTTTAGTGGAAAAAATATCTAAACCTGTCCATTCCTGTCACCTTAACAAATATTTTTAAACCAACCCGAACCAAAATAAAAATGAATCTCCATTTAAAATGTAAGTTACGGTATCCTACTTTTTAGGTAATCTATGTTTTATCCCATATTCATAGACAGGTTCTACGGAGGGTACATAACTGTTGCCTCTAAGTAGAGAACCATTCACCCCCAAAGTCTACCTAAGGTAAGAAACCAGAGTAAAATAAGCAAAACAGTAATGAATTCTGCAAAATTATGCTCAGGTTGCTCAATTTGGTTAGCTAATTCAGGACCTCAAGATTACTTAACACTAAGCCTAGAGATACAATATTGCAATTAATCCATCCCATATTTCTCCCATACTCAGTCTTGACCATGATATGCAACTTTAAGCACAGTACAAAGAAAGTAAAAGTAATAACATACAATTTCAAGTAAGATGAAGAGAGATCAGACTAAGCTAATGAAATCAATGTTAAAAGTTTCAATAGTTATAGTATCCATAATAATAATTATAATAATAATTCTAACAGTTTGTTTTGTTTTTGAGACAGGGTCTCACTCTGTTGCCAGTGCTAGAGTACAGAGGCGCAATCACAGCTCACAGAAGTCTCAACTTCCTGGGCTCAAGCAATCCTCCTGCCTCAGCCTCCCAGGTAGCTGGGACTACAGGCACGAGCCACCACACCCAGCTTTTTTTTTTTTTTTTTTTTTGCAGAGACAGAGTCTCACTATGTTGCCCAGACTGGTCTTGAACCCCAGAGCTCAAGCAATCCTCCTGCCTCAGCCTCCCAGGTAGCTGGGACTACAGGCACGAGCCACCACACCCAGATTTTTTTTTTTTTTTTTTTTTTTTTGCAGAGACAGAGTCTCACTATGTTGCCCAGACTGGTCTTGAACCCCAGGGCTCAAGCAATCCTCCTGCCTCAGCCTCCCAAAATGCTGTGATTCTAAGCATGAGCTGCCATGCCTGGCCTATAATAGTTAATAGTCATTGAAGGGTTACTGAGTGCCAGCAATGAGTTAACTCCTTACATGAACAGTCATTTAGTCTTCCTGACAACCAGATGTACCTAGTATGGTTATCTTATCTGACAGACAAGGACACTGTGACACAGAGATTGTTACTTGAACAAAGACACAGTCATTAAGTGGAGAAGCCAGCATTCTAATCAGGCTCAGTGATCTGCCAAACCAACCCTTCTGCTATAGCATCTTTAAGCAATTTCAGTGCACTCAGTAACTAGAACTAAAAGGGAAATTATAGCTATGATTCTGACAACGCATGTCAATCAATATGATCACTCACACAAAGAAATCTTCCCATCCAGTGACCAGCTCTCAGCTGTCAGTGGCCAGAGGAACCTCACCCAAACAAGTGACAGCAGAGAATAATGGTTCAGAGTGTGGAACCCTGGAGTCAGGCAACTGGGCTCAAATCTGAACCTCAACACTCATTGGCCATACAATCATGGGTAAACTACCTAACCTCTCTGTACCTCAGTTTCCCCATCTGTAAAATGGAAATAATGGTAACTCCTTACTTCGTACTATTCTGAGGATTAAATGAGTAAACACATGCAAACCATTTAAAACAGGGTAGGGCATATATTAAGCACTCACTAATATTTGTTATTATTAGCTATTAGTTTTATTACTTAGGGCTGATCAAATTTTAGAGAAAATATCTGATAACTTCAGCAAAAATTATGCCCAAAATGAAAAGTAACTCATTGGCAGAGGACAGTGGAAAAAGCACAAGCCAGGGGAATCAGCCACCCAAGTGCTATGTAGGCCACCAACAAGCTGTGTGAGCCCAGGCAAGTCACTTCATCTCTCCAGAACCCAGCTTCCTCAATGTGAATGAGGAACTTGACTATTATCTATGATTTCTGCTGCTGAGTTCTCAAATCAAAGACTCCTAAAAGGTCCTCTTATTCACTTCACACTCATTAGAATGACTGTGATCAAATAAATAAATAAAGTAACAAGTACTGAAAAGGATGAGGAGAAATTGGAACCCTTGTGTATTGCTGGTGGGAATGTAAAATGATACAGTTGCTATGGAAAATGGTAAGGCAGTACCTCAAAAAATTAAACATAAAATTAACATAGAATTATCATATGATCCAGCAATTACACTTCTGGGGATATATTCAAGAGGACTGAAAGCAGGGACTGTAACGATATTTGCATATCCATGTTCACAGCAGCATTATTTACAATAGCCAAAAGGTGGAAGTAAGCCAAATGTCCACTGACAGATAAATGAATAATCAAGATACGGTATATACCTACAATGGAATACATCTTCAGCCTTAAAAGGGAAGGGAATTCTGACACATGCTACAACACGGATGAATTTTAAGACATTATGCTAAATGAAATAAGCCAGTCACAAAAAGACAAATATTGTATGATTTCACCCCTATGAAGCACCTATAGGATCAAATTATTGGATAGACAATAGAATGGTGGCTGCCAGGGGCTGAAGGAATGGGAGTTAGTGTTTAATGAGTCGAGAGTTTCAGTTTGGAAGGATAAAAAAGTTCTGGAGATGGATGGTGGTACTGATTACACAACGTAAACGTACTTAATGCCACAGAACTATACACTTAAAATGGTCAAATGGTTTTGTTATGTATATTTGACCACAATTTTTTAAAAAGATTCTTGTATTGCTTATTCTACCACATTACTCTCAAGGGGTATCAAAGGACACCAATAGTAATGGCTTTCAAAATTTGGCCAAGGCCATTCTGCCACTGAAAGATAGGCCCTTCTGCAAAGAACAAATGTCTAAGTATGTATTGGAAGAAATAGAAAGCAACTGAATTAGCTTCTGAGAGGAGGGAGCAATCAGATAAATACTATTAAGAGGCTCTAACATAATCTGTCCTCTCAAAGCGTTTAAAATTTAAAACATCCTTCCCAGCATCCCACTGACCCATAAACACCTAGACCAGCATTCTGAACCCTGTTCAGGGTACACAGTTGATTCTCAAATATCTGTTATTGATGAACGACTGTTAGATTAATCTATAGTGAATAAAACTTGACATGATCAACAAGACCTGCACGACCTGGTTCCTACTCTTTTCTCTAGGCTAACCTTGCCCTGATGTTGCCTTGTTCTCCTTCTCTTCTTCTCTGTCACACAGAATTGATTCCAGTTCTTCACTCTCACCTGGCTTCCTTCTGCCTTCCCCCTCTCCTCCCATCTTATCCCTTAGAGCTCAGCTCAAACAGCACTTCTGGGGGACGCCTTCCAGTTAGGTTAGAAATGCTCATCATACTGTATGCTTTTCCCTTACAACCACATATCTGGTAAATCGTTTGATTAATGTCAGTCACCCCCCTAACTTTAGGCTGCCTGATCTCCAGCATCTGGCAAAGGACCCGGGCTTCATGCTCAGGAATTATTTTTAAAATGAATAATCACATAAACGGGGCTTGGCACATCATAAACTATTCTAAAGGCCTCTATGGAAAAGGATCAAACAAAAATAACAAAAAAAGCCCACTGGAAAAGCTCACCTGCAGGAGGCACCGGTTCGTCATGGCTCGATAGCAGGCTCTGTGGCTCTTGACTGTTGGCCTCTCCCCAAGGCAGTAGCCCCACTTCTTGACCATATGAAACCGCTTGGCGTGCCAGATGTGAGTTTCTAACCAAATGTTCTTCTTTTGTCTACGGTTAAATTCTAGCGTCCGGTTCATGTGACATCTTCGAGCTTTATGGCATTTATTTTTTGAATGTTCTTTTTTCTGATGTACGGCTTTCTCCGCCTATAGTTTCAAGTAGAGGGACATATCCCAGTTTGTAAGAATCTCAAAACAGAGTTAACGGTCAGGAATGCAAACAAATAACTTTAGATTAAGTGGAATATTTTATAGATCCCATTAGTTTGCTTAAATTGTTAACTTAGTTTCTTCAATGTAAGTAGAGAAGGAAGACAATGGAAAGAGTGAATGTTTTAGAGCTAGGAGACCTAGGAAGGAGGCACAGTTCCATCACTCACTAACTAGGCAAGTTTCATGGAATATGAAGATCAGAATACTTATAAAATGTTCAACACAGTAACACAAGCTTAATATGGCTATTAGTATTAGAGGGCAAGAAAGAAGAAATCAAATGCTAGCTTCTTGTTGTCATTTTAACCTGTAGAATTGTAACTAAAACCAAAAACTTAAGACCAAAAATAATACAAGTGAGGAAAACCCATACATTTCATCTCAGTTAAGCTACAGACATACACATGCTGAATGCTATCACTGGGAAACAGATTTTATATTAAATCTAGAAAGTATAAAATTCCTTGTTAGTTTTCCCTCTTGAACTCAAACCCCACCACCAGCATAGCAATGGTACATAGAAGGCTGCTCAATAAATAGGTTTTAAACCAATTAGTAAAGACATGGGCTTAATCTTAGAATGTTCAAGTCTAGAATTCTGGTGAAGCCAAAACACAATTAGACTTGTACAAAAATTAAAACCCAGTTCAAGTTTTCAACTTCGAAAAAGTCAGAAAGCAAATGCTAAGCATTGACATTGCTTTTTTTTAACCTTCCTACCCCAAGCTGGGCACACCCTAGAAACACAGATCCAAAACCACTCGGTAAGAGGGTCAGAGTTTTTTTTTAACATCTGGGAAGGGAACATCAACTATTCAACACCCTTACAAGAGAGGAGTATCAAATCCTATATTTCAAAGCACCCATAATAGCCAATTGCCTGTGAATTTCGTTTGAAGGGAAGAAGTTTGGATAATGATTAAATCAAATATATGCAAAACAAAAACAAAAACCATAAGGGTGATGTTTTCTGAGTTTTTTTTTTCTTTTTAGACAAGGTCTCACTGTCACCCAGGCTGGAGTACAGTAGCATGATCACAGCTCATTGCAGCCTCAACCTCCCCTGGCTCAGGGTACCCTCCCATCTCAGTTTCCAAGTAGCTGGGACTACAGGCACACATGTACCATCACGCCCAGCTAATTTGCGGATTTTTTTGTAGAGACAAGGTTAGGCCATATTGCCCAGGCTGGTCTTGAACTCCTGGGCTCAAGCAATCTGACCACCTCAGCCTCTCAAAGTGCTGAGATTACAGGCGTGAGCCACCATGCCCAGCCTTGGTTTTCATTTTTAATAAATTCTATTAGGTCAATACTTCTCAATTTCTTCTAGGAGCTACTAATCTAAACATTTACACTAAGTGGAACTCCTACCTCTTTCTGGGCAATCTCCTGTAACCGTCTGGGAAGGCGTTTGACGTTGTGGCTCATGGCTCTTCGTCGCATGTGCCGTGGCAGAGTCTGAAAAACCAGTGAATTCGAAGACTTCTGGGTCACAGCTTTTAACATAGCACTGATTTCAGCAGCTCGTGCTTGAGCAAAAGTAGAAGCTGTTGAAGGAGATGACAAAGTCATTAAACACCAATCTTGAATTAACATTGGAGAATAAACAGGCTGCTGGGGAAACTTAACTGAATTCCTCCACCAAGAAGGCGTAAAGAGAGACCAGAAAGCATATCTAAGGTATAGGTACAAGGTACAAGGAATATAGGGTTTAATTGTGGTAGTGTGGATGGGGATCATAGGGTGAAGAACAGAAGAGGATGGAAAGGGCCTGGAGACAGGCCCTTTAAATAAAGGTTTGGTTGCCATTTGTGTGTACTCAATTTTCCATCCTTGGAGAATGCTGTGCTGAGTGTGGATGGCATATTTAAAACAAGAGGGGCACGGGGGCTAAGACAAAGAGGAACAGTTCACAAAGACTTGTAAGAAGAAGAGTAAGAGACAGGGAGAGAAACTGAAGAAGGGAGAGCCATCAAGCCCAAGGAAGCTCTGGCCAAAGTCCAGGCTAGAGGCGAGAAGGGTCTAAAGTAGGAGGAGGAGAGGAGAGGTAGGGGAGGCAGAGCCAGGACCACAAGGAGGGCAGTTTGTTGCTGCACTAGACACGAGAGTTCAAAATACAAGCAAACTGCACCTCTTTATGAGTACCCACCAGTTATATACTTGGGGATCTCCTGAGACGTGCCCTCGGGACCTGCTTTCCATCCTCCCTTTTTTCTAAACATCCCTTTGGAGGAAGACTGCTCATTCACTTCAGGGTCAGGCAGAGAATGGGGGTTGACTCTGGTTTGCCGCTGTCGTGAAGTTCCAGGATGAGGCTCTAGTATATTTTCAAAAAGAAACATGTCACCTTTATCAGAGATAAACATTATAGTGGAGAACTAATATTTGTTGGGTGGCAACATTGACCATGTTTTTAATCCTATAGTCACCCTGTAAGGTGGCTATTACTACTTATTTTTAAAGAGGAATCTTACGTAGGAAGGTGAATTAACTTGCTCGAGGTCACAAAGCTAGTAGGTAGCACACAAGGTAATCATGTCAGGATGACATATAAAGGACCTTGGATATAACAGATACAGGTGAAATTTTCTCCTATAAACGGTGCAACATGAATTTCAAATCTAAGCTCCCTGCTATGGTCTGAATGCTTATGTCCCCCAAAATTCCAGTGTTGAAATCCTAACCCCCGAGGTGATGGTATTAGGAGGTGGGGCCTTTAGGAGGCGATTAGGTCATGAGGGTAGAGCCTTCATGAATGAGATTAGTATCCTTATAAAGGAGTGCTCACAGAGACCCTCGCTCCTTCCACCATGTGAGAACCAGTGAAAAGGTGCTGTATATGAACCAGAAGGCAGGCCCACACCAGTCACCAAACCTGCCCGCTCCTTCATCTTGGACTTTTCAGCCCTCAGAACTGTGAGAAATACATTTGTTATTTATAAGCTACCCAGTAAGATACAGGTTGTGTATCCCTCATCTGAAATAACTGGGACCAGAAGTGTATCAAATTCCAATTTTTTTGGATTTTGGAATATTCGTATATATATAAAATGAGATATCTTGAGGATAGAACACAAGTCTAAAGACAAAATTCAATTACACTTCTTTCGCCTTATCATACACAGCCTGAAGGTAATTTTATACAATATTTTTAATAATTTGTGCATGAAACTTTTTGCACATTGTATACTTGAACCATCAGAAAGCAAAGGTGCCACTATCTCAGCCACCCTGTGGACAATCTGTGGTTGGCTGGCATCAGCATCCTTCCTGACTCTGAATCTATATGCTACTGATAAGCAATCACTTTCTTACACTTACTCACATGTAAGTATTTAACAGTAAAAATTACATGTATTTTATTTGTCTTTGTGGGTGTGCTTACGTGGTGAAATCTGGGAGTGCTTGGAAATATTTATATCACAGCTGAAGGGGGCTGGGAACATCTTTTTTCCCATGGGAATGCTGAATAAACTGTGTGTTATATGCCTTCATTCTGACTGTGACCCATCACATGAGGTCGGATGTGCAATTTTCCACCTGTCATGTCATGTCGGCGCTCAAAAAGTTTTGGATTTTGGAGCATTTTAGACTTCAGATTTTTGGATTAGGAATGCTCAACCTGTATTTTGTTACAGCAGCCCAAACGACACTCCCTTAATACTATAATCCACATGATTGTGTACAGTCTTTTATCCTAACTCTCTGCCACACTCAAATTGAGAGCCACTATACTAAATAAATAACTAAAAGCAAAGTTCCAGGATGGATGTGGTGGCTCACACCTCTAATCCCAGAACTTTGAGAGGCCAAGGTGGGCAGATCACTTGAGTCCAGGAGTTTGAGACTAACTGGTCAACGTGGCAAAACCCTGTCTCTACCAAAAAAAAAAAAAAAAATTTGCTGGGCATAATGGCACATGCTTGTAGCCCCAGTTACTCGGGAAGCTGAGGTGGGAGGATCACCTGAGCCCAGGAGGTCAAGGTTGAAGTGAGCCACGATTGTGCCATTACCCTTCAGCATGGGTGACAGAGTGGGATCCTGTCTTAAAACTTTAAAAAGCAAAATTTCCAGCCAGGCACAGTAGCTCATGTCTGTAATCCCAGCACTTTGGGAGGCCAAGGTGGGTGGATTGCCTGAGCTCAGGAGTTCAAGACTAGCCTGGGCAACATGGTAAAACCCCGTCTCTACTAAATACAAAAAATTAGCTGGGTGTGGCAGCATGTGACTGTAGTCCCAGCTACTCGGGAGGCTGAGGCAGGATAATTGCTTGAACCCGGGAGGCAGAGGTTGCAGTGGGCCAAGATCGCACCACTGCACTCCAGCCCAGGCAACAGAGCAAGACTCCATCTCCAAAAAAAAGGCAACATTTCCATACAAGTGTCTGGGCATTATGACTATAAGACAACATTAAATATCTGTCTGTGGCCGGGTACAGTGGCTCACGCCTGTAATCCCAGCACTTTGGGAGGCCGAAGCAGGTGGATCACTTGAGGTTAGGAGTTTGACACCAGCATGGCCAATATGGTGAAACCCTGTCTCTACTAAAAATACAAAAATTAGCCAAGAGTGGCAGCACACGCCTGTAGTCTCAGCTACTCAGGAGGCTGAGGCAGGAGAATCGCTTGAACCCAGGAGGTGGAGGTTGCAGTGAGCCGAGATCGCACCATTGCACTCCAGCCTGGGTGACAGAGCAAGACTCTGCCTCAAAAAAAAAAAAAAAAAAAAAAAACTGTCTGTAAATTAAGGGAGAGATCAGTAGAGAATTTTATAGTGTTTCTGCTTATTTCAATTGTGGTGTTAATTATTAAGCCACTATAAATCTTAGAACATTGTGAGGTTTAAATGAGATAAAAAAAATGTGAAAGCCTTATCATATGGCATGGTAGGCATCAACTGTAGGATCTGAATCTAGACCTTATGAACTTGACTCTAAAATTTACTTAATCAGACCCAATGCAGTTTTTTAAAGCACTCCAAACAAGTCCTTGGACACTTGCTTTTGCTGTCTTCCCAAATTAGCACTTTCTACCGCTGCCCTAATGAACAACTGTGATCTTCCTATCACTTCATAAGGTTCTAAAATCAGCACACCAGTGAAATACAGATATGATGACTATACTGCACTTCTCTTAGGAAACACAGAAGTATAATAATCATTGATGTTAAGGTAGAAATAAAATATACCAGCTCTAAAATATGCATAGCCAATTTTCATTATTTATAGTAGTCATGTTTCATACGTCCCTGAATTACGTCAATGAATTAGTGAATACTGAACCATTCCTCCTAGTGGGGATACATACATATCTTCATCTCACATAGATTATAATCTTTTTTTTTTTCCTTTTTTTTGGGACAGTCTCACTGTCACCCAGGCTGGAGTGCAGTGGCACGATCTTGGCTCACTGCAACCTCCACCTCCCGGTTCAAGCAATTCTCCTGCCTCAGCCTCCCAAGTGGCAGGGACTACAGGCACACACCACCATGTCTGGCTAATTTTTGTATTTCTAGTAGAGACGGAGTTTCGCCATGTTGGCCACTCTGGTCTCGAACTCCTGACTTCAGGTGATCCGCCCGCCTCAGCCTCTGAAAGTGCTGGGATTACAGGTGTGAGCCACCGCCCCTGGCCATATTATAATCTTAAATCCAAAAAACAACTCCTCCTGGTAGAGTTTATTTCCTTTATTTTACAAAAGAGAAAATGAAGTCTAGAAATGCTAAGTGACCTGCATGAGGCTGCCCCAGGGCTGAGATTCAAACCCCAGGAGAGCTGGAGCTTCCTGCACTGTACTGCCCTGCCCTTATACTGCCTCCATCCTCTGCCCATTTCTGCATGACAGCTGGGAAGCTCGGCTGGGAACGTAAACACAGGGAAACTCAAATTTTTCCTGCTCTATGTATGTCCACAAATGATAGCCAAAGCTTCATGGGTATTAATATTGGGGTTACAAATAAGCTTTGGCAAGTAGGCAAACTTGCAAATAGGAAACTCAAAAATAATAAGGGTCTACTGTATCTGTTTTTAATTCAGCTCATTTACTATTTAGATAATGACTATCAAAAGAGCTGACAAAAGCAATTTGATCAAAATGGGAGTGGAGAGAGCATCATGTGTATCTTTTTTTTTTTTTTTGAGACACAGTCTCACTCTGTCTTCAGGCTGGAGTGCAGTGTCATGATCTCAGCTCACTGTAACCTCCACCTCCCAGGTTCAAGCGATTCTCCTGCCTCAGCCTCCCAAGTAGCTGGGACTACAGGCACGCGCCACCACACCCAGTTAATTCTTGTATTTTTAGTAGAGACGGGGTTTCACCATGTTGGCCAGGATGGTCTTGATCTCTTGACCTCATGAACCGCCCACTTCAGCCTCCCAAAGTGCTGGGATTACAGGCGTGAGCCACCATGCCTGGTCTCTTATGTGTATTTTACCTTGTTTTTGAGCTTGGAAAGGTTTTTCACCTCCACTGTGGTGCTTTACACCTCTGTCAGCCACAAAGCCAGAGGACAGAGTCACATTGGTAGGCTGGTTTCTCATTTTCTTGGCGTGTTTTCTTTCTTTTGCATTTGACATTTCTGGAAAGGAAGTAATACATTTAATACAGGGAAAGGAAACTTCCACTCAAAAATAAAAATAAATTTAATGAGTAAATATTCATGTGATTCAAAATAAGTCTATTGATGGAAGAGACCCTATTAGTATATTGCAGTTTGCACTGTCAAATAATTAAATCATATACAACTGTTGATACCACATAAAGTCTGTTAGAAGAATGAAAAATGAGATAAGATTGCTATGGATGATAAAAAATTAATTAGTTCAAATACTTTACCTTGATTATTAGATGAAATAAGAGCCACCTGAATCAATGAAATACAGAACACCCTATTCCAAAAGGAGAAACTCTATTAAAAACAACACAAATTACTGACGCTTTCATTTCTACTACTCAGATGATGCCAGCTATATATTTAATTTATAATAGCAATAGATAATGATTTCAATTTGAAGCAAGATAAAGGACAAAAACAGTGGGACCCCGACTGATTTACCAGTCAGTAGTTCCCAACTCTCAAACTCAACATCCCCTATTTTTACTGATTCAGTTTGAAGCAGCTGTTCTCTATTTTTAAATGAAATGAATGTTATAACCTATTAGACACATATCGAGACATACCCTACAATAGATGCCCTAAATGTAACATAAAGGAGACCTAAGAAGTAATTTTAATAAAATAATATGTATTTCTGTATGTAACTATTTCACCACAACTACACTAGATGATATTATGAATAGATTTTGAACCCAGGGAATAATAACATCCACACAGGCACCAGCACAGGCATTGGCACAATCCATAAAGCTGGATGGTCCTGGAAGCCCTTCAACCCCAAGGTACCAGTGATTAACTCTTTCATTGCTAACTGCAGGAAATCCGAAGGGCCCTATACATGGACACACTAGGAGGTAGGGAAGCTCAGAGCAGCTGGTATTTACCAAGCTGTTCTCAAAGCAGTTCAGTATTTTAATACCAGTCTTTACTTCTACCTATACATAAAATTACCATGAATTCAACAGCTACAAAGGCAAAGCAGCACAGGTGTGTTGTACCAGTGCCTCAAAGAGAAGGTAGCAATGCCACTAATGACGTAATTTTCCAAATTGGTCAACACTCCTTAGTAAACTACCCCCACCCCCGCCACCCTGCCAAAAAAAGTACAAACTTGCTTTGATTTACTGCATTACTGGAAAATTCAGTGCATATTAAAACGGTGTAACCAGGCCAGGTGCGGTGGCTCATGCCTATAATCACAGCAGTTAGGGAGGCTGAGGCAGGCGAATCACTTGAGGTCAGGAGTCCGAGACCAACCTGGCCACCATGGCGAAACCCCATCTCTACTAGAAATACAAAAATTAGTTGGGTGGGCCGGGCGTGGTGGCTCACGCCTGTAATTCCAGCGCTTTGGGAGGCTGAGGCGGGCGGATCATGAGGTCAGGAGATCGAGACCATCTTGGCTAACACAGTGAAACCCCGTCTCTACTAAAAAAATACAAAAAAATTAGCCAGGCATGGTGGCGGGCGCCTGTAGTCGCAGCTACTCAGGAGGCTGAGGCAGGAGAATGGTGTGAACCCAGAAGGTGGAGCTTACAGTGAGCCCAGATCGTGCCACTGCACTCCAGCCTGGGCAACAGAGCAAGACTCCATCTCAAAAAAAAAAAAAAAATTAGTTGGGTGCAGTGGCGCGCACCTGTAGTCCCAGCTATTCGGGAGGCTGCGACAGGAGAATCGCTTGAACCCAGGAGGTGGAGGTTGCATTGAGCCGAGATGATCACACCACTGCACTCCAAGTTGGGCAATAGAGCAAGTCTCCATCTCAAAAAAAAAAAAAAAAAAAACCCGTGTAACCAATAATTTTATATAAATTAGGTACTGGGCTACTGTGGGGCTTTTCTGCACATAGCAGGCTGTCTAATATCCCTGGTCCCTGCCCAATAAATGCCAGCAATGTTAGCCCAATTATGCCAACCAAAACACCTACACAAACTTCCAAAATGCCAGCCACATCAGAATTTGCCCACTTCCACTGAGAGCCACTAAATTACCCCCCATTCACTTACTTCCTTTTCCAATGCAAGACCTCACACAAAATTAAGACTTGCCTATATGGTATAGTGTTTAAGGGCTTTCACTATGGAGTTTGAAAGATGTGGGTTCAAATTCCTTCTTTACACTTTTTAGTTACATAATCTTAGGAAAATTACTTTCTCACTTTCAGCCTCAGCCTCTTCCTCTACAAGTTGCTGTGAGAATTAAACATTATATACAGGCCAGGTGGGATGGCTTATGCCTGTAATCCCAGCACTATGGGAGGCCAAGGCGAGTGGATCACTTGAGGCCAGGAGTTCAAGACCAGCCTGGCAAACATGGTGAAATCCCATCTCTACTAAAAAATACAAAAATGAGGCCGGGAGCGGTGGTTCACGCCTGTAATCCCAGCACTTTGGAAGGCCGAGGCAGAAGGATCACAAGGTCAGGAGATCAAGACCATCCTGGCTAACACAGTGAAACCCCGTCTCTACTAAAAATACAAAAAATTAGCCGGGCGTGTTGGCGGGCGCCTGTAGTCCCAGCTACTCGGGAGGCTGAGGCAGGAGAATGGCGTGAACCCGGTAGGCGGAGCTTCCAGTGAGCCGAGATCGCGCCACTGCACTCCAGCCTGGGCGACGGAGCAAGACTCCGTCTCAAGAAAAAAAAAAAAAAATACAAAAATGAGCCACGTGTGATGGCATGCGCTTGTAATCCCAGCTGCTCGGGAGGCTGAGGCACGAGAATCCTTTGAACCCAGGAGGCGGAGATTGTGGTGAGCCGAGATCACGCCACTGCACTCCAGCCTGGGCGATAGAGTGAGACTCTGTCTCAAAATAAAAAAATGAACAAACATATACATACTGTACATGGTTTTGGCTTTGCAAAATGCATATACACAACTCACTTAGCATGGGGCTTTATGCTAACTAAATGCTCAGTTTATGGTAGCTATTATTCTTAAATAATAAATGAAATAGCAGGGATTGATGCCATTTCACTGTCTCACTCCACTAATTTCAACTAAATGAAAGACAGCTATATCTACATGCAAAAACATTTTTCAAATTAAACAGTATGAAGGAAGTAAATGGAGTTCTGCAGAACTGGCTGGCTAGTGAAGCACATGATTCAGATCGGTCTGCATTAAAAGCCATTCCAAATATTTTACAAAACAACTTAGTTAACCTACTGTTACCTGCTTGAATCAGAACTCACCAGCAAGGCTAGACAAGAACACCATAGAAACTCTAGCTCCCCTCAGTATTAGAATGGTCCAAGAAAAGGTTGGTGCTGGAGGATTAGGATAACCTTGGGAACATCCCTGAGCTTTGGGTCCAGACTAAAATATGAGGAAATCAAACTGGCAGTGGTCCTCTAACAGCAGAAGGGAATGAATATAGGATGCATCTTTATGAAGTCTGAGGATTTAATTTAAAAGTTTCCAGAGGCCTGGTGTGGTGGTTCACATCTATAATCCCAGCACTTTGGGAGGCCAAGGCGGGAGGATTGCTTGAGCTCAGGAGAAACCAACCTGAGCAACATAGTGAGAACTCATCCCTACAAAGAAATCAAAAAATAAGCTAGGCATAGTTATGAGCTTGTGGTCCCACCTACTCGGGAGGCTGAAGTGGGAAGATCGCTTGAGACAGGGAGGTCAAGGCTGCAGTGAGTGAGCCTTGATCACATTACTGCACTCCAGCCTGGGTGACAGAGCAAGACCCTGTCTCAAAAAAAAAAGTTTCCAGAAGGAATCTTAACTCTTACCTTCACCTTCAAGTCAGTTTTGTCAAACTTTAATAAGCACTAAATATGTGCTGCCTTTATAAAAATATTTTCGCCAAATCTTCAAATAAAATGGATACGTTATGTTTTCTGATACAGCTTAGTATCCTCTGGCCAGACACAACCTTTGGTGTTAGTTAGTTCCCAGTTTGAGAACCTGGGAACTAACTAGATGATGTCTATTTTCTTCCAGATCTAAAAAGTTGGTGATTCAGACTTGATATAAAATCTGTCTTAAGAATAAAGGTACCTTGTTTCACAAGAAATATTTTACACAAGTTGAATCATTTGTAATGCTCCAAAATAGCTTCTTATTTAAAAACTTAAATGGTGAATTATTTTGTAAATAAAAATATGTCTTAATTATCTAGTTTAATCAGATTTAATAAACTTTTGGGCACCTACTATGTGCCCAATAGTTTCAGGCTGTGTATAATTCCAAAGTAGAATAAGAATTTTGTCATCTTAGGCAGCATTGAGAACTTGATGTGGCAGGCACTATTCTACATGACTTATTCATTTAATTCTCACAACTCTGTGGTCACTAGTATTATTCTCATCTTATAAATGAAGAAATCGAAGCACAGAGATTTTATATACCAGTCCAAGGCTACTAAGCTTGTGATTGTGCTGAGATTCAAACCAGGCAGTCTGACTCTATCCACTATTCTTTTTTTTTTTTCCACCCCTTCCCTCTCCAATCCACTATTCTTGAAACACATAACAATTAGAAAATAGGATCTCATATAATAAAATACTAAATTATGCGGTACAGCACAATAGGAAACAGGACAAGGGAAAGAAAAAAAATGAGGCCGGGCATAATGGTTACACCTGTAATCCCTGCACTTTGGGAGGCTGAGGTGGGAGAATTGCTTGAGCCCAAGAGTTGGAGACCAGCCTGGCCAATATGAAGAAGCCCCGTCTCCACAGAAAATACAAAAATTAGCCGGGCGTGCTGGTGTGCACTTGTAATCCCAACTACTTGAGATGCTCAGGCTGGAGGATTGCTTCAGCCCAGGAGGTCAAGGTTTCAGTGAGCCAAGATCATGCCACTGTACTCCAGCCAGGGTGACAGAGTGAGATCCTGTCTTGAAAGAAAGAAAACAAAGAAAAAGAAAAGGAAAGGAAGGAAAGAAGAAAAAGAAAAAAATGTGAATTGGTAGGAAAAGTCAAAGAGAAAATAGAATTTCAGTTAGCTGGAATTTGCACAGATAAGGAAGAAAGAGTATTCAGGAATCCACAGTGTGAATACAGGAGGACTCTAGTGGGAAAAGGGAGTAGATGACAATGAAACTTGAATAGGCAAGGGGAGGCCAGACTGAAAGGTCTTTTATTCCAGGCCCCAAACCAATGAAAAAGATCAGAAGGTTCCTGAGCCGGAAGTAGGAAGGCCAAAACCTTAGCAGTATGTAGGACAAAATGAGAGGGAATAAAGCAGATTTTCTTGTATTATCTTTAGGAAGCAGGGAAGGCAGAGATTTTATTATTATTTTTTTTAACTGTTGCATTCCTCCTAGCATCTAGCAGAGTGCCTTACACAAAGTAGGGACTCATATATCTATGAGTGCCCGCATAAATGAAGAAACGAAGCGTACTTACAATGCAAATATTAACAGGATAAGAAATATTTAGCCAAGTACCACCCCTTCTGACACAGCAGAATACTTACAAGGGATCTGGGCCATTCCAGATCACCATCTTTCTTTCTGAAATGATATCCCAATCACTAGGGCTCTGTTCAGACAGTGACCTTGTAAAGCCCGAGGAGCACCCTAGAGAAGGGAACACAGGAGGAGCAGGAAAGGGAACACGGGAGGACCAACGCCCAGATCTCAGCGTGGTCGCCAGAATGACCCATATTAGTCATTTGGGGTTGCAGAAGAGGGGATGCAAGCCCATTCCCAGGACGGCCTCCACCCGGCGGGGCAATGAAGGGAAATGACTGACGTAGGGGGCTCCAGCGCAGGGGCCGAAGGAGATGCGACACCAGGGAGAGGGGCCCCGGGCACAGGCAGCAAGGAAAGAGGTCAGCGGAGTCTGAGAGAGAAACGATGAAGAGGGGAGACGGGCGCCGGGAGGGGGGCCGCCGCATACAGTTCCCCCGACACTCGCATCCTGGAAGGCACCAGCCCCTCACGACCAACCTGCCAGACGCTGTGAGGAATCCCCGGGTCAGAATGACAAGCCTCCGCGACAGTACCCACCGAGCCAAAGCTCCTGGAGAGCGCGCTGGAGAGCGCATGCGCCAGACCGGGCGCTTCCTCCACGTGGCCTGGAGCGTCGCCGAAACTACAGTTCCCAGAATGCCGCACGAGCCCGCCCCCAGCGGGAGCTGTGGGGCAGAGGCGCTGCTGTGGTTGGTCAGTCCAGTAAGAAGCCAGCAGGGCTGGTGCTGGGGCTTCTTCTCCTGAAGGGGCTGCAAGAGGGAAGGCTTAGCCATGTCGTCCTTGATCAGAAGGGTGATCAGCACCGCGAAAGCCCCAGGGGCCATTGGACCCTACAGGTAACGTGGCTGGTGGAAGCTGTGTCGGACCCAGGGCGTGCGGGTTCGGGGATTCGGGGTTGGGGCCACTCCGGGCCGGAGCCCCAGCTAACACGCAAGGAAATTGAGCCTGGAAAGTAAGCAACGCGCCCGAAGACCCACAGAGAGTTGGGAGCCACGATGGGACCAGGAACCTGCACTCCATGGGACTTTGCTCGTTCTGGGGCTGCCTCGCTGCGGAGCACAGCCTGCCAGAAAGCTCTCCCCAGTTAGAAGCCTTCAGACCCTGTGTTTTGTTTTGGGGGAGGGGGTCGTTTTTGTTTTCTTGGTAACAGCTTTATTGAGATATAATTCACGTACCGTAAGATTCACCCCCTTTAACATGTACAATTCAGTGGTTTTGACCATACTCACAGAGTTGTGCAGCCATCACCACTTTCTTCAGAACATTTTCATCACCCCAAAAATAAATCCCATCCCCATTAGCATTCACTCCCCATTCTCCTCTCCCCCGGCCCCTGACAATCTACTTGCATCTTCATGGATTTGCTTGTTGTGGACATTTCCTATAAATTGAATCATAAAACATGCAGTCCTTTATGACCAACTTCTTTCATTAGCTTCATACTTGGTCTGCCTCTCTCCCAACTGAAAAGAGCCCCATCAACAGCTCCCTCCTTTAAACCTACTGCTGTGAGAAAAGGCACTGAGATGTGGCAGAACAGGAATTATTATAGAAAACTTGGAAATAAATAAAATGCAGTAGAAGTGAGAGGGCAAGTGGGGTAGGGAGTAAAGGAGAAAAAAGACAAATTGATTTTAACTTGGGGTGGAAGAGGAAAAAGAAGATTTAGGAAGGTTCCTTGTGAGAGGTAGTCCTTTGGTTTTGAAGGTTGGTTTTGTCATTTATAGTAGTGTTGTAAAGTTTGATTTTTAAATTAATTTATTAAGGATTTCAACAGGAAGTCATTGAGTGAAGGGCATGGAGGTAGAAGTCAGGTAGAGGGAATGGCTTGAGTGAGGGCATGGAGGTAGAAGAATGCATGGTATAAAGATTTTGGGGAGAAAGTTTTCATAATTCAAGTGCTACTTCTGTCTTTTTTGTTTGTTTGTTTGCCAAATCTGTATATCACTTATAATTTACTTAACCTATTTCTTTGAGATGGCTCACTTCATTTTATTTAACAAGTTAATTGAAAAAGGAAACTTTACAACAGTACACTAAATAGAAAACAATTCAATAGAAAGTAATAGTAAAAAATAAACTCAATTAAAAAAAGGTATTATTAAATTTTAGCTAGATATTGCAGTTGGCTCAAAACCTGAGGCCTGCTCTCTCTTTGTTAAGAGTGATGTTTCTTTAGCCGGGTACTGTGGTTCACGCCTGTAATCCCAGCACTGTGGGAGGCCGAGGTAAGAGGATTGCTTGAGGTCAGGAGTTCAAGACCAGCCTGGGCAACATAGTGAGACCCCCATCTCTATTTAAAAAAAAAAAAAAGTTTAATTAAAAACTTTCAAGTGATGTTTTAATTTGTTTTCTAAAGATGATTTTTTTTCTCCTTAATGTAATCAAACGGGGTAGAGTCATCATTGCTAACATTTACTGATGCTTACTCAGCAGCATTGGGCACTATCCCTTTTTTTTTTTTTTTTTTTTTTTTTTTGGAGGCAGAGTCTCACTCTGTTGCCCAGGCTAGAGTGCAGTGGTGCAATCTCAGCTCACTGCAACCTCCACCCCACAGATTCAAGTGATTCTCATGTCTCAGCCTCCCAAGTAGCTGGGATTACAGGCAGGTGCCACCACACCCGGCTAATTTTTGTATTTTTAGTAGAGACAGGGTTTCACTGTGTTGGTCAGGCTGGTATTGAACTCCTGACCTAAAGCGATCCACCTACCTCGGCTTCCCAAAGTACTCGGATTACAGGTGTCAGCCACCATGCCTGGCCAGCACCAGGCACTGTTCTAAGTTATTTATGTGCATGGTTATATTATAGTCCCTATTTTTCAGATGAAGAAACTGATGTGTGCAAAATTAAATAATTTGCCAAAAGTTACACCACTAAAAAGTGATGTAACAAAATTTGAATTTAGGAAATGGGTACTAGAGCCTAGTCTTAATCATTTACTTTGTTGTCCCTGGTGTAGATTGAAAAAAAAAATTGGAAAAGGAATCATTTTCTTACTATGTAAGACTGTGTATAAGTCTTACTGTGTATGACTGACTCCTTTGAGAAATACTGATTAAGAGTTGGACTTTGGATTTGAATTTTTGTTTTGCCTCTTTTTAATTATATGATCTTGCAGAGTGACTTAACCTCTCTTAGTTTGCTTCTTTGTCTTCTCAATGGGCATAAATAATACCATTTGATAAGATTATTGTGGGAATTAAATAAAAGTGACCAACAAAAATTAGATTTTGGCCAGGCACAGTGGTTCACACCTGTAATCCCAGCACTTTGGGAGGCCGAGGCAGGTGGATCACAAGCTCAGGAGTTCAAGACCAGCCTGGCCAAGATGGTGAAACCCCGTCTCTACTAAAAATACCAAAAAAAAAAAAAAATTAGCTGGGTATAGTGGCGTATGCCTGTAATCTCAGCTACTCGGGAGGCTGAGGCAGTGAATTGCTTGAACCTGGAAGGCAGAGGTCGCGGTGAGCCAAGATCGCACCACTGCACTCCAGCCTGGGCTACAGAGCGAGACTCTGTCTCAAAAAAAAAAAAAAAAGATTTTAGCAGGGTACAGGTTGTGGTGGTTTCCAATACTAAATGGAAGAATATAAACTTTATTTTGTATATAATAAGGAACAATTAAATGTGGTTTTTTTCTTGTGGTTGTTGTGGTTGTGTGTTTGTATGTGTGTATATTGAGACAGTGTTTCGCTGTGTCACCCAGGCTGGAGCCGGGATCACAGCTTATTGTCGCCTCAACCTCCCGGGCTCAAGCCATCCTCCCACCTCAGCTTCCCAAGTAGCTGGGGCTACAGGCTCAGGCCACCATGCCCAGATAATTTTTGTATTTTTTATAGAGCTGGGGT
The DNA here is from genome assembly GCF_000001405.40 of Homo sapiens. Lineage (NCBI taxonomy): Eukaryota > Metazoa > Chordata > Mammalia > Primates > Hominidae > Homo > Homo sapiens. The sequence goes on along the minus strand of NC_000008.11, from coordinate 98,114,017 downwards.
TTTACCATGTTGCCCAGGCTAAATGTTTTTAAGCAGGGTGGAACATGATCAGATCTTTTAAAAAGAATTCTGATAGTAATTCTGATAGAAATTTGGAGGTAAAGAAAGTGAGAATAGTTAGGGGATATTATAAGTAAAAATTTGTGATTTTTTTTCTCCTTCTGCCCTAATGTCTTTCTCTCAATCACACAGTGGTAGCATTTAGAAAAACATCTTTACCTCCAAACAAGAGGGACACAACCAAATCAAAGTGATTATTAGAGACACTTTGTCCTGGAGCCTGCTAAAGAGCATACCCCTTCCTTGACCTATTTAGAGATACTCTGTGGACTTTGTTCAGGAAAGAAAGCATAACAGTAATGTTCCTGGTTGACTTGAAGGTAGGTGGGAGTCAACTGTCTTTATAAAGCTGAAAGCTAAAAAGAGGGGAATCATCATATGAATGTGCCAGTATGACAAGAAAAAAAGCCACCAGCCAGCTTCATGGTGTGGAGACTTCCAGGACATTGTGCCTCTTGTGCACTAGGTGACTAGAAATGGTGCTTATTTTCAATAGTTAATGTTTAAGAAAAAAAACAGACTGCAACTAACTACTTATGTTAATTGGACATGTTTTAGGAACCTTTTGGGAACAAGAGTTTTTGTGCGTGGAGTGTGTAGTGAGTACACTTTTTGAAAATCCTGGGTCCTCTCCAGGAAGAATTCAAATGTGTTGAACTTTCAGTCCCTGGCATTGGGATGGATGGGGTGTTGTCACTAATTAGCCAATCAGCTCAGCACATTTCAGGAATACTTCCAGACAGAACCTTGAAAGATTTCAACATTGCATTGCTTTGCATTGCGCATTTTGCACACCGTCCTCATAATTATAAATTTTTGAAGCAGTAGCCCGTGTGGTATAGACTATGATGTGAGAATTATTAGAATGCTTTTGAAAGTGTGATTACCCTTTAACCTGGTAGTAGAACAGTGCACTTTTAAATTTTCTGAAGTCCAACCACTTGTCTTTGGATAGTAGGATTCTTATGCTCAGAAAGTGTCAACTAGCCAATTATTCTTATGAACAAACCTCTTTAGATCTGTAAGAGATAACTCACATAGCTCAGATGGTCTCAGCTCCAGTGCTTGCTTTTTATATTTTGAAAATAAAAGAGTTTCTTTTTACTATCATGAAGTTTCTGATAAATAATAATGCATATGGTCTTAAAGTGTGTTTCAGATATGGGGAAAGCTGAAGGCACTTTGCACAGGACCTAGGGCAGACGGCCTAATTCTACACAGGACAGTTAATAAAAAACAGTGTTACTGATGGTATTATTTAACCCGAGAAAAGATTACAAATTAACAAACTCAGTAGTTATCTATTTGTGGGCCAGTATGAAAGCCAGATAGTTGAGAAGACTTTCTAGACTTTCTGAATCATGTTATCAAGTTTAAACATACCTCCTTAGCTCTCTCCAAAGCATTTGCTGTAAGTCAACAGGTCCTGCTAAAAAGAGATTCACTGACAACCAAAATTGTTTATGCTACTAAGTGGTTAAAGAGCAAAACATCAGCAAGTAGTTATAGTGTGCCTACTGTATGCAAGGAATCACCTACACCCTACACAGCTACAGAGACATGGTAAGACATTACCCTGACCTCAAGGAGTTTAGAGTCTAAGATACCTTGGGAGACAGGATAATAACAGGATGAGTTACAACACGAGGCAGGATCCTGTACATAGTATAAGGAAGATACAACCAAAGCACTCCTGGGATCCAGGGGAAAGAAAAGCTTAGTTACTTAGAGAAAGTGTGTGTGTGTGTGTGTGTGTGTGTGTTTAGTATAGTTTTATTTATGATAACAAAATATCAGAAGCAATGGTGACTCATTAAATAAAGTACATCTATATTGTAAAACATATGTAGCTGTTAAAAAAAATGAGGAAGCACTCTACATATACTTATGGAAAGATCTTCATGATATTCTGTTGAGTGAAAAAAACAAAGTGTACAAGAATGTTTAATATACCATATTTTATGTAAAAGAAGAGAGAAAATATATATTTGTTTTGGTTATCTGTTCATTAAAAAAACTGGATGAATACATAAAGAAGAACAATGGTTCTGGGCTGGGAACTGAGCAAATAGGGAACAAGAATGGAAGAAAGACTTTTCACTGCAATTCTTTGTGTATTTTCTGGATTTTTGAACCATATGAACTCCTATTCAAAAATAAATTATAAAGGGAAAAAAAAGATGTGGTCAAGAAGACCAGGAAAACTTCATGAAATAAAAGAGGAAAGTTTGGAGCATGTTGGAAAATGGAAGAATAGGGAACTAAAAGAAGATGATTAAAATGAGACTATCTTAAATTTATAAATAAGCATAGAAATTTTAAAACAAATTTCACTTCTTTTTTTTTTTTTTTGACACAGAGTCTTGCTCTGTTGCCCAGGCTGGAGTACAGTAACGTGATCTTGGCTTACTACAACCTCCACCTCCCAGGTTCAAGTGATTCTCATGCCTCAGCCTCCCAAGTAGCTGGAATTACAGGTGTGCACCACCACTGGCTAATTTTTGTGTTTTTTAGTAGAGACAGGATTTCCCCATGTTGGCAAGGCTGGCCTTGAACTCCTGGCCTCAAGTGGTCTGCCCGCCTCAGCCTCCCAAAGTGCTGGGATTATAGGCATGAGCCACCATGCCCTGCCACATTTCACTTCTAAATTAAAATTACATTAAGTCTTCTTTCTTCAACATTTTAAAAAAACAGATAGGCTTTCTTCATCCCAAAATTAATATCATTCCTATAAAAAGTAGACTTGTTTGGCTTTTTTTCAGGTATCAATGTATTGTTTTCTTTTTCCTGTGATTTTATCCTACTTCTGAAATTTAGCATCCTCATAACAGAAAAAGTCAGTTACAGAAGTAAGCACTTTGCAGAAATGAAGTTGTATTAGTTCGTTTCCACACTGCTATAAAGATACAACCCGAGTATTTATAAAGAGGCTTAATTGACTCACTGTTCCACATGGCTGGGGAGGCCTCAAGAAACTTACAATAATGGCGGAAGGGGAAGAGGCACATCGTATATGATGGCAAGCAAGAGAGAGTGTACATGTGTAGGAGGAACTGTCAGACACTTATAAAACTGTTAGATCACGTGAGAACTCACTATCATGAGAACAGCATGGGGGAAACTGCCCCCATGGTCCAGTCACCTCCCACCAGGTCCTACTCTCAACATGTGGGGATTATGGGCATTACAATTCCAGATGAGGTTTGGGCAAGGACACAGCCAAGCCATATCAGAAGTGGACCCTCAAAAGTATATCCTTAATTGATCCTCCAATAAGCAGTGACTAATCTTGTCTGAAGATGACTACTTATGTTTTTAAAAGTGCTCTTGAAATTGCATTTTTTTGCTTTACAGCTATATTGAGGTATAAGTTACTTATAAAAGTTACCCATTTTAATGGCTGGGTGTGGTGGCCCACGACTGTAATCCCAGCACTTTGGGAAGCGGAGGCAGGCGGATCACCTGAGGTCAGGAGTTCAAGACCAGCCTGGCCAACATGGCAAAACCCCATCTCTACTAAAAATGCAAAAATTAGCTGGGCGTGGTGGCTCACACCTGTAATCCCAGCTACTTGGGAGGCTGAGGCAGAATTGTTTGAACCCGGGAGGCGGAGGTTGCAGTGAGCCAAGATTGTGCCACTGCACTCCAGCCTGGGTGACAGAGTGAGACTCCATCTCAAAAAAACAAGTCACCCATTTTAATTAAGTGTAGTGTTCCATGAGTTTTAGTAAATGTATAGAATCATGCATCCACTATAATAGTCAAATTTTAGAATATTTCTATCACTCCCAAAAAATTCCCTTGTACCCATTTATGATCACCCCTGGCCCTAGACAACAATTAATAATCTGCTGCTGCTATTTTCTTTTCTAAGGTTTCATTTAAGTGAAATAAGACAATATATAGTCCTTTGTTGGATCTATCAGTGGGTGCATGTGTGTGTGTCTTGCTTTTTTGCTATAAATAATGCTATTCTGAACATTCACGTAAACTCTTTGGACATATGTTTTCATTTCTCTTGGATAGTTGCCTAGGAAAGAAATTGCTGAGTTGAGGCTCAAGCCTGTAATCCCAGCACTTTGGGAGGCCAAGGCAGGAGGATCACTTGAGTCCAGGAGTTTGAGACCAGCCTAGGCAACATAGCAAGACCTCATCTCTACAAAAAATAAAAATAAGTAAATAATAAAATAAAAAATTAGCCAGGCATGGTGGTGCACACCTTTAGTCTCAGCTACTTAGGAGGCTGAGATGGGAGGATCACTTGGGCCTGGGAGGTCAAGGCTTCAGTGAGCCAACATCCTACCACTGCACTTCAGCCTGGGTGACAGAGCAAGATCCTGTCTCTAAAAGAAGAGTTTGCTGGGTTGTATGTTAAATATATGTTTAAATTTTTAAAGAAACTGCCAAACTATTTTCTAAAGTGGCTGTACCATTTTGCATTACTACCGACAATGTATGAGGGTTGCTCCCCATCATTGCCAATGCTTACTTTATCAGTGATGTCTTAGTGTGTGGTTTTGCTTTGCATTTCTCTAATGACTACTAATGTTGAGCAAATTTCATGTACTCTAACTCTTTGTATATTTTCTTTTGTGAAGTATCATTTGCTCATATTTTATTGGGTTTGTCTTCACATTATTGACTTTTAAGAGTTCTTCTTATATTCTGGATATAGGTACTTTATTAGGTATATGTTTTGCAAATATTTTTCTCCCAATCTATGACTTGCCTTTTCTTCCCCCGACCCCTTTTTTTATTTTGGGTCTTTCTCTGTTACTCAGTGCCACTGAGGCTGGAGCGCAGTGGTATACTCATGGCTCACTTCAGCCTTCAACTCCTGGGCTCAAGCAATTCAATCACCCTAGCCTCCTGAGTAGCTGGGACTACGGGTGTGCGTCACCATACTTGGCTGTTTTTTATTGTTTTTTGTAGAGACTGAGTGGTTGCCCAGGCTGATCTCAAACTCCTGGTCCCAAGCGATCCTCCTGCTTCACCCTCCCAAAGCACTAGGATTACAGCACCCAGCCCCTTTTCATTTTCTTAAAGATATCTTTGATAAACAAAAGTTTTCAATTTTCATGAAGTCCAATGTATCTGTTTTTTTTTTTTTACAATTTATACTTCTCTGTCCTATCAAAAAAGTCTTCTAGCATTGAATTTTATGTTTTATACTTACATAAATACACTAGCTTTCTGTTTATTGCAGTCAAGCTGTATTAGTCGACAGGACCATTTACATTTCAGGACAGATAGGCATGGACCCTTCAAGTGGACAGCTTGTGTCAGGAGGGGTAGCAGAAGAAGCTAAACAAGTAAGTTATTTTCCACATTTAAGGTTCCCTTTTCTACTACCTTTTTAATGTTGAAGAGCATTAAGAATCCACTTGCCTGATTTGTTTTATAGAGATTAACAGATAAATGTTTTTTAAACTACTTACTGCTTGATTTAACATAGTTTTTGATCTAAGAGTTGGAAATTTGATGGATCATGAATCATCTAACAACCAAAAGAGAGATTCCACCTCCTTAACACTAAGGTGACCTTAAACCTGAATTATTGACGTCAGATGACATGTTGCCACTTCCACATGGATTGGGAAATTTTCTTCTCAGGGCCACTGACCTGCCCCTCTTCAAAAAAAAAAAAAAATTACCACCACAGAAGTAAAAAGTCAACATTTTTAAAAATAAGAATGGGGAATATAATTTTAATCCAATAAATATAATTAAACCATAATTTAGGCCAGGCACGATGTGGCTCACACCTGTAATCCTAGCACTTTGGGAGGCCGAGGCTGGCAGATCACTTGAGGTCAGGAGTTCAAGACTAGCCTAGACAACATGGTGAAACCCCATCTCTACTAAAAATACAAAAATTAGTTGGGGGAGGCCAGGCACAATGGCTCACACCTGTAATCCCAGCACTTTGGGAGGCCGAGGCGGGCAGATCACCTGAGGTCAGGAGTTCAAGACCAGCCTGGCCAACATGGTGAAACCCCGTCTCTACTGAAAATACAAAAATTAGCCAGGTGTGGTGGCATGTGCCTGTAGTCCCAGCTACTCGGGAGGCTAAGGCATGAGAATCGTTTGAACCCGGAAGGCGGAGGTTGCAGTGAGCTGAGATTGTGCCACTCCACTCTAGCCTGGGCAACAGAGCAAGAACCCTGTCTCAAAAAAAAAATAGAAAAAAAAAGTAACCCAGTCAGGTGGCACATGCCTGTAGTCCCAGTTACTCAGGAGGCTGATGCAGAAGAATCGCTTAAACCTGGGAGGTGGAAGTTGCAGGAAGCCAAGATCGTGCCACTGCACTCCTGCCTGGGACACAGAGCAAGACACTGTCTCAAAAAATAAAATAAAATAAAACAATAAACTATAATTTACTGCATTTACTGAGTCATATAATGCTGAAAGTTTGTTTTGTTTTGTTTTGTTTCTTGAGACAGCCTTGCTCTGTCGCCCAGGCTGGAGTGCAGTGTCGTGATCTCAGCTCACTGCAACCTCTGTCTTCCAGGTTCAAGCAATTCTCTTGCCTCAGCCTCCCAAGTAACTGGGACTACAGGCACACGCCACCACACCTGGCTTATTTTTTGTATTTTTAGTAGAGACGGGGTTTTACCGTGCTAGCCAGGATGGTCTCGATCTCCTGACCTCATGATCCACCCACCTCAGCCTCCCAAAGTGCTGAGATTACAGGCATGAGCCTCCACACCCGGCCTAGCTGAAAGATTTTTAAAAACCTAAATATCCACTCATAAAGAACTGGTTGAATAAATTATGCTAGATCAATACAACTAAAGTAATGTGGAAAGATCTCCGAGGTAAATTGTTCCATGGTAATAAAACCAAGATGCAGAACAACATGCACAGTATGCTACCATGTGTGCTTGTGTGTTTAAAAATATGTAACATAAGCATTGACTGTACCTAGAAGGATATACAATAAATTAGGAACAGTGGTTACCTCTGAGGAGGGAAACTTGGGAGAGGGAGAGAGGGGTGAGAGATATCTTTACACGGTATATGCTTTTTTAATAGCTTTTGAGTTTTTTTGTTGTTGTTGTTGCCATATCCATGTATTACCTATTTAGAAGATTATTTTAAAAGACACAAGAATATAATGAAATATTGCATTGTGACCAGCAAAGTGGGAAGAGTGAATCCAAAAAAAGATAAATGTTTTTCCAGAAGCCAGTGTCTCCAACTGTTATATAATTTACTAATATTGTTTTTTTGAGAAAAAGGAAAAAGAACCCTTTGAAGTCAAATATTGCTTTAAAAGAAAATATGTTTTAATGCTTACTAGCTCATCCTTATCCTTGACGTGATATCGAATGAAGAACACCAGAAATTATTTCTGTGGACATTGGCTGAACAATTAACACATTTTAGCACTGAAGAAGGAACTTCAACCTAGTCTTTTTACGCACAAAAGGAGACAACATTTTCACCATATATCAGAAAGACTCATTCTATTAAAGGAAAGCCAAGAAACACACTTGTAAGCGAGTAGGGAGGATTTTTCTGCAACATAGGCTATTTAAGGAGGTATTAGTAAAAGATGATTAATTGAATTTAATTAAAGCTTTAAATCTAACATCAGTGACTTAGGCCTTTCTTGGCTTGGTTCACAGGCTCTTAAAAACATGGGTGAAATTCTGAAAGCTGCAGGCTGTGACTTCACTAACGGTGAGCAATTTGATATTATTTCACATTTCTTTTTGATATTTCTTTGGTCTTTTTGAAAAATATATGGCATCCAGTAAGATGCCGTGCCATATCTTTGTTGCTATTTAAAAGTTGTTTTAAATAGCAACTGTTCTACTTCACTTCTTTGGTCCCATTTCAGTCCCATTTTAATCAAGACAGTCTCAGATTCATACACTCTTTTTCTAAGTAATGTTTTGGGTCAGACCAAATAACTAAACCTAATGACAATGTTTATATCTTCTAGTGGTGAAAACAACTGTTCTTCTGGCTGACATAAATGACTTCAATACTGTCAATGAAATCTACAAACAGTGTAAGTAATTTGGCTTTATTCCTATTTTCCATTTTTAAAAAGAAAGAAATCTGGTCACATTAATGAATGTGCATTATGAATTAAGAGTGGTAGGAGATGCTAAAGAAATGGTCATAGATCTTAAAAGAATTAATAATCTGATTGGAAATATGTTGTATACCCCCCATGAAAAAGTTCTAAGACATTTCTATTGCATTCCCTAAAACAATATACTGAAATCCTACATATCCATTTTTCAAAAGCTTAATTTCATTAAATCCTTCTCAGGCTTTTTAAACTCTCCTAACAAGTTTTTTATGCATAGATTTTATTTACTGTGGCTGTATGGTGCAGCCACCATCTTTATCCTGGCTCTCTCAGACTCATTAGTTAGTTACTTAATATTTCTATGCCTTGGTTTTCTCATATGCAAAATGGAGATAATATACTCCTAACTTATAGGGTTGTTGGAATGATTAAATGAGTCAGTACAACATGTAAAGCACTTAGATGCTGGTGTGTTATAAGCACTGAGTAAATGTTAGCTATTATTAACATTGATGTTATAGTAGGGAAAATTGGTGTCCCCAACACCTAATGGGATGAGGCAAAGGTATAACTTGGAAAAAGCATCGTTACTTATTCTCTCCTGAAGAAATTATTAGAAAAGACCAAAGTTGGCAGAGGAAGTACTTGCCAAAATTTCTGGAGATGGGCACTTGTTCCCTATTTAGATAAATAGTTTATAAATATCACTTTAAAAACAAAACTCCATTCACATCAAACAAGATCAAAATGTTAGGGTATGTATTTCTTTTTTTTTTTTTTTTTTTTTTTTGCCAGAAAGCTAAGAGATTTTAAAAAGTATTAACTATCATAGGAATCATATGGCAAAATATTTTATCAAACAAATCTGATAGTGAGCCTCTTTTTTAAAATGTTGCTTAAGGCCAGGAGCAGTGGCTCACACCTATAATCCCAGCACTTTGAGAGGCTGAGGTGGGTGGATCACTTGACATTAGGAGTTTGAGACCAGTCTGGCCAACATGGTGAAGCCCCGACTCTACTAAAAATACAAAAATGAGCCAGGCATGGTGGTGCACACCTGTAATCCCAGCTACTCGGGAGGCTGAGGCAGGAGAATCTCTTGAACATGGGAGACAGAGGTTGCAGTAAGCTGAGATCGCATCACTTCACTCCAGCCTTGGGCGATAGAGCAAGACTCTGTTTCAAAAAAATAAAAATAAATGTTGCTTATATCTAAGAACTGACTAGTATATGAAATATTTGCCAGATTATTAATTGTAGATATTGAATAACAATAGAATATCTGAAAACTAAAATAAAAATTTTCACTTGATCTTTATTTTTTCAACTCTTCTCTATTAAAAAAATGAAATTCTTTTAAATTCAGATTTCAAGAGTAATTTTCCTGCTAGAGCTGCTTACCAAGTTGCTGCTTTACCCAAAGTAAGTACACTTTAAATGACTAATGTACACAGTTTTCAGTTTCTACATTGTTTTCCTTCTATAAGTAAACTAAGCACTGTGAAAGGAAACTTAAAAGAAGTAGCCTGGGCAGGGTGGCTTACCCCTGTAATCCCAGTGCTTTGAGAGGCCAACACAGGAGGATCGCTTGAGGCCAGGAGTTCTAGACCAGCCTGGGCAACATAGCAAGACAGCCATCCCTACAAAAACAATTTAAAATTAGCCATGCATGGTGGTGGTGCACACCTATAGTCCCAGCTACTTGGTAGGCTGAGGTGGGAGGAACACTTGAACCCAGGAGTTCAAGGCTGCAGTGAGCTATAATCGAACCACTGTGCTGCAGCCTGGGTAACAGTGTGACCTTGTCTCTTAAAAAAAAAAAAAAAAAGAAAAGAAATAGACCCTGCTTCCCCAGGGACTTAAAGTCTGAAAGGAAATATCCCATATTACATGCATGAAAAAAAAATTAAGAAACCTTTTAAGACAGCACATGAACATAGAATCAGAATCAAAATACTTAAATTGTGAGAAAAGGCCAGGCGCGGTGGCTCACGCCTGTAATCCCAGCGCTTTCGGAGGCCGAGGCGGGCGGATCACAAGGTCAGAAGATCGAGACCATCCTGGCTCACATGGTGAAACCCGTCTCTACTAAAAATACAAAAAAAAATTAGCCGGGTGTGGTGGCGGACGCCTGTAGTCCCAGCTACTCGGGAGGCTGAGGCAGGAGAATGGCATGAACCCAGGAGGCAGAGCTTGCAGTGAGCCGAAATCGCGCCACTGCACTCCAGCCTGGGCGACAGAGCGAGACTCCATCACAAAAAAAAAAAAATTGTGAGAAAAAATAAAATAGCAGCTGTACTGTTGTAGTGTTACTTAGGGGACTATAAATTTGAGCCAGGTTTGTTTGTGAGTTCTGCAGTAAAAATTTCACCTGGATATTGTACAATTAAAAATCTAAGCCTTCCACTAGAAAAATAATCTCTAAACCAGGGGCACACATATTTCTCACCATTTTGATTTTGCTACTTTTAACTCAAAGCTTAGCAGCACAATATTCCTGCCTATAAAAAAGCAGCTCTTACTGACTTCCACTTGCAGTTTCTACTAAAGAAAATTTATGTTTTAAGAGTGTCATTTGTATTGCTTTAATTAGTTGTTACTTGGAATGATCATTATCAAACCTATTAAGGTACTGGGTGTAGTAGAAAGAGCTCTGAACTTGGAATCACAAGACAAGGGTTCAACCTCTGCTATCTAGCTTGTGACTTGGGATGACTTAATTACTCCTTCTACACTTCAGCATATCATTCTGTGAATTGAGGGGAAAATACGTCTCTAATAGGGCTTCTGTGAGAATCACATAAGCTAATATAGTATATGAATATACCTAGCATGGTAACCTGGTCTGTTATAGGTTCTTGGTGAATATTTCCTTCTCCTTTCCTTCCTTGAAAAGTTTAATGTTAAAAATGTTATATTGCTGTTGGTTGCATGTTTTTAGTAGGTATTATAGAGTTTGCAATTTGTACAAAATGATTACAACAAATTCTTTCATTTTCCTCACAGGGCAGCCGAATTGAAATTGAAGCAGTAGCTATCCAAGGACCACTGACAACGGCATCACTATAAGTGGGCCCAGTGCTGTGTAGTCTGGAATTGTTAACATTTTAATTTTTACAATTGATGTAACATCTTAATTAACCTTTTAATTTTCACAATTGATGACAGTGTGAGTTTGATGAAAATATCTGAAGCTATTATGGAAATACCATGTAATAGGGAGAGTTGAACATGAATATTAGAGAAGGAATCCAGTTACTTTTTTAAATTACACCTGTGTGCACCTGTATTACTGAATATAGGAAAGAGATACCCATTACATAGTTACTCAGTAAACAAAAGAGAAATACCAGGTAGGAAAGAAGAGTTACTATTCCTGAGAAATAATCAAGAACATATTTAATTTAAACTAATGATGTGAACTATTTAGTTTTGATGTCCGTTATGTGATTCTGCTTTTACTTGAGTAAAATTAAAGTGTTTAAATTTGAGATCAAGGAGAAGATAGTGGAACAAAATGTTATATAGATAATATTTTTCTAATGGAAATAAAATAGGCAGATTTCCTTTGGTGTGATTTTGTTCACTTATTTCTTAACAGTTTATACATTAAAACGTATTGCCTAGTGGGGGCAGGTAAAGTTAAAATCTCCAACTATTTCATTTTTCAAAGCCTACTTCTGACTTCATACACTTTTTTTTGTTTTTGTTTTTGTTTTTTATTTTTGAGACAGAGTCTCGCTGTGTCTCCCAGGCTGGAGTGCAGTGGCGCGATCTCGGCTCACTGCACGCTCCGCCTCCCGGGTTCACACCATTCTCCTGCCTCAACCTCCTGAGTAGCTGGGACTACAGGCGCCCGCCACCACTCCCGGCTAATTTTTTTTTTATATTTTTAGTAGAGACAGCGTTTCACCGAGTTAGCCAGGACGGTCTCGATCTCCTGACCTCATGATCCGCCTGCCTTGGCCTCCCAAAGTGCTGGGATTACAGCTGTGAGCCACCGTGCCCAGCTGACTTCATACACTTTTATACAGTTTATTTTTTTCAACAGTTATGGCCAGCTATTACATGAAACCTCATTTAAACTTTCTAGTCTTCAGCAGTTTTGGCCATTTACAGTGTTGCAGAATTTGCATGTAAATTTTCACATTTGTAGACATCTTTTTAATCTCTGCTATATCTGTCCCCCCTTTTCATCAATGATATGATTTATTTGGGCTTCTTTTTTTTTTCTTTATCTGTCTTTGCCAGAAGTTTATTAATTTTATTAATCTTCTTAAAGAACCACTTTTTGGCTTTGTTGATCCTTTCTATTATATCTTTCTTTTCTTTATCATTATTTCTGCTCTTATATGTATTATTTTCTCCAGCTCATTGATAAGTCATTTTTTTCTACTTTTAATATTAAGAGTCTTTTATTAGTAAGTTACAGAAACCCAACTCAAACTAGTATTAAGTGGAGAAAAGAGATAAATGCATAGGCTTAGGCCACAGAGGCCAGAGTACAGCTGGCTTTAGGCACATGTAGCCCAGAAACCTCGTGGCTCCATCCGTCTCTTGGGGGAAGATGCTGCAGACCCCAGATACAGGCTATGAGTGCACTAACCCCAGCAGAAAGATAACCATTTCCTGATCTCTCTGGCAGGAGAATCTCAGGGAAGCCTCTGGTCCAGCTCAGCTTAAGTTCCCGTTCCTAAGCCAAAGCCAGGAAATTAGACACCCTGGCCAGGTTGGGTCTAGGGGGAATACTTGTATATACGTCATGACTTCAAAATCAAACTCTAGAATGAAAGAGCTGGAAATAAGATGCTGGTACCCATGTTAATTAATTTGTTAGTGGCTGGGTCTTGGCTTGGCTTTTTTTCCACACTGAAGGAGAATCACTAGAATTTGTTAAATTTTTGTGGGGGAGTGGGGAACATTGCATGTTGGTCTTTTTATTTTTTTTATTTTTTGAGATGTTCTCACTCTGTCACCCAGGCTGGAGTGCAGTAGCACAATGATGTCTCATGGTAGCCTCAGTCTCCTGGCTGAAGCATTCCTCCCACTTCAGCCTCCTGAGTAGCTGGGATTACAGACACATACCACCACACCTGACTAATATTTTTATGTTTTTGTAAAGACAGGGTCTCATTATATTGCCCAGGTTAGTCTTGAACTCCTGGCCTCAAGCAGTCCTCCCACCTCAGCCTCCCAAGATTAATTTAAAGTCTGCTTTTTTTTCTGAAGAACACAACAAATCAAATGAAATGGTTTCTGTAAAACAATTCAGATAAAAAATACAGCAAGATCAACTTTTTAACACTTTATTAGTTCTAATAACATATTTATTCAATCAAAATTATAAATGTTGACCCAGCAGTATGAATAATTTCATTAAAATTTTGGCCATAATTTCCCATAAAGCCAATTATTTTTAGTTATAAGGAAATTGCCATGATTACATAAGAAAAAAGAGCATTTGTTACCAACAAATACTTACAGAATGACAAACTTGTACTAGACTTAGGGGAGGAGAATGAAGTTTGAACTAACTTTCCTATCCTCAGAAGAGCTTACAATTTTTCTCACTTCTGCCATGTGTTTAGCAATTGGAAAGCATGAAAAATAACTCCAAATAAAGGATTCCATTTCAGTGAATTATTCATCTGGCATAAATCATAAATTGTGGTCAGCTAAGTGCTAATGTGCTTAGGCAGAGTTGCTTACTCTGCAGCACTAATCAATGTTTATGAATATAGCAAGAATTACTGGAACATTCTCTATGACCTATTATCTCCAATGGATTAAGTGCTGACTCATTGACTCAACAGACTCAAAATTCTATTGATAGTTGTGCTTTGACTAACTTGTTATTGCAACAAGTTTTGCAATTAAAAAAATAATCCCTCATGTCCATCAACATACTAACAGTGATCATCTTTGATGAATTATGGGTAATATTTCATCTTTTAAAGTTTATATTTTCTGAAGTTTCTACAGTGAACATGTATTGTTTTATACTAAGAAAAAAGTAATTATTTTAATAACATCCTTCTTTTGTAATTATTGCCTAAAATAGTCATTCTGTTACATATAAGTACCTAGGCAGAAAGTGTTATTTCTACCCCCGCCAAGAACACCAAAAAAATGTTGTTTAAAAACTCTTATATCCAGAAACTTGAAGATAATCTATACTGATCCACTAAATAACTGCTATCTGAAATCACTATTACTTTGTTCTCCACTGAACTGCTAAGGGTGTGGTGGTGGTTGGAAAAGTCACCATTGGGCCTTGTGACTTTCTAGTGAGGTGCTGGGCCCCAAACCCTCTCTCCAACCCAAAGCTACTCTACAACAGTACAGCTGCCATGGAAAGCCTCTTCTCTTGTCATTGAACGACTCTTTTTTTTTCTTTTTTGAAATGGAGTCTCACCCTGTCGCCCAGGCTGGAGTGCAGTGGCGCATCTCAGCTCACTCCAACCTCCGCCTCCTGGGTTCAAACGATTCTCCTGCCTCAGCCTCCCGATACAGGTGCCCGACATCACACTCAGCTAATTTTTGTATTTTTAGTAGAGACGGGGTTTCACCATGTTGGCCAGGCTGGTCTGGAACTCCTGACCTCGTGATCTGCCTGCCTCGGCCACCCAAAGTGCTGGGATTACAGGCGTGAGCCACCGTGCCCAGCCAAAATGACTCTTTTAAAAGTGTTTAGAGGCTATAATCCCAGCTACTCAGGAGGCTGAGGCAGGAGAATCGCTTGAACCCGGGAGGCGGAGGTTGCAGTGAGCTGAGATCGCACCACTGCACTCCAGCCTGGGTTACAAGGGTGAAACTCCATCTCAAAAAAAAAAAAAAAAAAAAAAAAAAAGAATCAGGGCTGGGTGTGGTGGCTCATGCCTGTAATCCCAGCACTTTGGGAGGCCAAGGCGGGCGGATCACCTGAAGTTGGGAGTCCGAGACTAGCCTGGCCAACTTGGTGAGACCCCGTCTCTACTAAAAATACAAAAATTAGGTGGGTGTAGTGGCGTGCACCTGTAGTCCCAGCTACTCGGGAGGCTGAGGCAGGAGAATGACTTGAACCCAGGCGGCAGAAGTTGCTGGAGCCACTGCACTCCAGCCTGGGTGACAGAGTGGGACTCTGTCTAAAAAAAAAAAAAAAAAGTGTTTAGAATCACACAAATCAATTCAATACAACATGCATCATTTTAAATTTATGTGATAGTATGAATCGCCATACTTACTTTTATTAAGAAATTTTAAGGCCAGGCGTGGTGTCTTATGCCTGTAACCCCAGCACTTTGGGAGGCTGAGGCAGGCAGATCACTCGAGGTCAGGATTTCGAGACCAGCCTGACCAACATGGTGAAACCCCTCGCTACTAAAAATACAAAAATTAATCGGGCCTGGTGGTACATGCCTGTAGTCCCAGCTACTTGGGAGGCTGAGGCAGGAGAATGGCTTGAACTCACGAAGTGAAGGTTGCAGTGAGCCGAGATCATGCCATTGCACTCCAGCCTGGGAGATAGAGCAAGACTCTGTCTCAAAAAAAAAAAGAAAAGAAAAGAAAAGAAATTTTAGAAATGTCTATATTCTATGAGAAAACAAAATGAGGCAGATCTCAAAACAAAATTGGTATCCCCAGTTGGTTTCTCAGAAATCTTTTTCTGGAAATTAGTGAGGTTTGCAGACCTCTGTCCGCAGTGGTGGATGGAAGTAGCATGTTTATTAATTTCAGTAGCACATTATTAAACCGAAGGAGTATTTTAGAATAATATAGGTTGGCCTTTCTTCTACCTTTGGGAGTTATTAAACCCTGGCTTTGATGTCCAGAGACCTCTTTCATTAGGCACAAGAATAATGATATGGTTGTTAACTTTTAACAACTCAAATGTTCCCCAATAAATGTGCTGAGTGGTGGTACTGACCAGTAAAGCAAAAAGCCTGCAATTTGCCTGTACATGGATTACTAATGCCAACTTTTGTTGATACTAAAAGGAACTGGAAGGGAAATTCCATACTTGTCAGCTGCTCTCTAAAATTACACCAATTCTGCATAGGCAATTAAAGCCTTGAGATTATAACCAAACACTCATAAGTTTATAAACTCTGGAGAGGTGAAAAGCTGACATAGTTTTAGATGTAATGACATCTTATAAGCAAATGCTTTCAACATTTCAAACACAGCATGCCTTGCTATCTGGTGTGGGAAGAAAGAAGAAGGGAAGGGTCATTCTCCTTTTACCTTACAAATGTGTGTGGGCAAATGAATGGCTTTATGATGTCCACATCGCTGGCCTTTGTGAAAGAGAATTCGGAATTGGATCACCAAACTATCTTCATAAAAATAGGATACTCAGCCGGGTGCAGGGGTTCAGCCTGTAATCCCAGCACTTTGGGAGGCCAAGGCAGGAGAATTGCTTAAGCTCAGGAGTTCAAGACCAGCCTGGCCAACATAGTAAGATCCTGTCTCTACTAAAAATGCAAACATTAGCCAGGCGTGGTGGCGCCTGCCTGTAATCCCAGCTACTCAGGAGGCTGAAGCAGGAGAATCACTTGAAACTGGGAGGCAGAGGTTGCAGTGACCAGAGCACACCACTGCACTCCAGCCTGGATGACCAAAAAAAAAAAAAAAAGATATTTGCCATCTCTAACAAGCTATTGTATTTGCCAAAAGAGTACATTGTAAACCCTACTAGGATTATTTTACCATGACCATCCAACATTCTTTGATTAGTTAAATGTGGAAAGAAACATTTTCTTAATTAAGCAATTCTTAATTCAAGGCCCAATGTGGAATAAAGCATTTGTTCAGAGTGGTGTGGGTGTTTTGACTGCTCAAAATATGGTAAGAGCTTTTACTCCACAGTCTAAATGGAAAAAGCAGTAAGGTAATATAATAGGTTGACCGCACATTTCTTCTTTTAAAAAAATAAATAAATAAAATAATTTATTTATTTATTTAATGTAGAGACAGGGTCTCCCTATATTGCCCAGGCTGGTCCCGAACTCCTGGGCTCAAGTGATTTTCCTGACTTGGCCTCCCAAAGGGCTGGGATTACAGGTATGGGCCACCACACCCAGCCATTGACTACACATTTCTACCCTGTGGGTGCCTCAGGGGGTTGGCACTTCTGGCCAAGAATTTGAGTCTGGTCTGGGTATTTCCTAGATTTGCAAACTGGCACCCACTGCTGGTAAATGCAAATGTTCACTCCCAAGAATGAGAGTTGGGAAATTTGTTCATTTCCATCCCAGTTAGGTACATCAGGTACAGAAATAATGAAGTTATCTTAATTAAAAGAACACAACTGGACTACAAAGTGGTTGCACAGCACCCCAGGGATAGAAAAATCCAGCCCTGCTGGCAGTTTCTCTATGAACAACTCAAGCCTTTTGTCCATCTTGTGCATTTTGAATCTGAGGGCAAAACCGGTAATCTTCTTTCAGGGTCTGGGGACCTATGATCAGAATACATTTTGCTCTGTTAAGACTCAGTCTTGGGCAAAAGGAAAAATTTCTAACATAGGAAAGGATCAAGCAGTGGTTTTACATGCAGTCTTCACAGTACAGGGGCTATGTAAATTGTCATTTGTGTTTTAAAATGTGGATATGTAGACTGAGCGTGGTGGCTCATGCCTGTAATTCTAGCACTTTGGGAGACCCAGGCAGAAGAATCATCTGAGGCCAAGAATTTGAGACCAGCATAGACAACATAGCAAGACCCCATCTATAAAAAAGTCAAAATGTAGATATGTAAATATACACTTATATTTTAGCATATACATATAGCCTGGTATATACATATACCTTTTTTTCTGGAAGTATACACAAGAAATATTATTTTTTCATGGAAGGACTAAAGGATATGGGAAGGAAACTTCACTACCTATTTTATACCCTTCTATATTTCACTTTTACCATAGATATTTATTACTTTTTAAAATTAACAGGTTATTTTGATGGAATATTTAAATTTTGGAATGTTCAGATATTGTGAAATATTTAAATTTTCCTTATAGGTTTTTAATGTTAAAACTGAATATTATCTAAAAGAATAAAAAAAAGTTTCCAAAAGTGTTTTAGTTACCACATTAAAGAATAAAGACAAAAGTAGAGAAAGTACCAGAAATTTTTATAAATTTCCAAAATTTTATGAAAATAAAAGATTTGAGTCTCAGCCTCCTGAGTAGCTGGGACTACAGGCACATGGCATCATGCCCAGCTAATTTTTTATATTTTTTGTAGAGATGGGGTCTCACCGTGTTGCCCAGGCTGGTCTTGAACTCCTGGACTCAAGAGATCCACCGCCTTGGCCTCCCAAAGTGCTGGGATTACAGGCGTGAGCCACCATGCCCAGCCAAATTTATATTTTATATGTATTATTTTTTAATGAATTAAGTATAAATGGGACTCCTTGGTATTTGTTATTCATTTACTGATTCAACAAATATTTATCAAGTATGTACCACATTCCATTAAAGGAGCTAAATGCCTGAATTCAAAAATACATAAAACACAGTGCTTGCCTTCAATGCAATCACAATCCAGTGCCTTTACTTTGCAGAAAGGATGATGTCATCTCCTCAGGGAACTCCTTTTATTGTCTTCCTCGGCACTTTACAGTCAGAACATAAATTAATATTAAAATCAGAATCAAGAGAATATGTTTTTCCCTGTATCCTATATTCTTATAATTAATTATAGGCCATCTTAGTAGTTATTTTAATGTAGAAGCTAAAGTAAGAGACTAGTTAGGCCGGGTGGCTCACGCCTGTAGTCCCAGCACTTTGGGAGACTGAGACAGGTGAATTGCTTGAGCTCAAGAGTTCGAGACCAGCCTGGGCAACATGGTGAAACCCTGTCTCTACTAAAAATACAAAAATTAGCCCGGCATGGTGGCACATGCCTGTAGTCCCAGCTACTCAGGAGAGGTGAGGTGGGAGGATTGCTTGAGCCCAGGAAGTCAAGTTTGCAGTCAGCCATGATCACACCACTACACTGCAGCCTGGGCAACAGAGCAAGACCCTGTCTCAAAAAATAAAAAATAAAAATAAAGAGACTAGTTAATTCATCTGAGCAGTTACCTTAAAAATACATATTTACTTAGGAAATAGTAGGAATTTTTTTAAAAAAGAAAAATACCTATTTACAAACAAGATAAATAAACAAAATGTTTCCAGAATTCTATTCTGATACTCAAACACACAAGACACTCACTGGTAGGCAAGTTAGCTATTATTTTTATTATTCACATACAATCATTTGCCAAAATCCCTTGCCAACTTCAGAAGAATTCTCAAAAACTGACTCTGTGGTGCATCACTAAAGAAATCTCATAAATGCTTCTAAAATCTTGATTTCTTAGCCTTTTTCCATCACTAAAGCCTACCATTAAATTGCAGTCATCTAAAAAAGAATAGAGTGGCCAGGTGCAATGGCTCACACATGTAATCCCAGCACTTTGGGAGGCGGATCACAAGGTCAGGAGTTCAAGACCTGCCTGGCCAGCATAGTGAATTCCCATCTGTACCAAAAATACAAAAATTATCTGGGCATGGTAGCAAGCACCTGTAATCCTAGCTACTCGGGAGGCTAAGGCAGGAGAATTGTTTGATCCCAGGAGGCAGAGGTTGCAGTGAGCCGAGATCGCACCACTGCACGCCAGCCTAGGTGACGGAGCAAGACTCCATGTCCAAAAAAAAAAGAAAAAAAGAGTAGAGCCCAGGAATAGACTCTACATAAGCAACAATCTAGGTTTTAATCCTTGCTGTTTATTGTCTCCAAAATACATTTAAAAGTGAATTAATTAAAAATACTTTTAATGTTATTCAAAAGGATAACACCAATTGAAAAACCTCATGTGAGTATAAAATCAACAGCTGATTCGAAATGGCACATGGAAAATGTGTAGCCTTTCATCATGAAAAATGTCTAACCTTGTGATAGCACCAGAGTTGCAATCCTTTGCAAAGGATTCTGTTAACATATTTAATATTCCATGATAAATAAGGATCTGTGGTAGTTGACAAGCTTAAAGGAGAGCAAATGTGTAGATGACATACTTCCTAAGGTTCTTATCAGCTCTGAATTCTATAACAAGACAGAAATATTTGGTATAGTTCATCCTATTATTTTTGCTGTTGTTCATTCTCATTCCATCATGATTATAATTGTGTGACTTTATTATTGTGAGTTCCCTAAAATTTGCTAACTCCTTTCTCTAGCCACTTGTACCTAAAGGTTTACACTTTCTTTTTAGGGTCTCATTTTCTATACTGAATGGCCCCATGGCCACAATGAAGAAAGTCACCCTCACACTCTTAAATAATCACATCATTTTTATTGGCTTTGGTTTTTATACTTTTAAATGTATAACCATTCTAAGTAGCTAAGAAAACTGTTCATGGCTTAGCAGTTTTGCAGAACAATATAATCAAGAACACAGAAACATCCTTCTCATGGTTCCAACAGTCTCTCTATAACCACACTCCTTACAGAAAACATGTAAATGTAGAAAGATAAGATACATAACCACAAGCTTCACTACCATTTTTGTCTCCTCTATGATAACACACTGTGTCGGTTCACTCTTCTATCTATGTGGCTGCTGAAAGGTCCACCACTTCTCCTGTTTCTTCTTCTTTGGTTTCAGCCCCTTCACTCACTTTCTCATTCTCCATGTCTGTTTCCACCTTTTCCCCTGTCTCACCTGGAAAAGTAACCAAAGGAGATACTAAGAGACATTTATTTAGAATTAACATAAATTATCCCACAGTTTGTCTCCAATGGGGGCAGTTCTTGATCTTCAGGTCTAAGCAGTAAGTTTCTCTGGGGGTATCAAGAAAAGTAATCATCTCAGCTGGGCACCGTGGCTAACACCTGTAATCCAACACATTGGGAGGCCAAGGAAGGCGGATTGCCTGAGGTCAGGAGTTCAGGAGCCTAGCCCAAAGTAATGAAACCCCGTCTCTACTAAAAATACAAAAATTAGCTAGGCATGGTGGCACAAGCCTGTAATCCCAGCTACTCGGGGGGCTGAGGCAAGAGAATCACTTGAAGCCGGGAGGCAGAAGTTGCAGTGAGCTGAGATCACGCCACTGCACTCCAGTCTGGGCGACAGAACGAGACTCTGTCTCAAAAAAAAAAAAAAAAGGAAAAGAAAAGTAATCATCTCGATTCTCTCAGAGCCTCTGAATGGCTGAAATGTCGAGTCAATTAACATCTCGAGTCTTGGCATACTCTTATGAAAGAAATGCTCTCTATAAAATCAGGATGCAAAATTACCAAAGAAATGGTGGTAGAACAGATTATAATAGAAAGTTCATGGCCAGGTGTGATGGTTCCCACCTGTAATCCCAATGCTTTGGCAAGCTGAGGCAAGAGGATCACTTGAGGCCAGGAGTTCAAGACCAGCCTGGGCAACAAGACCTCCTGTCTTTACAAAATATTTTTCAAAAATTAGCTGGACAGCTGGGCGTGGTGGCTCACGCCTATAATCCCAGCAATTTGGAAAGCTGAGGCAGGCAGATTGCTTGAGCCTAGGGTCTGAGACCGGCCTGGCCAACATGGTAAAACCTTGTTTCTACAAAAAATACAAAAATTAACCAGGGATGGTGGCGCCCAGCTACTCAGGAGGCCGAGGAGGGAGAATGGATTGAGCTGGGAGGCAGAAGTTACAATGAGCTAAGAATACCACTGCACTCCAGCCTGAGTAACAGAGCAAGACTCTGTCTCAAAAGTAATAATTTTTTAAAAGAAAAAAAAATTAGCCAGGCATGGTGGCACATTCCTGTAGTCCTAGCTACTTGAGAGCTGGGGCAAGAGGATCCCTTCAGTCCAGGAGTTGGAGATTATAGTGAGCTGTGATTGCATCACTGCACTCCAGCTTGAAGATCTTGTCTCGAAAGGAAGGAAGGAAGGAAGGAAGGAAGGAAGGGGAGAGAGAGAGAGAAGAAAAAGAAAGAAAAAAGAAAGAAAGAAGAAAGAAAGAAAGGAAGAAAGAAAGAAAGGAAGAAAGAAAGAAAGAAAGGAAAGAAAGAAAGAAAGAAAGAAAGAAAGAAAGAAAGAAAGAAAGAAAGAAAGAAAGAAAGAAAAAGAAAAAGAAAGAAAAAGAAAGTCTAATTTGTATCTAAATCAAAGGGTGGTCCAGGGGTGCCCCTAAACCTGTCTGGCTTGGCCATTATGTGTTTAAAAACAATCGTTAAACATTTACAGACAGCCAACACTAACAAGTCTGGACATTGCACACACTTGCAGGAAACCCTGTTTCCCTGAGAAGTTGGCTTTGGCAACATTGGCCCTAGTTCCATGGCTGGAGCTGTGCGGAGCTTCCTCTTTTGACAAGGCTGTGCTCTCCTGTTTGCCAAGGTCCCCTGGGCTCCCACAGTATGACATGTGTCCTTCACCTCACTCATTTTCAGTATCCTAGGCCTAAAGACTTTTGAGTTTGCCAATCCTGATGTAAAAACTACCTGCTTTTATTTGCCTCTCCCAAGTTGTTCCCAGGGCCCTTCTTACACATTCTTAGGAAAGCAGTTCCCACAACAGACTATGGTGATGCACGCACATCCTGCCTTCCCACACTAGACAGTGAGCCCCTTGAGGACAGAGACTATCTCTTCCTCAGTCTGCATCTCAGCACCTAGCATATGTTTAGGCATGCCAAAAAATGCTGAGTTAATAAATGAAAGAATTGGCCAGACATGGTGGCTCATGCCTGTAATCCCGGCACTTTGGGAGGCCGAGGCGGGTGGATCATGAGGTCAGGAGCTGGAGACCAGCCTGGCCAATGTGGTGAAACCCCGTCTCTACTAAAAATACAAAAACTAGCCGGGCATGGTGGTGTGCGCCTGTAGTCCCAGCTACTCAGGAGGCTGAGGCGGGAGAATCGCTTGAACGCAGAAGGTGGAGGTTGCAGTGAGCCGAGATCACTTCACTGCACTCCAGCCTGGGCAACAGAGCAAGACTCCATCTCAAAAAATAAATAAATTAATTAAATAAAATAAATAAATGAAAGAATTAAACAAAAACAGATGGATGATTATAATGAATGCTTCACTTAAGTATACTGAACTGTGAAGCTAAAATTTACCAAAATGTAAATCATACCCCAGAAGAAAATATTTTTTTAAATTATAACACCAATAAAGAACACTGTAAACATCATTTGTTTTATGCTGGTAAAATACAGTTAAAATTTTAAAACACCATATGCTAAGACATAGTACATTTTCTCTGGTCTTCTCATACAGATTTTAAAACTGCAGAAGAACAAGAGCAGACTGACAGTCATTTTCTTTTTCCTTTTTTCTTTCTTTTTTTTTTTTTTTCTGGAGAACAAGGTCTCACTATGTTGCCCAGGCAGGTCATGAACTGCTGGGCTCAAGCTATCCTCCCACCTCTGCCTCCTGAAGTGCTGGGATTACAGGTGTGAGCCACTGCACCCTGTCCTGACAGTCATTTTCTAAGATAAGCTTCACAAAGATGAAAATAACATTCTAAGATCCATTATGTATATATCATTTCATTGGAAGGTGAATTCCTCCAGTAATCATCTATTCACCTTTACTTTGGATCCTGATTTCATACATGGGGCCTGATGAAGTGTCAACTTGGAAAAATTCAGAAAGTTTCACATGTTGCCTTCAATGTTAGACACTATTTAAACACTAGGTTAAAATTTTGGACAGAGATGATGTTTCGGAAAAGTTTTGCTGACAAACTGAGCATTAATAGAATGCCTCTTTCCCAGGCACAGAAGCCTTTTTGGTTTGGTCAAACGAACTTCAACCACCTGAAAGTGACTTCAGGGACTGTGTGTCAGTCACCCCATCCCACTCCCCAGAGCTGGTCTCCTATGGAGCACATCTAAACATCCAGGTTTGCCAGCATAACTTTTACCTTCAATGCGTTGGTCCTCTTCATTAGTATGGATGTTCCTGATCATTTCCACATATGCTCCTGCCTCTACATTTCGTGCTGGATGCTCCATGCTTCCAACTATTCCTTCAGGTTGAATCTGCTCCATGTTTCCTGGACCTTCAGGAGTTTTATGGAATGGATCATTCATAACAGGCTTTTCCACAAGCTGACTTCTGTCCAATACTTCTGGTGTTACATTCTCTTTGGGAATTCTTTCTAGAAGCTGGGGCTGCTCCTCTTTTCCCAATGTTGCCTGAAGTTGCTGCTCTTCAGCTGTTTCCACAAACTGACTTCCTTCCAATATTTCTGGAGATTCATTCTCTTTGGAAATTGTTTCTAGAAGCGGGGCCTGCTCATCCTTTCCCACTGTGCCCTGAGGTTGTAGCTCTCCAGCTATTTGCAGAGTCAGAACGTTCTCAGTTGTTCCTAGAGGCTTCATCTCTGCAGCAGTTTGTGGATTCTCAGTGACCTCCACTGCTCTGAGAGAGTCCTTCTCTACTGCTGCCTGCAAAGGCTGACCCTTGGCTTCTGGTCCTAAAGGCTGAGCTTCAGCATTTCCTTTTAGAGACTCGGCCTCTGTCCCTGCTCCTGCATCTTTCTTCTTTCCTTCTGCTGCTGGGGCATCCTCTTTGCCACCTGGTTGAGGCGGCCCAGATTCCTCCAGTCCCTCTCCAGGCTGAGTCTTTTCTGTGGACCCTGATTGGTCTGTGGCATCCCTTCCAGGGGCTACGTCCTTGGCCAGGGGCTGTTCTTGGAGGGGTTTAACACCATTAGCTGTAGGCTCTGCTGAAACCTTGAGCTTTTGTAAGGGAGGACGGCTTTCCCTTTGTACATTGCCATCAACAGTAGATTCTCTTCCCAGTGCATGTGGCTTTGGTTGGGCAAAGCAGGACTCACTTTCTTCTGCAGTTGAAAAATGCTCATTTGAAGTTACTTTGGTTATTCATTTGAAAAAGAAAAAGAAAAGAGAAAACACAAATTATTGTTTAGTTTTATCTTGAAAAGTGAATTGACATCACAAAGTAGATTTAACAGTTCAAGACAGTTCCAAATATATCTGAGTACAGAAAGGCCATACCATGACCCTAACACTCTCCCAGTCAAATCCCTTTATTGTCTTCAGCTCAAACATTTAATCTTAAGCGCTGAAGTCCTCCAAAACCACAGTTTTCTCCTGTTTGCTCCTTGTGCATCTTTTCATGGCTCCTGTCCCAGATTCTAACTGAGCTTACTCTGTTTCTCTCTTCTTTTCCTTGTCTCACACTTTCTCCTCTTGAGACTTAGAAGGTTTCCTTTTTAAAAAATTTTTTTTCCATTTTTGTTTTGGCGGGGAGGGCAATAGAAGATTCCCAAACTTAGAAGGTTTCATGATGCGAGGTCCTTGGGCTGCTAGAGAGGTCTTACTTTCCTTCTAACACAGGAAAGCCCCCAGCAAATGGAAAAAGGACTGTGGCAGAGAAGCCCTAATAGGTAAAGGCTAAGATGTCTGGGAAGGGAAGTAGCAGAGACAGTTCAGCCTGAGTTTCATGTCATTTGGGGGGCACAGTGGGAAAAGAAATCAACAGAAAGCAGAGAAACATGCATTTTACTTCTGGCCATTGTTCCAACTGTATGAGCTTGGAAACTTAGCTCCCAATGATCTTGTCTCTAAAACAGCAGTGAATCTCTCTTCTCTCCTTCATATTGATCTCAGAGTTGCATGAGGCGTGATAGTTTAAAAGATGCAAAAGTGAGTTGGATAGTTTAAGATAAGCAATATGTTTAAGATTGGCAATATGTTAATACTCTTTGACCCAGCAGTTCTGCTTCTGGAAATTTTTGTTGTTGTTGTTTTACTTCTTGAAAATTTAATCTAAAAGCATAAACCTTATGAAGATGCTTTGGGAGAGAATATATATATATATAATCCCAATATTCTTCCATTTTTTTATTTTTGTTTTACTTTTCTATTTAGAGACAGGATCTCACTATGTTGCCCAGGCTGATCTTGAACTCCTGGGCTCAAGTGATCCTCCTGCTGCAGCTTCCCAAAGTCCTAGGATTTATAGGCATGAGCCACCACACCCACCCCACATTGTTTTTTATAGCAGCAAAAGCTAGAAAACAACTTAAAAGTCTAATAAGTTCAAGAACACATAAATATTCCATGGTGTGGAATATTATTATACCATGAAAAAAGATGATTATGAAGACCATATGCTAAAATAAGAAAATAATTATGATACAATAAGTTTAGAAATCACTCATGATTAGGTTGATCAAATAAAGTAATGCATATAAAGTACTTATTAACCCAAAGTCTACTGTGTGATTAAGTGCTCAACAAGTTAGCTATCAATTTTATATAAAGTATGATTATGGCAATGTTGAAAGAAAGGCAGGGAGGGGAGGGAGGGCAAAAGGGGGAAAACAAATCACAAATGATGGGGGAGGAAAGCTGGAAGAAAATAAGTCAAAAGTTAAAGTGGGTCTCTAGGGGATCTTTTTCTTCATCTTTTTTCCCCCAAAGATTGTTTTTCTTCTTTTCTTTTTTCCCAAAGATTGTTTTTCTTCTTTTCTTTTTTCCCTCTAAGTTACCATCCACCTCAGTCATATGTGCATGCAGTTTAAAGAGTTATCTGCTTATCTAGTGTAAGCTAAAAACAAGTAATACTCGGGTCTCCTCTCCCATTTACCCTTCTAAAAAAGAAATATTTGCTTATAGAAGCAAATATTTTAATTCTTTTAGCTGTTTTGGAGGAATTTTTTTTCTATGTTGCTAAATGAATTGTGCTTCAGGATTTTTCAGTTTGGACCTTTCAATTAACTTTTTTTATTTTTTAAATAGAGATGTGGTCCCACGTGGTTCGAGTTGCCCAGGCTGATCTCAAACTCCTGGGCTCAAGTGATCCACCTGCCTTGACTTCCCAGAGTGCTAGGATTATAGGCGTAAGCCACCACGCCCGTCTCAATTAACTTTTACTATGGAAGATAAAAACTTAGCTCTTTTCCTATTCTCCTTGACCACCAGCCACTCTCTCCAATTACACATTCACATTTCCTTTTTTTTTTTTTTTTTGAGACGGAGTCTTGCTCTGTTGCCCAGGTTGGAGTGTGGTGGCGCGATCTCGGCTCACTGCAAGCTCCGCCACCTGGGTTCACACCATTCTCCTGCCTCAGCCTCCCGAGTAGCTGGGACTACAGGCACCCACCACCACGCCCGGCTAATTTCTTTGTATTTTTAGTAGAGATGGGGTTTCACCATGTTAGCCAGGATGGTCTCGATCTCATGACCTCGTGATCCACCCGCCTCAGCCTCCCAAAGTGCTGGGATTACAGGCGTGAGCCACCGCACCCGGCCCACATTTCCTTTCAGTTCAGTGATTATATATTAATTATTTAAAATACTAATGTTGTAATTTGGATTATATCAATATCCAAATGTATGTCTGTATAATGACTGTGTCTTCTATGAAGAACTGAGCCATATATTAAGCTATTACAATTTTTTATTTTTCCCCGAGTTAATAATTATCATACTTTTTCATTTCCTAGGAGTTCACGTATTATCATTTATTCAACTCACTGCCATTTTTCTCTCTTTTGAACACATGTATTCATATCAAACAGCCTATCAATTTAATCTTCATGAAGATGAAGGACTTACTGAGGTACCAAGCCACCAGCTCCAGAGCATTTTAAGGATCCTGCGGTATCAGGGGTGGTTCTCAGTTTTCTCTACTGCTAATCAAATTAAGCTTTCCTTGGCATGTTAAGTGAGTTATCACATGTCTGTCTGCTTCCTAAACTCCAGTATTGTTCTATTATTGTCTTTTTTTCTGTTCTTCCTATCTCTGTGGGTTTAAACTATTTTTTAAATCTCTTTACTGTCATTTTAGTGGTTTTTCAGGAAGGCACAAAATTAGATCCATATCTTCAATCTACCACCTTCACCAACACCTCCGAAGATGCTTTAATGATTATTTATAATGAAAAAAAGAAAACTTTCCAAATGAAAACATGGGATGTACAAAAGCAGTTTACGTACAAAGATGAAAACTACAGGCTCTGCTCTCTGGTACCACAGGTGAAGCCATCAGAAGCAGTAATCTAACAAAAACAATCCCATGCGATAAACGCTGTGTGACCCCTGTGTGCACACAGTGGCAAGAAGTCACACATGAGTTGAGTGTGCTGAGATAGTTTGCGAGCCCCAGGAGAACACGTGGGGAAGCCTGGAGGACTCAGGAAAGGATAGTGCGGCTGGAGGCTGGCGCAGAAGCCAGGTCATGGAGGGCCCTGCAGGTGGTGCTAAAGAGTTTAGATTTTTATCCTCGAAGCAAGAAGAACAAGAATTTCTAGCAGGACTTTTTTTAAAAGTTAAATAAATATACATGCACCATATAGCTCAGCCATTTAACTTATAGGTATTTTCCCAAGAGAAAAGAAACCACATGTCCATACATTTATACACAAATGTTCATAGCATCTTTATTTGTAACAGCCCAAACCCGGAAACAACCCAAGTGTCCATCAACAGGTGAATAGGTCAAAAAATCTGTGGAACGGCCGGGAGCGGTGGCTCACGCCTGTAATCCCAGCACTTTGGGAGGCCGAAGTGGGCGGATCACGAGGTCAGGATATCGAGACCATCCTGGCTAACACGGTGAAACCCCGTCTCTACTAAAAATACAAAAAAAAATTAGCAGGGCGTGGTGGCGGGCGCCTGCAGTCCCAGCTACTCGGGAGGCTGAGGCGGGAGAATGGCGTGAAACTGGGAGGCGGAGCTTGCAGTGAGCCGAGATCGCGTCACTGCACTCCAGCCTGGGCGACAGAGTAAGACTCCGTCTCAAAAAAAAAAAAAAAAAAAAAAAAAAAAAAAAAAAAAAAAAAGGCTGTGGAACGTTCACACCAGGGAATACGACCCAGTAATAAAAAAGAAATGAACAATTGATAAGTGCAACAACATGGATGATTTTCGGAATAATTATGCTGAGTAAAAGAAGACAAAAAGATTACATAGCATATAATTCCATTTATATAAACTCTAGAAAATACTAACTTATCTACAGTGGTAGAAAGCAGAACGGTGGCTCTTTGGAGACTGGGATTGGGTAGACAGGAGGGAGATTTCAAAGGGGCACAATCTTGATTGTGCTGATGCTCCCATGGTGTACAGATAAACCAGAGTTTACTAAAATGTACACTATAAATATGTACAGTTTATTGTAAGTGAATTATACCTCCAAAAAACTGATCATTTTTGAAATATAAAAATAAAAGATAACTAAAAAAAAGAATTGTGAGCAGAGAAATGAATCAATCCAATCTGGATTTTAAAAACCTCCCAGCTGGGTGCGGTGGCTCACACCTGTAATCCCAGCACTTTGGGAGGCTGAGACGGGTGGATCACCTGAGGTCCGGAGTTCGAGACCAGCCTGGCCAACATGGTGAAACCCAGTCTCTACTAAAAATACAAAAATTAGCCAGGCGTGGTTGCATGCACCTGTAATCCCAGCTACTTGGGAGGCTGAGGCAGGAGAAAATTGAACCCGGGCGGCAGAGGTTGCAGTGAGCCAAGATCACGCCATTGCACTCCAGCCTGGGGGACAAGAGCGAGACTTCGACTCAAAAACAAACAAACAAAATACTCCCGCTGCAGAATGAATTAGAGGCAGGCAACACAGAAGTCAATGTGTCCAGTGACACAGGGCAAATAGGACTCAGAAATGAGAAGTAAAAATGACTGGACATAATGACAGTTCAGGGGCTGAAAAGAGCGACAGGGAGGGTCTAGAGAAACACTGGTTCATAGCTCTGATGCTGGAGATAGAAAATATAGGATAGGCCGGGCACAGCATGCCTGTAATCCCAGCACTTTGGGAGGCTAAGGCAGGAGGATCACTTGAGGCCAGGAGTTCAAGACCAGCCTAGGAAATATAGCGAGACCTGATGTCTACAAAAAAAAAAAAAAAATTAAAATTAGCTGGGCATGGTGGTGTGAACCTGTAATACCAGTTACTTAGAAGGCTGATGGGGGAGGATCACTTGAGCCCAGGAGTTTGAGGCTGCAGTGAGCTGTGATCGTGCCACTGCACTCAGCCTGGGCAAGGGAGTGAGACCCTGTCTCTAAAAATATGTGTTCGAGGGATGGGAAGAGGGATAGATGGATTTAGGGCAGTGAGAGACACATGAATTGCTCAGGCTGGGGCATGGTATCTTGGAGATGGTTGTAGATTTTACATCCTGGTGGCAAATCCGGGAGGCTGTTGGACGTATAAATCTCGGCTGGAAATATATGTAACAGCCTAGAGCTGAGCTCTCTATCTTATTAACAAATTTGCTTTTTGAGAAAGGGGTAGTTTTACATAGAGGTTCCTGTGAGGAGGGGAAATGAGGAGGGTAGTGGTGTGTGTGTGTGTGCATGTGTGTCAATATCTGCATCCCCACCCTGCCTCAGAGACTAGGTGTGAATCCTCCTGCAGAGAGGGAATAGAGCTGGAAGTAGAGAAGCAGAACTCAAGAAAAACCTGATGAGACTTAGGGCTCAATTAGAATTGAGGGGAGGGCTATTTTTCACCTCCCCCTCCTGCCTCATCATGAATGAAGACTTCAAATTAATTGCAAGTAAGGTGACTTAATCAAGGTGATTTTTCAGGTCTAAAAAGAAATTCATCCTGAGAAAACAATGCATTTAGATATCACACAAATGATGGTCTGGTGATAATTGCCTTAGGGAATAAACCAGGAAATGTGTTAATGTACTAATCACAGATGTCTGCCAAATTATATTTTCTGGTAAAATTGTTATTACAGTGATTAGTATTGTCGGTTAAGTGAGACAAACCATTTTCATCCACCTGTGCCAATCATGAGTACATTCGAAAGGCATTATTCTCCTAGAGCAAAAATTGTGCAGAAAAAAATGTGCCGACACACCCAAAACACAGCCACACAATTTTACATTCTGAAAAACATATTATGCTATCAGTCTAAGTTTTCTCCCACAATAAAAAGCTTTGCGAAAGTTTGAGAAAATTGATTTCTCCACAGATGGTGTCATAAGTGTCCAAGTGATCCGTCAATTTTTGCCATAGCTATAATATTTATACCCATGATCACAATATCCATTCACTTTCATTCTTTTATTGTCGTTGTTGAGACAGGGTCTCAATCCGTCACCAAGGCTAGAGTGGAGTGGCATGACCATAGCTTACTGCAGCCTCAACCTCTCAGGTTCAAGTGATCCTGCCACCTTAGCTTCCCAAGTAGCTGGGACTACAGACATGTGCCACCACGCCAGGCTAAGTGTTAAATATTTTTAGAAACAGCGTCTCTCTATGTTGCCCAGGCCGATCCATTTTCATTCTTTTTTTTTTTTTTTGAGATGGAGTTTTGCTCTTACTGCCCAGGCTGGAGTGCAATGGTGTGATCTTGGCTCACTGCAATCTCTGCCTCCCAGGTTCAAGCGAGTCCCCTGCCTCAGCCTCCTGAGTAGCTGGGACTATAGGCATGCGCCACCACACCTGGCTAATTTTGTATTTTTAGGAGAGATGGGGTTTCTCCATGTTGGTCAGGCTGGTCTCGAACTCCCGACCTCAGGTGATCCACCCACCTCCACCTCCTGAAGTGTTGGGATTACAGGCAGGAGCCACCGTGCCCAGCCAGTTCTTATGTAACTTTCCCAATTTTACTGGTACACTGGAAGTAGGCAAGTGTCCACAGCGTATACTTTTATAAAACACAACCTGAAAATAGTCAACCAAGTTGGGCAACTTTACAAAAGAATGTCATTGTCTTTTAATATTTTTTTTGTGGTAGCCCAAAGGACATATAATACCTTTAAAATGACCATACACACACAAAATAGGGAAAATGCTAGAAGGGCAGGGCCACATTTACTTCGTAATTTATATTGATTAATTGCACTCTAAATTTTGAAATGGCTGTATTTCAGAGGCAGTAGCTCTCAAGGAATAGCTCAGAAGTTCTTTTCCCTATGTGATAGAAGAGACAAATCTGCTCTAAGAGGACAGACACTTTATGACCTTGAAAAGGACACCTATAGACCTACAGTATAGGGGAATTTTTTTTTTTTTTTTAGACGAAGTTTCATTCTTGTTGCCCAGGCTGGAGTGCAATGGTGCAATCTCAGCTCACTGCAACCTCCGCCTCCTGGGTACAAGCAATTCTCCTGCCTCCGCCTCCTGAGTAGCTGGGATTACAGGCATGCACCACCATGCCTGGCTAATTTTGTATTTTTAGTAGAGATGGGGGTTTCTCCATGTTGTTCAGGCTGGTCTTGAACTCCCGACCTCACGTGATCTGCTCGCCTTGGCCTCCCAAAGTGCTGGGGTTACAGGCGTAAGCCACAGCACCCGGCCAGTGTAGTGGATTATAACTCCAGTTCCTGCACTTACTAGCCTCTCTCTGCCTCAGTTTCATCACCTGTAAAGTGGGAATAGTGTTATTACTGAACCAGGGAACTGACATGAGGATTACATGAGATAATACTCAGAAAGAACTAGTACAGAGACTAGCACCCACTAATCTTGTCAATCTTAGCATCACTATTGTTATACCTCCCGTAGTGGCCCAAACAAGGGTGAAATTAGGTGCACAGTGTCTGGGTGTGGTGGCTCACACTTGTAATCTCAGCACTGTGGGAGGCCAAGGCAGGTGGATCACTTGAGCCCAGAAATTCGAGACCTGCCTGGACAACATGGCGAAACCTGTCTCTACCAAAAAATTTAAAAATTAGCTGGGTATGGTGGTGCAGGCCTGTAGTTCCAGCTACTCAGGAGGCCGAGATGGGAGGATAGCTTGAGCCCAGGAGGTTCAGATCACAGTGAGCCATGATTGTGCCACTGCACTCCAGCCTGGGAGACAGAGCAAGACCCTGTTTCAAGAAAAAAGAAAAAAAGAGAGAGAGAGAGAGAGAGAAAGAAATTATGATGTACAAACAGAAAAGTAAGGTGATTTCATTCATTCCAATATTGGTACATTTCTGTGATAGAAGAAAGATTAGGCTGGGCACAGTGGCTCACGCCTGTAATCCCAGCACTTTGGGAGGCCGAGGCGGGCAAATCACTTGAGGTCAAGAGTTCGACCAGCCTGGCCAACATGGTGAAACCCCATCTCTTCTAAAAAAATTAAAAAATTAGCTGGCCATGGTGGCGAGTGCCTGTAATCTCAGCTACTCGGAAGACTGAGGCTGGAGAATTGCCTAAACCTGGGAGGCAGAGGTTGTAGTGAGCCAAGATCATGCCAGTGCACTCCAGCCTGGGCAACAGAGGAAGAAGGAGAAGGAGAGGGAGGGGGAGGGGGGACGGGAGGGGGAGAAGAAGAAGAAGAAGGAGAAGGAGAAGGAGGAGAAGAAGAAGGAGAAGGAGAAGAAGGTGAAGGAGAAGAAGAAGGAGAAGGAGAAGAAGGTGAAGGAGAAGAAGGAGAAGGAGAAGAAGAAATGAAAGATTGGAAAACAAATAGTTGTTTTGAACCATCTCTCAGAGAACACAATAAAGTCTACAATTACCACTCAAACTTCCTTTCTGGCTCCAGATTACATAACCCTCAGCTTATTCTTACTCTTGCGCTGCTGAAGGAAGTTCATTTTTTAATGTGTTTGATCTCCCTCCCTTCCCTCTAGCCTAAAGCAGAGCATTGAGACTGTTCTAGCACTGGGTGTGAATCCTGACTCCACCATTTACTTACCTGTGCAATCTGGACAAGTTAGTTCCTAACCTCTCTGGATCTGTTTCCTTATCCATAACATGTGGGTATTGTTTGCCTTTCAGGCTTGTTAGAATTGACAGAGTGGATAATGTGTGTAATTTGCCCAGCATGGTATCTGACATGAAAAGGTAGCCACACTAAACAGGGACACAGCGCACAGCTGTACAAGCTTCTCACTGCACGGGGCAGAACTGCATGCAGCCTTGGTGCATCTGCAAGGGTGCATGTGATGTTGGTGGGGAAGGCCTCTTTCTAATTGTACAAAGTTCCCTTGAGTACCAGGAGTGACCTGTCAATAAATTATAGCTAAATTAGCAACAGAAAAGCTAACTTGCAACATTAAAGGGCTTAGATACACAGTCTCCTAAACACTATGAAGTTGTCAGTGTTGACCTACAAAGTTGTATTGTTATCATGGTACAGTTTAAAACATGATTATTGATAAATAATGGAAAAGTAGGCCGGGCACGGTAGCTCACCCTGTAATCCCAGCACTTTGGGAGGCTAAGGCAGGTGGATCACCCGAGGTCAGGAGTTCGAGACCAGACTGGCCAACATGGTGAAACCCCGTCTCTACTAAAAATACAAAAAATTAGCCGGGCTGGTGGTGGATGCTTGTAATCCCAGCTACTCGGGAGGCCGAGGCAGGAGAATCACTTGAACCCAGGAGGCGGAGGTTGCAGTGAGCCAAGATTGCGCCACTGCACTCCAGCCTGAGCAACAAGAGCGAGACTTCATCTCAAAATAAATAAATACATAAATAAAAGTACTTATAATGTTAGCAATGATTTAACTAAACTTGATTGGTGTTAATAAAGGCCATTCATAAATTATATATAAATAAATGTTTCATTCTGTTTGCTGGCTTTGATTTCACTCATTCATCACATTTTCATCAAGTGCATACTACAGGCAAGATCTGGGTGGGCACAGGGGTTCTAGCAGGTAACAAGATTTGGATTAGCTGGGCATGGTGGCATGCACCTGTAGTCCCTGCTACTCAGGAGGCTGACGTGGGAGGATTGCTTAAGCCCCAGAGGTCAAGGATGCAGTGAGCCATGATTGCGCCACTGCATTCCAGCCTGGGCAACAGACAGAGACCCTGTCTCAAAAAAAAAAAAAAAAAAAAAAGGAAAAAAAAAAAGAGGAAAATGTGGTCCCTGGTATCCTAGGGTTTACTGTCTTCGGGGAAATTCAAATAGCTACTCCCTTCATTAAGCACAACTTGGTGGCTACACATTACCTCTTACCCAAGTATTTCTATACACTCTGTCCGTATGATTTTGTGAATCCTCACCATACCTCCTCAAAGTAGAAAAAGGTACTACATCATTTCTTCTAGCAGGCTAACTTGAAAAGCAATGAGATATATTTTTGTCCACAAACAGGAGACATTCTATGCCTAATCTACGTTATTATATAATAAATATTGTAGACAGATGCGTTGTTTTCACATCTGAATTTGTTTAAAGATGTGTCTGTTTTCTGAACTCCACATTTCATCAAATCATACACTGCTCTGAGCCTAATCCTTTGGTGCTCATTATCTCCCTTGATTCTGTTGTAAATTGATCCATGCACAAATTCATTGTGACAGCTGAACTAACAGAACCCTTGTTATAAGCACCGTTGTGATAAGCACACAAAGAAACTAAATACTAGGCAACATTACAGAAGGGATTAGAACTAAAGCTAACATACCTGAAATTCACATTATGATGGAAGCTTTTCAACTCAGTTCATTACCCTAATCGGAAATGAAAAGTTTCTACCCAACAAAAAGAAAATCTTGTCAATATTTCCTATGACTATGCCATATCAGACATCCTAAAGACTTCACTGGCCTGTCTGCTGGGTTTTTGAGCGAATTTGTAAGGAAGGGGGTCCTGGTGTTTTTCCTTGCTGTCATCATTTCTAGGTTCCTGGAGCTTTTGAGGTTTTGGAACCAAGAATGTAGCACGAGTCAACCCCAGAGGAGTAGTCCACTCATCTTCCTTCTCATTTTCTTACTTTGCTTTTGCCTTAATTCCATTCTATCCTTCATCCATCCATCCAATCAACATTTGTGGAGCAGCATTATTCTAGATGTTTTTTCCCTTTTCCCACATCAAAGCATGTACGAACACTCTTCTGTGCCATGGCACAAATGCTAATTCCCAAGTGTGCATTCCATCAGCTGGTAGATGCTAACAGGGCACTCATTTTGAAGAAAGGTGAACTTAGGCTATATTCCATGTAACTGACATATAAAATTATCAACCAAAAAAATGATTTGAGGGTAAATAAAAATCAGTCAGACCACTTTTCTTTTTTAATAAAAGCACCTGAATTTACATATCTAGAATTCGTTTTGATCATCACAAAGTAAATGCGATGAAGTTGGATGATAAACTTAATGTTGAAATTTAAATATAGAGAAACAAGAATAGGCTAGGCATGGTGACTCACGCCTGTAATCCCAATACTTTGGCAGGCTGAGGTGGGAAGATTGCTTGAGCCCAGGAGTTTGAGATGAGCCTGGGCAACATAGTGAGACCTCATCTCTACAGAAAGAAAAAGAGACAGAGAGAGAGAAAGAGAAACAAGAACATAATTAGTAATTAGAAAGGTACTCTTGGAACAATTGTTGAACTCACATGGAGATGTGGACGCCTGCCTAGGGGAGAGGCTGAACTTTAAGAGCTACAGAGGCAAGTCTGTCATCAAACCATGACAAAGAGTTGTTTCCTTCAGATATACTTTTCCAATTTTATTTTCTTTAATTTCTTTTAGATTCCTATAAGATAAACTCTTATTTCAAAAACATGATAGCACAAAACATCACTTTAGAAATTATTGACAGCATTCATCACTGAAAAAAGAGAGTTTCATTGATGGATGGTCATTATTAGCACAAGGAAATCCAACATTTGCATAGAAATCCAGTTTATAAAATCAAAGCCATCTCACTGAACAAGGAAAGGAGACAGGAAGGAAGATGATGTCTGTCTCTGTATATATAATGACACTTCACCAACCCAAATAGGACTTGCCACCATGCTCCTCTGGGAAGGGGAACAGTGGTTGACATTCACTGAGGCACTGAGCCTGGAGCTTTGTGTGGATTATCTCATTCAATCTTTCCAACAACTCCATAGGGGGACTATTGTTATCCCCATTATATAGTTGAGGAAATTATAGCATCCTTTTTTTTTTTTAATAGAGACAGGGCCTCGCTATGTTGCCCAGGCTGGTCTCAAACTCCTGGCCTGAAGCGATCCTCCTGCGTTGGCCTTTTAAAGTGCTGGGATTACAGGCATGAGCCACCATACCCGGCCATTATAGCATCTTTATCTAAGAGGGGCACACAGCTAGTGAGTGGCACAGCTTAGGCTTAACCCCAAGGAAGTTTGATTCCACTTTGAAGATTTAGCTGCTTTTAAAAGCAAATTGCGGTCCCAGAGCCTGCACCATCAGCATGACCTGGGAATTTTTTTTTTCAATGCTGAATCTTGGGCTCCACCCCAGAATCTTAACCAGATTCTTCTGTATTTTAACAAGATCCCCAGATGATTAGGTTACCTATGGAGTCACCAGGGAAGGCATACAGGAGCTACTTGGAGAGACTGAACTAGATTGAACAATCCTATATGAATATACAGGATTGCTGGATGGGGATGTCCTTCATTCTCCACAGGCGTTGCTGCCTATCTTAGTGTGGTCTCTGTCCTCACACTAACATGCCATGGTCAGCATGAAAGATAATATAAGGATATTGATTTAGCCATGAATCAAAGGCCTGAGCTGGTTTAAGTGAGCTCCACGCTGGGGAGTGAGATTTTTTCCCAAGCTTCCTTCACTTCACAGAATTAGCTGGGTTTGCTAAGCCTCTGCCTTGGCTAGATCACGAGGAAAAAAAAAAAAAAAAGGCCTTCTAATTTCTCTTCTGAAATTAAGGTTAATACGGCTGGGCACGGTGGCTCATGCCTGTAATCCCAGCACTTTGGGAGGCCAAGGTGGGCGAATCACTTGAGGTCAGGAGTTCGAGACCAGCCTGGCCAACATAGTGAAATCCCGTCTGTACAAAAAATACAAAAATTATCTGAGCATGGTGGCGGGCGCCTGAAATCCCAGCTACTCAGGAGGCTGAGGCAGGAGAATCGCTTGAACTCAGGAGGCAGAAGCTGCAGTGAGCTGAGATCGCGCTATTGCACTCCAGCCTGGGTGACAGAGAGAGAGAGACTCCATCTCACAAAAAGCGTAAATGCTTGCTCTGCTTTGCACTCTAAGAGGGGTGGACAGACCCACCTCACCAATGTGATGTGGCTGCTTGCCAGGTTCGGTCACTGTGTCTATGTTTCACTCTGTCTGAGTACAGAGTACAAAGGCCCATGGTCAAAAGCAGGTGTCTGTGGCCAGGCACGGTGGCTCACATCTGTAATCCAAGCACTTTGGATGGGTGAATAACTTGAGCCCAGGAGACAAGCCTGGGCAACATAGCAACACCCTGTCTCAAAAAAAAAAAAAAAAAAAGGCAGGTGTGCTTGAGATGGGAGTTAGCAGTTAGCAACTGTGTGGCTGGGATGGAAGACTGAAATTTTACAACAGAGCAGTCCTATTCACACCAGACATTTGGGCCTCAAGCGTGGGGGCTCTGTGCACCCTGAAAGCCACTGGCACCAGAGAGAGCACTGGGGAGACCCAGGAGGAGAAAGATCTAAGGTCTTTCCGCTGACTGATTGCTGCCACCACTCTCTCAGGTTAGGCACCTACATGCAATTCAGATGACTTCAGTTCCATGCTTAGGAAACATAATAGATCACATTAAGCAAAGGGGGGATTTTCTTTTCCAGAATGAAAAGCCACTTGTAACAAAGCACAGGTTGTCCACTCACAACCTGATACACCTTTGAGGCCACCATTAAGCCTCCTGGTGTAAACATTTGAAAACTGAATTGAACGAGCTTCTTCATAAAGCAAAGCATAAGAAAAAGCTGCAACTTAGGAAGTAGGTTTGACCAAGAATCATGAACATAATTAAACTGGAAGATTTCAATAAGATTAGAACAGAAAATAAAAATCTGCCTTTTCGCCCATCATCAAACTTCAGAGTCTCCAGGAGGAATATTAGAGAAGTCTAGGGGGCAGTGAGAAGTCAAGTCAACCACATGTACCTTTGAGATGATGTGATGAGAAGGGCAGTTTATCTCTGTGGTCTTCCTCCCAAAAACCCATAACTCCAGTGTCATCATGAGAAAAATACCAGACAAATTCCAGTTGAGGAATCTTCCACAAAATACCTAACCAGTGCTCCTCAAAACTGTCAGAGTCATCAAAAACAAGGACAATCTGAGAAACTCTTAGCCAAGGGGAGCTGAAGGAGGCATGATGACTACATGCAATGTGGGATTCTGGATGGGACGCTGGAAGTGAAACAGGACATTAGAGAAAAACTAAGAACATCTGACTAAAGCATGGACTTTAGTTAGTAATCATGTAACAGATTTGGTTCATTAATTGTGACAAACATATCCTACTAACATAAGATGTTAAGAGGAAAGTGAGTGTGCAGTATATGAGAACTCTCTGTACCAACTTCATAATTTTTCTGTAAATCTAAAACTATTCTAAAATAAAATTTATTTTTAAAAATTATAGCAGGGAGGCCAAGGCAGGAGGATCACTTGAGGCCAGCAGTTTGAGACCAGCCTGGGTAACATAGTGAGACCTTGTCTTTACAAAAAATAAAAATATTAGCTGGGTATGGTGGTGCACAGCTGTAGTCTCAGCTACTCGGGAGGCAGAGGCAGGAGGATCACTTGAATCCAGGAAGTTGAGGCTGTACTCAGCCTGGGTGACAGAGTGAGACCCTGTCTCAAAAAAAAAAAAAAAGTAAATTAAAATGAAAAATAAAAAAATTATAGAAGCAAAAATATAAGAGCAAGTAATCTAGCTAAATAAGAAGACCTGGTAGCCTTAGAAAAACTGTCTCATAAACTGTAGCCATTCGCATACCACTTTTATGATTTTTGAATATTTCTTTACCATTTGTGCTATTATTGACTTAATATTTTTGTCACCATTTTTCTTTAAATAAATTTACTTTTTTAAAAAGTGAGGAAGGCCAGGTGAGGTGGCTCACACCTATAATCCCAGCACTTTGGGAGGCTGAGGCAGGCGGATACCTTGAGTCCAGCAATTAGGGACGAGGTTGGGCAACATGGCAAAATGTCAACTCTCCAAAAAACAAAAAAAAATTAGCCAGGTGTGGTGGTGCATGCCTATAGTCCCAGCTGCTGGGCTAAGGTGGGAGGTCGAGGCTTCAGTGAGTTGTGATAGCGCCACTGCATTCCAGCCTGGGTGACAGAGTGAGACCCTGTCTCTAAAAAAAAAAAAAGAAAAAGAGAGAAAAATTTAAAAAGTGAGGAAATCAACAAACTCAGGGATCTAGAACTTGATTTTAAACAAACACAAAAAGCTGGGTGCAGTGGCTCACACCTGTAATCCCAACACTTTGGGAGGCCGAGGTGGGTGGATCACCTGAGGTCAGGAGTTCGAGGCCAGCCTGACCAACATGGTAAAACCCTGTCTCTACTAAATATACAAAAATTAGCCGGGCATGGTGGCACCCGTCTGTAATCCCAGCTACTCCGGACGGTGATGCAGGAGAATCACTTGAACCCGGGAGAAGGAGGTTGCAGTAAGCCAAGATCACAGCACTGCACTCCAGCCTGGGCGACACAGCAAAACTCTGCCTCAAAAAAAAAAAAATTATATATATATATATATATATATATATATACATATATATATATATATATATATATATATACATATATATATATATATATATATATACATATATATATATATATATATATATATAGAGAGAGAGAGAGAGAGAGAGAGAGAGAGGGTCTCACTATGTTGGTTAGGCTGGTCTTGAACTCCTGGCCTAAAGAGCAAGCTTCCTGCCTCAGTCTCCCAAAGTGCTGGGATTACAGGCATGAGTCACCGTTCCTGGCCCAGACTATATTCTCAGTGCATTATATGTATTAACTTATTTATTCCTCAACTCTATGAAGTACTATTGTTGATCCTATTTTGTAGATGAAGCAGCATGGAGAGGGTCAGTACCTGGCTCAAAGTCACACAACTAATAACTGATCCTGAACGAGGATTTGAACCCAGTCTAACTCCAGGCCCACATTCTTAATCAGCACTCTATACTGTCTTTCAGTTGAAATGAAATGTTGAACTTCATACCCATACATTAATGCAAGGTGTACAGGTAACCAGAACCTCCCATAACATCTAGTCTACAGGTGCTATACCTTTAGATTAAGTACTAAGTAAAGGAAATTAGCAAAAAAGAAACTCTGTGGTTTATATCAGAGTCTTGAGAAAATGGGAAGAGGCAGAAACAGGCACACACACAAAAATCACCTTACAGAAAAAAAATAAAAGACAAAAGGTTCATTATAATTATCATTAACAGTGAGGAAAAGAAATAAGCAAAGAGAATGTTTTAGGGAGAACATTTCAACAAAAGTCCTTGCTGGGGTGGCTGAAGGCAGATGTTATCTCTAAGCAAAAGAAACTACTAGTGAAAATGACAGAGCAGCTGGAATGCACATCCCAACACTTCCTTTTTAATTTTAATTTTAATTTAATTTTTTTTTAGATGGAGTCTCACTCTGTCACCCAGGCTGCAGTGCAGTGGCACAACCTCGGTTCACTGCAACCTCTACCTCCCAGGTTCAAGTGATTTTCCCGCCTCAGCCTCCTGAGTAGCTGGGACAACAAGCGTGTGCCACCATGCCTAGCTAATTTATTTTGTATTTTTAGTAGAGATGGGGTTTCACCATGTTGGCCAAGCTGGTCTCCAACTCCTGACCTCAGGTGATCCTCCTGCCTTGGCCTCCCAAAGTGCTGTGCTCACAGGCATGAGCCACTGCACCCGGCCACCAACACTTCCTGATCCTTTTCAATGTCATGACATACACAGAATATGATATTTGTGCATCACACTTCAACAAATGGAGGAAGCTGCTTCCAGATGGCTCAGGCTGTCAGGATCCCACCTGGCTGCCCTAAAGGCTAGGAGAAATGCTGGCATGGCTATAAACCATTCTCACAGGCTGGGAAACTCTGATATAAACAACTTAGGTAGTACTAAATCATGCACTCCAGCATTGACTGTCTTATTTCACCCACCTTCATAAGGTTTAATTCCTAGGGGGTTTTAGCTGCTAAAAACCATGTGGGGCTGGGCACGGTAGTTCATGCCTGTAATCCCAGCACTTTGGGAGGCTGACTGAGGTATTAGGGTTGCTTGAAGCCTGGAGTTTGAGACCAGCCTGGGCAGCATAGTGAGAACCAGTCTCTACCAAAAAAAAAAAATAAAATAAAACTTAAAAAATAAAATAAAAACAATGTGGATTGTTGTTTTTTTCAATATTCATCCTTAAAGGACAAAGCTCAGACACCCTTGATTATATACAATGAATGAACTTGAGAGCCCGAAGGCAATTCCCAAGAAGTGGTTCAAGGACTGTGAAAAACAGCAATAGCCCTGAGATGGGTGAAGAAGCTTCTGAAGTCATTACAGGACTTTCAAGACATAAACACACCTGGAGAGCTATAGTCTGGCACTTTGCTTTAAAAAAAAATTACAGTGGGGCACAGTGGGTCATGCCTGTAATCCCAGCACCTTAGGAGGCTGAGGTGGAAGGATAATTTGGGTCCAGGAGTCCAAGCTGCCGTGAGCTATGATTGCACCATTGCACTCCAGCCTCGGCAACAGAGCAAGACCCTGTCTCTAAAAAAGAAAAAAAAATTACCTAGTACTACTCACACACACTCTAGGATTAGAAGCCTCATCAAGTTTTTATCAGCTTTGGTGAGACTTTCATTAACCCCCACACGTATTCAGGGTTTCTTTCAACTTGATATTGTAAAACATTAACATAGAAGTGAAACTGTACACATGAGCTGGTTGTGGGGCCACCTTACAGAAGCATGATTTTTTCTTTTTTTTTGAGAGGGAGTTTTGCTCTTGTCACCCAAGCTGGAGTGCAATGGCGTGATCTCTGCCCACTGCAACCTCCACCTCCCAGGTTCAAGAAATTCGCCTGCCTCGGCTTCCCGAGTAGCTGGGATTACGGGTCCTAGCTACCACCAGCTGCCACCACGTCCAGAAAATTTTTGTATTTTTAGTAGAGACGGGGTTTCACCATGTTGGCCAGGCTGGTCTTGAACTCCTGACCTCAGGTGATCCACCTGCCTCGGCCTCCCACAGTGCTGGGATTACAGGCATGAGCCACTGCACTCAGCCCAGAAGCATGATTTAATGGCAGACAATCAAGCGTTGTTTTACAGTGCTAACCTTTTCCTGCATAGCTAGGAGGCTCTATACACAACCCGACACTCTTTCTAAGCCCATCTTGGCCAATATTACCTTTCAGTTTCTGGTATTCATTAGGTTCTGATTCCTCCTCTGCTTTTCTGAGTAATACTCTTACCTCCCTGAATCCCCGTCTCTGTCAATCACCCATTCACCCATCCATCTACTCAACAGTTATTGCTTGCTTTTTTTTCTTTTCTTTCATTCTCTTTTCTTTTTCTTTTCTTTTCTTTTTTTTTTTTTTTTTTTTTTGAGATGCAGTTTCACTCTTGTTGCCCAGGCTGGAGTGCAATGGCGCGATCTTGGCTCACTGGTTCAAGCGATTCTCCTGCCTCAGCCTCCAGAGTAGCTGGGATTACAGGCATCAGCATACCAGTAAAAAATTAGCCACCACACCTGGCTAATTTTTTGTATTTTTAGTAGAGATGGGGTTTCTCCATGTTGGTCAGGCTGGTCTCGAACTCCCAACCTCAGGTGATCTGCCCACCTTAGCCTCCC
The DNA here is from genome assembly GCF_000001405.40 of Homo sapiens. Lineage (NCBI taxonomy): Eukaryota > Metazoa > Chordata > Mammalia > Primates > Hominidae > Homo > Homo sapiens. The sequence goes on along the minus strand of NC_000008.11, from coordinate 98,070,414 downwards.
AAAGTGCTGGGATTACAGGGGTAAGCCACTGCGCCCGGCCTCTTTTTTCTTTTCTTTAGAGAGAAGTCTCACTGTGTTGCCCAGGCTGGAGTACAGTGGTGCTTGACCTCCTGATTCTCCCACTACGGCCTCCCAAGTAGCTGGGATTACAGGCTCGAGCGTCCACACTCAGCTGATTGCATATGTTCTATGTGTAAGGCCACACTACAAGTTTCTTGCAGAACTAGGACCAGATCCCAGATGGAACTGGAAGTTGTGAAAAGAACAGGGGCTTTGGAGTCACACACATTAGCCATGTGCCCCAGGTCCATCCATCCATCTAGTAAGTAGGCTTACTAGACCTACTAGCTCTGAGACCAGGGCAAGTGACTTATCTGTATTAAGCTTCGTTTTCTAGCTGTATTTGGTGCAATTAATGTTTGTGTTTTAAGGCTATTGTGAGGATTAAATAAGATCACAAACTAAAGCACCTGAAACCAAGTGCATGCTCCCTCCTTATCTCCTGACTTCTGTCCCATGTGTATGTTTCGATGTGGCTGCACAAATGTCTGAAAGTTTTCTGTTTTAGAAAAAGATTTACTTTATTGTTGATGACAGTGTAAACTGCTTCAAGTCTTACAGAACACATTTAGGCAGTTATCTATCAAAACTTTCAGTGCGTACACCCTTTGACCTAGTAATGCCACTCCTGGGAAACTGTCCTACAGATATACTTGCACACATTCAAAATGATGTAGGCACAAAGGAATTCATGGCAGTCTTGTCTGCAACAGGGAAAGACTGTAAACAAATTAAATGTCCCTCAATAGGGGGGCTGGTTAAATAAATCAAGGAACATATTATTATGCAGGTATAAAAAAGGAGAAAGAAGTTCTCTGCATATAAATGTGGAAAAATCTCCATAGTGTTAGGTGAAAAAAACAAAGTGAGGAACGGTGGGTATAGTACACTACATTTTATAAATAAAGATGAGAGAAGGAAATAATATTTGCAATGCATAAATAAACTTCAAAAGAATATATAAAAAAAAAAACCCTAAAATAATAAGTGTGTATTCACAGGTGTGATTCGAACTAAATAGATGATGAGGATGGGGTGGAAGGTATACTTTTCAGACCTGCCTTTTCCAAATATTTTCACATTTTTGAACCATGTATGTAGTTTTTTTATTCCATTTCAATTAGCCATATGCAATCGCCAGGCCTATCACAAAGACATACCAAATGCTATTTAAGTGCCAGGCTCCAGAAATGACACAAGGCACACATTTGAAAGAAAAAAAATCCCATTTATATAATTTCTATATGCAAGAAAAGCCTATACAAATTAAATTTAATGTTTATGATGTTTGTTCTTCAATTCAAAAGGAAAACTTTTGTCTAGTTAGGACCAGATGACCTAACTAGATGTCAGAGTGTGAAATATTGGGTGAAAACTGAAGGTATGACTGCAGTACAAAGAACAATTCACATAACTGTGAAATTCAAGCTTCATCTGATTGCCTAGGCCGCATGGACAGCAAGCAGCTAGTGAAAGTTCAGGTTAGAACAAACAAATGATTATAGCTGTCAGTGGAAATGTACACATTAACCTAGCAATGAACTTGTCAATAATTACCACCTATTTACTTTGTCCATGTTTGGTGCTTGGGCTGTAACACCTTGGAAAGAAGTCTGCCAAAACAGATCCCATTTATATTAGGAAAGATTCGAGCAGTGATTATCCATGTTAGCAGAGGGCTAGGAACACTGGGAGGAGGGTTTGGATGTGAACGTCTATAGACACCTTCAGGCACATTAAGGTCTGTGGAGTCAATAAAACCTTTGTGTTCAGATTGCATCGGATCCTCAGGACACTCAAAACAACAGAAATTGTCCTAATATTTAAAACTTGCTTCCAAAAACACAAGAAATTCCAAACTCAATCTGTCTAATTATCCTTTGGAATGAAAAGTCTCTTTCCTCACACATTTCAGGGCACGTCATAAAAATCGATGTGTGACTACCACATATTAGGCACTGTTCTACGCTGTGAGGAGCACTAATAATTGTTAACAATCAGAGTCTTCACCTCTGTTCTCCCAAACACACACACCTATCTGGTCAGTCATCTTGGGAGGTGATAGGAAGCAGCTCCGTGAGATTCAGTGTCTAATGGGTCAGGGCAAATGTCCCCACATAATCAGTAGAATAGATTATTCCTGTGCAACCTAATGTCTACCTACTAGTAGCTGCTGTCTGATTTAAATTTATAACATAGGCTGGGCACAGTGGCTCATACCTGTAATCCCAGCACTTTGGGAGGCCGAGGTGGGAGGATCACTTGAGCTTGGAAGTTCAAGACCAGCCTGGGCAACATAGCAAGACCCTGTCTCAATTTTTTAAATAAAAAATAAAATAAATATATAATATTTGTATAACACATTATACTATATATCTTATTTAGGGATTAGACTAATATTTAGAATCATAATAAGGGATTATTCTATCCCTAAATAATATATATAGTATAGGCCACGCGTGGTGGCTCATGCCTATAATCCCAGTACTTTGGGAGGCTGAGGCGGGTGGATCACCTGAGGGCGGGAGTTCGACCAACATGGAGAAACCCTGTCTCTACTAAAAATACAAAATTAGCCGAGTGTGGTGGCACATGCCTGTAATCCCAGCTACTCGGGAAGCTGAGGCAGTAGAATCACTTGAACCCAGGAGGCCGAGGTTGCAGTGAGCCGAGATCATGCCATTGCACTCCAGCCTGGGCAACAAGAGCGAAATGCCGTCTCAAAAAAAAAAAAAGATACATAGTATAATTTGTTGATTGTATTGTATTGATTTCATTGTTTTTAGATAGTGGGTGACCACACACCTAATGGGGATCCAGAGTGATCTGAGGCAAAAACAGATTTAAATCTAGTTAGCAGAAGCTGGTTTAAACATATAGTTTCTTTTTTTTTTTTTTTAATTGAGTCTCACTCTGTTGCCCAGACTGAAGTGCAATGGCTCAATCATACTTCACTGCAGCCTTGAACTCCTGGGCTCAAGCAATCCTCTCACCTCAGCCTCCTGAGTAGCTGGGACTACTGGCCTGTACCACCAAGAGTTACATTCCCTGAAATACATGTTTTAATTTTTTTACAAAAATTTTTAGATACAGGGTCTTACTATGTTTCCCAGGCTGGCCTTGAACTCCTGGCCTCAAGCAATCCTCTCATATCAGCCTCCAGAGCCATTGGGATTATAAGCATGAGCCACTGTGCCCAACAAAGCATATGAGTTCAAAGCCCAGCTCTGATTCTTAGAAGCTCTGTGACCTTGGATAAATTATTTACTCTTATCTGTAAAAACAGGACAACCATAATATTTAGTCATAACATTGTTATAAGGATTAAATGAAGTAATTCATTCAACAAATAATTACTGAGGACCTATTATATGCCAAGCGTTGTTAGGCACTGAGAGTACAGTGAATAAATGCATGTACCAGACATGTAATAAACTTGAACTGTTTTTGTCTAAAAGTATGTACACACAAGCTTGAGGTTGTATATAGGATTTAAAGAAGTTGCAAGGTGCAGAAACAGGAATGAATTATTTATCGGGCCTAAGATCATGAAGCTGAAATGTTGATGAACACAGAATAGTATCTAATTACAAGAGAGTATTGTTTGATCGAGGGTTAGAAGCAAATAGACCTGTTGATTGATTCAACGTGTGTGTTGAGCAATTTACGCCGCATATTAGGTTAATTTTCTAAGGGCTAGAACTGGCTGTCAGGCATTTTAACATCTCTTCCATAACAACACCTATGAAAACTCAGAACAGCAATGAAAGCAAGAATAAAAAATGGAAGAGTGTAACTCACGTGGAATAGTTATTAATATTGATGATAAAATATTTTTAAAGATAAAGTTATTCATTATTTTCTGAGAGGATTAAAAACTGCATTCCACCTACTGAATACTTTTGCCCCAAAGTTACATTCCCTGAAATACATGTTTTAATCAGTTTAAAACTATGTAATGGTGACTCAGTACTCTGCTTGTTAAACCAGGATGCTACTCCTAGGATAACTGAAGCACAGCATGGGGTAGAGAAGTCAGAATAATAAAATGTATCTTCCTGAAGCATCTGTTTTCCCTCGGCTTTTCATATTGAAACCCACAAAAATCTATCATAGAACAGAATGCAAAACTCTACTTAATTTCATAACATAAAACACGAAACATCGAAACATCGGAGAAACTCCTTGCTCTGTCCTCTTGTTGCAGGTATGGAAGCTCTGGGTTCTTTAGGAGAAAAGTTAGTGAGCACTGTGCATTAGAAATGAATTTTTCCATCTTTTCACATTGTTGTCAGTGAGAAGGGGTTTACTTTTATAATGCTTTTAATTTTTTGTTTACTTCCTGACTTGTCATTGCTTTCCGTTATCTATGGAAACTAGAAATAAATTCTCATACACCACAAAAATAACAGCAACACAACATATTTCTGACTAGGACACAGCGGCTGAGCTTTGAAAAGCATTCCTCACCGTCTGGTGCGCTCTACCAACAACATCAGAGGAAGACATTTCTGTTACTGCAATAACACAAGGTGCTAAGAGAAAATCTGTGAAAAGGAATTCACTCCAGTACAAAATCCCCGCTAAAGTTCGCCTTGCAGAAGACTGTAAACTAGCTTGACGGAGTTTGCTTAACCTCCATAGCATTGTCCAAAATTTTAGCCATTCAAAATCTAAGAAAAGTGAGTCGGCTGTAAAACCCTGTCATTCTCTAATTCATGTAACTGCGTTTATACTTTTCACAGTACTTATCACTGTCAGAAACGATCTTAGCCAATTGTTTCACGTGTTTCTTTTCTGTCTCTTCTATCTTCAATCTCTACAAACAGGGTCACTTGTATCTCCAGCATCTAGCCAAGCACTGGGGTATTATATAGCAGATGCTCAAAATGTCCTTGTTGAGTTTCTTCAGCAAGAGTCAGTGATGACCACTTTTGATCACACATACTTCTCAACTGATACTTAAGCCGAAGATAGGGGAAAGTGTGTCTGACCTATTCAGAGTGCAGGGACCCATTTGATGGAGTGAATGCTCCTCTGGATTCTCCGCATCTTTTGCCATCTTTGATGCTGAAACGCTAATGGGAGGGTAAATGGGGAAAAGTCTTTTTTGTTGGTGTTTTAGTAGAGACGGGGGAGCGGAAGATCTCGCTTTGTTACCCAGGTTTTTCTCGAACTTCTGGTCTCAAGAGATCGTCCCGCCTCAGCCTCCCAAAGTGCTGAGATTGCAGTCGTCAGCCACCGCCCCCAGCCTTGGTAGAAGGCCTTGATAGGACATTTCTCCTGTGTTTAAGGCAATGCCGAGGCTAACCGCCTTAGGGCCTCAACACCAACTCCCCGAGATCCCATCAGCGGACAGGGTGAATCCAGCGCCCGGCCTCGGGCCCCGCGCGTCTCGCAGCGAGCGCCGCGGAGCGCACCAGGGCCGCCGCACCCGCGGTCACAGCAGCGCCGCTCCAGATTTGGAAGGAAATCGCGCTTTGTCCCGGGTTCTGCTCGCATCCTCCGGGACAAGGCCCGGCTCCTGCCAGGCGGGGTGGCCACGGGACACACCCTTTGGACCTCCTGGGGAGTTAGCCCACCCGAGTCCCCAGCCCGGGCGCGGGCGGCGCCGGTACCCTGCTCACCGCTGGGGAACCTGCTGCTGTCGCCGGCCTTGTTGAGGGCGCTGCTGGAGCAGCCCATTGCGGGGAGCGCAGACACCTGTCTCAGCCCTGCGCGGGTGTCGGCCCGGAACCGGGAACCGAAGGCAACTGCACCCGTAGCCGCGGAAGTTTCTCCAGCTCTGCAGCCCGGCTCCCTTGGGCGTAGAGCGCAAGCGCGCAGCGGGGCTAATGGTAGGGGGTGCGCACCTGGAGGAGGAAGGGAGCTGGCAGGAGGTGGAAGGAGCCTGGGAGCGCAAAGCGGAAGAGAGCGGGAGGGCCAGGACGCAGAGGAGGGCAGGGAGGAGTAGAGCCCAGGAGACAGGAGGGGAGACGGTGGAGGGTATGGCACAGTAAGAGAGGAAAAGCCCCTAAAGCAGGGATAGGGAGGATGTCAGGGGGCGAGGGCGAAGCGCTGGGAGGTATCATCTGACTCATCACTAAATAGCCAGGGAGGCGAGGCGGCCTTGGGACTAGGGGCTATTGATTGGTAGACTAGATGTGCGATGACAGTCTTATTTTCTTACATAACTACAATTACCACAAGGAAGTTTAACTTTGATACAGTACGATTTAATCCACCCTCCATGTTCCCTTTTTGCCAATTGTCCAATCCAGGACTGCACGTTGCATTTAGTTGTGTCTCTCTTTAGTTTGCTTTAATCTGAAGTAGTTCCTCCAGTCTTGCTTTGTCGTTATGACTTTGACATTTATTAAGAGAATAGATTTTTTTTTTTTTTTGAAACCGAGTCTCTCTCTGTTGCCCAGGCTGGAGTGTAGTGGCGCAATCTCGGCTCACTGCAACCTCTGCCTCCCGGGTTCAAGCGATTCTCCAGCCTCAGCCTCCAGAGCAGCTGGGATTACAGGCGCCTGCCACCGTGCCCAGCTAATTTTTGTAATTTTAGTAGAGACGGGGTTTCACCATATTGGTCAGGCTGGTTTCGAACTCCTGACCTCAGGTGATCCACCCGCTTCGGCCTCTCAAAGTGCTGGGATTACAGGCATGAGCCACTGCGCTCGGCCTTTTTTTTTTTTTTTTTTTTTCCGGAGATGGAGTCTCACTGTGTCACCAAGACTGGAGTGTAGTGGCGAGATCTCAGCTCACTGCAACCTCCACCTCCCTGGTTCAAGAAACTCTCCCTGCTTCAGCCTCCTGAGTAGCTGGAATTACAGGCATGCGCCACCACGTCTGGCTATTTTTTGTATTTTTTAGTAGAGACGGCGTTTCACCATGTTGGCCAGGCTGGTCTTGAACTCCTGATCGCAGGTGATCCGCCCGCGTGGGACTCCCAAAGTGCTGGGATTACACATGTCAGCCACCGCACCCGGTGAGAACAGGCTTTTTTTTTTTTTAATTTGAGACACGGTTTCATTCTTGTTGCCCAGGCTGGAGTGCAATGGCACAATCTCAGCTCACCACAACTTTCGCCTCCTGGGTTCAAGCAATTCTCCTGCCTAAGCCTCCTGAGTAGCTGGGATTACATGCATGCGCCACCACACCCTGCTAATCTTGTATTTTTAGTAGAGATGGGGTTTCTTCATGTTGGTAAGGCTGGTCTCGAACTCCCGACCTCAGGTGATCCGCCTGCGTCAGCCTCCCAAAGTGCTGGGATTACAGGCATGAGCCATCGCGCCTGGCCAGGCCTTTTTTTAGAGAGAAAGAGGCTGGGCGCGGTGGCTCATGCCTGTAATTCCAGCACTTTGAGAGGCTGAGGCAGGAGAATCTCTTGAACCCGGGAGGTGCAGTTTTCAGTGAGCCAAGCCTGCCCTCCAGCCTGGGTGACAGAGCAAGATTCCATCCAAAAAAAATTTTTTTATAGAGACAGGAGTCTTGCCATGTTGCCCAGGCTGGTCTTGAACTCCTTACCTCAGGGGATCCTCTTCCCTTTGCCTCCCCAAAGTGCTGGGATTACAGGCATGAGACAGTGTGCCTGTGATTTTCTAATTACATTATTCCTTCTATATTGATTAGCTGCCATTCTACTACAAAGTAAGGAAGTGCTTTTCCTTCCCCCCATTTATTCACTTACATCAGTGAGCACTCATGAAGTCTCACACTATCCAATGTAGTATGTTACCATCTGTGAGAGTTTGCTAGGGGTGCTATAATAAAGTACCACAGACTGGATGGCTTGAAGTACAGACATGTATTTCCTCATAGTTCTTGAGATTAGAAGTCAAAGATCAAGATGTCAGCAGAACTGGTTTCTTCTGAGGGCTTGTCTTCTTGGCTGGTAGATGGCCATCTTCTCCATGTCTTCACTTGATCTCCCCCTTGTGCTTGTCTGTGTCCTAATCTCCCCCTCTTATAAGAACACCAGTCATATTGGATTAGGGCCCATATAACCTCATTTTACCTTAATTACCCATTTAAAGGCTATATTTCCAAATACTGTACAGTCACATTCGTAGGTTCTGGGGGTTAGGATTTCAGCATATAAGTGTCCAAGAAGACAATTCAGCCCATAATAACATCATTTTAAAATATTTGAGACAGAGTCTCACTCTGTCACCCAGGCTGGGGTGCAGTGGTGCAATCATAGCTCACAGCAGCCGTAAGCTCCTGAGCTCAAGCAATCCTCCAGCCTCAGCCTCCTGAGTAGCTAGGATTGTAGGCATGTGCCACCATGCCTGGATAATTAAAAAAAATTTTTTTTTAATAAAGATGGGGTCTTGCTATGTTGCCCAGGCTGGTCTCAAGTTCTTGGACTCAAGTGATTCTCCTGCCTTGACCTCTAAAAGCTGGGATTACAACACCATAATTATTTACTTTGATGCTCAAATTGCCTAAAATTTGCCATATTTGTCTATACGGCTCATTGGATACACAGCCCTGGGCTTTACTATATGTTTAGAGGTCCCTCCCTTCCTTCTTTTTTTTCTTCTCTTCCTCCCTCTCTCCTTCTTTCTCCTCCTCCTGTTCCTCTCCTTTTTTTACTTTCTCTGTCTTCCTCTCCTTCTCTCCCCTGTAATTCAGGCCTGAAAAATCTTGGCCACCCAGCAATTGAATCACTAATCCCTTTGAATGCAGGGAGACTGGGTACCTTTGAAGAAGTGTCCTTCATAACAATACCAATATGTACAGTGATTCTACCTTCTAGCCCTCCACCAAGGGTTATTGTGCCTCAAGGAAAGAGAAATATGTTGAAAGTGGCTAATGATTTGGCCGTATGGTTACAGACGTGGAAGGAACAAGATTACAGGATTGGCACAAGGAGTTTAGGGGAAAGGAATTAGATGGACCTTTCAGAGTGAGTCTAGGTTTGGGGAGTATTTGTGTCTTATGTAAATGCTTACAAAAGGCCCTGTATTAGTCAGCTTGGACTTCCATAACTAAATTCCATAGACTGGGTGGCTTAAACAACAGAAGTTTATTTCTCACAGTTCTGGAGGCTGGGAAGTCCAAGATCAAGATGGGGGTCAATTCAGTTCCTGATGAGGCCCCTTTTCCTGGCTTTGCAGACAGCCATCTTCTGGCTCTGTTCTCACATGGAAGATCTCTCTTTTTTTTTTTTTTGAGACAGAGTCTCCCTCTGTTACCCAGGCTGGAGTGCAGTGGCACGATCTCGGCTCACTGCAACCTTCACCTCCAGGGTTCAAGTGATTCTCTTGCCTCAGCTCCCCGAGTGGCTGGGATTACAGGTGTGGGCCACCATGTCCAGCTAATTTTTGTATTTTAGTAGAGACAGGGTTTCACCATGTTGGCCAGGCTGGTCTTGAACTCCTGACCTCAGGTGATCTACCTGCCTCAGCCTCCCAAAGTGCTGGCATTACAAACATGAGCCACCACGCCTGGCCTCTCTCTCTCTTTCTTATACTTATTCTCTTACACTTATTAGGCCACAGTCCTATTGACTTAGGGTCGAACCTTATGACCTCATTTAACCTTAGTTACCTCCTAAAAACCCAGTCACATTGGGGTTAGGACTCCAATATATGAATTCGGGTTGCAGGCGGGGGGACACAATTCAGTTCACAGCAGGCTTCTACTTCTGATGGAGCATTTTAAAATTAAAATCACATTTCATTTTATTAGATAGTGAAATTTCTAAAAACTCCATTCTTCCCAAAAGAGAAATGCAATAACCTCACAGATTAAATATCAATATGTAATTTAAAATTCTCTGAATCTTAATACTTTCATGTTAAACCAGGGCTTATTGAGCCCAGTTAAGTTCCCCACTTTTCCCCGTCAATTATCTTTTAGGAGTTCCCTGGGATCTCTCACTTTTCCTTAAGGGTAATTTGTCAGCCAAGCCATGGTATCTTCTATTTTCTTCAGAGGAAGCATTTTATAATTAGGTGAACCACCATAATTCTGGGCTCAACACCATGCTCTTCCTCTTACCAAGGTTTACCTGGCTAAGTGCCTAATTTGCCAGCAGCAGCAAGAAGCTGAAATGGTACCATACTTTGAGAGGACAGCAGATGATCTTTACTGTAATGGACACTGCGTTAGATTTGCTTTTCCTGCCTATCATGCCTCTGCCAGCGTCACCCAATAGTGTGCATACCATCAAGATGGTACATTCAGTACAGCTGGCCCTTCATATTTGCAGTCTCCACATCTACCGAGTCAACCAACTGTGGATCAAAATAATTCAGAAAAAAACAATAAAAATAACAATACAACAATAAAAAATACAAATAAAAAACAATACAGTATAACAACCATTTGGAGAGCATTTACATTATATTAGGTATTATAAGTAATCTAGAGATGATTTAAAGTACACAGGAGAGTGTGCATAAAATATATACAAATACCACACCATTTTACGTTAAGGGACTTGTGCATTCATGGATTTTGGTATCCTAGGGGAGGGGGCCTTGGAACCAATCCCCCACAGATACTGATGGACGACCGTACTGTATCTTATCAAGGAACTCATTTTATTGTGAGTAAGGTATTGTGAGACAAGTAAGGCAATAGGTTAATTTCTGTGTGATTTACTGGTCTTTCCATTTACTTCATCATCCAGAAGCAGCCAAACATATACAATGGTGGAATGGCACATTGAACATTTGGCCAGGGCCGGGCGCGGTGGCTCACGCCTGTAATCCCAGCACTTTGGGAGGCAGAGGCGGGCAGATCACCGGAGGTCAGAAGTTGGAGACCAGCCTGCCTAACATGGTGAAACCCTGTCTCTACTAAAACTACAAAAAATTAGCTGAGCGTGGTGCTGCACACCTGTAATCCCAGCTACTCAGGAGGCTGAGGCAGGAGAATCGCTTGAACCCGGAAGGTGGAGGTTGCAGTGAGCTAAGATCGCACCATTGCACTCCAGCCTGGGTAATAAGAGTGAAACTCCATCTCAAAAAAAAAAAAAATTGGCCAGGTGTGGTGGCTCATGACTGTAATCCCAGTACTTTGGGAGGTTGAGGCAGACAGATCACTTGAGGCCAGGAGTTCGAGACCAGCCTGGCCAACATGGCGAGACCCCATCTCTACTAAAAATACAAAAATTAGCCAGGAGTGGTGGTACATATCTGTAATCCCAGCTACTCGGGAGGCTGAGGCAGTAGAATCGCTTGAACCTGGGAGGCAGAGGTTGCAGTGAGCCGAGATCACGCCACTGCACTCCAGCCTGGGTGACATAGCGAGACTCTGTCAAAAAAACAACAACACTCAATTATAGTACCAGACAAGGTAAGACTGAGGTGCCACCCTGCAGTTTGCATGGTGTGCTCTGAATCAGTGACTAACAACTTGTGCTGCTTCTCTCATGACCTGTATATGCAGATCTGGCTTCTTGTTCATTTGTGTTTTTGTTTGTTTGTTTGTTTTGGTTTTGGTTTTGTCTGTTTTTTTTTTTGAAACAGGATCTGGCTCTGTCACCCAGGCTGGAGCACAGTGGCGCAATCTCAGCTGACTCAACCTCCACCCCCCCCGGGCTCAAGCCATCCTCCCACTTCAGCCTCCCAAGTAGCTAAGACTACAGGCATGCCATGATGCCTGGCTAACTTTTGTATTTTTTTTTTTTTTTGTAGAGACGAGGTTTCACCATGTTGCCCAGGCTGGTCTCAAACTACTCCTGAGCTCACGTGATCCTCCCTCCTAGGCGTCTCAAAGTGCTAGGATTACAGGCATGAGCCACTGTGCCTGTTGAACTACAAAGTAAATTTCCTTTCTGCTTAGTTGAGCTACTTTGTTTCTGCTGCTTACAAGTCTCCAAACTAATACACATACTTATACCACCTCCCCTTTTCCTGACTGCTTTCTCAACAATTACCTGTCCTGTCTTATTCCTTTAGTCTTATTTGATGACTAGCTTAATACCAGGTCATAACTGATACTGTGATTAAAATTTGGCCAGGCACGGTGGCTCACGCCTGTAATCCCAGAACTTTGGGAGGCTGAGGCAGGCGGGTCACGAGATCAGGAGATCGAGACCATCCTGGATAACATGGTGAAACCCCGTCTGTACTAAAAATACAAAAAAAATCAGCCGGGCATGGTGGCGGATGCCTGTAGTCCCAGCTACTTGGGAGGCTGAGGCAGGAGAATGGCGTGAACCCAGTAGGCGAAGCTTGTAATGAGCCGAGATCGTGCCACTGCACTCCAGCCTGGGCAACAGAGTGAGACTCCGTCTCAAAAAAAAAAAAAATTATTATTATTATTATTTTTGAGACAGGGTCTCACTCCTGTTGCCCAGGCTGGAGTGCAGTGGCATGATCACAGCTCACCTCAGCCTCGACTTCCCGGGCTCAGGTGATTCTCCCACCTCAGCATCCTGAGTAGCTGGGACTACAGGCACGGGCCACCTCACCTGGCTAAGTTTTTGTATTTTTAATAGAGATGGAGTTTTGCCATCTTGCCCAGGCTAGTTTTGAACTCCTGGGCTCAAGTGATCCATCTGCCTTGGCCTCCCAAAGTGCTGGGATTACAGGCGTGAGCCACCTAGCCTGGCCTGATACTGTGATTTTTATAGCTGAAAATATCTCAGACAGTAATTCATAAATCTTTTCACCTCCAAGGACTCCTTTTATCATTTTTCTTCTACATACTTACGTTTTGATTTTATCACAAGATTGCATTTATATTTCTCCATTAAGTAATCACTGATATTTTCTGATCAGCATGACATGCAGTGTTACATTAATATTATTCTGATTAAAAGAAAAAAACATGTGATGTCTTAGCTTGTGCTTCCCGGCTTTATTAAGGACAAAAGTACATTGTAGACTTTTCAAATCATTGCAAATGATACGTAAAACTTCATACTTTTGTGGACAAAGACACACAGGAATATCAGTTATATTAAAATTTCAAAAACTGACTCTAAGAAATGTAAATCAACCAAAAAACCAACCTTTTTAGATACCGTTTTACTTTCCAGAAGTGTCACTTCTCCACAGTAAAATAGTGAATAAAGTACTGTGAGCTCTCTGTACCCCAGAATATAAAAAGCATATGCTTCCTTGGATTAAAAAACATTTTAGAAAAAAATGGGAGAAAGCATTATCTGGCCTATTTTTAACCAAGTCCAGCAGGATATGTAGAGTGTGAAGGCCAGAAAACAAAACTGTTAAGAGTCTAGAGCACTCCTAGTCTGAACAGAAAGAAATATTGAAGAAATATTTCAGATTCCGTATTATTGTGGAGGCAGAAATGGTAGAGATGAATAGGTAACCTTCATTCCCTCTTGTCCCCTATTCAGAATTCTGATTAGGTGTATATATGTTTTAATGTTTTGTGGGTTTTGTTTGTTTTTGAGACAGTCTTGCTTTGTTGCCTAGGCTGCAGTGCAGTGGCACAATCACGGCTCACTGCAGCCTTGACCTCCTGTGCTCAAGCAATCCTCCCACCTCAGCCTTCAGCATAGCTGAGACCACAGGCACATGCCAGCCACCATGCCTGGGTAATTAAAAAGAATTTTTTTTTAATAGAGATGGAGTCTCACTATGTTGCCCAAGCTGGTCTCAAAATCCTGGGCTCAAGTGATCCTCCCACTTTGGCCTCCCAAAGTGCTAGGATTACAGGCATGAGCCACCGTGCCCAGCCTATGTATGTTTTAGTTAGCTGTAAGGCCAAGAGCTTTCACTGAGTTTACAAGGTCCTCTCACTTGGATTCATTGTCCTTCCCTCTCTTGATCTTTGTGAGCATGTTTAATGTCCAGGATGACTGGTAAGAATATGAAGGTTGAGTTAGGCAAATTAAGTTCCAGATCACTAATAGGCTGCTTCCTAATCTGAACACTAAATATTAGATGACAATGAATATGATAGTTTTCACTGCTTGACAATAAGTAGATGGGCCAATACAAATCAGATGAACTTGTTAGCACTTGCTCCAACAGCAAATGCAGCCTTGTCACTTTTAATTCTCCTAGCAAATAAAAGCCAGAAGCACAATAATTTCAGGTGCATACAGAGTTCTCAGAAACTTGGAGCAGCCATTTTGGTGAAGGAAAACCAAAGGAGGGCCTTGTGTTAATTCTGTCCAACATTTACCTGTTGGTATTCTTTCAAAGTCACTCTGAAATGCTAGCCTAGCATCAGAAAAAATAACATCTAGATGGCAAAGTCCTTTCTTAAAACATACACATTTCCCAACTTTTTGGTATGAAGGTTTTTAAATTTACAAAAAGTTGAACAGTAAAATGAGCACTCATATATCCTCCACCTAAATTCAACAATTAACATTTCGCTGCATTTGTTCTACCTGCCTATCTACATCACTTTTTATTTGAACTGCTTGAAAATAAATGGAAGAAATCATGATATTTCACCCAAATATGTCAATGTACATCTCTTTAGAATAAGGGTATTCTCTATATGACTTAAAAGTAGTTATGTTTTATAATAGTAATCTTCTTATAGTCTGCACGCCAGATTCAGCCGCTGCCTGATTTTGTGAATAAAGTTTTATTGGAACACATTCGTGCCCATTCCTTTACATATTGTCTATGGCTGCTTTTGTGCTACAGCTGCAGAACTGAGTAGTCACAGAGACCATATGGACCTAAAGACCTAAAATATTTACTATTTTGTTCTCAACAAAAAGTTTGCCAGCCCCTGCTCTAATAAGTATGTGTGTGGAAATATTTACAAAATATTCATGAACCAAAGAAATTTGGCTGTCTTTTTTGCATTGCAAGTGTTTCTCCCTCTAGAGTATAGGTTTTGTTCTGTTGTGATTAACTGCAGAAGGTATGTGTGGGTTGCGGTGGTGTGGTGGTAGGAGTGAGATTGAGGAATATCCACTGCCTGGTTTTCCTGTACAGGGCCCTGTGATCGGCGCTATATTTACTGTGATCCTCACAACAATACTATGAGGTACACATCTTTCTTTTATCCAGTTTTTTTGTTTGCTTTTGAGACAGAGTCTCACTCTGTTGCCCAGGCTGGAGTGCAGTCGCACGATCTCAGCTCACTACAGTCTCTGCTTCCTGGGTTCAAGCGATTCTCCTGCCTCAGCCTCCTGAGTAGCTGGGATTACAGGCGCATGCCAGCATGCCCGGCTAATATTTGTATTTTTAGTAGAGATGGGGTTTCACCATGTTGGTCAGGCTGGTCTCGAACTCCTGACTTCAAGTGATCCACCCACCTCTGCCTCCCAAAGAGCTGGGATTACAGGCATGAGCAACTGCGCCTGGCCTATCCTATTTTATCCAGTTTTATTGATGAGGACACTGGGGCTTACAGAGATTTTTTTTTTTTTTTTTTTTTTTGAGATAGAGTCTCACTCTGTCACCCAGGTTGGAGTGCAGCAGCATGATCTCACCTCACTGCAACCTCCGCCTCCCGGGTTTGAGCAATTCTCCTGCCTCAGACTCCCAAGTAGCTGGGATTACAGGCGTGCACCACCACGCCCGGCTAATTTTTGTGTTTTTGGTAGAGACTGGGTTTCACCATGCTGGCCAAGCTGGTCTTGAATTCTTGACCTTAGGTGATCCACCAACCTCAGCCTCCCAAAGTGCTGGGATTACAGGTGTGAGCCACCGCACCTGGCTGCAGAGATTTTAAAAATTGCTCAAAGTCATGCAGGTATGAAAGAGAAATGTTAACCAGGCACAGTGGGTCACACTTGTAATCCCAGAACTGCGGGAGGCTGAGGCAGGAGGACTGCTTCAGGAAGAGTTCGAAACCAGCCTGGGCAACAAAATGAGAACTCCATCTTTAAAAACAAAAAAAAAGAGAGAGAGACAGAAAGAGAAACCAAGGCCCCAAGTCTGTCTCCAAAGAGAGGTAGAATGGATTCAGTTAAGATTCCCTAGGAGGCATTCCCATTTTGTGGTCATGATTCAGACACAAAATGAGTGCTTTGGGCTTCACTGGTTTCCAGTACAAAATCATGGTAAGATCCTTGGGAGAAAGCAACTAAGTCCTTTCTTTAAAGTATAGTGAGGACACATAGTATCTTAGTCTTTTCCTGCTGCTTTAACAGAACACTTGAGACTGGTTAATTTATAAACAGAAATTTATTGGCTCACAGTTCTGGAGGCTGGGAAGCTCAATATCCAGGTGCCAGCAGGTTTGGTGATTCTTATTCTAAGATGGTGCCTGGAATGCGGCATCCTCTGCAGGTATGAATACTTCATCTTCACAAGGCAGAAGGGCAAAAGAGACTATGAACCTTCTCATGGCCCTTTTTATGGCATTAATCCATTCATCGGGGCTCTGCCCTCATGACTTAATTATCTCTTAAAGGCTCCACCTGCTAACACTCGCATTGGGGGATTAGGTTTCAACCTATAAATTTTGGAAGGAACACAAATATTCAAACCATAGCACATAATTGGGATGGGATACTTGGTATCATATAAAGAAAAGTGCCTCAGAAAAGTTACCTCATGCACTTTAATCATTTATTCTCTAAAACAGGGACAGCAACTATCCTGATTACTTTGGAGGAAAGTGAATATTTAAAAGCTTTGCGGCCAGTCACAGTGGCTCACACCTGTAATCCCAGCACTTTGGGAGGCCAAGGCAGGCAGATCACTTGAAGTCAGAAGTTCGACAGCAGCCTAACCAACATGGTGAAACCCCAACTCCGCCAAAAAATACAAAAATTAGCCGGGCATGGTGTCGAGTGCTTGTAGTCTCAGCTACTAGGGAGGCTGAGGTGGGAGAATCGCTTGAACCCGGGAGGCGGAGGCTGCAGTGAGTGAAGATCACTGCCACTGTACTCCAGCCTGGGTGACAGAGCAAGGCCCTGTCTCAAAAAAGAAAAAAAAAAAAAAAAAAAAAAAAAGCTTTGTGCTCCTTTCTCTCCTCTCCTTCTATCTCCTCCCCTAAATTAATAAATAAAAACTTTGGCACAGCAGCTCACATCTATAACCCTAGTACTTTGGGAGGTTTAAGCAGGAGGTTCAATTGGGGCCAGGAGTTCAAGACCAGCCTGGGCAACATGGTGAGCTCTCATCTCTAGAAATAATTTAAAAGTTAACTGGGCATGGTGGCATGTACCTGTGGTCCCAGCTACTCTGGAGACTGATGCAGGAGAATTGCTTGAGCCTAGGAGGTCGGGGTTGCTGTGACTGTGCCACTGCACTCCAGCCTGGATGACAGTGAGATTTGGTCTCAAAAAATAAATAAAACAAATGCTTTGAGGCAAGTTCTTGTAATCCCAGCAGTTTGGGAGGCCAAGATGGGAAGATCGCTTGAGCCTAGGAGTTCAAGACCAGCTTGGGCAATATAGTGAAACCTGTCTCTATAATAAATAAATATATATGAGAGATTAATATATATATAAGCTAGGCATGACAGCACACATCTGTAGTCCCAGCTACTCAGAAGCTGAGGTGGGAAGATCCCTTGAGCCAGGGAGGTTGTTGCAGTGAACCTTGACTGTGCCACTGTACTCCAGCCTGGGTGACAGAGCAAGACCCTGTCTCAAAAAAAAAAAAAAAAAAAAAAAAAAATAGAAAGAAAGGAAAAAAAAAAAAGCACTTTGGGAGGCTGAGACGGGTGGATCACGCGGTCAGGAGTTCAAGACCAGCCTGGCCAACATGGCAAAAAATTGTCTCTATTAAAAATACAAAAAATTAGCTGGGCGTGGTGGCGGGTGCCTGTAATCCCAGCTACTTGGGAGGCTGAGGCAAGAGAATTGCTTGAACCCGGGAGGTGGAGGTTGCAGTGAGCCAAGATTGCACCATTGTACTCCAGCCTGGGTGACAGAGCAAGACTGTCTCAAAAAAAAAAAGCTTTGAAGGTAGAACACCCCTCCCCCTCCCCCTCCCCCTCCCCTTCTCCCGCTTTCCATGGTCTCCCTCTGATGCCGAGCGGAGGCTGGTCTCTACTGCCGCCATCTCGGCTCACTGCAACCTCCCAGCCTGATTCTCCTGCCTCAGTCTGCGGAGTGCCTGGGATTGCAGGCGTGCGCCTCCACACCTGACTGGTTTTTGTATTTGTTGGTGGAGACGGGGTTTCGCCGTGTTGGCTGGGCTGGTCTCCAGCTCCTGACCGCAAGTGATCTGCCCGCCTCGGCCTCCCGAGGTGCCAGGATTGCAGACGGAGTCTCGCTCACTCAGTGCTCAATGTTGCCCAGGCTGGAGTGCAGTGGTGTGATCTCGGCTCGCTACAACCTCCACCTCCCAGCCGCCTGCCTTGGCCTCCCAAAGTGCCGAGATTGTAGCCTCTGCCCGGCCGCCACCCCGTCTAGGAAGTGAGGAGCATCTCTGCCTGGCCGCCCATCGTCTGGGATGTGGGGAGCGCCTCTGCCCTGCCGCCCCGTCTGGGATGTGAGGAGCGCCTCTGCCCAGCCGCGACCCCATCTGGGAACTGAGGAGCGTCTCTGCCCGGCCGCCACCCCGTCTGGGAGGTGAGGAGCGTCTCTGCCCGGCCGCCCCGTCTGAGAAGTGAGGAGCTCCTCTGCCCGGCAGCCGCCCCGTCTGGGAAGTGAGGAGCCCCTCCGCCCGGCAGCAGCCCCGTCTGGGAAGTGAGGAGCCCCTCCGCCCGGCAGCTGCCCCATCTGGGAGGTGGGGGGCAGCCCCCGCCCGGCCAGCCGCCCCGTCTGGGAGGTGGGGGGCGCCTCCGCCCAGCCGCCGCCCAGTCTGGGAGGTGGGGGGGCGCCTCTGCCCGGCCGCCCCGTCAGGGAAGTGAGGAGCCCCTCTGCCCAGCCGCCACCCTGTCTGGGAGGTGTACCCAACAGCTCATTGAGAACGGGCCATGGTGACGATGGCGGTTTTGTCGAATAGAAAACGGGGAAATGTGGGGAAAAGAAAGAGAGATCAGATTGTTACTGTGTCTGTGTAGAAAGAAGTAGACATAAGAGACTCCATTTTGTTCTGTACTAAGAAAAATTCTTCTGCCTTGGGATGCTGTTAATCTATAACCTTACCCCCAACCCCGTGCTCTCTGAAACATATGCTGTGTTCACTCGGGGTTAAATGGATTAAGGGCGGTGCAAGATGTGCTTTGTTAAACAGATGCTTGAAGGCAGCATACTCGTTAAGAGTCGTCGCCACTCCCTAATCTCAAGTACCCAGGGACACAAACACCGCGGAAGGCGGCAGGGTCCTCTGCCTAGGAAAACCAGAGACCTTTGTTCACATGTTTATCTGCTGACCTTCCCTCCACTGTTGTCCTATGACCCTGCCAAGTCCCCCTCTCCGAGAAACACCCAAGAATGATCAATAAATACTAAAAAAAATTTAAAAAAATTAAAAAAAAAGAAAGTAGAACACTCAATACAAGGGATCATTACTGTTTACTTTATACCTCTATCTAAGCAGGCATGTCTCAGAACCAATTTGGCTATCTCATTCTTTAGGTCTCTAATTCTCAAATTTTAGTAATTATAATAATTACCTAGGATGACTGTTAAACTCAGATTCCCAGGACCCACACCCAGAGATTTCTTCCATAGGCCTAGGTGGGGTCCAGGAGTTTGAATCATTGATTTTGATGCAGGTGATATGAGAGCCAGACTTTGAGAAGTACTACATTGAGGTGTAATTGATGTTTCATGAGACATTTATTGTAAAAGAACACTTTATTATTAATATTAAAAAGGAAGTTTTTATGTAACAATAATTAATGCTTACTGTAAAATAATTCAAGCAGTACTAAAAAAACCTAAAGAAAAAGTAAAGGTCCCTTCCTCATCGCTCACTCTTCTCATTTCTCTCTGTTTTGATATCTGACTTTTCCAGACTTTTTTCTATGCCTATACAAATATATAGTTTTCTAGACTTTTTTCTATGCCTATACAAATATATAGTCATTCATCACTTAATGACAAGGATTCATTCTGAAAACTACATTGTTAGGCGATTTCATTGTGTTTGAACATCAGAGTGTACTTGCACAAACCTAGATGGTATAGCCTACTACACACCTAGGCTATATGGTATAGCCTGTTGCTCCTAGGCTACAAATCTGTACAGCGTGTTACTGTGCCTGTAGACAACAGTAACACAGTGGTATTTGTGTATCTAAACACAGAAGAGGTACAGTAAAAATAATGTATTATAATCTTATGGGACCACTGTTGTATATGTGGTCCATGACTGTCCAAAACATTATGCAGTGCATGATTGTATATTAAGAATGATGAGCATTTGATGTTTCTAATTTTTTGCTGTTATAAATAATGCTGCCCAGGCACGGTGGCCCACGCCTGTAATCCCAGCAGTTTGGGAGGCCAAGGCGGGTGGATTGCTTGGGCCCAGAAAATTGAGACCAGCCTGGCCAACATGGCGAAACCCTGTCTCTACTAAAAATGCAAAAATTAGCTGGGCAGGAGAATCACTTGAACCCAGGAAGCGGAGGTTGCAGTGAGCCGAGATCATGCCACACCACTCCAGCCTGGGCAACAGGGGGAGATTCGGTCTCAAAAAATGAATAAATAAAGCTGAAATAAATACTCTTGTTCCCATGTCTTTCAGCAACTCTGTGACTGCTTCTGTAGGATAAATTCCTAAAAGTTGAATCACTGGGCCAAAAGACTCAAATAGCACAGAAGGGAATATAATTAAAAAGTGCTTCTCTACCTCCTTCCAACCTCCAATCCCATTTTCCTGAGGAAGCCACTGTCATCTTGTATATCCTCATATGAAATGCTTATATAGGTATGTTCTTTCTGTTTTGACACACTGTCAATCTGTCCTTCGAGAGCGCCTTTTTCTTAACCTATTTTATACCTAACTTTAATTTTCCTGGTGGCTATTTAATTTTTTTTTTTTTTTTTGAGATGGAGTCTTGCTCTGTTGCCCAGGCTGGAGTGCAAGTGGTGCGACCTCGGCTCAATGAGAGATCCGCCTTCCGGGTTCACACCATTCTCCTGCCTCAGCCTCCCAAGTTGCTGGGACTACAGGCACCCGCCACCACGCCTGGCTAATTTTTTTGTATTTTTAGTAGAGACGGGGTTTCACCATGTTAGCCAGGATGTTCTTGATCTCCTGGCCTCGTGATCCGCCTGTCTCGTCCTCCCAAAGTGCTGGGATTACAGGCGTGAGCCACCGTGCCTGGCCGTGGTGGCTATTTTAGAGCCTTCACTGTTTTCAGGTCCCAATGGCATCACTGATCAACATACCTCTTCCATTCAGAGAGCTTCTCCCAAAGGCTATTCAGTAATGGACAAGGAATCTCCAGGGATTTAAATAAATTTCTGGGAAAAGGTTAGAAAAGGCAGCAAAATTTGAGCATAAAATTTCTTATAATTCCACTCTAAAGCAAACTTACACTTGTAACATTTAAAGCTTTAACATTCCACTTTTCTTTTGTATTGTTTTTTTCTCCTTCCTTCTCATGAATGCTATATTCCAGCCAAATTGTAACCACTCTTGTCTCGTTTTAGCTTTTTTTTTTTTTTTTTTTCCACGAATTTGTGTGTCATCACTGCACAGGGGTCATGCTAACTTCTCTGCATCGTTCTAATTTTCAGTATACGTGCTGCTGAAGCGAGCACCTTTTAGCTTTGCTTCTGCTCTTGACTAGAATGCATCCCCTCCTTGATTTCAGTTAATCCTGCAAAGTGCTTGACTTCAAATCTCAGCTTACCTGTCTAACCTTTACTAAATAATATAACAACTTTTGGCTCTAATCTTAGCCCTTGTAAAATAAGGATAACAATGCCTATGAGGTTATTGTAACCATGAGTTAAGGTTTGTGAAAAGTACATGAAAGTCTATACAAAACTAATTATTCCTATATTAGTCTTCTTTAAGGCCTAGCTAGATAGTAGGCTCTTTAAGAACAGTCACCATGTCTTTGTATATTCTTAGTGCCTGGAGTGAGGATGAATTCATCATATATATTTGTTAAATAAACACATTATGCTATTTGCTTATACCTTCCTTCAGACAATAGACAGCAAGATTTCTGAAGGAATCTTATATGACCAGGGGCTTAAGGTACGTGATGGCACATGGTACTGTTTGTGGAATGAATGAACATTTAACATCTGTTAACGACGACTTCATATGGCAGTTAAGAGTTGTACTAATTGTCTTTATAGGTCTTGCCTTCTCAACATGACTATTAGCCTCCTGAAGGTAGGGTGTAGTTCTTTGCATATCAAGTGTCTAAGAAAAATGTTTGATGATAATGGAAAAAAAAGATTCATGTCTGAATGTCTAATGTGAATGGCAGACTCTAAACATTTCCAAATGGTACGTGGGGTGAATTGTAATAGAAAATGCTGTTGAGGATTCAACTTTTTTTTTTTTTGAAACAGAGTCTCGCTCTGTCACCCAGGTTGGAGGCAGTGGCGCGATCTCGGCTCATTGCAAGCTCTGGGCCCGGGTTCACGCCATTCTCTCGCCTCAGCCTCCCGAGTAGCTGGGACTACAGGCGCCCGCCACCACGCCCAGCTAATTTTTTTGTATTTTTAGCGGAGATGGGGTTTCACCGTGTTAGCCAGGATGGTCTCGATCTCCTGACCTCGTGATCCGCCCGCCTCGGCCTCCCAAAGTGCTGGGATTACAGGCGTAAGCCACCGCGCCCGGCCTGAGGATTCAACTTTTATAATAGGATGACAACCACAAATGAAATGTGGATCAGGAAAAAAAAATAACACAGGATTAAAAGGCTGACTGGTGTTTCAACCTTTACTCTATCAGGTAGCAGCACCACAACTTCTCCAGGTCTCAGTTTCTTGAAGTCAGAGAACTAGTTATCTGTTAGTTCTAAAATTAGTAAAAAACAAAAAGAGTTTGTTTATACAACTAGAGTAATAGAGGAAGGCAGATATCTGGATTTGCAGTGTTAAGTAATTTATGACTAAATATTAAAGCAAGTACTATGATAATCTAATTCAACTTGGTTAATTTCTCATCAAAGAGGGGCACACACTTGAATGAATGTTATTTTTATTTTATTATTTTAAAATATATTTTATTATTAATTATAATAATTAATATAATAATAATTAAAGTATAATAGTAATTATACTATTTTTTGAGACAGAGTCTCGCTCTGTCACCAGGCTGGAGTGCAGTGACGTGATCTCTGCTCACTGCAACCTCCACCTCCTGGGTTCAAGTGATTCTCCTGCCTCACCCTCCCAAGTAGCTGGGACTACAGGCACGCGCCACCAAGCCCAGCTAAGTTTTGTATTTTTAGTAGACACAGGGTTTCACCATGTTGGCCAAGATGGTCTCGATCTTTTGACCTCGTGATCCTCCCGCCTCGGCCTCCCAAAGTGTTGGGATTACAGGCGTGAGCCACCGCGCCCGGCCTTATTACTTTTTTTGAGAGGGAGTCTCGCTTTGTCGCCCAGGCTGGAGTGCAGTGGCCCGATCTCAGCTCACTGCTACCTTTGCCTCCCAGGTTCAAGCGATTCTCCTGCTTCAGCCTCCCAAGTAGTTGGGATTGCAGGCAGGAGCCACCACACCTGGCTACTTTTTGTATTTTTAGTAGAGGTGGGGTTTCACCATGTTGACCAGACTGGTCTCGAACTCCTGACTTCAGGTGATCCGCTCACCTCGGACTTCCAAAATGTTTGGATTACAGGCGTGAGTCACCGCATTCGGCCTGAATCAACTTTAATTGTGAAGAGACCTAAGTTACCTGGGCTCTGGTCCTAGCTCTGACAATAGGCCTAGATATGTAAAATGGACAATAAAAAGGTTACTATCTCATGGGACTTTTGTGAGTATTAAATAAATATATGTAAATGATTCCTGGTACAGCACGCGTTTTTTGGTGAGGCTTAATTAAGGAGGGGAAGAGGTTTCCCTCATATAGCTTATCCACTGGTCTGATTGATTAGGTGGGGATTTTCAGCGCCTAATATCTTCAGTGGTCTGTCTCTGGACATTTATACCAAGATCCAACGTTAACAGCAAAAATACTTTTAAAAAATTAGACCTGTTTATCGCGCTCTCAGTGCAAACTCGGCTCACAAGTTCACGCTAACACAGTCACAAAAGGCGAGTTTTGGGAAACTCGAGCAGGGCGCCACCGTTCTCCAGGGGACAGGTAACTTGGGTGACCGCAGGGGTGAGGACACAGCTGCTTCTACCAAGCGGAGAGTAAATGCGGGTGCTGCGGCGCATCGGAGTCACCCACAAGGCTCTCCAAGAGCCGCGCCTCAGGACAAAGATGAATTCAGCGGCATTGAGACCGTGGTCGCAGCCGCCGCAGCCTCTTCTCATCTACCCTCCCACCTCACCTTCAGTCGGCTTTTCGAACTCCCTCCGGGTTCTAAGCGCCTCGATTAGTTAGACCGCAGCTCGCAGCAGAACAGCAACACAACGCCGCGAAGCTTAAAGGCCCGCAGAGGGGGAAAAGAACACCCCCGCCGTCATTCTTTTTTTTCCTTCTTTGAGACAGAGTCTCACTCTGTCGCCCAGGCTGAGTGCAGTGGCGCGATCATGGCTCACTGCAGCCTCGACCTACCGAGCTCAAGCGACCTCTCCGCCTCAGCCTCCGGCGTAGCTGGGAGTAGCTAGGACTACTGGAGCGCGCCACCACGCCCGGCTAATTTCTTTTTTATTTCTTTTTTATTTTTTTGTAGAGACAGGGGTGGTCTATGTTGTCCAGGCTGGCCTTGAGCTGGACGCAACAGATCTTCCCGCCTCAACCTCCGAAAGTGCTGGGATTAAAGGTATGAGCAGCCGCGTACGGCCCCCGCAGCCATTCTAGCTAGCGGTACCAATAGCAACCGGCAGCTGCCCTCCGCTTTTGCTCCGCCCCTTCTGCTTGCGATCTGTTTCCGCTTCCGGTCCCGCAGTTCCGGCTCTGCCGTGAAGAGCTTTGCATTGTGGGAAGTCTTTCCTTTCTCGTTCCCCGGCCATCTTAGCGGCTGCTGTTGGTGAGTGGGCTCCTACCGACCGAGGTTTAGGCAGCGCGGGGAGCTTTGCGGGTTGCCATTTGTAACTCCGGATCCTAAAATTCCTGTCCTGTTCTCTGTCTCTTCTAGGTTGGGGGCCGTCCCGCTCCTAAGGCAGGAAGATGGTGGCCGCAAAGAAGACGGTGAGTGAGGCGGGCCAGGCCCGGAAGACGATTCACGTGGAGAGATGTCTTGGCCAGGGCGGGCAGATGTGAGCCCACGGGGGTGACAGCATGCCTGCTGGCATTTGGAGGGCCCCAGAAGGAATCCCAGTGGCCCTCTCAATGACTTGGGGTCCTCGACTTCGGAAGTTTAAGGGGCTCGGCTTCAAAAAGCTGGGTCCGGTTTTGAGGCGGTTGCAGGCGAGGCCCTTAGGTCCGTATTTAATGTTTGCTTTGTAGAAAAAGTCGCTGGAGTCGATCAACTCTAGGCTCCAACTCGTTATGAAAAGTGGGAAGTACGTCCTGGGGTACAAGCAGACTCTGAAGATGATCAGACAAGGCAAAGCGAAATTGGTCATTCTCGCTAACAACTGCCCAGCTTTGAGGTAATCGAAGAGACTGAACGGGCTTCGCCTACCGCGAATTCATCGTGAACGAATATACAGGAGTGTAAACTTGTAATCTGAGTACCATGAACTCGAACACTTGCAGGATAATTACGGTAGCGATTGTGGTGTTTGGCCCTTCATTCCCGTCTCCCCGACCCACCCCCAAATCGTGTGCTCCCCTTCTGTGAGCTTATTTTTGGAGGAGAAATGTGTGTGTGTGGCAGGAGTGAAAACAGAACATCGAGGTTTAATGGAAACACAGACACATTACTGTTTTTTCCATGTATTTTGTGTCCTGCTTTTTTGGTTCTTTTAGCTTTGAGGTGCTTTAATGATGCTTCATTGTGTGAACTTGTTTTAGTGTCAAAAAACTAGGTAAGAAAAGTTGAGGCTGGGCTATGGAGTTGCAGGCTATCATAGAATCACCTAGTTTAGCCCGCTAAATCAGTTCTGAGTCAAGATTTATGCTTGACTCACTGTTTTGAAATTGAACTTAGGGGGTGTTGTAAATAAGCCAAACAAACTTGGACCTTGCAGAGTATAAGCTATGTGAGCAAATTTTCTGTGGTGATGCATAAGCTGCTTACAGCATTTTATATAGGGTGTCTGTAGTTACCGTCAAAGCCTGGAGGGCCCTTTCTGTCTTGTCCCATGGGTTCGGCTTTTCCCTAACCATTCTTTGAAACTTTCTTTAAAGCCTGTCTTCTATAGTAGTGCTTCTGAAACATGACTGTGCAAAGGAGTCACATGGGTGATGTTAAAATGCAAGTTCTGATTTCATTGGATCTGGGATGGGGCCCGAGGTGCCATTTATTATTTTATTTTTTTTAAGACAGAGTTTTGCTCTTGTCACCCCGGCTGGAGTGCAATGGCACAATCTAAGCTCACTGCAACCTCTGCCTCCCAGGTTCAAGCAATTCTGCCTCACCCTCCCGAGTAGATGGGATTACAGGCACCTGCCACCATGCCTGGCTAATTTTTGTATTTTTAGTAGAGATGGGGTTTCGCCATGCTGGCCAGGCTGGTCTCGGACTCCTGACCTTAGGTGATCCACCCACCTCGGCCTCCCAAACTGCTGAGATTACAGGTGTGAGCTACCGTGCCCGGCTTGAGGTGTTTTTTTAACTAATACATTGTAGCACTATTGCTGGTATGTGGATTCACATAATTGAGTGGCAAGATAGTATAGGACTCCTTTCCGATTCCTAAAACCATTAGTATCTACTAATTTGACGCTGAAATTTTGTATTTTTAGTAGAGACAAGGTTTCACCATGTTGGCCAGGCTGGTCTGACGCTCCTGACTTCAAGTGATCCGGCCTCCCAAAGTGCTGGGATTACACGCGTGAGGCCAGAAATTTTAACTCTAAAACGGTATCACTTCCCATCTGGAATTCTGGGCACTGAGGGGATGGTGATAGAAATGGCTTATCTTTTAAAGGTTTAGATTCTGGATCCTCCACTTACTATTCTGTGGCTCAGTTTCATTAGATTAAAAAAAAAAAAAAAGAATAGGGCTGTGTGCCGTGGCTCACACCTGTAATCCCAGCACTTTGGGAGGCTGAGGCGGGCGGATCCCTTGAGGTCAGGAGTTCGAGACCAGCCTGGCCAACATGGTGAAACCCCATCTACCAAAAATATAAAAAATTAGCTGGGTGTGGTGGTGCACGCCTGTAATCCCAGCTACTTGAGAGGCTGAGGCAGGAGAATCACTTGAACTCGGGAGGTGGAAGTTGCAGTGAGCTGAGATCGTGCCACTGCACGATCCGCCTGAGCGACAGAATGAGATTCCATCTCAAAAAAAAAAGTACATAATACCTACTTTAGAGATTGTCATGGAAATATAAAGTATGTGGTCCTTACTAATGCTAGATAATGCTTTGCTTTCTTTTATTTGCATCTTACCCTCTTCCGTGAGTATTGATACTGTCTTAAACATAGTAGGGGTTGATTAGATATTTGCTGGTTGCCCCTTCACTTGCAAGGGATACATACAAATGTTGGTTTGTATTGGATAATGAATATGATGTTTTTAAGAGTAATATGTGATTTTGTTACTTTTTGAAGGCCTTAACAACATTAACACTAGTAAAAGAAGTAGTAACATTTAGTCTGTCAGTCACTTGGTATCGCATTTATTTATTTGCCCATTTTGGTTCCCAAAGGAAATCTGAAATAGAGTACTATGCTATGTTGGCTAAAACTGGTGTCCATCACTACAGTGGCAATAATATTGAACTGGGCACAGCATGCGGAAAATACTACAGAGTGTGCACACTGGCTATCATTGATCCAGGTATGCTTTTTAAATCATAAAGTCTTTTTTTTTTTTGCCTTTCTAATGTAATGTCTGGACAAGTATTTCTTACTACGCAAATGTCTTTGGTTCCTAAATTCAGATAGAATATGGATCTAGCAAGGCATATCGTGTAGTTGTATTTTGTAGAGAATTGGTAATGAATGCCAATACATTATAATTGGCTTTATTATAAGTTAAAATTTTTACTGTCAGATAATGAATTTCATTTGATGAAGTACCTATGAAATAATGACATAGATTTGGTAAAAGGTGAAATTATAAGGAGAGAATAATCTGGCAAAACAGAAGAAAGTAATTCTTGCTTCTTGAGAACAGACATGTAAAATTAGCTTGAGAAAAAAAAAAGTGCCAAAAAATCTACATCATTCTGTTTTCCAATTGTGAATCTTTGATTCATAGAATACTGCGAATATTCTCGCTGTTCTGATTTTGTAATAGTCAGGACAGGCTAAACATTCGCTATATTAAGACCATGCATGTGTCCCCAAACCTAGTTCTTTCCCTAGGTCTGGTTTTATAAATGCTGGTGATAAACCAATTTTATTATATGATCATTTTATGTGATTATATAATGGCTGTGATTCTAGGTTATCTTTGGTCAACCTTAAGAAAAATGACAGTACAGCTAATGTGATAACTTTTGCAAAAAGTCAGTGCTAATTTGCAGACCATTGTCTACAGAAGGGATAACCAAAGGTAGAGAAATTTTATGGTACCAGTTGCTATTAAATGAATTGTAAAATTACTGTTTTTTTATTTTTATTTTTTAGGTGACTCTGACATCATTAGAAGCATGCCAGAACAGACTGGTGAAAAGTAAACCTTTTCACCTACAAAATTTCACCTGCAAACCTTAAACCTGCAAAATTTTCCTTTAATAAAATTTGCTTGTTTTAAAAACATTGTATCTATTTCAGTATTTTTCTCTATTTTTGTTTCAATACAATTTCCTGAAGGTTGGATTAGAGAGGATGAGGCAGATGTGGTGGCAAGACTTTTCAGTAAAGAGTTACACATCCTGGGCCGGGCGTGGTGGCTCACGCCTGTAATTCCAGCCCTTTGGGAGGCCGAGGCGGGCGGATCATGAGGTCGGAAGATCGAGACCATCCTGGCTAACGCAGTGAAACCCCATCTCTACTAAAAGTACAAAAAAAATTAGCCGGGCGTGGTGGCGGGTTCCTGCAGTCCCAGCTACAGAGCTTGCAATGAGCCGAGATCGTGCCACTGCACTCCAGCCTGGGCGACAGAGCAAGACTCCATCTCAAAAAAAAAAAAAAAAAGTTACACATCCTGATTTCTGTTTTCCAGGGTTTTTTTGTTGTTGTTCTTTTTTTTTGGAGACAGTCTTGCTCTGTCGCCCAGCTTGGAGTGCAGTGGTGCAATCTTGGCTCACTGTAGCCTCCGCCTCCCAGGTTCAAGCGATTCTCCTGCCTCAGTCTCCTGAGTAACAGGGACTACAGGTGCGCACCACCACGCCTGGCTAATTTTTTTTTTTTTTTTTGTATTTTTAGTAGAGACGGAGTTTCACCATGTTGGCCAGGATGGTCACGATCTCCTGACCTCGTGATCCCCCGGCCTCAGCCTCTGAAAGTGCTGGGATTACAGGCGTGAGCCACTGCTCCTGGCCCAGTTTTTGTAAAGGGACTGCACTGGGTTCCTTTCTAGTACTAGATGTTTAGAAAGCTCAAGTTTTGTAATTCCATTCTCAGGACATTGTTTGCATTTTATATTCTAGTATGCTTAGGAGGTAACAAGGTTAAATACCCAGAATTGCAATTTACCAAATTTGAGTAGCTAAAAAAGATTAACTGAAATGTTTCCCCATCCAAAATGCTGTCATAGGTTAAGAAAAGTTTTACTTTAATGAATAATCTTTCCTAAGTTAAGTGGTTGGTGCACTTGGACGATTTCTGAGTAATCCCAGATCATCAATAGTTAAGTCCATGTTTGCCCAAGTATGTTTTATATCATACACCTAAAAGATGTACTGTGAAGTACGTTAAGTATTCACATTTTTGGAAACTATACTGCATCCCCCAAGAGTATGTCCCAGGGAATCCTTCATATGTTAATATCTTTTGGAACATTCGAAAGAATTAATTTGAGGGGAAATAATGATTTAGTTAGATACTAATTTACAGAGTTGAATGGTGCTAGTAAGGTATGCCCTATGTAGTCAGCTGGGCTTTGAGGGAGGGAGGCCACAGAAGTGTCAGAAAAGACAATGTCTTTTGGATTTTAGACTCAATCTCCTTGCTCCTTTTCTCCCTCCCCTCTTTCAGGCAAGTTTTGATGGTAGATGAGTGAGACAGTAAATGAGGATGCCTTCTAAATAGTATGCAGAAAATCAAGCATTTACTGCACTTGGAGTCAGAGGACCCCAGCTCTTAATAGCTATATAACAGCCCTGGGTGGGTCATGTTCCCAATTTGATAGTCGGGGGTTAGGAGTTTTTTTCAAGGGAATAGCTCATGATTTTAGTTTGTGTCCGAAGTTAATCTGAGGTTGTGGATATATTAATACTTTGGAGAGTCTGGTTTTTAATGGTTTTACCAGTTCATTTACTCAGTATTTCTCAATTTGGGAGCACTACTGACATTGTGTAATGGGACAGTTCTTTGTTGTGGAGGGCTGTGGATTCTGCAGGTATTTTTCATTCTTGGTTTTCCTTCCATGTCATTGTAATCACCCCCAAATGTCACCACATTTTTAAACTAGCTTCTCTCCTGGTTAAGAGTCACTGAATATATGAAAGATTTTAAGTGTTCTAAGGTGTTCATGTTTACATATCCAGAGACCCGTGTGGCCAAAGTGATATAAAATATTTGAATCTTTGATAAGAATTACTTGGTCTGACTACTGGTCTCTAATAGTGTTTGTTAGTTTGTTCCCATAGTTCAAAATGTTTCAATCTCATGGTTAAGGTAGTTTGCGTGCTTATCTACTTGCTCAGTTTTTCCCACAAGTCCCAAATAGTGACTTTTCACACTATTTGGGTTAGTTTTTCCTCCAGGTTGACTAGCTCGAGTTTAATTTCTCAGGGGGTGGTGACCTAAAGAATACAATATTGCAGATGTTGGTGTACCCTTTCTTTGCATGGTTTCTGTTGTGGTTTTTTGGCTGCAGGCATTTTGGAATGATGGTTTTTTAGAAAATTTATGATTTCTAGGGCTGTCTATGTAGTTGATAATATGCTACATTTGGTTTTTGCCTTTTCATTATATGTTCTTTTTGTGCAGTCACAACGATTCTTTCTTTCAGCAAGAAAGTTCAGAGAGACAAGAAGTTTAAAGCTAGTAGACAGGAAACATTCCTTACTCATTCTGGCCTATGTTACCTTTGATTAAGTGCTCTTAAACCGCTGTCAGAGAGAAAGTGACACTGGCCAGGAAGATCTGGGAAAGTGTAAGGTGACATTTAAAATGTTCTTTTCTGATTATAATGAAAGCAGTGTGTGGGTAGCTCTAATATTCAGGGGATTGTAGGAAATTGCAGCCAATTGGATTTACTCCATACCATACCTCTACTGAACTCTTAGATATGGAAATAGAAATCTCAAAGAAGAGGTTGGATATTGTAGAGTGTGTTAAGAATTGCGGTTGGTATGGGATGGTGGCAGGAACAAAAGGAATGTAGAGAAGAAACCAACTTTTAGGCTGATTATGAATATAACTATTAATAGTTGGGTCGTCTGGAAGATAATATTATAATCTGTGTCATGGAAAAGTTTTCCATCCCCTGTCTTCCAACTACCAACTACTCCTTAGACTTGCTGCTCCCTTCACCTGCAGTGGAATCTGGTTTCCTTCCCCCACTCCTCCCTTTTCTGGGCTTACCTGTGCTTGTTCTGAGGGTAAGCCTAGCACCCAGTCTAAAACAGGTGCTTCTGAGTTACCTTAGTACCTTTTTTTATGGCATTGATTACCTCTCTCTAAGGTGCTACAGGACAGGGACTCAAGGTATTCAACTTCGTGTCACTTATCAAAAATTAGAGTGGATAATGACTACTAGGGCTTAAACATTTACTTAATTCTCTTATTGATACACTTGGGACTTTCTAGTTCAGAATTTTGTTAATAGTAGTTCTTAAATTTCTTATGCATTTACCATTATTTAATTTACTACTGCCTGTTTGCTTCAAAAGATAGTTTAGGGGTGGGAATCTACCAGATTACTTTTCTCAGGTCAGCAAAGAATTTATTCTGTCTTTTCATTTACTCAACATACACTTAGCTCAGCACCATCTTTGTGTCCAATACTCTTGGCTGCTAAAGACTAAAAATATAATAGTTAATACTGAGCATTTAAAATGTTTTAGGGTCCAGCACTGTGGTTTATGCCTGTAATCTCAGCACTTCTGGAGGCTGAGGCAGGAGGATCACTTAAGGCCAGGAGTTTGAGACCAGCCTGGGCAACGTAATGAGACCCCATCTCTACAAAAAAAGTTAAAAACATTAGCCCATTGTGGTGGCACAGGCCTATGGTGCCAGCTACTCAGGTGGCTGAGGCAGGAGGATTGCTTGAACCCAAGAGGTTGAGGTTACAGTGAGCTATCGTGGTGCCACTGCACTCTAGCCTGGATGACAGAGCAAGACCCTGTCTCTAAAAATAAATAATATGGTCGGGTGTGTTGGCTCACGCCAGCCCTTTGGGAGGCTGAGGCTGACTGATCACCTGAGGTCAGGAGTTCAAGACCAGCCTGGCCACATGGTGAAGCCCCTCCTCTACTAAAAATGCAAAAGTTAGCCAGGCATGGTGGCAGTTGCCTGTAATCCCAGCTAGTCGGAGGCTGAGGCAGGAGAATTGCTTGAACCCAGGAGGCGGAGGTTGCAGTGAGCCAAGGTCATGCCACTGCACTCTAGCCTGGGTGAAAGAGCGAGACTCCATCTCAAAAAATAAATAATAAAAGTTTTAGGTACCTTACAAAATAGTGTATATGTTAACTCATTTAATCCTCTGACCACTCAATATTATTATTAGCCTTATTTTGCAGATTAAATCCAATAAGTGATGAAAATGGAATGCAGAACTCTGAGATTTACAAGTGGCAAAAACAAGCAAAATAGAGAAATAATATTTTAGACAATCTTCAAGTTAAATATCTTGGATTAATCTGTAGATTTTAATGCATTGGTTGGAGGCTTTTTTTTTTTTGCCATGAGGTTTTTCTTCCCCCAGGAGAAATGTGTTTAATAGCTAAAATATATATATATATATATATATATATACATATACATAGTCTCATGGCAGAGAGATAAAATGTTAGGTTGAAAGGTATTTAATTGCTAAAAAGGAGGAGGCAGACTTTTGTGCCGCTAGGTGGAGCCTGAACACAACAGAGAGTAAAGTAGAATTGAGCCACCTTGGCAGCAATGCCAGAACTGATAGTCATGCACCTCAGAATGACGTTTGGTCAGTGATGGACTGCATATACAACAGTGATCCCATAAGATTATAATAAGGCTGAAAAATTCCTTTTCTGTGTTTAGATACAACACTTACCATTGTTTTACAGTTGTCTACCGTATTCAGTAACATGATGTACAGGTTTGTAGTCTAGGAGCAATGGGGTATATAACAAACAGCCTCGGTGTGTAGTGGGGTACCCATCTAGGTTTTTCTTTTCATTTTTTTTTTTGAGACGGAGTCTCGCTCTGTCCCCAGGCTGGAGTGCAGTGGCCCGATCTTGGCTCACTGCAAGCTCCGCCTCCCGGGTTCATGCCATTCTCCTGCCTCAACCTCCTGAGTAACTGGGACTACAGGCACCCACTACCACACCCGGCTAATTTTTTGTATTTTTAGTAGAGACGGGGTTTCACCGTGACATTTTTTATTTTGTTTTTTTAATTTTCAGGAATGGTATGCTAAACATTTTGTCATTCTTTTTAAAGTCATCTTTGTTTTGAGTTTGACCATTTATTTGTATAGATGTAGCACATTCCTGTACATGCGGTGTTGTATTTCTGTGGTATGGATTACACCAGAGTTTATCAGTTCCCCTTCTGATGATGTTTAAGTTGTTCCTTATTTTTTGCTTTTACAAAGCCTAGTAACATTCTTATGCAGGTCTCTTTGTATGTATGGGCTGAAATCAACTGAGTGCAGTTGCTAGATTTACAGGGTTGTGTGCATTTTCAGTTTTATGAGATGTCAACAGACTTACTCTACAAAGAGTGCCATTTGCATTCTTACTACAAGAACCTCACATTTCCACATCCTTACCAACACTTGTTAAAAAATATACTCATTTTTGCTAAGCTGATGGGTGAAAAATGGTATTGTTTTAACCTGCATTTTCCTGATTACTGATGAGATTCAGCATTTTTTTCATAGGCATGTTGGCCATTTCTCATACATACATATCTTCCATTTAAAGTTAAACTAAGAATTTTTGCACTGAATACCATTCTCTGAAGTGGTGAATTTTAATATTGTATAAAAAATCCAACTTGTTCCACAAGTACATATGTCCTATGATTTTATGCATACATCCATATACATATATCAAGGTAAAGTCCAGTACAAAAAAACAGCATTTCCTATGGCCAGTGTTCTACAGAAGTAAGACTGTGCAAACTTTATCGTATAGTCAAATGAGATTGCACACTAAGGCAGGATGAGGCAGAAGCAAGTTGTGTCCACAGTATATTACAAAATACCTTGCATAGCTTATTCATTCTCACCTGGTAAATTCATCTTAGAATTCTGAAGGATTTTTTTCCTAGATAAATTTATACAAGTTAGTGTATACTTCTTGTCTTTGTTCTGTGGCAAACCAGGTTTCTCAGTACTGATTGTTTTACTTCACAACATTATTGATTTAACAATAGCCTGAGCTTTGGGGCTCTGCACTGCGTTCATTGTAATCCGTGATACAATGACTACAAATGTGTCGCGATTTCTAATCTTCATCTGTATCTCAGGCGATTTTCCAGGGCTTCCATTCTCTGTGTCATTTCTTCTAGTAAATCTCAAATTAAGGAAGATGAAGAATTGTCTATTTTTATTTACATTTAAATATAACTTGATTTATCCACGTAAAATTTTGGCTTCTGAAATCTAAAAGGTTTTGGTTTTTTTTCCCATTTCTGTCAAGTATGTTAAAACCCTGACTTGTAAATTTGTAGAACTCATTTAACATATTCTGTCAAGACAAATATTTTGGGTTTTTTTTTTTTTAACATCAGCAAAGCCAGATGGCTCAGTGTGAATTTGTCTTTTTAATTTTAATTTTATTTATTTTTGTTTTTTTTCTCTTTTTTTGAGACAGAGTTTCGCTCTTGTTGCCCAGGTTGGAGTGCAATGGCGCGATCTTGGCTCACTGCAACCTCCGCCTCCTGGGTTCAAGCGATTCTCCTGCCTCAGCCTCCCGAGTAGCTGGGATTACAGGCATGCGCCACCACGCCCAGCTAATTTTGTATTTTTAGTAGAGGTGGGGTTTCTCCATGTTGGCCAGGCTGGTCTCGAACTCCCCACCTCAGGTGATCTGCCTGCCTCGGCCTCCCAAAGTGCTGGGATTACAGACGTGAGCCACCGTGCCCGGCCTTATTTTATTTATTATTTTTTAAGAGACAAGGCCTCAGTATGTTGCCCAGGCTGATCTCGAACTCCTAAGCTCAAGCAAGGCCACCTCGGCCTCCCAAAGTGCTAGGATTACAGGTGTGAGCCACAGCACCCAGCTGCAGTCTTTTTTTTTTTTTTTTTAATTGTGATTCCACTTCCACCCTTAATGCTTGCAAATTAGTTTGCCATAGCACACTTCTAGGAGCCAGAATTGATAATGTTGGGAATCTGGTGAAGAGAAGACAATGAAAGAATTCGGCCTTGGAAAGTAAGATATGAAGTCAGAAGCAAAGGGCGATACGGAGTTTTCACCATGATGCTACATAAGGCCACGGTTTTGAGGAATTCTGACCTATGTAAAAATATGTCTTCTTTAGTCTCTTGTGAGTAGAACTTTGGGGTGGGACAGGCAAGCGAGAAGAAAAGGGCATTAGAATAGGTATTGGTCTTCCCTGTAAGCTCCTCAGTACCCTCTATCTGCCCTCTTGAGGGCAGAATGAGAGCCCATATTCGTCAATTAACCACTCAGAAAGATTATTTCATTTTACTTAAGGGAGCGTATTTCCAGCTTTCAGAAATGGAATTGCCCTATGCTGTTGTTCCTTATTACATAAGCCCATTGGCACAGAGATAGTTCAGAATTAAGCCATTTCCCTATAGACTAGTTGATGCACTTGAGATATCAGCCAGCTTTAGTACGCTTACTGTAATTTTAAGTTTAGAGCACTTGGCAGGGTGTTCAATATGTAAAAGCACCGAATCCTCTTTTCTTTATTATCCCCAAGCATTCCTTTTATTTAATATTGTTTAAATGAATCATTGGATCCTGCTGTTCCCTTGGTGGAGTGTTTCATTTTTTAGAGTGCCGATAGAGAAGATCTCTGCTGCCAAGGGAAAAAAAAGAAAAAACCACTCCTGTCCTCCAGAAACTAAACACACTGAATCTATATGTGGCTGTGGTGTTCCTTGGGGCTAAAGGAAAAGTTTGGAGTACTGAGTTTGAAACCTCTTCATTCTACAACATTCTTTGTCTATACTTACCGTACCTTTGATGCACTTCAGACCTCATCATGTCCTACACACCTTCCTAGCAGAGACGGAGTTAGGCCAGTGTCTCTTTTTTCCTTACTTTGTATGCTGACTGACAGGCCTTATTGCTAAGCCCCCGAGAACAGCCGATGGCAACTAAGTGCTTGACTGCTGCTAATAAGCTTGGCTTGCCCTTGCCTCT
The DNA here is from genome assembly GCF_000001405.40 of Homo sapiens. NCBI lineage: Eukaryota > Metazoa > Chordata > Mammalia > Primates > Hominidae > Homo > Homo sapiens. The sequence continues at coordinate 98,033,826 of NC_000008.11, read as the reverse complement.
CAAACACCTGTGAGGCTGCTTTTTAAAGCAAAAAGCCTTTCCTGGAGATCACTGTTCTTTGTGACTTCGTGGGATTTACTTCAGTTGATAAAACCTACATAGAGTGTGTGAAGTTTTGATAATATTCTTTGCATTCCATACAGAAGCATAATGCAAGAAAAGGATATAGCGCTGTGTTAATTTTCTTACTTCTTCGTTTGCAAGGTTCTGGAACATTATAAGGTTTTCACATTTGCATTGATCGTGTTTTTCTTCCAAAGGGCTTCCTGAGAAAGCAGATGGAAAGTGTTCACCTCTAGAATCCACCAGACTTCCCAGACGCATAATAATAGGAATGAATCAGCATATGGAGGAAACCATAATGAAAGACATGTTCCACTTTTTCCATGCAGCCAGATCCAGTAAATACCAGGAAAGCACTGTATATGCTTCCAACACTGGAAGTGGCCCTTACTGTGGATTACTGAGGAACACTACTTGAGTTTCTTTTAGTTTATGTTTTAGTTCTCATTTTACTTAAATTCTTTCTTCTCTTTTCCTCTATACTATTTCCTACTTCCTTCTTTCCTTTCCTCCTTAAAGCTAAGGTTGTTGGCAAGCCGAAAGGCTGAGATCAAGTTATCTTATAGTAATATTTTACTTGGAATTACCTGAAGGTTTTGTTGAATGGGAAAGCTTTTGTGTAGACCGTAAAAGATTGTCTTCTTCAAACAGATATCTGTGTTGCACTGCAAAATTAGAACAGGAAAGTAGGTCTTGGATATTTATGGTGACTGGCTCAGATTCTGTAAAGAGAAAGAAAACTGCAATCAAACCTGCTTAACGCTTTTGGTTATAAAACAGCCATCAGCAGAGTAAGGTACTTGGTATTCCTAGCACTTGGTACAGAGCTTTACTTTGGGACATACTGAAGCAAAAAGACTGTTATCTTCAGTGGAGTAAACATCTTTATTAAAAAAACAAAAAACAACAACAACAAAAAACAAAACAAAAACAGCCGGGCACAGTGGCTCATGTCTGTAATCCCAGCACTTTGGGAGGCCAAGGTGGGTGGATCGCTTGAGGTCAGGAGTTCAAGACCAGCCTGGCCAACATGGTAAAACCCCGTCTCTACTAAAAATACAAAAATTAGCTGGGCATGGTGGTGGGTGCCTGTAATTCCAGCTACTCGGGAGGCTGGGGCAGGAGAATCACTTGAGCCCAGGAGGTGGAGGTTGCAGTGAGCTGAAATCGTACCACTGCACTCCAGCCTGGGCAACAGAATGAAACTGTCTCAAAAAAACAACAACAACAAAAACAAAAACAAAAAAACACTGTCACCTGAAACGATGCTAGTTACCAAATATGGCTTAATGTAAGAGTAAATGTTAACTATCTTTTTGAGGGAAAAAAGGCCTTCATTATCATAATTTGAACATACTTACATTCACTTCTTTACAGCTTTTATCTGGAGGGAAACCATGGTTCCCTCCACCAAAATTTCTAAAAACACTGCCTTAAAAACTGTACCTGTTGGCTGTTGGACCGTTTTTGGCAGTTCCCCTGCTGGAGAGTCCTGTCTTCCATCGGAGTCTTCTAGAGCTGAGCAGAAAAAGATGACCAAAAGAAGTGATGGTTGTCCACAGGCATGTGTGTGTTCTTCAGGAAGCTGGTCCCAGACCACCTCCTTACCTACCTGCCATAACCTAAGGTTTTTTAGTTTTGTTTGGTAACACCAAAGATTCAAAAAAGCAGTTGGTTACCATGATACTTATGACCACTCTAGGGCAATTCTCTCTCGTAAGAGAAGCTTGGACCCCCTAAGTACATCTTAAGAATGCTCCCAAAAATGTCATGTCTAGAAAGTAGGGCAGAAAAAAAAGGTGAAGTTGTTGAGGGATTTTAGTTGCAGTGGCAGCAGCTCCACTTGAGGCATTTTAACTTGCATGAAACAATCAAGAGGCAAAACATTCTCTACTCAGAAATCTGAAAGGCCTTCCCTCCCTGTTACCCCTCATCTCAAGAGTTCTTTCCCTAGAGGGGTAAGACACAGCACTTAGACTGGGATCTAACTGGTGAGCCGGGGACATGAGTACAAGGAAAAATAGGCAGAACTGCTATCTGTAAGCATATCTGGCACAGTTAGTAAACTGGAGAAAAGCATGCATAACAAAATCTGAAGTCTAAAGGGCAGTCTGATATTCTGTAAACAAGTAGTCCATGCAGAAAGGCATTAATTTTAACAGTGGGCTTGGAAGAACTAGGTACGCCCCTTTCCACTCCAATTATAGGTATATTCTGAAATTGCACTTCAGCTCTCCTGATTTATATAATGATTGATTTTTAGTTAAATGATCATTTCTCTAGGGTGTTTGTGAGGATGAAGCATGCTGGTGTGTCAAAACACTTATTATACTGCTTGGCACAGAGCAAGGGCGCAAACAATGGTAGCTATTACTTTTTTCTTTCCCACCTCCCCTGTTTCCCCCACCTTTTTTTTTTCTTTTTTTGAGACAGGGTCTTGCTTTGTCACCCAGGTTGGAGTGCAGTGGCGCAATCATGGCTCACTGAAGCCGTGACCTCCAGGGCTCAAACGATCCTCCCCGCTCAGTCTCCCAAGTAGCTGAGACTACAGGTGTGTGCCATCATGCCTAGCTAATTGTTAAATTTTTTTTCAGAGACAGGGTTTCACTTTGTTGCCTAAACTGGTCTTGAACTCCTGGGCTCGAGCAATCCTCCCACCGCAGCCTCCCAAAATGGTTGGGTTACAGGTGGGAACCATGGTGCCCAGCCCTTCTTTTTGTACTGTTTCTAGGCATTGCTGGCCCTGCCCATGAAGGAGACACTTTTTTTTGGTTGAGAATTTATCACTAAAGGTTCATGCTGGCCGGACACGGTGGCTCACGCCTGTAATCCCAGCACTTTGGGAGGCTGTGGTGGCTGGATCACTTGAGGTCAGGAGTTCGAGACCAGCCTGGCCAACATGGTGAAACCTCATCTCTACTAAAAATACAAAAATTAGCTGGGTGTGGTGGTGGGTGCCTGTAATCCCAGCTTCTCGGGAGGCTGAAGCATGAGAATCACTTGAACCCAGGAGGCGGAGGTTGTAGTGAGCTGAGATTGTGCCACTGCACTCCAGCCTGGATGACAGAGTGAGACTCCATCTCAAAAAACAAAAAAAAAGGAGTTCATGCTGCCTTGTTTGCTAAGGTCTTCGGCGTAAGCTATAGTACCTTCACAGATGCCTTTCTTGAGTTTTTCACTTATCTCATCCATTGTGCTGAAGTCTTCGGCATAGAAGAGATGCTTGTTTGTGGGCTCAGAGGCAATCTCTTGTAGTTCCTCCTCAATGGCTTTTCCTACCCCAACAGCATACATAGTGATACCTAGGGTGCAGGAAAAATTAAGAGCAAGTTAGTTAGAGTTGTGTTCCCAGGGGCTGGAAGTTGTGTGTACTGCACCCAAAGCCAGTTAGATGTTAAGTGGTATGATTTGAAGAGTCCATGCCAACCTTCCTTTTTATTTTTCTACCATTTTTATTTTGGTCCTATGAACAAAAGGGAGGGATCCAAGAGAGAAGTGAGGCATCTGGGAGACGCTGGGGAACTAAACTACTAACCTGTTGCTCAGCCCTGGGCTGGGCCATTTAACAAATCTGCAACTTCCCCCTGAATTAGCCTTCTGGATTCATAGAAATGAGCCCTATTTTATGGCTTGCTAAATGGGAATCTCTTCTGGAAGAATTCTAAGAATCAAGTCAATTTATGACCTAATAACCTAGTTTCTACTCAAAGCTACAGGGTAGGAAACGTAAGTGACCTGAGGCCAAGTGAAGCTGCTTTTTGCCCACTTCTGCTAAGATGACACAACTTTGTGAGGAAGTGCTAAGCTGAAAAGGATAATCTACAGACCATTGGAAACCCCTAAAGTCAGGAAAAAGAACAAACCCAAGATCAGCCTTAAATTTCAACAGGGATATGCGTTTGCTTTAAAAGCTTTTCTTACTCAATCCTTAGACTCCCTTCCCCTATATACTCTTCATTTGAAAGTAAAACACAATAAGAATATGTTCTGCTGGAGTCCAAACATTTTTCAGCACTGATAACTTATTCTAGCTAATTTATTAGACTAGATTCTTAAAAATGTACTTAAAAATGGCTCTTCAAGACAAGGGGCAAGAGTTGTGATGCCTTGTTCTGAGTCTGTGTAAGGTCACTAACCAAGTTCAGCATATTTGTCCGGGAGCCCAGTGATTTTATGCACGACTTCCTAAAAAGGATAACTACTATTTTAAGATTCTGTTTGCTATACATAAGACTAGTTAAATTCATAAGAGGATGTCACCTCATATAAATCTTGTTGATTCAAGAATCAAGTAAACATCAGTTTCTGCTACCACCTGTCTTTGTGTGATGTGTAGAGACATTTGAGTGGAGCAAAGGGTAAGGTAGATTAGTCTCAGTGAGATGAAAGGGCTAACCACTGTCTCTGGAGACTAAGATGCTTCCCCTAATTAATTCTTTTTAAGAATGCAGACTAGGGGGCCTATGAGTTTGACATGAGCTCTAGCAATCTAGGCTAGTGTGAACAGCCAGTTTTACAATCTATCCAGATGATTCAGGGCAGGACACTTTGTGGCTACCACTCTTGGGCTAGAAAAAGAGGAAGGTACGCAGTATCAATAAAATGACCTCCTTCACAAAGACAGCGAGTGAATGTCGATGTGAACCAGCCTTTCTGTGAGGAGGAATGGAGTTCACCAATGGGACTGCCAGTACTCTCACTTCTTTCTTCATTCACTCAGCAAGTAGTTGTCACACATCTACTGTGTGCCAGGCCTGATCTAGGCACTGGGTCCATAAAGTCTTAGATGAGGCCTTGATCTGTGCATACCTTATTTCCTCTTACAGGACTTGCTAAAGCAGTGTGTCCTCAACAAGTACTTTAAGAAGGCAGTTTTCGGCTGGGCACAGTGGCTCACGCCTATAATCCTAGCACTTTGGGAGGCTGAGGTGGGTGGATCATGAGGTCAGGAGATCGAGACCATCCTGGCTAACACGGTGAAACCCCATCTCCACTAAAAATACAAAAAAATTAGCTGGGCGTGGTGGCGGGCGCCTGTAGTACCCAATACTCAGGAGGCCGAGGCAGGAGAATAGCGTGAACCTGGGAGGCGGAGCTTGCAGTGAGCTGACATCGCGCCACTGCACTCCAGCCTCGGTGACAGAGCAAGCCTCCATCTCAAAAAAAAAAAGCAGTTTTCAAGCAAACTAGTTCACAACCTCAAGTTTTCTTATCTCCCTCAAGGAATCTAGAAACTTCACCATAAACTGTCTCTACCAATTATCCTACCTTTTGGGTTTCCTTTAGCCAAGGGTCATACTCCTCGAGCACGCTTCACATCTGTACAACTGAAGTAACCCTCAGGTCAGGAAAACCTCAGAGAAGAGGCTGGGCTTTACTGAGCAACAAGAGCTTAGAGTCATAATCTGTTCCATCATTTGATTTTCGGAAAAGCTAACTTTGCCTCCTGGAAACACAAGAGTATTATCCACCCTAGGGGCTATTGCATTTTCAGAATGCTCGCTTGAAGTATTGGTTAAAAAATACAAGAATAAATATACACAGTAAAAGTTCCCATCAGAAACAATTTAACAAAGTCTTCAGTTGATTCTAGAGCAAGCCGACCAGTGTTTCGGAACTATTGTGTATATCTAGGCGATTCTTACACTGGAGATCACACACTGGCTAGTAAATCACAGTGAGAGGATACCCGCCTGTGGTCAGCTTAGCCTACCCTTCTAGTAGCCAGACTCCTTCCTGAGCACTTTATTTAACTCCTGTGGGGTCCTGTTAAGGCTTCTAGGTGGCAGGGTAGTAAAGATGTATAATGGCAGTTGCCAGGAGGCCTTTCTGTACACTCAAAGAAGCTTACCCTTATGGCCAGCTGAGACCACTGAGTGAGTTTAAGAAACCTGAACCTTGAGTGGTGTAAACCGCACCTCCACCCCATATTACCATTGGCCTTGGCTTTACTGGCCCACTCGGAGACGTCATCCTGAGCCCGTCCGTCGGTGAACACAATGGCTGCTCTGGGCACCCTTGTGGAAAGGGGCCTGGCCCCTTCTCCTTGGGTAAAACTTCTCTCAAACATGTGTTTCAGGGCCAGCCCAGTCATAGAGCCCTTTCCCATGTATTTCATGTGGGCCACGGCTTTTTTCATGTCTTTGGCTGAGTTGAAGTTTCTCAGAGTGAACTCTGTGTGGACCTGTGTGGAATACTGGAGCAGCCCCACTCGAGCGGCTTTGGGGGAAATTGTCAAGGAATCTATAATTCCAGTGACAAACTGCTTCACGACCTCAAAATTCTCTTCTCCAAGACTCTTGGATCCATCGATCACAAAGACCAGGTCAATTGGGCCTTCAGTGCATTCTATATGAACAGAAGGAAAGTTGACATAGTTGAATAAAAAATCATTTATGCACAAGAGTAGAATAAAATGATGCTTCAATTGGAGGCATAACCACTTTGGGGAACCAGTTTTGTTCTTTAGATAATACACAGGATAGATGAGTTGTTGGGAGGGCCACAAGCAACAATAATTTTCACGTATACTTTTATGGTTGGCTTGTCATATTGATAAAAATAGTATTTTTCACAAGCAAAACGGCAGATATACAATTGTCTAGGAAACCAAGTCTACATTGTACCCTGGAACACTGACAGGTCTGGGAGGAGCTGGGTGTAGAGTACACTGAAGGGTCTAACAATACCCAAAAGACTCCTAGAACTTTAGGAGGGTGACATCACCCTAGTGCTGGCATTCTGACAGTCAATGGAGAAAGAGATTTCTTCAGCTCAGCCATCACCTCTGCTGGGGAGCCTTCCTAGTAACTCAGCTTGTATTGCTTTCTATATACCCCAAACACTACTAATTTATTCAACCAAAAATTTATTGAGGACCTGCTTTGTACAAGGCCATGGGCATAGCAGGATTGCAATAGTGACCAAGACACAATCCCTAACACCAAGCTGCATACAATCTAATGTACTCTATATAGTGTTCCACATTGTACAATAATTATTTAATGATGTGTTTCCTCCTCCAGTCTGTGAGTTCCTCCTCAGCAGGGACTGTGTTTCATTCATTTTTGTGCCCCACCCCCCAATACTTGGCACAAAAAAAGTGTTCAGTAAATGTGTGGTGACAGACTAAGTGAATGAGGTGATGTTCATTGGGTAGCACACCTGTAAGTACCCTACTGACCTATTAAAGCTTACAAAATAATTAGCCTTAGTGCAGTGGCTCACGCCTATAATCCCCAGTGCATTGGGAGGCTGAGGCAGGAGGATGGCTTGAGCACAGGAGTTCAAGAACACCCTGGGTAACAGAGTGACTGTCTTTCTTAAAAAAAGAAAAATTAGCTGGGCATGGTAGTGCATGCCTGTAGCCCTAGCTACTTGGGAGGCTGAGGCAGAAAGATTACCGGAGCCCAAGAATTACAGGTTGCAGTAAGCTATGATTGTGCCGCTGCACTTCAGTCTGGGTGACAGAGCAAGACCCTGCATCTCTCCGTAAAAAAAAAAAAAACAAAATTAAAAAAAAAGTTATCACCATAAATTCTTTACATGGAAGCTTTTCAGGCATTTTTTTTTTTTTTTTTTTTTTGAGATTGAGTCTTGCTCTGTTACCCAGGCTGAAGTGCAATGGTGTGATCTTGGCTCACTGCAACCTCCACTTCCTGGGTTCAAGTGATTCTCCTGCCTCAACCTCCCAAGTAGCCGGGATTACAGGCACACGCTACCATGCCTGGCTAGTTTTTTGTATTTTTAGTAGAGACGGGGTTTTGCCATGTTGGCTAGGCTGGTCTTGAACTCCTGACCTCAGGCGATTCACCTGCCTTGGCCTTCCAAAGTGCTGGGATTACAGGCATGAGCCACTGTACCTGGTCTCAGGCAACTATTAATAGATGGTCGATAGTAAGCAGAAATAAAAGCTTTATGTTAAGCAATTTGGGTGTGGAGAGGCTTTTTGTTATTTAGGACTGCAAAAGAAAAATGGACAGATCCAAAATGGATTATCTCATTTCTTCTTCTTTTTTGAGACAGAGTCTTGCTGTGTCGCCCAGGCTGGAGTACAATGGCGCGATCTTGGCTTACTGCAACTTCTGCCTCCCAGGTTCAAGCGATTCTCCTGCCTCAGCCTCCCAAGTAGCTGGGATTACAGGCACATGCCACCATGCCTGGCTAATTTTTGTATTTTTAGTAGAGACGGGGTTTCACCATCTTGGCCAAGCTGATTTCGAACTCCTGACCTTGTGATCCACCCACCTCGGCCTCCAAAATGTTGGGATTACAGGCGTGAGCCACCGTGCTGGGCCAGATGATCTCATTTCAAACAATCCACAATCTGTGATAAACATTCTGTTTTATATATCAAGCAGCTGTCTAATCTTTAAAAGTGAGGCACAACAATATAAGCATGTAGAGACACACACATGCAAAACCATTTCTATGCCTGGCCAGTATAAAATGCTTAACGTCATAGTGTGTGTGGTGTGTGTGTGTGTGTGTGCGTGAGTGCGCACATGTTGGGGGATTGGGTTCTTCTGTTTCTCCATTAAGTGCTTTTCCTCATCACTCAACCTATCGATCTTTTATTAGTGAAAGAGGAAAAGGCCAACTCAAAGCTTCATTTACATTCATAGTCTGTTCCTGAGTGAACCAAAAAAAGACTCAGGCAGCATGCATGTGGCTCTTCAGCAGATTTCAAAAATACTGAAATAATTTTCCAGCAGTGAGTCTGTTTTCTCCTCCTTTCTGTACACATTTTTCTTACAGAACAAAACTAGCACTTGCAACCCCCACACATAGAATGGCATCCAGAAGGCTTCTCCAGGAAACACAAAACAAAGTAGAGTGGAAAAGCATCAGGGAGAGCAGGGCCCAGGTATTTGCTTTCAGACACAGGAAGGACAGCCCCACTTATTAGACTATTTTTTTGCCAGAGGTTAATTCCCACTTTTCTTGGGCATTTTCTTTTTGGTAGTTAAGTTGATAAGACTGGAATGGAGCTGTGACTTGCTTTCAGAACGTAATTTTCAGAAAGTTCTAGAACTTCAGGCATGGATAAGCCCTTTAAAGATCATCTACTCCAGCCCTGCTGTTGCTTACATCCTCTTTACAGCATCCTCACCCAGTGACCATTCGGCCTGGGCCTCAATGCCTCTCCTGATGAGGAATTTGTCACCTTACCACGAAAGCCCCATCTTTGGACACCTCTGCTGTTGATGATTACAATAGTGATCATTTTGTTTGTTTGTTGTTGTTGTTGTTGTTGTTTGAGATGGCATCTCGCTCTCTCGCCCAGGCTGGAGTGCAGTGGTGCGATCTTGGCTCACTGCTGCCTCCACCTCCTGGGTTCAAGTGATTCTCCTGTCTCAGCCTCCCAAGTAGCTAGAGCCACAGGCACACGCTACCATACCTGGACACTTTTTGTATTTTTAGTAGAGACAGGGTTTCTCCATGTTGGCCAGGCTGGTCTTGAACTCCTGACCTCAGGTGATCCGCCCGCTTCGGCCTCTCAAGGTGCCGGGATTAAAGGCATGAGCCACCACACCTGGCCTGTCTGTTGTTTTTTAAATTTAATTTTATTTTAAGCTCTAGGATACATCTGCAGGACGTGCAGGTTTGTTACATAGGCAAATGTGTGCCATGGTGGTTTGCCGCACCTATCAGCCCATCACTTAGGTATTAAGCCCCACATGCATTAGCTTTTTATCTTGATGTTCTCACTCCCGACTACCCCCAACAGGCCCCGGTGTGTGTTGTTCCCCTCCCTGTGTCCATGTGTTCTCATTGTTCAGCTCCCACTTATAACTGAGAACATGCAGTGTTTGGTTTTCTGTTTCTGTGTTAGTTTGCTGAGGATAATGGCTTCCAGTTCCATCCATGTCCCTGCAAAGGACATGACCTCATTTCTTTTTATGGCCGCATAGTATTCCATGGTGTATATGTATCACATTTTCTTTATCCAGTCTATCATTGATGGGCATTTTGGGTTGATTCCATGTCTTTACTATTGTGAATCGTAATAGTGATCATTTTTTGAGCACTTAGTGTGTGTGAGCACTGGGCTCAACACCTTTATTTATTTTTTATTAAAAAAATTTTTTTTGAGACAAGGTCTTGCTGTGTCACCCAGGCTAGAGTGAAGTGGCACAATCACAACTCACTGTAGCCTCAACCTCCTGCACTCAGGTGATCCTCCCACCTCAGCCTCCCTAGTAGCTGGGACCACAGCCACGTACCACCACAACCAGCTAATTTTTCTAATTTTTGTAGAGACAGGGTTTCACCATGTTGCCCAGGCTGGTCTTGAACTCCTGAGCTCAAGCAATCCTCCCACCACAGCTTCCCAAGGTGCTGGGATTACAGGTGTGAGCCACAACACCCGGCTGTTCAGCACCTTTGGATACACGATCTAATGTATTCCTTGTGATGGCTTTGTGAGTTATTATCCTTATTTTATAGATGGGGAAACTGGGACTCAAAGAGTTTATATAATTTTTGTTTGTTTATTTGTTTTTTTGAGACAGAGCCTTGCTCTGTCACCCTGGCTGGAGTGCAGTGGCACGATCTCGGCCCACTGCAACTTCCATCTCCTGGCCTCAGCCTCTCAAGTAGCTGGGATTATAGGTGCATGCCACCACACCCGGCTAATTTTTGTATTTTATTTATTTTATTTATTTATTTATTTTGAGACGGAGTCTTCCTCTGTTGCCCAGGCTAGAGAGCAGTGGAGCAATCTCAGCTCACTGCAACCTCCGCCTCCCAGGTTCAAGCAATTCTCCTGCCTCAGCCTCTTGAGTAGCTGGGATTATAGATGCGTGCCACCACGCCTGGCTAATTTTTATATTTTTAGTAGAGACAGAGTTTTGTCATGTTGGCCAGGCTGGTCTCGAACTCCTGATCTCAGGTGATCTGCCCGTCTTGGCCTCCCAAAGTGCTGGGATTACAGGCGTTAGCCATAGCGCCCGGCCGAGATTAAATAATTTGACCAAGGTCACACGGGTAGTATGAATCAGGGTTCAAATCCAGATCTGTCTGAGCTGAAGCTTATGCTCTGAACTAATTAGGCATGCAGCTTCCCTGGTAGAAAGCTTCTTTGTCCTCGTGCTAAGCTGTAGCTTCTCCAAGTGTCCTTTCTTTCCAGGGTAGGGTGGGGTGGGGTGGGGGTATCATACAAATCATGAGTGAGATGACAGTCACATTGGTATTTGGTACCTCAAAATTTTTTTCTACAAAGATCCCCAGTTTCCTAATTTTTTTCTGCTTAACATAATACTGAACTTCCTCACAAGATCATGCTGCTTAATTCTTTCTAAATCGTGTTTATCTTATTTTTTTCTAAAAAATAATACATGCATTTGGAACAAAACTTAAATATTAGAAAAAGGGTGTGTGTATGTGTGTGTGTGTGTGTGTGTGCATAAGGGTATACACATTAGATATGTATATAATGGTACACACACACACACATATATAGAGAAAGAGAGACTGTATGTTAGAGTGTTTTACAAAATATATCGATGGTAACATACTATAAAAAACATTCAGCACCATGCTTTTTTCTCTTAAAATATCTTGGGGATACATCCAGAGCTGCTTGTTGTTTTAACAGCTGCATCATGTTTTATTACATAGATGTGCCTTAATTTATTCAGCCAGGCTCATGGGTGATCATTTAGCTTGTTTCCAGTTTTTTGCTGCTACAAATAGTGCTGTATAAAATATCCTTGTATACATGGCTTTGTAAACATGCACGTATCTGTAAGATAAACTTCTAGAACTGGATTGATAACATTGCCAAATTGCCCTCTGAAAGGTTATACCAATTCAGACACTCACTGATCCATTTATAATTCCCTACTACAATATACCTTTGCCAACATAAGGAATCAAACTTTTTGATCTCTGGTAACTAATAGGTTAACTAATAGGTTAAAAAAAGGTATCACAGCTTTACTCTCTTACTAGATATTTTCCTTTGTTTTTCTTTTATGGCTTTTAAATTTCATGTCATGTTTAGAAAGATCTTCTCTACTCTCAGATTAAAAAATAATTCTCTCAAGACTCCTTTTGCTCTTTTGTGTTTTTTTTTTTTTTATGTTTAAACTGTTGATCCATCTCTTTTTTCCTAAAGTACCATGCCCAGAACTGAATGTAATTCTCCAGCACAGAGCAGAGCACAGCTCTCTCCACCTCCCTCATGCAGACATTGCTGTTCAGCCTACGATCACCCTAGCCTCTTGGCTGATAATGAATTTACTGTCAATTAAAACCGAAAGTGTTTTCACAGGTGCTGCAGTTAAGCCCTCTCTTCCCCATTCTGTATTTGTGCATATGCATTTATATTTATGGGAGAAGCAGAGGTGAGGGATTTGTTGCCTGAAAATACTCCAAAAAGCAGTTGCTCCAAAACAAAATTAAAGCAGAGAGCCAAGTTCAGATCACTTACTCTTGCACCGTCTTCCGTCCTCAGCTAGAACAAATCCCTCTGAGCATTTGCAGATGTAGGAATTCCCATTATTAACACAAATGTGTTCGCAGCCATGGTGGGTTGATTTGCAGACATCCTTCCCTGAGGAAAATGTAGGGAGTTGAACAATCCCATCAGTGTAGAAATGAGGTGAATTGAATAGTCATGTGAGTAGAGATTGTGGAAGTAATCTCTTTTAAAGAAAATACACCTCTCTTCAAACCTCCTTCATAATGTCTTTTGCAGTCTCATACTCAGGATGGGGAAAAAGCTCCTCTCAGAAAGCTCTAGCTCCCATGAGTCTGAATGGTACGATGGGTGATTAGGTGTCCTTGACTTACTATCCTATTATTAGATGTGCTTTAGCTTCTAATTTCTTTTGCCACAGACATCCCAAACACTCCAGTTCAGATTGTCTAATGAACATTTCTCATGTGTGAGGTAATTTAAACTCTTCGAAGTACTTACAGCCCTTTAACCCTCACAACACCCTGTGAGACAAGGAAGACAGGGATAATTATTCTCAAGGTATCAATGAAGAATTAGATCCTCAGAGAGCTTCACTGCTGCCCACGGTCATCTGGCAGGTTGATGACACAGCTGTCTCCCGAGTGCTCCTCCATAGCATGAGAGCCTATGGCTCTTTCCTGTCATTACCCCTTAAAAGGAGAGGCTTCACACAAAATTGGAATCAGTGAGAACACATCCCTCTAGGAAGCAGGAATGGTGAAATCTGATTTAGGATCAAATTCCAGAGGTAGAAGTTGTACCTTGTGTTCAATTTACTGAGCAATAAATGTGTTGAATGAATAAACAGTGTGTGTGTGAGTGTGCAGATGTTTGCAGAAAGAAAAGCATGAGGGCTGGGCATGGTGGTTCACACCTGTAATCCCAACACTTTGGGAGGCCGAGGCAGGCAGATTTCTTGAGCTCAGGTGTTCAAGACCAGCCTGGGCAACATGGTGAAACCATGTCTCTACAAAAAATACAAAAATTAACCGGGTGTGGTGGTGCACGCTTGTAGTCCCAGCTACTCAGGAGGCTGAGGTGGGAAGATCGCTTGAGCCCAGGAGGTGGAGATTACAGTGAGCTAAGATAGTGCCACTGCACTCCAGCCTGGGTGACAGAGTGAGACCCTGTCTCAAAACAAAAACAAACAAAAAGAAAAGCATGAACAAGCAGTGCAGACAGGCACAATGGGCAGAATTATAGACAAAATCTCCACAAGAGGGCCACTGCAGTGTGAAGCTGGACCTGCAGTTGTGAGGGGAATCCCTGCAGAGTTAGGCCAGGGTACCACAGGCATCCTAGGTGTCAGTCATTCACACAGAACTTCTTGCTAAAGGTAGGAGTCCCTCTTCCTGGAGGAAGAAGCGAGGTATTGAGATCCCTCCAACCCAGCCTTGTTGGCTTGTGGAATATCCCCAGTTATCTCAAAGGAGTCTGTGAGGAAATTCCCAAAAATCAACCTCAAAGCAACTGAACTTATTTTGACTTAATTGAAAAAGGGTTATTTTGCCCACTGGGGCAAAGTGTCACAAAAGCAAGTAGACTTTGTCAACCACCCCTCCCCCCAAAATAGGGAATTACCAGCTCAGAATCTCATGGTGGGGAAAAATCCCTGCTCTGTACTCTCCTAATGCCCACCTCACTGAGCTCGTATGACATCCCTCTGTTCCTTTGGGTACTGTGAAGGTTAATTTGATGTGTCACTTTGGCTAGGCTATAGTGCCCAGTTGTTTGGTCAAACACCAGTCTAAATGATGCTGTGAGCTAATTTTTAGATGCAATTAACATTTAATCAGTAGACTTTGAGTGAAGCAGATCAGATCACCCTCTATAATGTAGATGGGCCTCATCCAATCACTTGAAGGCCTAAAGAGAAAAAGACTGAGGTCCTCAGAGGAAAAGGGAATTCTGCATCCAGACTGCCTTCAGACTTGGGCTGCAGCATCAGCTCTTGCCTGGGTCTCCAGGCTGCCCTACAGATTTAGAACTTGCCAGCCCCTGACAATTGTGTGAGCCAATCCCTTAAAATCAACCAATCTTTTCCTCCCTCACAATATATGTGTGTTTGTGTGTGTGTGTGTGTATGTCCATTTTTCCTGTGGAGATGATATATTAATAGAAGATAGAAACAGACCATAGTATACATATATACATCACACACATATATATGTGTGTGTATATATATATATCTTCTATGATATATATAAATAGAAGATAGAACAGACCATAGAAGACATATATATATTATATATATGTCTTCTATTATATTTATATATAATAGAAGATGAAGATATACATAGAGAAGGTCTGTTTCTCTGGAGAACTCTGGGGAATACACCTTCTAACGAAACTCTCAGAGCCTGTTCTGGGTGACCTATAGAAGCAAATGATAAAAATAATAGAAAAAACCCACAGGAAATCCCTCTGATATGGTTTGGCTGTGTCCCACCCAAATGTCATCTTGAATTGTAGTTCCCACAATTCCCACGTGTTGTGGGAGGCACCTGGTGGGAGGTAATTGAATCATGGGGACGGGGCTTTCCTGTGCTATTCTGATTGTGAATAAGTCTCCACAAGATCTGATGGTTTTATAAAGGGGGTTTCCCTGCACAAGTTCTCTTCTCTTGTCTGCCACCATGTGAGATGTGCCCGTCACCTTCTGCCATGATTTTGAGGCCTCTCCAGCCAAGTGGAACTGTGAGTCCATCAAACCTCTTTCTTTTGTAAATTGCCCAGTCTCGGGTATGTCTTTATCGGCAGTGTGAAAATGGACGAATACACCCTTTCACCCTTTGCCCTTACTTTTACGGTCTGCCAAGAGGAGAAAGCTCTGTAATTAACCTTCAGTCCTTGTAGTGATTGCTGGCAGAGGTTCTAATTCAGTCCAGTGACTAGCACTGTGCGAGTTTCCGGGCACCCACACAGCTACTGTGGAAAGGGCTGATGGCTGGCAGAAAATGAAGAGAAGCAAAGAACCCAAAACTCAGGCCTTGACTGAGAAATTCCCGAAAAAGCAAGGGGCTACTGAACTGATCTCTAGCTAAACACTTTCAGAGCACCCAAGGCAGGAACTGACACTTGTGACAGTGGTAATAAAGGAGGACTTTAAGGATTAAATGAACTTCTCTAACTGTCTGAGTCCACAGAGGGAAAAGTTCTTCTCCACCTCGAGGCTACTTACTTCGGCAGCGTTTCCCATCCTCAGCGAGCCGGAATCCCTCCAAGCACTCGCACGTGTATGAGTCATCACTGTTCACACAAATGTGTTCACAGCCATGGTCTATAGCTTGGCAGACATCTTTCCCTGAAGACAGGAGAGCAAGTTACAACAATTTCAACAACATACATTTCACATGGACTTCACCTTGGAGGACCCATCCACTGGAGTCAGCTACTGGATTCTATCTGCCACCTGAGCTCAGTGGTCCATGGGGCAGGAAGTTACAATTGAGAACAAAGTTTAGCGGCTCTAATTCGGGCTAACCCTTCAAACTGTTTCACTGTCTTCACCATCATCGTTCACCAGCACTACTTTAGTGTTAAAATGCAGTCCATCATCAACTTTCTGTAGACATAGTTTCTGATATCAGAATGGAAACACTTGATATGATTCCTTAGGAGGTTAAACCTCAATTTAGATTAGCAGCACTGAAATCTAACTTTGGCTTTGTGCCTAACATAGTGTATGACTTAGGAGAATCACTTAACTTCTTGGAGTCTTAGCTGTGCTGTCCAAAAAATGAGAGAGTAATTATTCCAGTTACCCATCTTTTCTTCCAAAAGTGTCAACATGAGTTGCTCTTTATAAAGTGCTTTGAGACGTTGAGAAAAAGATAACTGATATGGATGGAAACCAGGGTCACACACTCCCCTTTGATTATTCAGAGATGTGTCTTGAGATTTACACCAGCAATTCACTCTAAGGCTGCTTGTCCTGGGCTG
This sequence comes from Homo sapiens, assembly GCF_000001405.40. Classification (NCBI taxonomy): domain Eukaryota; kingdom Metazoa; phylum Chordata; class Mammalia; order Primates; family Hominidae; genus Homo; species Homo sapiens. The sequence continues at coordinate 98,017,355 of NC_000008.11, read as the reverse complement.
GCTGGCTGCAGCCCCATCTAAGAGGCTTTGCCTTCTGAAAGGCAAAACTGGCTTCATCACAAGGTGCCCTTTGGGAGGGATTTGTGCTACCAGAAATAACAACAACAACATTATTAAAGATAAATAAGCAGAGAGGCTTAGAGAAGTTAGGCAACTTTCCCAGCTAATAAATGGCAGAGACAGAGGTTGACTGAATCTTGGATTTCTGACTGTCCATCTTTCCACTAGAGTATACTGCCAAACCACTGTTTCTTGCCACAGAGCATATAAGTGAAGAACTTCAGTAGTAGCTCTGGCATTGACTTTTTTTGTTTGTCCATTTTTTTAATAGACTTTATTATTTAGGACAGTTTTAGATTTACGCAAAAATTGAGAAGATAGCGCAAAGAATTGCAATATACCCCACACCTAGTTTTCCCTATTATTAACAACTCACATGAGTATGGTCCATTTGTTATTATTGATAAACCCATACTGATACATGATTATTAACTAAAGTCTATATTTTATTGACATTTACTTATTTTTTCCCTAATGTCCATTTTCTCTTTCAGGGTCCTATCCAGGACACTACATTACATTTTGCTGTGTGGCATTGACTTCTGAGAGGAACTGATATATACAGAGATAAGGATAGCGATTTCACACAGTGGTCTGGCATAGTAGTAGGAGCCAGCTCCAGTACAAACTTACTTCTGCAGGTTTTTCCATCTTCACGGAGTATATAACCTTCAAAGCACTGGCACACAAACGAATCTTCACTGCTTACACACGAATGTTCACAACCGTGGTCCCCCAGAGCACAAGAGTCCAATTCTGAGAATCAAATGGGAATTAGAGAAACAGAAGAAGAAAATGACTCATATATTAGTGGCTTATTCAATCATAAAAGACATTTCAGACACTTTGAATTAAAACAGTGCCTTATCCTACAGTACACATTTCAGAATATAAAGCATGTCTATGAGCAAAAATTCTTTTTTGAGAAAGGGTCTCACTCTGTCATCCAGGCTGGAGTGTGGTGGCGTGATCTCAACTCACTGCAGCCTCTGCCTCCCGGGCTCAAGTGATCCTCCCATCTCAGCCTCCCAGATAGCTGGGACTACAAGCGTGCACCACCACACCAGGCTAATTTTTTGTGGAGACGGGATTTCACCATGTTGCCCAGGCTGGTCTCGAATTCCTGGGCTCAAGCAATCCACCCACCTCGGACTCCCAAAGTGAGCAAAAATTCTTAATATACACATGGCACATAAAAATCAAACAATATAAATCATCTCCACAAGAAAAATGAACAAAAAACATGAGAATACAAGTTACAGAATGAGAGATAAATTACTTGTAAATATTAGAAAATAAGATTAACCTAACTGGCTATTATGTAACTATAATATCAACTTATTTACATATCTACTTATGTATGTATGTATATATTACACTTAGGTAACCAATTCATTCATGTATTCAGTCAGTTCACAAATATTTTGTGAGTCCCTGCAATGAGCCAGGCACTGTTTTAGACTCTGGGGATATAGCAATGAACGAAACAAAGTTTCTGCTTTTGTGAAGCTTACATTTGGCAGCAGGTGTCAGGAGAAGAGGGATGCGTGGAAAACAGACAAATATGTGATATGTCATGTGGGAAAAAGTGCTATGGAGGAAGAGCAGGATAGAAGGATGGAGAGTGGCTACTGGGCTGGAGAGTAGGGAGGGCTTGTTATATTATATGGTGTGTCAGATATGGTGACACTGAGCAGAGCCCTGCAGAAAGACAGGAAGTGAGTGGTGGTGTCTGGGAAAGAGCATTATCAGCAAGAAAGAACAGCATTTGCAAACTGCAGCAACGGGAGCTGCTTGGTTGGTGTGTTTCAGGAAAGGCAAGGAGACCACTGTGACTGGAGCATCCGGGAGCCTGGCAGGGGATGAGGCCAGCAAGGTTGGCTGGGGCAGACCATGTGGGGTTCACAGTGGGGGTCAGATCTGAAAGAGAAGGGCAGTCACTGCAGTGTTTTGAGCAGTGGAGTGGCATGATATGGGTTTGTTTTTAAAGGATCGCTCTGCACAGAATGGAGCTTGGACACCTGGGAGCAGCCCTGTGCAAAGATCTTGGTGGCCCAGACCAGGCTGGTGAGAAGTGGTCAGACTGGCTGTATTTTAAGGTAGAATCTATAAAATTTGTTCATGGATTAATACAAAGAGCCCATATGGATAGGACAGAAGAGTCAAGGAAGACTCCCAGGTTGCTGGACTGAGCAACTGAAGGATGGCATTGCCATCTTACAGGGCTGGGTGGCTTCTGGGGGACTAGAAGGTTTGTGAACCTGTGAAAACCAGGCTGTTACTTTAAAAGCTTAATACTGAGGATAGGTGAGTGGTGACTTTTTATAAGAACCCTACATATTTCTGAAAGTTAACTCAATCCTTTCAGATTGAGTAGAATTTCTAAAATGGACATGAATCGGAATTATTAAATAAAGGCCCCAAAGCACATAATGACCTTTATAATCAGGCACAAACCACACACTTTTTTTGGTAAAGCATCTTTGCAGTATCTCTCTGGAGAGGACTCCTCAGAACCACCTTTGGGTTAGTTAAGGCAGCTGTTGTTATTCTCACTCACCAGCTAGGGAAACTAAGGGTTGGGAAGGCTGATGGCTTGTCAAGACCAATTGTTAACAAGAGAAAGAACCAGACAAAAATTGTAATCTTATAAATAAATCCCCGTATTTTCTGACTATACTACATTGCTATATTCTACAGCAAGCTTTCAAATGTGAAGGGAATTTCTTTGGGGAGAAGCACTGCCAAAATCTTTGAAGAATGGGAAAAGTTTGATAACTGCAATTACAGCTGCAGAGGAGGCTCAAAGCCGAGTTGGACCCTCCTGTTTGCCCTGAGCATGACTTGCTTTTCTCAGCAAATTCTAGACTCACTATTAATGCAGAACATTTCCTGATGGTTTGGGATAGTTCCTCACATGGTGTAAGAGTGGAAAGTAGAGTTGAGTGATCCATGATATAGACAACTGGATGGCCATGGAGGTGAGGTGTTTTTTTTTCCCCCTACCGTGAATTTATAATACTACTACTACTCCATTTTCCATGGTAATAAAATAGCTATAGCTCTTTCACGTCAACCTTGTCAAGCCATAATCCAGACAGACCCCTAAGCCCTTCCTTCCTGGAGCTTCCCTTGTGCCCAGTCCTGTCCTCCTAGCTTCAGCTAAGGCTCTTTTTTTTCTTTTTTTTGAGACACAGGCTTGCTCTGTCGCCCAGGCTGGAGTGCAGTGGTGTCATCGCAGTTCACTGCAGCCTTGGCTCTTGGGCTCATGTGATCCTCCCACCTTAGCCTCCTGAGTAGCTGGGACTACAGGTGCATGCCACCATGCTTAGCTAATTTTCATATTTTTTGTTGAGATGGGGTCCCACTATGTTGCCCAGGCTGGTCTTAAATTTCTGGCCTCAAGTGATCCTCCCGCTTCAGCCTCCCAAAGTGCTGGGATTACAGGCATGAGCCACCACACCTTATCTGCAATGGATATTCTTGTGCATGTAGTTTTATGTACAATGTGAAGGCATACCTGAAAGTTACACATCCAGAAGCAGAATTGCCTAGGTAAAGGGTATGAATACTTAAAGGCAGATAAATATTTCCAAGTCATCCTCCAAAGAGATTATTTCAATCTCTACTCTCACCAACAATGTAAGACAGTCTCTGTTTCTGTTTCTGATTCAGGGTTTCTGGGATGCTGCCTGGGCCTTTAGACTTTTTCCTAGCCCCATAGATGATTTCAACGAATCATCAGAGGTGAGATGTTGGCAGTGGCCATAATGCCTGGCACCTAACAGATCCCTAGGAAAGACCTGTTGAACAAAAGGAAACATTTCCTCAGTTTGCTATTCTGAAAATTGAGGGTAATTAGATCCACCTCACAGGGGTTTTGTGCAGATGTTTTAAATAAGAACCCCATGGGATGTGTGGATGTTTGTGGCCAGCTAGGCTTCCCACTCTCTCCCACACACCCACCTTGCAAAATGCACGACTCACATTTGTTCAGCAAAATGTCCAGTTTCTGCCCTTCAGGGATGTTCTGGGCCACTTATAAATTCAAAGAACCGTGGATGGGAAATTAGAGAATGCCAAAGGTGGATGATAGTTAACCTCCTGACCATAGGCGCTAGCTTTCTATCCACCAAGTCTGGAAACCAACTTGGAGTCAGTTTCTACCCAGGGCAAAGATACTCCCCTATAGGAAAATGCTTCAGTGGTCCCCTAACAGGCAAACAGAGCCACCACCCCTGACTCAGTACCACTGGGTGTCTTCAGCCTGGGAGACTATGGTGGGCACCACAGTAAGTCCATTCATTCAGCAAGTGTTTACGGAGCACTTATCTGAGCCAGGCAATATCCTTGTTTGGGTGCTGGAAGTTCAACTCATTGGATATGAACTAGTCCAACCCCTTCATTAAAGATGAGAAAACTGATGGTCAGAGGGGAAGTGACTTTCCCAATGTCCCTGAACCTTCAGAGGTGACTGGTCTTAGCTGTCCTGGGGGCAGAGATGGGACTATATTCAAATAGACCTCCGTGTCCCTGGTCCAGCTGCACATCCACAGATCATCCTAGCTTAAGGGAGTGTGCTGAGGCAGCCTGGCAGATTCTCAGAAGACAAACTAGACAAAAATCATTTTCTCAAGAGAGGCCAGCCAGGAAGTCTCTGAAGGCTGTAGGTGGGTGATGTGTCCCGCCGGCGTCCCCAGGCTCGTTTCTCACCCACCGCCTCCCTCTCGCATTCAGTACCCCGTACTCAGAGCACAGAACTTCCTGCAGTTCGCTCTCTGGCCCCTAGTGAAGCATTTCCCCTCCATCTCTGGCTGGCTCACTGTACTCACTCTCTGGGTGTCGGATTAAACATCTTTCTCTAGACTAGGGGAGGCTCCCACAGCCCCCTCCTCTGGGTGTTGGATTAAACTTCTCTTTCTCTAGACTAGGGGGTGCTCCCACGGCTCCATCCTTCTCACATCACCACTCTCACCATAAGGAATGGACGCTGTCTCTGCTATCCTTCTTCCCCGAGAAGCTTTAAACACTGTCAGGGCACAAACCGAATCTGCATCAACCCCAGAGATCCCCAGCACCCCGCACAATGCAGGTACACAGTAAATATTTGTAGAGAACGAGGGTAAAGGAACCAAGCGCTTAAGGAAGTACCTAGATTCAAACCCAGAGAGGAGAGTAAAGACAGACTCCATTAGGAGCCATCACTTAAGTGAAATAGGTGGGAGGATGTAAGAAATCTCAAGAGGGAGAAAGAAAACATTTTTCCTCTCAAAGAAGGATTCTCCTCCTTTTACACATAAGGACCCAGGCCTATGTGTTTAATTAAACCCTCATCGTGAATGGATTCTGCAGCGTGTGCTCAGGATGATTAGAAGTTTTAGGATGTAGCACGGGTCTTTAGGGTCCCTGTCTAGCAGCCCTGCACGCTGACACAGGTGAGTCACGTAAGTCTGTGGCGCAGCAACAGTGGGGCAACGTGTTCTGTGGACTTGCACCTCTGCCGTGATGACAGACAGCAATCCTGCGTCTGGGGCTCCACATAAGACGTTGTTAAAACCAACCCCAACCCCAGAGAGAGAAAGCCACAGTGGCCATCTGCCAAGACAGTAACCAGAAGCCGACAGATAGAATTACACTGCTTCCTGGCTTTTCTCGTAATAAAACTAGCAGCAGCCAATCCTTTGCTAACTTAATATAGGCTTTTTCTCAGACAAACCAAGAAGCAGCTGAACTGAGATGTGCTTTTCCAGGGCATCTCACACTGGGCAAAAGATCCTAAAATCAGGGGACTCGGCTCTGGTCCTGGCTCTGCCACTGACTCCCCGACCAGGGCCAGCTTGGAGGCATCACTTTCCTCCATGTGTCCGTTTCCCACAAAATAAGGGAAAATCTCTAGTTTCCTTCTGTTGCATCAAGCCTGTAATGTGAATACATGAGAGTGAGGGTGGTCCCCTCCCCCTACTCCCTGCTACAGACTGTTTCCCCCAAAATTTACATCTGAATCCCTAACCCTGATGTGAGGGTATTCAGAGGTGGAGTCTTTGGGAGGTAATTAGGTTTAGATGGGGTTGTGAGGGCAGGATCCTGACCTGATAGGATTAGTGTTCTTATAAGAAGAGACACCAGAGAACTTGCCTGCACTCTTTTGCTCTCTCACCCCCTACAACCCATGCAATATGAGGACACAGCTGGGTGCTGGCTGTCTGCAAACCAAGAAGAGGGCCCTCACCAGAACCCAGCCATGCCAGCACCTGGATCCTGGACTTCCAGCCTCCAGAACTGTGAGAAAGAAATTTCTGTGGTTAAGAAACAACATTCAGTCTATGGTATTTTGTGATGGGAGCCCGAGTAGACTAAGACACTCCCCTAGCCTCGCCTAGGCCTGCCTCAGCCCTGGAAGGCCAAGCTCAGGGCCTCAGGCAGCCTAACAGGCCCTCGCAGATCTGCCTGTGGTAGTTGGACTGGGAGTATCACCAGCAGAGATCCCCCAGTGCCCTAGGCTGACGGCTCTGATCCCCGTTGGTGTCCTCCGCTTGCAGAAGGGAGGGTCCCTCATAGGACAGCCCTTGGACTCCTGAGTCCAGCCCACTTCCAGAGTTGTGTGTCTCTGGGGCCCCTCCAAGGAGAGCAGGCCTGGCCCTGGCAGATGGGTTTCCAGGCAGCAATACCTTCTGAGTCTCCTCAGTGCAGGGGGTTCTGATGCTGGGAGGGGAGAGAGGAAGAGGAATTCCTTAGGGGTCACGGCAGTCCACAAGTTCACATAGCACTGCAACAGCAGTCTCCCTGAACCACACAGTGGCCTTGAAAGGCAGCAACGACCATTCTCAGTTTAGAGATGAGCAGTCAGACCCCAAGAGGGCCAATTCCCTTGCCTAGGGTAGAAGCGACACGATTTAAACCCAGTCTTTGGGCTTCCAGTTCAGTACTCTTTCTGCTCTGCCACACTGTTTCTCAGACATGTGCACAGAGAGCCCCAGGGTGAGGCTGGGCAGGAGAGCTCTGCAGAGAGGCCCCAGCAGAGCCTGGGGTGGGAGGAGGAGAGGAGAGCCTATCAGGTGGGAGAGGAGGTTACCCATGGGGGTGACATTGGGATGGGCTGGAAGGCACCAGGCCTGTTCAGAGAATGGGGGACTTGCCACTTTGGCTAAAGAACAGGAGGCGGCTTCAGGGAGGGCCTGGGGTGAGGCTAAAGAAGTGGAAGAGGGGGTTCTGCACTCTGCCAAATCAAGGAGTGCAATGGAAATTTATTCTGGGAGACAGTGGAGAGCCACTGAAGGTTATCAAGCGGGGAGCGGACCCTGTGCCAGGGGCCGTGGGGCAAAAAGACAGGTGGCCTCTGTCCATTCACGCTCCCAGTCATTTCATGTTGGCCTCTGACCTCCAACCTCCAGGAGCTTGCAGGCCAGTGGGCAGTGTGGTCCATGCACATCAGGCCTATAGAGTCTTTCTTGGTGCTGGGATGCCCTTGCACAAGGTCAATCTCAGGGAAACGTCTAGAGAGGGAAGGAGTCTGCGCAGCTGCAGCTGGTAAAAGAGATCGCCCCATCCCCTCCCCGACCCCCCACACCCTGAGTCTGTGCATCTAACTGCCCGAGGCAAAAAGGCCTCTGGGGAAAATCTGGGAAAGCAGAGCTTGCGGTCAGGGGGCTGGAGGAAGGGAGGGGACATCGCTCCAGAGGCCAGAGAACCCAAGGTGCCTGAAGAGGTAGGGGCACAGCAGTGCCCATCTCATCCCAGGGCCCCTGGAACCCCTCCACACTTCAGAGAACTTTCCAGAAGGTGAGTGACACATTCTTAAGACCACTTGCTATCAAAGCTCTAAGTGGAGGCTGCCTCTATAAAGAGCCAAGGACACTCTTATCTGCTGAGCCAGGCCTGACTGCCCCCCAAAAGGCTTTACCAAATAGGTGCAGTCATGTCGTCTGGCCCTTTGTCATTGAGAGTAGAGCTGGGGAACACACATCCCAACCCCCAGTTAGCTGTGGCCACGCTGAAAACCTAGCCCATTATTACAGGACAGGACAGTCAGAATGAATCATTCTGGGACAGGCAGAAAGTCTTCAATTAGGGGAATAGCTCAATGCATATGTATCAGCTGGTGGGTGAAATGCATCTCTCCTATACGGTTCCTGAGGACAATTCTCACTTATCTGACTATCTCACAAGTTCTCATCTAGATACAACCACATATAAATAACAAAATTCACTATTCATTGCATTGTTGGACATTTACTCATGTAGATGGTTCCACTGTGCCATTGGTTAGAAACCCACTTTAAATGAGAAAATGGGCAACACTTAAAAGTGGTCAGGTCAAAATCCAGATGTGGACCTGGGCAGGGGAGAGGAAGGGGCACCTGATTCAAAGGAGATGGAGCTGCATTTGTTTAGAAGGGCTCATGAGAATTTCGTAGGGTCCTACAACCATCTTGTAGTCAGTTCTTGATTATTACAGGAACGAGGTGGACAGAAGAATGACTCCTCTTATTCTCAGAATAATCTAAAATGATGGAGAATTAAACAAACCAACAAACCCCTTACATCTGGCTTTGGCATGCTGTCAATGTCGATGCAGTTCAACACACCCACCCTCTTTCTGCACCCCCTGTGCCCGATCCCTCCCTGAGCTGGCTGCAGCAGCAGTCTGGGAGGCAGCTGGGCAGGGAGCCACCGAAAGCTATAACATGGATAACCCATTTGCTAAGATCCAAGGATCTGTCCCAAACTGGAAATATTTTCTCACAGGCAGCATAGAGAGGCACGCCCAGCTGTGCAGCCAGCTCATCTGCCTAGATGAATAGATGATATAAAAAGTGGATAAATTAGGTTGTGCCTACAATTATACCAGTGGTCAGGGAACTTGGCCCTATAACCAGAAAGACCAGCAGGCTGGGGAAGATAAATGGTGGTCCTTTTCTTTCATTTCTGATTCCTTCTCTCAAAATGACCATATTTCGATTCTTTATCTTGGTCCACTTCGAAACAGGATTTCAGGGCAACAAACACACCAGCATTCTTCAGTAAAGGAGAGAAGGAGGTCTGGGAGCAATTTTTTTTTTTTTAATTGAGACAAGATTTGGGACCAGCTGCAAGGAAATATGTACCCAGGACACATCACTGCCAGCCTCACCATGTGCTGTGAGATCACCGGGGTCAGAAAGCAGGGCAAAGCGTTTCTCAGGAGCATCCTCTTCTCCCAGGACTGACTTTGGAATCACAGCCAGCAGAGTTTGAACCCACCACTCACTAGCTGGTGACCTTAGGCTCTTTACTTAATCTGAGCTACAGTTTTTCCTCATCTGTCCCCTGAATGCAACAGCATGTGTGCTTAGCACAGTGCCCAGCATGCAGCTAGCAGTCAGTGAGGGGTCCACATTATTATTATTCATGTGCCATACTAGCTGGCTGGGGGTAGAGCAGAGAGAGCTGAGGACAAGGGCTCTGTCCAGCTTCAGAATGACAGGGAGGTGGAAACAGCAAAAAGCCACTTCAGGGCACGGGGGAAGGAAGATTGAGGGGAGTTGGTGAAGCAGCCACCAAGGCTTAATGGCTAAGAGATGCTGTCACACACATTCATGCAGGCCCAGCAAAGCCTGGAGACAGGACACACAGGCACATATACACGTCGGCAGCGCACCCACACCGGCACCCACGGAACACCTGTGCAGGTCCTGCTTGTCCTTCAGACACTTACTTGCACACGTCTTCCCATCGCTGCGGAGCACGTGTCCCTCAGGACACTGACAGGCAAAGGATCTGTCCATGTTGACACAGGAGTATTCACAACCATGGTCACTCAGCAGGCAGTAATCCACCCCTGCAAAACCAAAAGCCAGGCAGCCCTTTATCAGTGAGACCTCTGGGCGACAGTGATTGGATCAAGTGACCGTCATGCTCACCCCGCCCTCCCTCGAAGGCATGCAGTCCCAGTGGACATCCTCACTATCTCCTGGAGCAGAGCAAGGGGCAGGGGAGGGGTGCCCAAGTACAACCTGTGCCCTCTGCAGTCACATAGGTTTCACTCCTGGTGCAAACCTTCCCCTATGAGAGGAGCGCGGAGGGACTCACGGGAGCAGGTCTTGAGGTCCTCGTTGATGAGGAAGCCTTCTGAGCACTGGCAGACGAAGGAATCCTCCGTGTTCAGACACAGCTGCTCACAGCCATGGTCCTGCTGTGCACAGTGGTCCACTCCTGCATTTTCACACACGCGAAAGCATAGAGGAGCCGAGGGGGCAATACCCCACCAGCAACCAAGATTCAAAAACAAAACCGGAGGCATAACAAGCCACAGGGAAGGTGTCATTCTACCCCACATCACTGATCCCTCTAGAAAATCAGCCTGGCTTGTTGGTTTTCTTTCCCTTTTCACCCAGGCTGGAGTGCAGTGGCGAGATCTCGGCTCACTGCAACCTCCACCTCCTGGATTCAAGCGATTCTCCTGCCCCAGCCTCCAGAGTAGCTAGCTGGGGTTACAGGTGCCTGACACCATGCCCAGCCTTCTTTCCCATTTCTTTCTTTGAAGGGTAAAGCATACAACTCCAATGGCTGGGGAATGCTGTCCCTGGTGTTGACGACAGCAGCACTCTGCCAGGGCCATGGCGCACAGAATCCACAGTCTCAGGGCACCTCTGAGAGCAGGTGCAATTCCCATTTCACAGAGAGGAAAGTGAGGCTCAGGAAGGTCAAGATCAAAGCCACACAGCTAATAGAGTAGTGCTTAGAATGCAGGTTCTGGCATCAAACTACCTGGGTTCAAATCACACCTCTGCCACTTCCTAGCTATGGATGCTGGGCAGTCCCACGGCCTCTTTGCCATCGTTTCCTGATTTGTGAATGTGGATGTTGATGGTTGCTTTCTTATAGGAATAGGGTGAGAATAAGAGGGGTTGATTATGTAAAGCGCTCAGAACAGTAGCTAGCATACAGCAACCACTTAATGAACACACTATTATTATCAAGTAGTGCTGAGTAAGAATTAGTCATATAGTTTCATTTCTAATTGAAAATGAAAAAGAGTTGTCATTCTCCATGAAATCAATTTCTATTTTTTTTACCCCCATTATCAGGACATCCAGATTAAAAAACAAACCAAAGCCTGGGACTGCATGTGTGGCCTATCCTGGCATCCGAATGCTGCACAGCTGGTCCTCCGGGCAGCAAGTGCCGAAGGCTAATGAACACACAGCTGTGGTGAACAGCTCCCACTAACAGCCCTGCAGGCTGCTTCCCAGGTTTCCCTTATGGAGAAAATGCACCTCCAGAGACTGGACAGACACTGGAGGCCTGGTGCAGGTCTGCCAAGTGGGCCTCTTGACTCCCGCAGAGTCTGGGACCAGTGCCTTCCAGAACATTCCACTGGTGGATGCATCTCCTGCGAACACTTGCTGGATCTTGGGAGCTACATGCCTGTGTTCACATCCTAGTGTTGCCATTTGTTAATCACAGGACCCCAGGACAGTGACTTAATCCCTTTGTGTCACAGTTTGCCCTTGTTTAAATAGCGACAAGAATGTGGGTGCCCAGTAGGGCGGCTGTGAGGATGCAGGGAGTTTATGCATGGGAAGTGCTCAGGGCATTGCCTGCACAGAGTGAGCGCCTCAGAATTGCTTGCTGTCTTTATGGCCTGGGCTCCCTGATTCCTCTGAGAAAGCAGAAGCCTGTGGCTTTCTCTAAGGACTGCGAGACAGAAACAGCTTGGTTTGTACTTTCTTAGAGTTGACTAGATCCCAGAGAGAAGGGAGGGTCCCGATCTCTTGTGGTCCGTTCTTAGAGCTCTTCTGGCCCCCGGAAGCATGCTGGGAGGGGCAGTCAAGCCATGTCCCTGGTGATCTGCGTGGGCTCAGCCAGGTCAGGACCACCTGCCCTGGGAAAATTGCCAGGGCCATCAGCTGGCAGACCTGACACTCCGGGAAACAGGCAGGATACACACAGATCCATGGTCACCAGGGCATCTCCTGTTGAATGGGAGACCCGCTCCCCGCTGGCCTCTCAAAAGGACTCAGAGACATGCAGAGGCAACGTACAGCAGGCACTGACTTTGGCACCACTTTCCAGTTCAAAAGCCCTTTGGCCTCTGAGATCAGTCCTTAGAAAGCCTTTACCGGGCACTTTGTTCTCTCTGGACACTGGAGGAGCCACGCTTTCCTGAGGACTGCCCTGGACCTCTTATTTCATCTGGGAAACTTCCCTGCTGGCAGCGTGGAGCCCAGGGCTCAACAGCTGCACTGTCCTCACTCACAATCTATCTCTTTCTCCAAAGGGAGCAGATGTGGGGCTTGCTGAGTGGAAAGGCACATAAAGGGCCCCTTCTGCATAGGCCATGTCATGGAGATGGGCCCCCTCTCCCGCATGCCAAGGGCATAGGGTCCATCACCACACTCAGGCGCTCCTATCCTGCTGGCCAGGACCCGTGGAGATGGTGCCTCATAAAAAACCATGGAGCCGCCCAGCTGGCAGAGCTTGCAAGTTCCCATACATTTACATCACCCAGTGGAGCTTTGTTGTGGCTCTGACACAAGAAAATTAAGACAAGCCTTCTCAGAAAATCCCATGTTTCTTGATTCTGCTCTCAGATCAGCCTCTGCAGCCCATTGCTTTCCAAGGTCTGTCCCCTCCGGCCTCTTGTCCCAGTCTGGCGCCAGGCACTGGCCCCTCTCACAGGCTCCATGATAGGAACAGTTCCCCTTGATTGGAAGTTTACCCTGTGCCAGGCACCAGGCTAACATATCAAAATGGCTCCTATTTCTCCCTATAAAAACCCTGTGGGAATAATACGACTATTAGTTTTGCTTTTTGTCATAAATGGGAAATCAAAGCATGGAGAAGTTAAATAACTTGCCCAAGTTCACACACATCTAGTAGGTGGGAGAGGTTGGATTTGAAATTAGACCTGTCTGACCTAGTAAATACACTTAACAGCAAATACTAATATTAGTTAACATTTATTGAGTGCTTATGCCTAGCAGTGCTGTTCTAAGTATTTTACTCCTATTCTTTTTTTTTTTTTTTTGAGATGAAGTTTTGCTTTGTCGCCCAGGTTGGAGTGCAATGGCGCAATCTCAGCTCACTGCACCTCTGCCTCCTAGGTTCGAGTAATTCTCCTGCTTCAGCCTCCCGAGTAGCTGGGATTATAGGCACCCACCACCACACCCAGCTAATTTTTTGTATTTTTAGTAGAGATAGGGTTTCACCATGTTGGCCAGGCTGGTCTTGAACTCCTGACCTCAGGTGATCTGCCCGCCTTGGCCTCCCTGTGCTGGGATTACAGGCGTGAGCCACCGCGCCCAGCCTATTCCTATTAATTCTTTTAATCCTTGCAACCCAAGTTGGCTAGGCCGATAGCATTAATAGTCACATTCTATGGGTGATGAAACTGAGGATAAGGAAGGATACACCTGACAGACCATCAGGAAACCCGGTGGGCTCCAGAAATAACTGGTTGCTAGTGAACCCGCCCGCCCCCATGAGTGGACCCCACCTTCCATCAGCACCCCACCCCTAGGGTACACTCACGGCTGCAGGTTTTGCCATTGGGGTCCAGAGTGTAGCCACGGTGGCAGCGGCAGTAGTAGCTCTCCTCCATGTTGACGCACTCATGCTCACAGCCCGGTTTGTTCAGTGCACAGTAGTTGATCCCTGAGGGGAAGAAGGGCAGACCTTCCTTCAGACTCTGGACCTCTCCCAGGGCTGATGGCAGCCCCTCGGGGCTCCCATGAGCCCCCATGGAGAGGGCTGGTGGGTGCTGCCTGCTGAGGCAAGCCGGGACGGATCATTCATTCGTTTGTCTGCCAGCCAAGTGCCAGGCCTTGAGCTAGATTCAGAGATTTAATGACGACTGAGATGGAGGCCCTGCCTCAATGGGTTCAGGCTCTGGTGAGGAGTCAGACAAGGACAGCAACTAAAAGACAATGCAGAGCACAGAGCAGGGGCCTCACTGAGTCCTGGGGTGAGAGGGTCTTCCAAGAAGAGATAAGGCCAACAGGAGGCCCCAGGGAGGAGGAGGAGTTCCATAGGTAAGGGAGCTCAACAGGAAGAAGAACATGAGGACTCGAGGACAGCAAACGCAAACACCTGAGGGTGAGGAGACAAAAAACACAAGTGCTTGGGGATGAGGGAACAGTGAACACAAATGCCCGGGGATGAGGGGACGGTGAACACAAATGCCCGGGGATGAGGGGACAGTGAACACAAACGCCCAGGGATGAGGGGACAGTGAACACAAATGCCTGGGGATGAGGGCGAGGGGCATGCCTGGGGAGCTGTGAGGAGCTGAGTATGGCTGGAGTGTGAGGAGAGAGATGAGGCTGGGAGGCAGAGGGAGCTGGCCCACCTGAGCATGACTGGACGTGCGGGCTTTGCAAGCCCCAGGATGGATCAGTGAAGGCTCTAAACAGGTGACTAGAGGTGAGAATGTTGGTGGAGGTGACAAGGCCAGGGTTATGTCTTGAAGAAGACTTTGCAGTAGAGGTGGAAAGGCAGGCAAACTTCACTAAATCTTCAGGAAACCAGGTGAGCTACAGGACACAGAGAAAATAGCTCCTGCTCTCCAGGAGCTTGTTTAAAAGAGGGCCTGGCACCTGAAGTATACCTGTGGATTCTCCAGCATTTTCCCTCTTTGATGGCCAAAGAGCAAGCCAAGGCTCAGTTGAGCTGAGCTGAACTGAGTCAGTGGCCAAAGAGCTGAGAGCTGGGGTGAGAGCCACGCTCCCCAGCCTACCTCCTTCCAAGAAAGATGGAAAAGCTAAGAAAATCCAGTATCTCTCTCAGGTTAACCTGATCACTTGGGCTCAAAGCATGTAGAGAGCTTCTGTCTACAGTGACATCTGACAGTGACATTGGACGGCACAAGGCAAAATAAACAAAAGGTGATCTTGCAAAATATCCAGCTATTTAGGGACGCAGGGGTTGGCAGTTTCATGAAGAAGGATCTAAATGCTTCGCCTTGCTCTGTTGAGACCACGCTGGCATAGTATCGTGGGACTGGAGGAGGCGTATCTCTGATGCTGCCCCAGGCTACTGCAATTCTGTCCTATGGTAAGGTCACTCTATCCATGCTGTGTTTCTGCCAGCAGATGGAAACTGTGTCATAACCAGGAGCCAATAAGCAATTCCTTTCCTGGTAGAAAATGCTAAAGCCATAAGACCCCACACATAGCAGGCTCCAGGGAAGATAGAGAACTGGAAAAGGACACAAAATGAGCTTGTGGAGAGGCTTTATGAGACTGGTGTTGCGGGAAAAGGTCACCACCGACCTCATTGGCTGGGCTGGATCAGTTTAACTGCACAGCATTGTTCTTTTTCTGGGGATGTGGCAGACACTGTTGGTTGTCTTGCCAATAACCATTACCCCATGACCCCCAAGCATGAGTCATGGCTGGTCTAAGCCAGCGTGGCAACCATGTTCTTCTTTGTCAGTCATTGGTCAAGGGGTGGGAATATGCCCTAGTTCTGACCAATGAAACATAAGAAGCTTACTGGGGGCCCTCAAGAAAGATTTTTCTTCCTGAAAAGACAAAGGTGGCCAGGCACAGTGGCTCATGCCTGTAATCCCAGCACTTTGGAAGGCCAAGGTGGGCAGATCACTTGAGGCCAGGAGTTCAAGACCAGCCTGGCTAACATGGTGAAACCCCACCTCTACTAAAAACAAACAAACAAAAAAACAAAATTAGCTGGGCATGGTGGCATGCGTCTGCAATCCCAGCTACTTGGGAGCCTGAGGCATGAGAATCGCTTGAACCCAGGAGGCAGAGGTTGCAGTGAGCTGAGATTGTGCCACTGCACTCCAGCCTGGGCAACAGAGTGAGACTCTGTCTCAAAAAAAAAAAAAAAAAAAAGACAAAAGTGTATAAAGAGAAATGCTTTTCTCTGCTCTCTGTCCTTTCTGCCTTTGAGTCTTGTAGTGTAAGGATATGATGCTGGTAGCTGCAGCAACCATCTTGTAACCAAGAGGTGACAAGGATGAAAATGTAAATGCAACATACTTTGCCAGAATAGAAAGACAGAAAGAGTCTGGGTTCTTGATAATATCACTGAGTCACTGAGCCATCCATAGGACCAACCACCTTTGGACTTGTCAGGTAAAAAATAAAAGTCCTTCTGACTTAAAACACCATTAATTGGATTTCCGGTTTTGTGTGAACAAAAAGCACCATAACTGATACAGGGGAAATGATCTGAAATCATAAAGTAATGACTAGATTTTATTTTTACCATGTATCTGCCCAAAAGTTATTTGACGAAGCTCACATCCACAAATCACTTAAAGATATGACACATCACCCTCTTGTCTCAGTGGCTCCTTGCTGCACTGGCTAACCTCTATCTTCCTTCACGATCAGCTCAACATCATTTTGTCATCTTTTGTGACCTCGTAGATGAAGTCAGTTCTTTCTACAGGACCTCTCTTTCGTAGCATTCATCACAATGGTTATGTAGTATGTTTTGTATCTGTGATGCTTCAAAGTCTGTTTCTTTCACTAGACTGAGTTCCACGAGCAGGGACCATGCCATCTTTATTTTTCTCACTATTAGTGGCAGTCTGATAGTTACATTAGTGATGATAATCATAGCATCATAGCTGCTGCCATTTCTTAAATACCTGCTGAATGCCAGATGCTGTGCCAACCACTTTACAAACATAACTTCATTTGACCCTGCAAGATATGTGTGATTGTTAACCATATTTCTTTTTTTTTTTTTTGAGACGGAGTCTCGCTCTGTCATCCAGGCTGGAGTGCAGTGGCGTGATCTCGGCTCACTGCAACTTCTGCCTCCTGGGTTCAAGCAATTCTCCTGCCTCAGCCTCCTGAGTAGCTGGGACTACAGGTGCCCGCTACCACACCCGGCTAA
Organism: Homo sapiens; assembly: GCF_000001405.40. Classification (NCBI taxonomy): domain Eukaryota; kingdom Metazoa; phylum Chordata; class Mammalia; order Primates; family Hominidae; genus Homo; species Homo sapiens. The sequence continues at coordinate 98,000,447 of NC_000008.11, read as the reverse complement.
TTTTTATATATTTAGTAGAGACGGGGTTTCACCATATTGGCCAGGCTGGTCTCGATCTCCTGACCTTGTGATCCACCCGCCTCAGCCTCCCAAAGTGCTGGGATTATAGGCGTGAGCCACCGCACCTGGCCTGTTATCCATATTTCAAAGCTGAGGAATTGAGGTTTAGCGAGGTTAATAACTTGATCAAGATCCACTGCTAGTAAAAATGGAAATGTGAATGGGACCCAGACCTGAAGGACCCCTCAAAGGGTCTCTTAAAGGATCTGGCTGGACACAGTGGCTCATGCCTGTATCCCAGCACTTTGGAAGGCTGAGGCGGATGGATCACTTGAGGTCAGGAGTTCAAGACCAGCCTGGCCAACATGGTGAAAGCCCACCTCTACTAACAATACAAAAATCAGCCAGGCATGGTGGTACATATCTGTAGTCCCAGCTACTTGGGAAGCTGAGGTGAGAGGATCGCTAGAACCCAGGAGATGGAGGTTGCAGTGAGCCAAGATCGCGCCACTGTATTCCAGCCTGGGTGACAGAGTGAGATTCCGTCTTTAAAAAAATTAAAAAATTAAAAAAAAAAAAAAAAAAAGAATCCGTGACGTGCCCTCCCAGGTGACTGGTGGCTGGAGCTTGCTTCATGCCCAGAGTATGAGCAGAATGGCTGCAGACAGAGTGCATGGAGAGAAGGTCACAACATGCAGGGCTGGTGTAGAAGAAAAGACATCACCTTGCTGTGTCACTGACCCTTGGCACTCTCTCTGGAGCTCACTCCCATGTGAGGAGAGGCAGGATATTGTTAGCTGTGTGCAGTTTCTATTCATCTACCTGAAACTCATCAGCAGCCTCACCTGTGCAGGCCATAACTGAGTGCCAGGAAACAAGCCAAGAGCTTTGATGGAGGAAAATAGGCCTGGCAATAAAACACCAGTCACAGACAGACAGACAAACACAGAACAGGAAGGGCCCGCAGTCTACTGCCTGTAGGAATCACTCCATTACACCATCAGGGAAAGGTGAAATGATCTTTAGTCAACTCTCTTTTTAAAACCCAGCATTCAGCCACTGTGGAAAACAGCATGGCGGTTCCTCAAAAAATTAAATATAGAATTAACCATATGATCCAGCAATTCCATTTCTGGGTATACACACCCAAGTTCATAGCTGCATTAATAAATAAAAGTCAAAAGGTGGAAGCAACCCAGGGATCTATCAAAGGATGAGTACAAAGGATGATGTATAGATACAATGGAATATTATTCAGCCTTAAAAAGGAAGGAAATTCTGACACGTCCTACAACTGAACGAACCTTGAAGACATTATGCCAAGCAATATAAGCTGGTTACAAAAGGACAAATATTCTATGATTCCACTTATATGAGGCACCTAGAATAGTCAAATTCATAGACAAAAAGTAGATTGGTGGCTGCCAGGAGATGGAGGAGGAGGAGCTGGGGAATTATTGTTTAATGGGTATAGAGTCTCAGTTTGGGGTGAAGAAGTTCTGGAGATTGAAGGTGGTGATGGTTGCACAACAATGTGAATGTGCTTAATACCACTGGACTAGATACTTAAAAATGGTTAAAATGGTACATTTTATGTTATATATATTTTGCCACACTAAAAAAGCCAATGTTGTCTTTAAGAAAAATTTATATTTACGTATTGCAAAACAACATATTGTATACAAGTATACAATTTTTATGTCAATTTTAAAAAATAAATAAATACCAAAAAGAGGTACAACTATGTTGTAACAATTTTAAAAATATAAAAAAAAATTTTTAAAATTTTAAAAATATAAAAAAATATGCTGAAGCTCTCGCTTCAGCAGCACATACAATAAAAATATAAAAAGAAAAACATTTTTAAAAAATTAAAATAAATTAGTAAATAATGTTTCAAGCAAGATTTTTTTTTTTTTTTTTTTTTTGAGACAGAGTCTCACTGTCGCCCAGGCTGGAGTGCAGTGGCACGATCTCGGCTCACTGCAAGCTCCGCCTCCCAGGTTCACGCCATTCTCCTGCCTCAGCCTCCTGAGCAGTTGGGACTACAGGCGCCCGCCACCAAGCCCGGCTAATTTTTTAATATTTTTTAGTAGAGACGGGGTTTCACCGTGTTAGCCAGGATGGTCTCGATCTCCTGACCTTGTGATCCGCCCGCCTCGGCCTCCCAAAGTGCTGGGATTACAGGCGTGAGCCACCGCGCCCAGCAAGATTTTTTTTTTAAAGAATGATTTACACATGAGATAATTCAACTGAAAACCATTTAGATTCTTAAAGAGGTTATCACCCAGCAATCTGGCAGGCAGCTATTCAAATACCACCCTTTTCGGCTGGGCGTGGTGGCTCATGCCTGTAATCCCAGCACTTTGGGAGACTGAGGAGGGAGAATCACTTGAGTCCAGGAGTTTGAGACCAGCCTGGACAACATGGTGAAACCCCGTCTCTACTAAAAATACAAAAACTAGTCAGGCATGATGGTGCACGCCTGTAGTCCCAGCTACTAGGGAGGCCGAAGTGAGACAATCACCTGAGCCTGGGAGACAGAGGTTGTAGTGAGCCAAGATTGCTCCACTGCACTCCAGCCTGGGCAATAGAATGAGATTCTGTCTGGAAAAAAAAAAAAAAAAAAACCTTCTCCAAATGGTTCTTTTTAGCAGACGTTTAACAGTGGCTCTTTGCCTTCTCACCACCCTTTTGTCATATTTCCTCATGTGTGTGCTTCTCAGATATTCACTCACTCACTTATTCATTCACTAAATATTTATTGAGGACCTACTGTGCATCCTATATCTGGTACCATGATAGGTGCTCTGACATGGCACCCACAGGATGGACACAACTTAATCTGGTAAGGCCCAGAGTGTCCACTAAAGCTCTGTGAGGTCAGATGACAGGACTGTCAGAAAACAAATCAAACGATCTTTCTGAGTGCTAACTTGTGAAAGAGTTGGAGCCCTGAGCAGGTAAGACTGAAACCATGAAAGATCAGTGACCCCAGGTAGTACATTTTGATACCAGCTGAGTGCACAGATAGTAAGTTTCAAAAAAACTGGAGAGGCAACAGGGTGTTAAGGCAGGAAGTCCTGTTCCTACAGTTTAGGAAATCCAGGTCCTGAGAAGTAGAAAGTAGCTGCTCAGGGTCACATAACCAATATGAGTGACATTGCCAAGCCTGGACGTCACGTCTCTTGGCTCAGTCGAACCCGTGGGCTTCACACCAATTTTTGAGAGCACTCATCATGGTACCAGAATCAGGGATCCTGGAGCCCAGCACAGGGGATGAACCCACATCTGATTTGGCCCTAGGGCTCTACCTGGGCAGGCAAGGCAGTCGCAGTTTCTGTGCTTTGCACTACTGCCTTAATAATTCATGCCTTAAACTGATGATAGCACTCTCCATGAGGAGAAATTGTGCCCAGATGAGGAGCAAGAACAAATCCTGGCCAAGAATCTTTTCTTCAGTAGGATTCTGCCTTGATCTTTTTTCCCCCAGTTTAATTTCGATGACATCAAATTCCTTTAAAAATAGATTTCATATTAGATTTGAAAATTACCCACATCCATCAACCTCCTATTAAACGTAAATGGCTGTATCCTGGGCTGAAGATTTGTAATGCTCAGATCACTCAAGAGACCTCAGGCTTCTAATAACGGACTCCAGATTTTTAAACCCAATTTCTTGGCTTCCTTCATCCACATAATGCTCCAGAGAGACAGTGAGCACTCGCTTCCGTTTACAGCTGTCTGCCCTAATGGACTGAGTGCAAGCATGAAGTCAGGGGCCGCTCCTGCAGGCTGACCTCAGGAGTCAGGGTTGGGTTCACAGCAAAGACAATGGAAAATGTAACGATGAGGCGGGACGTTGGGCGAGGGCTGATGAGGACACTGGCCTTTAGGAACAAATTTCATTTTTCTTGGATGAAAAAGTAAGAACCCTGGCTAAAGAGGGGCTATACCCACTGAATATACATGGATGAGCATTAGGGACTCTGGTCGGGGCCACAGCTTGCTTGCAAACAGGCCCACCTGGGGACCAATCTGTAGCGCTCAGACCACTCCAAAACGGTCACTCCCTCTCTACTCGCTCTTCCTTTCTCAGTCTTCTCCTTCCCATGATAATGATGCCTGCATTGCATTGGATCTTCTCTTATTCCAAGTGCCTCTCCAGGAAGGGTGTGGAGGGAGTAGCAGAAATTAAGGGACTCAGATGGTTGGTAAGACATGCAGAACGTCAAGAAAATGTCCTCCGCCCATGGCCCCAAGCCTAACTTGTTTCCTTTTTCCCCTCCATTAGTAACACATGAGGAAGCTTGCAATGAGCATCTGAGCTGAACCAGATCTAATCACCGCCCACTGAAGAGCTTTGGGTCTGCAAATTTGAGTCCACCTGGGAGTGATTTCCCCTGGGTGCAGCCAGTCCCTCACACACCCACTCCTAGCAAAAGGTGTAAATAGCACAGAGGAGTGGCCAGACCAGAAAAGTTGGCCCTCTGACCTATTGCAGGCATGTGTGGTCTTATGAAAAATAGCTTATCTAATTGTTTTCACATTCTGAATGCTCTCCATTAAAATTTTCATTTAATGCTTGAATGTGTGCAGGGTTTGTACCCTCACAAGGCAGTGAGAATAGTTTTATAAGACAGGCTCCGTTTCAAAATCCAGGATTTGCAACCATCTGCCACTATACACAGTTTAGCACTTGCTAGAATGAGTATGAAAGTTAATCTGTGCTATGAGCAGAATGTGACTCATCTGGATTCAGTTAAATAGCTCATGGTGCTTTTCAAAAAAGATATATGTGAAACCTTTCAAAACGCAGTCTTGCCAGGCAGAACACTGCTGTACACACCATCAGGAAGAAATGGGTGAAGGAACATACAGAAAATTACATCCCTCAATGGAAGCTCCAGAGAGTTCTACGAATGACATTGTCAGCAGACCCCAAACAATTCAGTGTGCATAAGTGTGGACTAACTAGGGAAAGACTTTCTGAAAAAAAATTCACAACTTGCACGCCTAAAAAAGGCTATCTTTCTAACAAGATTGAAGAATTAAAAAAAAAATAGCTTCAATTTCTCCAGGATGATACATCATAGAAAGATTCACTTACTCATTCCCATTCAGCAAACATTGTGCACATCTATGAGTGCCAAGCACTCTTTGAGCTTTTGAGAATTCAGCAGCGAGAAAAAGATAATCGTCTCTGTCCTTGTGGGCCGTCCATTCTAGCAGTCTCTCAGGAATGGTTTGTCTTAAGCAGGTGCCCTCTGGGGCCTGTGCTCAGATCCCCAATCATGCCCTTTGATGTGCTAGATGACAGGCATTTGAGGCACTCAGTACATCCACAATATCAACCCGCTGACACCCTGTACCCCTTGAATATTGCTGGGATGTCCTAGAGTCTCATTTTTCTTCTTCTTTCCTATCAAAGGGAATAAAGCTGCAATGTCCTCCCTCTTAGCATCCGTCAAGTGTCTTATCTTGTAGGAGTAGAAGAAACCAACTCCTTCTACCTCTCATCTCTGGGCCCATTCTTTTCTTTTTCCAAGACCCCAATGCTATGGGAATAAGGGGGAGGGAGACTGCACCTGCATTTCACATAGGTGGGAGCTTCAGCTTGGGTCCACTTGGCTAATTGAATCTAATGGCCAGACCTATTCAATATTTAAAAATCATCCACATAATAGGATCTAGTGAGCCAAAAAGTAAAATAAAGGGGAGAATAATGTTAATAGACACAATGCTGAATACAAGCACATCTTGCTTAAGATTTGCACGGAAAGGAAAACTAACTAGAGGAGCATTTAGCAGAACAAGCCCTTCTCCAACTCCCACTGTAACTTACTTCTGCAGGTTTTCTTATCTGGATTCAGGGTAAAGCCTTTCAGGCAGTGGCAGGAATAGGAATCATCTGTGTTAACACACTCGTGCTGACATCCGTGATTAGATGAGGCACAGTAGTCTATCTCTGGCAAGAAGGAAAAATCACAAGAATGGCAAACCAATCAATAAAGCTAGCATAGGAAAACCAGGGATTTCCAGTCTTCATTTTCCCAAACAGGTAAAATCCCACACCTCAAAGAGTCACACCATGAAGGGGTCTCCCAATAAAGCTACTTCCATGTTTAGAGATATGGCCTCTCCTAAGAGAAACTTCTTCTCCTTCTTTCCTTCTTCTCCTTCTTCCCTCCTCCTCCCTCTTTCCCTTCCTCCCCCTTCTCCTTCCTCTTTCCCTTCCCCCTCTTCCCTCTTCCCCCCTCCCTCCTCCTCTTCTTTCCCTCTTTTCTTTTCTTTCTTTCTTTCCTTCCTTCCTCTCTCTCCCTTCCTTCCTTCCTTCCTTTCCTTTCTTCCTTTCTTCTTTCTTTCTTTCTTTTTCTTTCTTTCTTTCTTTCTCTCTTCCTTTCCTTCTTCTTCTTCTATTATTATTATTATTATACCTGGACTCTTCTGCTAGGCAAAGACAAACTTCCTGACATATTACAAAACGTTTATGCAACAAACAAATTTGTGAACATGCTTTCCTTGTCTTGATTCATGTAAGAGCCACTAAAATGAAGATGGGGTATTTGCCAGACTGCAGGCTGAGAATGGTTTAGCTGAGTGTTTTATCGAATTTAAGCAATTAAAACAATTAAACGTTCCCAAAGCCAAACTCCAAACCACTTAAACCCATCAAACAATGAGCCAAACAATAAGACACAAAATCATATCCTGGGAAAAATAAGGCCTAGGAGTGAAAGGCATAAATACTCTGAGTTCAAAACACCTCCTGGTTACCTCATTGGGCTCAGCTGCACATAAATAGGATTTTTACCTCAAGATTCACAGAGAATGTGATCTCTAGGGATACATTAATTTAAACCAAAATATTTTTTTAAAAGTATTTCATGAAATTTTTCATAATGAAATTTTACTTGTGTATTTTTATTTTTTTGTTTTTGTTCTTTTTCTTTTTTTTGTATTTTTTGTATAAGTATTTTTAAATATGGAAAGAAACTTTTATTGCAGAATCTGAGCAAAATATTTTCCCATAGTGGAACTTGGACACATTGTTTAAAATTGCTTGAAATAAATGACCACTGATGGAATCTTAAAAGGAGTCTTTGTTTTGATGAGGGTTTTTATTATTTTAAGGAACATTTGAACTGCATAAATAATCTTCCTAACAAATAATTTGGTATAAATGAGAGTTCCCAGTCCATACCAGAGGAAACAAACTGAGTAAGGGAAAGATATACAATATTCTTGAAAGGAAAAAATGTTGAGTGAGATGCCAATTTTTCCCAATTTAAACTTATGGAAATGTTAAGCAAAATATACAATAATGTCCAATTTCAAAAATGGACTGAGTAGTATAATAAATCCATGTACATATCACCCAGCTTCAGGAGAATCAATCTATGGCTGCTTGGCTTTCAGCTATGTCCCCACTCTCTATAGTAAGATCCCACATTACTTTGAAGCAAACCCCAGACATTGTATTGTTGTTATTATTATTATTATTATTATTATTATTATTGTTTGTTTTGAGACAGAGTCTCGCTCCATCGCCCAGGCTGAAGCGCAATGTCGCAATCTAGGCTCACTGCAACCTCCACCTCCCAGGTTCAAGCAATTCTCCTGCTTCAGCCTCCTGAGTAGCTGGAATTACCAGTGCATGCCACCATGCCTGAGTAATTTTTTTTTTTTTTTTTTTTTTTTTGAGATGGAGTCTCACTCTAACACCCAGGCTGGAGTGCAGTGGCGCAATCTTGGCTCACTGCAACCTCTGCCGCCCAGGTTCAGGCAATCCTCCTGCCTCAGCCTCCCAAGTAGTTGGGATTACAGGCGCCTGCCACTGTGCCCAGCTAATTTTTGTATTTTTAGTGGAGATGGGGTTTCACCATCTTGGCCAGGCTGGTCTTGAACTCCTGATCTCGTGATCCACCTGCCTCAGCCTTCCAAAGTGCTGGGATTACAGGAGTGAGCCACCACACCTGGCCCAGACATTGTATTATTTTGTCCATAAATGCTTCATAATGTAGCTTTAAAACACTGGGAGTCTTTATAAACAATATAATTGTAATACCATAGTCATATATAAAGGCATTTAAAAAATCTTTTTCTTTGAAAACAATTTCAAGCTTACAAAAAGTTACAAACATAAAAATAAAACAAGAAACACTTAAATACTCTTTACCCAGATTCACCTTTGTTAACATTTTACCCCATTCCTGTGATTACTTGGTCATCTCTCTGACCTATGTGAGGGTACATTACATACATTCTGGTCCTTTCCCTTAAAAACAGTCCGTGTTTCCTAAGAGGAGGGATATTCTCTTACATAACTGCAGTATGGTTATAAATTTCATAAGTTTACATTGATACAATACTTATATTTAATCTACCATCCATATTCTAATTTTGTCAGTTGACTTAATTATGTTCTTCATAGCATTTTTCACCTTCCAGTACAGGATCTAGTCTAGGGTCAGAGATTGTATCTCGTTTTCATATCTGCTTAGTCTCCCTTAATCTAGAACCATGCTGCCTAATATGTCTATTTAAATTAAAATTGATTAAAATGAAATAACAATTAAAATTCAGCCAGGGGTGGTGGCTCATGCTTGTAATCCCAATGCTTTGTGAAGCTGAGGCTGGAGGATTGCTTGAACCCAGAAATTTGAGACCAGCCTGAGCAACATAGCAAGACCCCATTTCTGAAAAAAGAATTTTTTTTTTTTTTTGAGATAGAGTCTCGCTCTGCTGCCCAGGGTGGAGTGCAGTGGCACGATCTCAGCTCACTGCAATCTCCGCCTCCCGGGTTCAAGCAATTCTCCTGCCTCAGCCTCCCGAGTAGCTGGAACTATAGGCACACACCACCACACCCAGCTAATTTTTTGTAATTTAGTAGAGACGGGGTTTCACCGTGTTGCCCAGGCTGTTCTCGAACTCCTGAACTCAGGCAATCCACTCGCCTCGGCCTCTCAAAGTGCTAGGATTACAGGCGTGAGCCACTGTGCCCAGCAGAAAAATAATTTTTTTAAGTTAGCTGAGCATGGTGGCACCTGCCTGTAGTCCCAGCTACTAGGGAGGCTGAGGCCAGGAGATCTCATGAGCCCAGGAGTTGGTGATTGCAGTGAGCTATGAGCTATGACTGTACCACTGCAGTCCAGCCTGGGCAACAAAGCAAGAGCCTGTCTCTAACAAACAAAACAAAACGAAACAAAAATTCAGTTACTGGGTTGCACTGGCTGTATCTCAAGTGCTCAGTGGCCACGTGTGGCTCCTGACTACTGTATTGTATGATGCAAACAGAGAATTTCCATCAACCAGAGTGTCCCATAGGATAGTGATGGGCCAGAACATTTCCACAGCCTCTCTTTGTGTTTTATGACATAGAAATTTTGGAATAATACAGTCTCTTCTACTTGTTTTTAGTTTTTTTGAGGTATAATTGACAAAAACCAAACTGCACATACTCAAGAAAAACAATCTGATGCATTTTGCATATGTATCCTGCCATGAAACCATCGCCACAATCAAAATAATAAGCATATGCATTACTCTCAAAACTTTCCTCCTGTCTCTTGCTAATTCATTCTTCCCCACTCTCTCCAGTCCCAAATAACCATTTACCTTCTATCCAGATAAATCAGTTTGCATTTTCTAGAATTTTATTTTTTATCTTCTTTTTTTATCTCCCCAAGGAACTTTAAATAAATGTAATCATATAGTATGTATTCTTTTTTGTCTGGTTTCTTTCATTCAGCATAATTATTTTGAGATTCATCCAGATTCATATGTGTGTCAATAGTTTGTTCCTTTTTATTGCAGAGTAGTATTTCACTATGTGATTATACCACAATTTGTTTATCCATTCACTTGCTGAAGGGCTGGTTACCTGTTCCCAGTTTGGGGCTATCACAAATAAAGCAGCTATGAACACTAATGCACAAGTTTTTGTGTGGACATATGCTTTCATTCCTTTTGCATAATGAATGAGTCATATGGGACATGTATGCTTAACTGCTTAAACATTCCCACCAGCAATTTATGAGAGTTCCAGTTGCTCCGTATCCCCATCATCACTTGGTAATTTTAGTCATTCTAGTGGGTATGATTATCTCAATATGACTTCACTTTGTATTTACCTAATGACTAATGTTGTTGAATATATTTTCATATGCTTCTTCGCCATCTCTATATATTCTTTGGTGAAGTTTCTATTCAAATATTTTTCCCATTTTTATTGAGTGGCTTGTCTTTTTTTTTTTTTTTTTTTTTTTGACAGAGTCTTGCTCTGTCACCCAGGCTGGAATGCAGTGGTGCAATCTCAGCTCACTGAAACCTCTGCCTCCTGGGTTCAAGCAATTCCCCTGCCTCAGCTTCCCAAGTAGCTAGGATTACAGGCACCTGCCACCATGCCTGGCTAATGTTCATATTTTTAGTAGAGACAAGCTTTCACCATGTTGGCCAGGCTTGTCTCAAACTCCTGACCTCAAGTGATCCACCTGCTTTGGTCTCCCATTGTGCTGGGATTACAAGCATGAGCCACCGTGCCCAGCCTGAAAAGGTATTTTTTTAAATTTCATATTTTGATGGTCCATTGTAAGTACATAAAACTAACTTATTTTTGTATATTGATCTTGTGTCCTGCAACCTTGATAAATTCACTTGCTATTAATAGTTCTAGTAGCTTTTTAATAGATTCCATTGGATTTTCTACACAGGTGATCAGGTTATCTGTTAATAAAGATGGTGTTTTTTTTTAACAATCTAGGTACCATTTATTGATCTTTCTCTGTCTTATTGCACTGGCTAGAACTTCCAGTACAATATTAAATAGCAGTGGTGTGAGTGGACATTCTGTTTTATTCCTGATCTGATAAAGAAAGCATTGTCTTTCACTATTAAGTATGATGTTAGCTGATAGTTTTTTCACTGATGCACTTTATCAGATTGAGGCAGTTACCTTCATTCCGTTTTTTTTTTTTTTTGAGATGGAGTCTTGCTCTGTTGCCCAGGCTGGAGTGCAGTGGCACGATCTCGGCTCACTGCAAGCTCTGCCTCCCAGGTTCACGCCATTCTCCTGCCTCAGCCTCCCGAGTAGCTGGGACTACAGGTGCCTGCCACCATGCCCAGCTAATTTCTTCTATTTTTAGGAGAGACGGGGTTTCACCGTGTTAGCCAGGATGGTCTCAATCTCCTGACCTCATGATCCGCCCGCCTCGGCCTCCCAAAGTACTGGGATTACAGGCGTGAGCCACCACGCCTGGCCACCTTCATTCCTAATTTGCTGAAAGTTTATTTAAAGAAAAAATGAATGTCAGATCTTATCCAATGCCTTTTCTGCATCTATTGAGATGGCTCATATGGTTTTGACTTTTTAATATGTTAATATTATGAATTACATTGATTGAGTTTTGAATGTTAAGCCAACTTTGAATTCCTGGAATAAATCCCACTTGGTTGTGATGTATTGTACTTTTTAATATATTGTTAAATTTGATTGCTAGAAACTGTTTAAATAACTTTTGCAGGTATTTCATGAGAAATATTTGTGTATAGTTTTCTTTTTTTATGTCTTTCTTTTCTGGTTTGGGTATCAGGGTACTGATAGCCTCATAGGATGAGTTGAAAATTGTTCTTTCTTCTTCAATTTTTTGGAATAATTTGTGTAGAATTAGTATGAGTTTTTCTTCAAATTTTTGGTAGAATTCACCAGTTAAGCCAACTAGGTTTGAAGTCTTCTCTGTGGGAAGGTTTTAAAGTGCAAATTCCATTTCTTTTAATAGATAGAGATCTATTCAGACTATATTCTTTTGTTTTTGGTCGGTCTGGGGAGAGAGTCTCACTCTGTTGCCCAGGCTGGAGTGCAGTGGTGTGATCGTGGCTTACTGAAGCCTCAACCTCCTGGGCTCAAGCAACCCTCCTGCCTCAGCCTTTCGAGTAGCTGGGACTACAGGCACTTGCCACCATGCCCAGTTAATTTATTTATTTTTTGTAGAGATGGGGTCTTGCTATGTTACTCAGGCTGATCTAGAACTCCTGGACTCAAGCAATCCTCCCACCTAAGCCTCCCAAAGTTCTGGGATTACAGGTATGAGCCACCATGCCCAGCCTCTATTTATTCTTGGGTAAACTTTAGTAGTTTGTGTCTTTCAAGGAATTTGTCCATTTCATCTAAGTTGTCATAGTTATTGGCATAAACTTGTTTATGATTTTTCTGTATATATATATATATATGTATGTGTGTATACATATGTGTGTGTGTGTATATATATATATATATATTTTTTTTTTTTTTTTTTTTGGTGGAGATGGGCTCTATGTTGCCCAGGCTGGTCTTTAACTCCTTGCCTCAAGTGATCCTCCTGCTTTGGCCTCCCACAGTGTTCAGATTACAGGCATGATCCACCATGCTTGGCCTGTATTATGCTTCAAAGTTTGTAGGATATGTATTGATGTCCACTTTCTCATTCCTGATATTAGTAATTTGTGTCTTCTCTCTTTTTTCTTCCTTGACTAGTCTGGTTAGACATTTATCAATTTTATTAATCTTCTAAAAAAAACACATTTTGGTTTTTACCAATTATCTCTATTGATTTATGTCTTCTATTCCTTTTATTTTAGCTCAGATCTTTATTATTCCCTCTCTCTTGAATGTCTAATATATGAAGACATGTTAACTTCCCTGTTCATTCATTCATTCAGTAAATATTCTCTGAGCATTTACCATGGGACAGGCACTAGGATCAGTGTTGAACAAAGAGGCACAGTCCCTTGCTTCATGAAATTTGTAAGAGTCCCTTACAATCACTTATACTGGAAAATATTCATTAATCAAATAATAACACCAATAAACATACATTTATAAATTAGATATATATAATTGGATAATTTTATGAAGAACAGGTATTAAAGACATGATAAAAAAGCAAGAAGAAGAAATTTTCTCCTAGAAAATCAGCAACATTTTTAAAAATTGCTCCCTTAAGAAACACTTTTTTTTCCTTCAACTTTTATTTTAAGTTCTAGGGTGTATGTGCAGGATGTGCAGGTTTGTTAGGTAAATGTGTGCCATGTTGGTTTGCTGCACAGATCAGCGCATCACCCAGGTATTAAGCCCAGCATCCATTAGCTGTTCTTCTGGATGCTTTCCCTCTCCCCACTCCTTGCTACAGGCCCCGGTGTGTGTTGCTCCCTATCACGTGTCCATGTGTTAAGATGAAATGGACAAATTCCGTTTACACTGCTGGTGGGAATGTAAACTAGTACAACAACTATGGAAAGCAATGTAGAGATTCCTTAAAGAACTAAAAGTAGGCCAGGTGTGGTGGCTCACGCCTGTAATCCCAGCACTTTGAGAGGCCAAGGCAGGCGGATCACAAGTTCAGGAGTTCGAGACCACCCTGGCTAACACGATGAAACCCTGTCTCTACTAAAAATACAAAAAAAAAAAAAAATTAGCTGGGCGTGGTGGCGGGCACCTGTAGTCCCAGCCACTCGGGAGGCTGAGGCAGGAGAATGGCGTGAACCCTGGAGGTGGAGCTTGCAGTGAGCCGAGATCGCGCCACTGCACTCCAGCCTGGGCCACAGAGCGAGACTCCGTCTCAAAAAAAAATAACTAAAAGTAGATCTACTATTTGATCCAGCAATCCCACTACTGAGTATCTACCCAGAGGAAATTAAGTCATTATATGAAAAAGATACTTGCACACGCATGTTTATAGCAATACAATTTGCAATTGCAAAAATATGGAACCAGTCCCAATGCCTATCAATCAACAAGTGGATAAAGAAAATACAGTGTCTATATACACCATGGAATACTACTCAGCCATAAAAAGGAACAAAAGAATGGCATTTGCAGCAACCTAGATGGAGATGGAGACCATTATTCTAAGTGAAGTAACTCAGGAATGGAAAACCAAATATCCCACTTCTCACTTTTAAATGGGAGCTAAGCTATGAGGATGCAAAGGCATAAGAATGATACAATGGACTTGGGGTGGGAGGATGGTGAGGGATAAAAGACTACACATTGGGTACTATGTATCCTGCTCAGGTGATGGTTGCACCAAAAATCTCAGAATCACCACTAAAGAACTTGTCCATATAACCAAACACCACCTGCTCCCCAAAAACCTATTGAAATCATAAATAATTTAATTTAATTTAAAAATAAAAATTGCCCCCTTAAACACTGATGGTAGAGTATAAATCGGTAAAACGTTTTTAGAAAATAATTTTGAATATGTATCAAAAGACTTAAAATGTTAATTGCCTTTGACTCAATAAATTTCCTTTTTTGTTGTGTTCCTAAGAAAATGATCAGAAAAAAAGATTCAAGCATAAGAATGTTTATCACAATATTATTTGAGCAGCCAAAAAAACCTGAACACATTCTGACATATACATATAATAGAATTTTACACAGACATTAAAATGTTTTTGATAACGTTTAAGTGACATGTCAAAATGCTTATGATTTATTATTATACTGCATGATCTCAACTCTATAAAAATAAATCCATACACATACATTAAAAAAAGACTGGAGAGAAATGTTCCAAATTGGCATAAACAATGGTTATCAGCTAGGTGCAGTAGTGTGCGCCTATAATCTCAAAACTTGGGAGACCAAGGCAGAAGGACTGCTTGAGCTCAGGAGATCAAGACCAGCCTGGGCAACATGGTGAGAAACCCATCTCAAAAAGCAAAACAAACACAAAAACAGTGGTTTTTTCTGGGCGGTAGTATCACAGATCATTTTATTTCATAGAATTTCACTTCTATAGGAACCAGTTTCCCTCAATGAACCTGTATTACTTTTGTAATCAGAAAAAGTACTAAAAATAAATGTACACATTTGTACATTTGTACTTTGTGAAACTAGTTGCCATGGAAAACGGCCCAAATAATATACAAAAAAGAACAATGTGGGAAGTGTCCTGTGATTTGGAGAAGAACATAATCAGGGAACATTGCTAAAAACAATAAATATATATAGCTTCAGGTGTGCATATCTGCTACAGTTTGGATGTTTGATCCCATAAACTTCATGTTAAAATTTAATCCACAGTGTTGGAGGCGGGGCTTAATGGGAGGTTTTTGGGTCATGGTGGGGAATCCCTAATGAATAGCTTGGTGCTGTCCTCACAGTAATGAGTACGTTTGCTCTGTTAGTTCTCATGAGAGCTGGTTGTTAAAAAGAGCACCGCCTCATCCTTTCTCTCTTGCTTCCTCTCTCACCATGTGATCTCTGCACAGGTCGGCTCCACATCACCTCCCGCTGTGAGTGGAAGCAGCCTTAGGCTTTCACTAGATGCCCAGTCTTCCCGCCAGCAGAATCATGAGCCAAATAAACCTTATTTTCTTTATAAATTACCCAGTCTCAGGTGTTCCTTTATAGCAACACAAATGGACTAAAACATATCCATTTTGTACTGGTGCTGTGTGATAGTATCACAGATCATTTTATTTCATAGAATTTCATTTCTACCTCTGCCTCAAAGGTTTCCTCCTTCTCTCACTGCCTTCAAATCTTTAATCAAAGACTAGTATTACTTTGCTGTTGAGACCTGTAGTATTCTCTTATCCTGCTCCAATAGAATGTAGGCTCCATAAGGACAGATATTGGTGGGGTTTCTTTTTGGTCTGTTTAATTTATTACTGCATGCCCAGTGTCTACAATCATATCTGACACATAGTAGATACTCAACAAATATTTGTGGAATGAATAAAAGGTTATTGGTATTACTCTTACTGGAGTGTGTTTTTGAGAGTTTAGATACATACACATTGCACACCATGAAGAAACACGGGGGACCCTATGAATGGAAGATAGCTCTCATCCCTCCATAAGGCTTCTTCCCAGCAAGCTGTTTAAAAACCTCCTTCTAGGAGGATCTCAGTTCAACAATTAGCATCCTGTGGTTACAGACATTCGGCCAGTTACAAACCAACCAATCATTCATTGAGCACAAATTCCTCCACACACAAATTGGTCAAATGCCTATTAAAATTTAGATGGTCACTACTACATTTTCCATGCCTGGCTAGTCTACTAAGTGAAATAAAGTTACTCTGATATGACTCACTCTTAGTGGCCACAAAGAACGCAAGTAGCCAAATTTGTTTTGTTCATTTCTAAGAGCAAGGAAATAGATATCAGCTCAGTCTAGGGAATCACTTTCTAAGAGTCAGAGCTATACAAAGTGGAATGAACTACCATGGGGTATAGTGAATATCCTGTCAGTGGGGGTATTCAAATGCAGGTTGGATGATGGCACAGTGAGAATATTGTAGGATGGATAGTTGGGCAAGAACTAGGTTGAACTTTAAAGCCTCTTCCAGCTGAAAGTGTTTGATTTATCCACATAGGGAGTCACAAAAGTGGCATATTACAGGCTGTAGGAAGGTAGTGGCACTCAGTATGTTAACTATGCTCTGGCCAAGAAACCTGACAACCGATACTTTGTAGTTCTTCTATTGCTGATTCAGTATAAAATTATTTCCGGAATGGTGGCTCATCCTGTAATCTCAGCACTTTGGGAGGCCAAGCTGGGAGAATCACTTGAGGTCAGGAGGTCTAGTCCAACCTGAGCAACATAGCAGACCCCATCTCTACTTTAAAAAGTTTACTTCCTTCTGTGTTTTGTTTCTAGTGCAAACACAAAAATATTCATTCAGTGCCTTACTCTGTGCAAAGCATTCTTATTTGAAAAATAAGGATGGAAATGTCAACCAAGTTATTACTGGAGACTGAAAAACAATGAGTATAATGACCTCCAAGCACGAAAATAATAAATGGCAACATGCAAAAGATGGTGTCCGCAATTGCCTTTATTCATCCTTACAGGCATTAGATGATTAAGCATTAGACTCAAAGCCCACAGTCTCCTTGCTACCAAAGACATGAATCCCTGTCCAGCAGACTGAAGTCCTCTATAGATCTTTCTGGTGAAAAGACCCTGGATATCTGAGAGTGTTCTTTCTCATGCTTGGCTCAAGAATAAGGGTTTCAATCTAGATCTCAAAAAGTCTTGCTACCATAGGACCAGCAATTCCACTTCTGGGTATAAAAACCCAGAAGAACTGAAAGCAAGGACTTGAACACTCATCTTTATAGTAGCTTTATTCACAATAGGCAAAAGGTGGAAGGAGCCCAAACGTCCATCAACAGATGGATAAACAAAATGGGATATATACATATAATTGAATATTATGCAGTCTTAAAAAGGAAGGAAATTCTGATATATACTACAACACAGATAAACCTTGAGGACATTATGCTAAGTGAAATATGTTAGACGGCAAAGGACAAATACCATATAATCCCACTTACATGAAGTGCCGAGAGTGGTGAAATTCACAGACAGAAAGTAGAATGGTGGTTGACAGGGCAGGCAATGGGGAGTTATTGTTCAATGGGTACAGCGTTTCAGTTTGGGGTGATGAAAAGTTCTGGAGATGGATGGTGAGGATAGTTACAGCTGGGTGGAAATCAGGTGACCCCAGCCAGGGGGTGTGGTCTGGAGAGGCAGGAAGGAGACAGGCTAGGATATGCGTTTTTCACAATGTGAGTGTATTTAATGCCACTGAATGAGTACAGTGGTAAATTTTCTATTATGTATGTTTTATAACAATACCAGAAAAAGAAAAGTCTTGCTAACTTTTTGCAAACTGATGGTACCTGTGTGTTTCCACCTTTCTCCCGTCTAGATTTGGATGGGCTGCTCTAGGGTAAGAAATTGATATAAAGGTGGTGCTTTTTTGAACACCACTTACATATTTCAAATTATAGTACTGGTTCATGAACATAAAGCCCTATTATGTACATTTTTGCTTAATCATAAATTAACCATGCTTGGTTTATTACATTGACTAGTCTACCTTTTTGAGATAATAGTTGCACACTTACTAATTGTATTCGCTTTCAAATATACTTTTGGTTAAAAATATAGGCTGAAATTTGAGAAACTGAGTTTCTTTCATTTTTTGCAAGTGTATAAGAAGTAGAATTTTAAAAAAAAATCTTTCAACATCACAGCAGTAACCAGGCCGACTTGGCTGGAAGCTGGTGGGAGGCCTTGGTACTCACTAAAACAGGGTGGCTGCTTCGGTTCTGAGCTTCTGCCTCTATCCTGTTTCTGTAATTTTAACTAGTCTCTATTTCTCAGTTCTTGTCCCTGCCACAGATCTGGAGCACTCCTGAGTGTTTCATTCTTACGACTGGGCTTTTGCCTTATTTTCTACTCTTAGCTTTCCAAGTACTCTGTCTCCTTTCTTCCTCTTGTCTCCCTCCTCCTGGGTCTGGCTCCTGCCCACCCCAAGCATGGTGGGAAGAGGGCTCTTCTAAGGGATGTACTGCCCTGAGGCTGCCTGCACGAACCCTCCAGTCTCCCAGCACTCTTCCCTGCACACGCATTGGGGCGGCCCACTTCTGGATCTTGATTCTGACAACTGCACTGCTGGGCTCGCTGCCTAGCTGGTGAGACCTCACAGCTGGATCAGCCCCTCCCGTGGCTCCTAGCCAAACCTCCTCTCCCAGTCCCACTATGCTGCGGTATCTACTTCCAGGGTCTGATTCCAGGGCTCCAACACCCTCCTTGCCTGCACCACCCTGGGCTGGGGATCTGGGACAGGAGGCATGCTGAGCCACAGGGTGGGGAAGATGGTGCCACTCTGGGAACTAGGGCTGGTGCTGGGGTGGAAATCAGGTGACCCCAGCCAGTGTGTGCAGTCTGGAGAGGCAGGTAGGAGACTGGCTAGGATATGTGTTTTTCTCCAGTCCTCATCCCTGCAAGGCAGCATCTCACCTGTTCTGGTCTAACTGGTCTCCTTCCTCTAACTCCTGCTGTGGTCCTGGCTGCATCACACTGTAGGCCCTTGGTCACATAACTCCTGGCACCATGACTCAGCTACTCAGTGTGGCTATGGCTAAGGTCCCTCACCAGCTTGCAGTGGAAATCTTGAATGTTTTTTGCACCTTTAAATGTAGCCCAGGCACGTGGTATATGCACAGTTAAATACTCATTTTTTTAGAGTTTTGGAGGCCAGGTGTGGTGGCTCATGATGACCATAATTCCAGCACTTTGGGAGGCTGAGGTGGGAGGATTGCTTGAGCCCAGGAGTTGGAAGCTGCAATGAGCTAGGATTGCACCACTGCATTCCAGCATGGGTGACAGAGTAAGATCCTATTTCTAAAAAAACATAATGATAATAAATAAAGTCTTTGAAACCCACATCATCCCTTTTTAGCCTTTTTTTTTTTTTAAGACAAGGTCTTACTGTGTCCTCCAGGCTGGAGTGCAGTGGTGCCATCATGGCTCACTACAGCCCCAACCTCCCAGGCCCAACTAGTGATCTTCCCACCTGAGCCTCCCAAGTAGCTGGGAGTACAGACACTTGTCACCATACCTGGCTAATTAAAAAAAAAACAGTTTTTGTAGAAATAGGGTCCCTCCATATTACCAGGGCTGGTCTCAAACTCCTGGGCTCAAGTAATCCTCCTGCTTCTCTTCCCAAAGTGCTGGGATTACAGGCGTGAGCCACTGTGCCCAGCCTCATTTAGTATTCAAGATTATGCTATGGCCGGGTGCTGTGGCTCATGCCTGTATTCCCAGCACTTTGGGAGGCTGAGGTGGGTGGATCACTTGAGGTCAGGGATTCGACACCAGCCTGGCTAATATGGTGAAACACCACTGCTATCAAAAAATACCAAAAAAATTAGCTGGGTGTGTTGGTGCGAGCCTGTAGTCTCAGCCACTTGGGAGGCTGAGGTGGGGGAATCGCTTGAACCCAGGAGGTGGAGGTTGCAGTGAGCCGAGATCACATCACTGCTCTCCAGCCTGGGTGACAGAGTAAGACCCAGTGTCAAAAAAAAAAAAAAAAAAAAAAAAGGAAAGAATAATGCTATGCAGTAGGCAGCATTATCATCCTGTACTGTAACTGAGGAAACTGAGGCATAAGTAACTTGCCCAAGATCACCAAGAGAAAAAGCAGAGAAGCTGGGATTAGAACCAAGGCCCGCTGCTGGCAGCCCACGGCCTCCTCTTTGATGAGGAACACTGACTCATCAGCCCAACAACCACAACTCCCCAACCACGACGACAGCACAGGCTGCTATTTTACAGTTCAGAATATTCAGAAGGGAAGGGAGACCACAAACACAGCAGCCCACTCATTCATTTACTTACTCTTTCAATAAACAAAACAAATAAACCACTGTATATGCCAGTCATGCACGGGGCATGGAGACTACAGTTCTCTGCTTGGTTCACATCTTCAACTTCTTTCCTTCTCCTGGAACCCCCACCTCACCCTTTTCTGCCTAGTGAATGACAGCTCCACCTCCAAGACTCAGCCACAGTTATCTTCTCCCTTAAGGACCTTGCCGTACTCATTTCTATTGGCACATGGTTGGGGCTCCAGAAATGTATGCTTTTGACCTAATGTGTCCCTTATAGTTCCATACATCACCCAAACCTCCAGCTCTGGTGTTTGTAAGCTGCTGATATTTAGGTATTGAAGAGTAGGAAGTAAGTTTATGTTGAAAAAGGTTTTGTGCAGATGTATCCTGTTTTACATAGTGAATACATTTTAGAAAGGTTGTAGGTACATGAACTTTTTATGAATTAAAATCCTGTTTTCTCACTGATGCATGTCTCTGAGGTGCCTTACCCTATTCTAGATTGTTATTAAAGTCCACTTTTTATAAATGCTTGGCCCTAATACTTAACAAGCAAGCTTTTCTCAAGTGATCCTCCCTATAGAAGGATAATAATCCATACACAATCCCTTAAGTCTCCTGATGTACCTTTATATTTAATAGAACACTTTTGGAATCTTTTTGTAACTAGTTATTATCTTTTTTGCAAAACTAATGATCATCTTTAGTTTATCGAATTTTATGTTCAAATTTTGGGAGCTGAAATTAATTCTGATTTTTATGTATACAGTTAAAATCCAATTGAACTAAATAGCTCAAACAAAACATGAGCAGTTCTTTGCAAACTGCGGTCCACCAGAAGAAATCACTTATGATTCTTTTTGGCTCAGCGATTTTCTTGCGTGGAGTCAGAGCTAAAGCCCACAAGCCACAAAGCTTCAATGAAAACATCTCAAGCCCTGTTAGTGCTGATGGGCACAGTCAGGCTGAGTTAGCAGGAAGTAAGTTGCTCGGATTGTCAGCATGCTCAGCAGATGCTGAAGGAACAGTCCTACACATGGTGCCTTCATCATATTCCTTGAATAGTGATGTTGAGATACAGTGGTCTATGGTCTTAAGCCAAGTCATGAAAGTCCTGACAGAGGAGGAATGGGGCAAAAGGTATTAGACCCCCATGACATAATTATATTGCTAATCTATACTTGAGAGAGTTCCATGGTCACAGTCACCACAGCAGTAACAGCAAATATTTCTCTGTGTGTGCATGTGTGTGTAACTTACTTGTGCACGTTTTTTTATCTGGGTTAAGAGCAAATCCTTCATGGCACTGGCAAAGGTAGGAGCCATCAGCATTTACACACTCATGTTCACATCCGTGGTTTTCTGAGGCACAGTAGTCCACAGCTGGAGAGAATAAAACACATTCAGAATTAGAAATGCAAACAGAGGAAAAGGGAATGGTAGGATGAGGGCAAAATGATAACAGATATTAATTAGGATTAATATTATTGCCCCCCAAAAGAGTAGGATAAACAGTTATGAACCCAAGGTCTCTGCCCCCCTCAAAAAAAATCAGGAGTCTATATCAGGCAATTCATATAGGAAGATATAGGAAGTAAACTAAAGAACATGTGAACAATTGTATTTAAAAGTTAAAGAATTGCAAATCAAAATCATCACAAGGTGCACTTACACCTAGTAAACTGGCAAAAATAAGATGAGATAAAACCCAGTGGTAGAAAGGCAGCAGCGTTATTAATGGTAGGGGCATTATAAATTGAGAAAGATCCTTTTGGAAGGCAATTTGACAATGTTCACCCTGGACGTGAAACCCAAAGAAATAGCCAGGAAAAGGGTGAAATTATATACAATAAACTATTAATAGCATTGTTTACAACAACAACAAAAAATCCTAGAAAATAAGATGAACATTGAATAAGGGTAAATGATTTAACAATGTATGAGAAAATACACTGGCTGATTTTTCATTAGTTCCACAAATGTGTTCCTGTGTTCCACAAATATTTCATTTGTTTCATTAGTTCCACAAATATGTGTTCATTACACAAATATGTGTAATGAACAAAAATGTATTCATTAGTTCCTGAGTACCTACTACGGGCCAGGTCCTGTTTTAGGTGCTAGGGATAGAACAAGTAAGAAAATAATCCAAAATTCCAGCCCCCAAGGAGCGTATATTTGGATAATGATGCTGGGAGTGGGGAGCAGATAAGAAGTAAAATAAGTAAATAGCATAGTCTATTAGGAGATAAAGAAAATTCTGGAGAAAAGCAAAACAATGAATAGGAGTAGGGTCAGTGGGGGAGTGGGTAGCAGGTGGGATGTAATAGAGGTGGTCAGGAGAGGCCTCTCTGAGAAGGTGGGTGGTTAGGAAGAGTGTTGACTAAAATACGAGCCGTGAGGATATCTGGGAGAGGGTATCTTGGGCAAAACAAACAGCAAGTGCGAAGGCCAGGAGGTGGGACTCTGCCTGGTGGGCTGGAGGATCAGCAAAGAGGCCAGGGTGGCTGGAGGAGGGAGAGAGGTGGGAGATGAGAAGGGGGCAGTCAGGAGGGACCCATGGGCCATGCAAGGACCTCAGCTTTTAGTCTGAATGAGTTGGGAGTCACTGCAGGGTTCTGGACCCATGAGTCAAGAATAGACTGACAGGGCAAATCTGAGAGTAGAAAACCAGTAAGAAAGTGACTCCAGTAATCCCAGGGAGGAAGGGTGGAGGCTTAAACCAGGATGTTGCAGGGGATGAGGGGGAGTGGTGTTCTGGAAGTTATGGGTTGAATTATGTCCCCTAAAAAGACATGTTGGAGTCCTAAACCCTGGTACCTACGAATGTGGCCTTATTTGGAAATAGGGTCTTTGCAGAAGTAACCAAGTTAAAATGTGCTTATTAGGGTGGCGTGCTCTAATTCAATATGACTGGTGTTCTTATAAGAAGAGATCTGTCCCTACGACCCAAACACTTTCCAGCAGGTCCCACCTCCAACATTGGGAATCAAATTTCTTGTCTTTTTTTTTTTTTTTTTTTTTTTTTTTTTTGAGACAGGGTCTCACTTTGTCTCCCAGGCTGGAGTGCAGTGGCACCACCTCTGCTCACTGCAGCCTCAACCTCCTGGGTTCAAGTGATCCTCCTGCCTCAGCCATCCAAGTAGCTGGGACTACAGGTGTGCGCCACCACATCTGGCTAATTTTTATATTTTTAGTAGGAACGGGGTTTCACCATGTGGGCCAGGCTGGCCTCAACCTTCTGAGCTCAAGAGATCCACTGGCCTCAGCCTCCTCCCAAAGTGCTGGGATTACAGGCATGAGCCACCGTGCCTGGCCACAGAGGTCAAATTTCAACACGAGACTTGGTGAAGCCAAACAAACCATATCCAAACCACAGCATAGCTCTAGCAAACTAATACACCTGGTAAATACTGAAGGTGGGGCTAACAGGATTCCTGTTGGATTAGAGGTGAAATGAGAAAAAGAGAGTGCACCTAGGGTCAACTCTGGGGTTGACAGAGCAAGACCCTGTCTCAAAAAAAAAAAAGTTTTTGGAAATCCCAGCTACTTGGGAGACTGAGGCAGGGCAATCATTTGAGCTCAGGAGCTTAAGACCAGTCCCTTTTCAAAAAAAAGTACTCCCTACAATGTTTTAGGATTATATTAATATCAAAAGTGTGTAAATAATAACAAGGAAATAGAATCTACAAAAGTAATACATATGTAAAATTTTAAAAAGCAAAACCATGCATGGAGAAGATAATGACATATTTAGCATAGCAATAAAAAGATGCAAAGGGACACTGAAGATTTGTAAAGGGTAATAACCTGTGTTACGTTTATTCTTTTGCTTCAAAGTTTCATTAAGTTTCAGTCTAGGCCAGGCATGGTGGCTCACGCCTGTAATCCCAGCACTTTGGGAGGCTGAGGAGGGTGGATCACCGGAGGTCAGGAGTTTGAGACCAGCCTTGCCAATATGGCGAAACCCTGTCTCTACTAAAAATACAAAAAATAGCTGGGCATGGTGGCAGGTGCCTGTAATCCCAGCTACTCGGAAGGCTGAGGCAGGGAGAACTGCTTGAACCCGGGAGCCGAGATTGCACCACTACATTCCAGCCCAGGCAACAGAGCAAGACTCTGTCTCAAAAAAAAAAAAAAGTTTCAGTCTAAATATTGTTTTTGTAACTTCAGCTCCCTAAAGAGTTCTAGTAGAACCTAGTATTTGCAGGTTTAATTCACAAGCCATTATGTTGGGGATAGGGCATTCATGTCATCTCAGGATCTCAACGTCATTGGATATCAGCTGGTTGCTAGAGTTGAGTCATAACATAAAGACTGAGCTAGCACCACATCCTTCTAATAGTTCATTTCTCATTTCTCAAGAACCAAGGGATCATCAAAAGAATCAATGGTGACACTGGGAACACTGAGATCGAGGAAGGCTAAACCCTGGCACACGGTCCAGTCTGTTTGTCACAGGAGTTGGCCATGCCAGAGCCTGCTTGGGCCCGTGTTAGCAGTCAACAATCCCCAGCTTCAACTTCCTCATGCTGGGCTTGATTCACCATGATGAAAATCTCCCAATCCTGGATATGGGTGCCTGCCATCAGTCAGCCAGTCCTATCTATGGCCACCCACTTCTTAGTATCCCCTACAAAGAGAGGAGCTGCTGATCTGACTTCCAAATTGTAGGACATTGATGGTGCTGCAACAATGAGTGGTCAGGTCTCTATACCTAAAAGTCAGAAACTCACACTCTACCTTTTCTCTTGAATGTCCTCTCTTACACCATGGGGTATAATCTGAGCCCGGCCATTTCTGTCTCTCAGAGGGATATCCCATAATTATGCTGGCCCCGTAATTTAGACTAATGTAATAATTTAGAGAGGTGTTGAAGGCTTGGCTTAGGCTTTGAATCTAAGCCACATACTCCAAACTTTCCCCTTTTCCAGAATGTTATAGAATAGAGTATCCAAATTGGCTCGGGTGTTTCAAGAAAAAAGTTGTACTAAGATGCTCTTTTAACTGATCACTCCTTAAGCAACTCCTGATCAAGCAACGCTTTCATTCCCTCTGACCATATGAATCCTGATAACCCAGGGCATGCTACACACTCAAGGCAGTTAGAACACCTGTGTTTTAAAACACCTGTACACGCCTCACATTGGCTGGGTTGTATGCTGATAAAGCAGCCTTGGTGGAACACATGGGCTCTAGGACACCTGTGTACTTTTTCCATTGACTGAGATGTATTCTTATAAACATTGGTTCTCAAAGTGTGGTCTGTGAACCAACTGCATCAACCATCGCTTGAGAACTTGTCAGTAATGCCCATTCTCAGGCTCCATCCCAGACCTACTGATCAGAAGTTCTGGGAGTGGGACCCAGGAATATGTGTTTGAGCAAGCCCTCCAGGTGATTCTGAGGCACGCTAAAACTTAAGAGCCATTGTTAGAGTCAAGGTTGCTTTTGTTTCCAAACCTGTATGTGTCATTTGTACATGTTATTGTAAGTAATTTAAATATTATAAAAACTGGGCTGGGGCTGGACGCGGTGGCTCAAGCCTGTAATCCCAGCACTTTGGGAGGCCAAGGCAGGTGGATCACAAGGTCAGGAGTTCAAGACCAGCCTGGCCAACATGGTGAAACCCCATCTGTACTAAAAATATAAAAAGTAGCTGGGCGTGGTGGCAGGCGCCTGTAATCCCAGTTACTCAGGAGACTGAAGCAGCAGAATCATTTGAATCTGGGAGGTGGAGGTTGCAGTGAGCCAAGATCGTGCCACTGCATTCCAGCCTGGGCGACAGTGTGAGACTACATCTCAAAAACAAAACAAAACAAAAAAACAAAACAAAACAAAAAGGCTCACATCTGTAATCCCAGCGCTTTGGGAGGCCAAGGTGGGTGGATCACTTGAGTCTAAGAGCTCAAGACCAGCCTGGCCAACATGGTGAAACCCCATCTCTACTAAAAATACAAAAATTAGCCAGGTATGATGGTGGGCACCTGTTGTCGCATTTACTCTGGAGGCTGAGGTGGGAGGATTGCTTGAGCCCAGGAGGTGGAGGTTGCAGTGAGCTGAGATTGTGCCACTGCACTCCAGCCTGGGCAACAAGCGAAATTCTGTCTCAAAATAAATAAATAAATAAAATAAAAACCAATAAAATATAAGCACTAAAAGAAACTGAGTTTTTAAAAATAAAAATTTTGTTGAAAGCTTTGGAAAAAATTAAAGCAATTTGCTAACCAAAATTGCTATAGAACCAGGCATGGATGAAACAAATGTAAAACATTGGGAAATTTCCCATTAAAATTTACAAGAGTTCTGCTGTTAGACTGCTTTACAGATGTCTTGAAATCCTTGTTCCAATTTAAAGAAACCAAAACTAAAAAATCATAGACAACACATTATGGGTATGGTTTATGCAAAAAAGATTTTTATATAATCCCAGCACTTTGGGAGGCCGAGGCAGGCAGACTGCTTGAGCCCAGGGGTTCGAGACCAGCCTGGGATACATAGCGAGACCCCATCTCTACAAAAAATACAAAAATTAGCTGGGCATGGTGGCATGCACCTGTGGTCCAAGCTACTCAGGAGGCTGAGGTGGGAGGATTGCTTGAGTTTGGGAGATTGAGGCTGCGGGGAACCAAGATCATGCCACTGCACTCCAATCTGGGCAACAGAATTATACCATCTCAAAAAAAAAAAAAAAAAAGATTTGTAAATATCATACTTTTTTCTTCAACTTAAAATTAGCATTTTTTAAAAGCATAAAAGTGATTTTTACTAAGTATACATTTATGTGTTTTAAATAAAAATAAAATGACTAAGGTGGGTTTGCATATATAGTTTTTTAGGATTCCCCTCTCTGAATGATGTTTTCCATTTATCAGCTAACCACAGGCCCAATTCATGAGATAAGAGAGCTTCTCTGGATCTTGACTCTCATAATGTTTTTGTTCTTTGTGTACACAGCTCTCTGGGGAACTAAGGGGGAGGATGTGATTGGCAAGGCAGGATTCACGCATTCCTGGGTCCCAAGTCTCCAGTCTGTAAAACTCCAAGGTGTCAAATCCCATCTCAATTTGAAATCCACCCACTGACACACTGCTAGGCTTCTGGAGACGGCAGATGAGGCCATCAGTGCAGTGGTTAAACATGGAAGAACCCACTGCCAGGCATGTGAATCTAACAGTTTTTTAAGGCCAAGAGAGTTCTAGGGCATTCAGCTCTAATGTTATTTGCCAAGTGGTTTGGGTTGTTTGCATAACTTTCTTGGTTGCAAAATTGTACTCATAAAAAGAGAGGTCAAGATTAGGGAGGCAGATGTATGGAGGTGACCTCTTGTATAACTCAATGATGGCTCTATTGTTCCAAGTTCTCATCTACTTCAACAAAATCTGTTCTCAGTCATTTATGCCTAAAATGTCTACATTCTTGTTTACAAATGGAAAGAGTAATTCTCCAGCTGTAGCTCTTTAGCCCTCCAGATCACAAGTGCTAAGATCCCAGAGTCAGAAGTCAGTCTTGCCACATTCATTCTCTGCCCAACATGTGAGAAATCACTCCACTGTCTCTAAGAATAAATGATACCTTGCTGCAGGTAATAAAACCCTAAAATCAATGATTTCTGTTTTATAACCTGGTCCAATTCTAACGTTTTCTCAGCAGGACTCCGTCTGCAAGGGAATGGCATTAGCAGAAATAGTATATTTTAAAGAGGAGCATTTGGAGTTTAAAGTTTGCTGATAACAAAGTAAGAAAAACCAAATTTGTCATTTAGAGAAATGGTAGAACCAATTTACTTGCTGAGCATACATTAGACACACACACACAGAGTCAGACTCACAAAACCTCTCTTCTCCAAGGCATAACTGGAATTCCAAATGCAGGATTTAAAACCCAGAGAAAATTTCTTTTCTTTTCTTTTCTTTTTTTTTTTTTTTTTGAGACAGGGTCTCATTCTGTCGCCCAGGCTCTAATGCAGTGGCATGATCACGGCTCACTGCAACCTCAGCCCTCCCAGACTCAAGCCATCCTCCCACCTCAGCCTCCCAAGTAGCTGGGACTACATGCACGTGCCACCATGCCTGGCTAATTTCTTTATATATTTTTGGTAGAGACGGTGTTGGTCCATTAGCTGGGGGTGGTGGCACATATCTCCTTGGGCTCAATCAATTCTCCCACCTCAGCCTCCTGAATAGCTGGGACTACAGGTGTGTGCTACCACCCCCAGCTAATTTTTGTTATTTTTGTAGTGACAGGTTTTCACCATGTTGACCAGGCTGGTCTCGAACTCCTGAGCTCAAGAGATCTGCCCGCCTTGGCCTCCCGAAGTGCTGGGATTACAGGCTTGAGCCACCATGCCTGGCCTGACTTTTTTTTTTTTAATAAGCAAAAATGACTTTATAATTTAAAAACCAGTCAATGGGGGAAATATTTTTTACAAAACATGAATGCATGAGATTGCAATCAACCTCAGTCAGTGCTTCAAGAAAATGTATTTCAAGTCCACTCTGTGAAAGATGAAAAGTACAAGTGGTTTTGCCCTCAAGGGTTTACAATCTGCCTGGGTAGATAAGATGCAAACAGGACCAAAGTTACCCCAAAATAAAAGACAGTTTGTAAACACCAGGTGAGTAAGTACAGCAGAAAATTCATGTTCAGAAATCTAGATAAATGGTCTTTGAAAAATAGTTTTGGATGGCAATGAACATGACTTTAGTGGCAGCTGATGAATTATAAATTCAGGGACTCCACTAAAGCAGAGGAGGTTCTTAGTCAGCAATCCACCATTGAATACGGAATAAATTCAGGACTCTCAATGGTGAAATGAGCTGTCAGGGAGTTGGAACTCTGGTGCTGGAATTGAACGTTCCACTTACTCAAATGTGTGGAAATCTATAAAAAAATGCTGAGTCCATGACTAAGAACTGAACTTTCATGCAGGTCACAGTAATAATTCAGGGATGAATCAAAGTGAAACCGGCCCAATTGTCCCACAGAACTGATGTTTATGGTTTATTTTGAATAAACATAGAAATTTACCTTTCCAGTCTTGAAACTTGAGAAAGTTACATTTGTTTTATCTGAGAACCCTTCTCAAGAACCAAACCGTCAGGACTCTCTGACAGTATCAAGGGGCTGAAACTTACCAGATCACTGCATCTGCACAATGACATGCCAGACCCCTCCCCATTTATGACTGCCTAACCAACCACCTGCTGCGTGTTGACCAACTCCTCTTCCATACTCCTCCCTAATTCCTGTTTTCCCCCATATGTTTACATTTATTCCCTGCTATATAAACCCCTAATTTTTATTTTATTTATTTTATTTTATTCTGAGGCAGGGTCTCACTCTGTCACCCAGGCTGGAATGCAGTAGTGCAATCATGGCTCACTGCAGCCTCAACCTCCCAGACTCAAGCAATCTTCCCTCCTGAGTAGCTGGGACTACAGGTGTTGGCCACCACACCCAGCTGATTTTTTTTTATTCTTTGTAGAGACAGGAGTCTTACTATGTTGTCTAGGCTGGTCTCAAACTCCTGGTCTCAAGTGATCCTCCCACCTTGGCCTCTCAAAGTGCTGGGATTACATGCATAAGCCACCACATCCAGCCTAAATCCCTAATTTTAGTCAGTCAGGGAGATGGATTTGAGACTGATCTCCCATCTTCTTGGCTATGGCACCTGACTGAAGCCTTCTTTCCTGGTAATACTTGTTGTCTCAGTGATTGGCTTTCTGTGCAACAAGCAACAGGACCTAGACTGAACCCCTAATGTTTTGGTAACAAAAGAAGTGCTTTTCATAGCAGTAGCTATGAAAGTGTTGAAACTGAAAATCTACTGCATAAATTCACTAGTAGCTGTGAGGTAGGAGGCAGGACTTGACTCCAGAGGTGGGGCTGAGACATCGGACCTGATTGAGAACTAGCTAAAACAGGGCTGGGGTGAAAGCAGCCTTCAATCAGACTTCAATCAGTATACCATGTCAATTTACTGTTGCTATGGCAACACCTGGGAGTTACCATCCCTTACTATCATTGGGCAATGACCCAACGATTACTACCCCTTCCCTAGAAATTTCTGCATAAACCTCCCCTTAACGTGCCTGCAATTGAAAGTGGGTATAAATATGACTGCAAAACTGCCTAAGCTGCTATTCTCTGCCTACAGGGTAGCCCTGCTCTGCAAGAGCAGTCATGGAGCTATAACACTGCCTCTTCAATAAAGCTGTTTTCTTCTACCTCTGGCTTGCCCTTGAATTCTTCCCTGGGCAAAGCCAAGAACCCAGGTAGGCTAAGCTCCACTTTGGGACTTGCCTGCCCTGCATCAGCTGGACATGCTTAACTTCTACCAAATTTCTTTAAATAAATAGTTTGAACCTGCTGCCCACACTTTCTTGTCACCCACTCCCTGCCTCTTGAAATCTGCCCTTTACCCATGCCCCCTTTGCCATTCTCAATGGCCTCCTGGTCACCTTTGTGCTCCTCAAGCCTAGCAAAGTCCCTGGCAGAGTTCTGAAATGTTTGCAGCGGTGAATCTGTGACTCAAGTTGATGGCTTTTTCTCTAAGTCCTGTTACCTTTGGCCATGCTGAAGCATGACATTAATATTGACCTGGCCAAGAAATTATCTTCCTATCATGTTCCATGATTCTTCTTTCTCTCCCCCAGCCTTAAGCTACTTCTTCATGAATATTTTTCCTGCCCCTACTTCCTGCTCCCTACATGTGACTGCAATCCAAGGCTCAGTCCTTCACTCTCTTCTCACTCCATACTTCACTATATACAGGAAATTACGATAATAGTAGGTGTTGTAATAATAATGCTAAGTTCTTAGAGTATATTGGGAATGTCACTCACTATCTTATTTAATCCCATAAAACCTTACAATGTATATATTACTATTCTACATTATGGGTGAGGAAAATAAGCTCAGAAATTAGACTTAAAGATATGTGCTTAGTGATACGGTCTGGATGTTTGTGCCCTCCAAATCTCACACTGAAATGTGATCCCCCGTGTTACAGGTGGACCCTGGTGGGAAGTATTGGATCACAGGGACAGATCCCCCATAAATGGCTTAGCACCACCCCTAGGTGATGAGTGAGTTCTTGCTCAGTTAGTTCACATGAGACCTGGTTGTTTAAAAGTGTGGCACCTCCCCACCTCCCAACTCTCACTCTTGTCCTTGTCATGTGACATACTTGCTCCCCCTTTGGCTTTTGCCTTGATTGTAAACTTTCTGAGGCCCTCACCAGAAGCAGAGGCCAATGCCATGCTTCTTGTACAGCCTGCAGAACTGTGAGCCAATTAAACTCTTTCTTTTTCAAATAAATTACCCAGTCTCAGGTACTCCTTTAGAGCAATGCAAGCAGCCTAACACAGAAAACCGGTACTGAGAGTGGGGTGTTGCTATTAACACACTTGAAAGTATGGAAGCAGCTTTGGAACTGGGCAATGGGCAGAGGTCAGATGAGTTTGGAGGGCTTAGAAGAAGACAGGAAGATGAGGGAAAGTTTGGAACCCCTTAGAGACTTGTTAAGTGGTTGTGACCAAAATGCTAATAGATATGGACAGTAAAGGCCAGGCTGATGAGATCTCAGATAGAAATGAAGAATTTATTGGGAACTGGAGTAAAGGTCACCAATTCTATGCCTTAGCAAAGATCTTAGCTGGGTTGTGTTCATGCCCTAGGGATCTGTGGAAGTTTGAATTTAAGAGGGATGACCTAAGGTAGCTATCTGATGGAAAAAATTTCTAAACAGCAAAGCATTCAAGCCTATGATCAGATACTGGAGCAAAGAAATAAAGTTGGAACTTATATGTAAAAGGGAAGCAGAATGTACGAGTTTGGAAAATTTGCAGCCTAGCCATGTGGCAGAGAAAGAAAAGGCATTTTCAGGACAGGAATACAAGCAGGCTGTGGAGCAACCACTTGCTAGAGAGATTAGTGTAACTAAAAGGGAGCCAAGTGCAAATATCCAAGACATGGGAAAAAGGCCTCAAAGGCATTTCAGAGATCTTCTAGGCAGCACCCACTCCCCATCAAAGGCCCAGAGGCCTAGGGGAAAAAAATGATTTGGGGGGCCAGGTCCAGGGCACTACTGCCCTGTGTAGCCTCAGCACACTGCTCCTCACATCCAGGCTGCTCCAGCTCCAGCCATGGCTCACAGGGCCACAGGTACAGCTTGGGCTGCTGCTCCAGAGAGTACAAGCCACCATAAACCTTAGTGGCTACGATGTGGTGTTAAGTCTGCAGGCACACAGAATGCAGGCATGAAAGAGGCTTGGCAGCTTCTCCCTAGACTTCAGAGTATGTCTTGGAAAGCCTGGATGTCCAGGCAGAAGCCTGCTGCAGGGGTGAAGCCTCATAGAGAGACTCTACTAGGTCAGTGCCAAAGGGAAATGTAGGGTTGGAACTCTCATACAGAGTCCCTACTGGGGCACTGCCTAGTGGAGCTGTGAGAAGGGGGCCACCACCCTCCAGACCTGAGAATGGTAGAGCCACTGGCAGTTTGCAACCTTAGCATGCAAGAGCCATGGGCACCCAACAACCTGTGAGGGCAGCCTTGGGGGCTATACCCTGCAACCACAGGGGCGGAGCCAACCAAGGCCTTGGGGGCCCACCCCTTGCACCTGTGTGCCTTGGATGCAGGACATGGAGTCAAAGGAGATTGTTTTGGAGTTTTAAAATGTAATGGCTGCCCTTCTGGGTTTCAAAGTTGTATGGTCCTATTGCCCTTTGTTTTGGCCAATTTCTCCCTTTTGAAATGAGAATATTTACCCAGTGCCTATAACACCTTGTACCTTGGAAGTAAAAACTTTTTCTTTTTTTTTTTTTAAATCTCACAGGCTCATAGGTGGAAGGAACTCATCTCCAGATGACACTTCAGACTTTGGAGTTTGAGACTTTTGAGTTAAGCCTGGAACAAGTTAAGACTTTGGGGAACTATTGCAAAGGCACGATTGTATTTTGAAATGTGAGAAGGACATGAAATATGGGGGGCCAGGAGTGGAATAATATGGTTTGGATGCTTATTGCCTCCAAATCTGATGTTGAAACGTGATTCCCAATGTTGGAGGTGGGGCTTAGTGGGAGGTATTGGATCATAGCTGTGGATCTCTCATTAATGGCTTAGTGTTATCATCTTGGTGATAAGTGATTTCTCGCTCAGTTAGTTCATGTGAGATTTGGTTGGTCTGAAAAGAGTGTGTCACCTCCCCCTACCTCTTGCTCCTGCTCTCACCATGTGACATGCCTGCTCCGCCTTCACCTTCTACCATGATTGGAAGTTTCCTGAGGCCCTCACCAGAAGCAGATGCTGGTGTCATGCTTCCTATACAGCCTGCAGAATCATGAGCCAATTAAACCTTTTCTTTTAGCTAATCTCAGGTATTCCTTTATAGCAACGCAAATGGCCTAACACACCTAGCAAGTAGCAGAGTTGGGATTTCAGCTCAGGTAGCACTGTTTTAAAGGTCTAGATGCCCTCAAAACAAACCAACTGACACATAAATATTTAAAATAGAAAATAACTGGAAGTTAAGAAATAAACTATGCTGCTTCCTGACTACAGCATTGATTCTACTCTCTCTGTCATGTTAATGCCGAGTTTTCTGCTTCCTCTTGACGTGTCCTTGTGGTGTCTAACCTGAATTCAAAATTCACCTTGTCAATGACTACTAATTATCACCCCAACATTTTTTTTTTTTTTTGAGACAAGGTCTTACTCTGTTGCCCAGGCTAGAGTGCAGCGGCACTATCATGGCTCACTATAGTCTCAACATCCTGGGCTCAAGCAATCCTCCCACCCCTCCCACCTCAGCCTCTGGAGTAGCTGGGACTTCAGGTGTGCACCACCATACCCAGCTAATTTCTTAATTTTTTTGTAGATATAGGGTCTTGCTTTGTTGCCCAGGCCTGTCTAGAACTCCTGGTCTCAAGCAATCCTCCCACCTTGGCCTCACAAAGTCCTAGGTTTACAGGCATGAGCCACCACGCTTGGCCTTATCTTTTTGAAAATCGATTCCATCACTCTTCCATCACTGTTGCCATCACTCTCACAGCCATGGAAGCTCAAGATCATGGAGTCTTTTTCAATTTTATTCATTTATTTTTTTTTTGAGACAAGGTCTTGCTGTGTCGCCCAGGCTGGAGTACAGTGGTGTGAACATGACTTTCTGCAGCCTTGAATGATCTCCTGGGCTCAAGCAATCCTCCTACCTCAGCCTCCCAAGTAGCTGTGACCACCAGCATGTGCACCAACATGCTTGGCTAATATTTTTGTTTTGTTTTTGAGACAGAGTTTTGCTCTTGTTGCCCAGGCTGGAGTGCAATGGTGCGATCTCGGCTCACTGCAACCTCTGCCTCCCAGGTTCAAGCGATTCTCCTGCCTCAGCCTCTGGAGTAGCTGGGACTACAGGTGACTGCCACCACGCCTGACTAATTTTGTATTTTTTTTTAGTAGAGATGGAGTTTCATCATGTTGGCCAGGCTGGTCACAAACTCCTGACCTCAGGTGATCTGCCTGCCTCAGCCTCCCAAAGTGCTGGGATTACAGGCATGAGCCACCACATCCAGCCATGTCCAACTAATTTTTTTATTTTTTGGTAGAGATGGGGGTCTCACTATGTTGCCCAGGTTAGTCTTGAACACCTGGGCTCAAGCAATCCTCCTACTTTGGCCTCCCAAAGTACTAGGATTATAGACATGTGCCACGGTACCTGGCCTAGAGTCACTTTTGACTTCTCCTTGTTCCCTTTATGTACAGCACCTTCTTTCATTCCTTACTGTCTCCCTCTCCTTTCCTACAGTTGCACCTCAAATCCTGGCTGGTTCCTATCCTCTCTCACCCGATAACTGCTACAATCTCCTATCTGGTCTTCCCACTTCTTGCCATCCTTCTCCTGGAATACACCCTGCAGTTCCCCATGAGGTTGAGTTTCCTAAAAATGAAGCTTTGCATTTGTCACCCAAATATAAACCCTTCGGTGGCTCTTTTTCAGAGATAAAATCTAGGCTTTACGTCTGATTTTCAAAGCCCTGAACAATCCAGTTCCTTCTGCTGTCTTCAACTTCATCTCCTACTTCATGTATACAGGAATTCTCTGCTGAACTTAACAGTTTAAGTCAAATTGGACAGCCTTAACTAGGGTGATTATGTAATTTATCATCCAAACTGGAACCCCTTTCAAAGTGAAAAGATGTGCCATCAAGAAATGAGGCCAGCTGGGTAAGAAATGGGGTCAGTCGGGCGCAGTGGCTCATGTCTATAATCCCTGCACTTTAGGAGGCCGAGGCAGGTAGACTACTTGAGCTCAGGAGTTCAATACCTGCCTGGGCAACATAGCAAGACCCCATCTCTACCAAAAATACAAAAAATTAGCCAGACGTGTGGTATGCACCTGTGGTCCCAGCAACTTGGGAGTCTGAGGTGGGAGGATCATGTGAGCCTGGGGGACAGAGGTTGCAGTGAGCCGAGGTCGCGCCACTGTACTCCAGTCTGGGTGACAGAGTGAGACCCTGTCTAAAAATAAAAAGAAATGGCATCAGGCGAGGTGGCTCACACCTGTAATCCCAACACTTTGGGAGGCCAAGGCAGGAGGATCACTTGAGCCCAGGAGATTGAGACCAGCCTAGACAATGTATGGAGACCCTGTCTCTACAAAAAATAAATTAGCTGGGCACAGTGGTGCACACACGTGGTCCCAGCTACTCAGGAGGCTGAGGTGGGAGTATCGCTTGAGCCCAGGAGGTCGAGGCTGCAAAGCTGTGATCATGGCCTGGGCAACAGAGCAAGACTCAATCTCAAAAAAAAGAAAAAAAAAAAAAAGAATTGGGCCAACAGGGCATAAACTGGGATTGTCCTGTATTAACTGGGAGGCATAATCACTCTGTTCTTAATGTTCCCTGGCCATCTACACACAGGGCACCCCAGATCAGCTACTAATGGAGTATGTCCAGAGTTCTCACCAGCCTCTCCTCTAAATTTCCTGCTCTAAGTCTGGTACCTGGAGTCTCCATCTTTGATAAGCGCCTTCTGGCCCTCAGGTTAGGCCACCTGGTTAACTTTCAGTTTGGCCTTTTCACTGTAACAGTCTCTCTCTGACCTACCAGCTCCCAGGAGCTGGCCCTGCCACTCCTAGGCCAGACTTAGCCCTAATGCTTGAAGAGCATTGCCACCTCCACAGTCACTGCCCTTCATCTCTCCCCCTGCCTTGGACATTTGTCCAATTGCCACCCTTCCTTCCACACTCAGATCTTCCAGCCTAGCCATTAGGATGTCTCTCTCTGACCTTCCGTGGCCAATATTTTCTCTATCATTTGCGTTGTACTCACCATAGCCCTATTGAGCAGCAACTAACCTTGTAGGATTTTGTCTGGAGTCCCTAAGAAAGGCTACTGGCAACAAAAGTACTGCCTGCTTAATCATCTCACTCCCAGCCTCTAACAGATCGAGTGCTTAGTGAACCGCTGTAAAGGGCATTGGGGAAAAGGTGGTAAGGCTGGTGATGCTAGGATCATCTGACGGAGGAGACCTGGGTTGCAATGGGATGCAGTCTCTCCCATTTTCCCACTCTTTGGATTGGATCCCCACTGAGAAAATGCAGACATTCTTATATGCAGTCAAGCAGCCGCAGAGAAACGCCCATCTCCGATAAACAGCACGCCAAAGCTCTCTGGCAATGACAGCATCTACCCTCCCACGCTTGTAGCTCTTCAATAAATGTCAAATCCCAAAAGTTACAGCAAAATCCTCAGAGATACAAAGGTTCTCTACTACACACGGACAAGCAGGTAATTATTTGGAAACACTCAGAGAAATGGGTTTTTCAGTGGCCTCCAGTTTCCCATGGGCCAAGGTGGGCTTCCTGCCCCATCTACTCCCTGTGACCAATGCAAGCCCTGTGTTCTACTGTCCCTCCCCTTGTCCTAATCAACCCATTACCCTCATCCTGTTTCCTGAAGCTCCTCCACCAGCCTAACTCACAATGGCTTGATTTCCTCCTGACCAAACAGCACTCAGAGTTTCTACCCATTTAACAAATAGTAGAGGGGAAAAAGCAGGTTGTAAAACAAAATAGACAGTGTGACCTCATTTTGTTAAATCTTTACAAAATGTTTTTTGTTTATTTGTTTGTTTGTTTGAGATGAGTCTCGCTCTGTCACCCAGGCTGGAGTGCAGTGGCACAATCTCAGCTCACTGCAAAATCCGCCTCCCAGGGTCAAGTGATTCTTCTTCCTCACCCTCCCAACTAGCTGAAAATACAGGGGCACACTACCAGACCCAGCTAATTTTTGTATTTTTAGTAGAGACCGGGTTTCGCCATATTGGCCAGGTTGGTCTCAAACTCCTGACCTCAAGTGATCTGCCCGCCTCAGCCTCCCATAGTGCTGGGATTACAGACGTGAGCCATCGCACCTGTCCAACAAAATGTTTTAAAGTAGATATTTATATGGAGAAAGTCTGGTAGAAAATACAATAACCTATTAATAGTGATTTTTCTCATCTGTTTAAGTTTCTCTATGAACGGGTATTACTTGCATAATAAAAATTAATGAAGCAAAAATAACCATGGGTATATATGTTGGCTTCTTTTTTGCTAGTGGTAGTGGGTGTGGAACCCTGCCACTCTATCATGGCCACCACCAGCAGATTAAGAAGAAAAACAACCCTAAGGCCCAGGAGACCAGCTGCATTTGTGGCCCTTTGATGAGAGTCAGAGGCAGAGGTTGCTTTCATTCCTATCAGTGTGTAAAAACAAACCCACGATACTCTCATCACTCACCTGCCAATTGCAGGCTACCACCTAACTTTTGTTTTGTTGTTGTTTTGTTTTGCCTTCCACATCCCTAGCTAAGAATTAAGGTGTGCTGGAAAATGCAAATTCTATGTGCAAAAATATAAGCATACCCTGTTTGTGCGAAGCAAAATAAAATAGGGTCCTGAAAACAATAGAACACGGAAGACAAAATGCAGGATTTAGCAGAAAATTTACATTCCAGTTTTGATGTCAGTCAAGTTCTTTTCCTTCTAGATTTTCTGCCTCATAAGTATTCAGTTCAGTTTATGAAACACCTACTATCCACCAGGCACTGTTTGTTGGTATAAGGAGGAATGAGACCATGTTAAGTTGCAAAGGCTTTGTAGATAAACAGGGGGGATGTCTGCAGCATCAAGCACTGCCCTTGAGCCTCATTACCTGGGCTTGTGTTTGAGGGTTTGAGGCTACTGCTAGTTTCCTCTGACCACGCCGTCTAATTACGCTGAGCCCATATGGCTGGGCTCTTTCACCTGGCAGTCACTTTGGCCTGTCACTGAGCTATAGGTGACATTAGGGAGGAAGGCTGCCCGTTGTCTTTGAGGTGTCACTCAGCAACCCACCCAAGTAAATTTCATGTATAACACCTGAGCTATATATAAGTCAGGCCATTCCAAACATATCCTCCAAAGTTGAAGAAAATCCACCCGATCCTTTTCAAGAGATGCAGTAACACACAGTTATATTTGCATGGATTATCATAAGTGTTCCTTTTACTGGAGACCCAGAATAAGAAAACGCTGACCTCAGCCATAAATGAAGCCTTTAAAGTTCAAATTCTGCCTAACAACTACACCAAACAACTGAGCACTTTGTGGAAACCCAAAGGTGAGGAAACAAATATGTGGGAGGTACACGTGAGTCTCCCCTCCTCCTCACCATGCTTAACTTGTCCTTCCCTACCAAGCCCAGCTGGAGGGATACTCACCCACACACCTCTTCCCATCCTCAGCCAGGGCGTAGCCACTGTAGCACTGGCAGACGAAGGAGCCCGGCACATTCACACAGAGCTGCTCACAGTTGTGGTCCTCCATGGCACACAGATCCTGGACTGAGGCAAAGTCACGATGTTAGAACACAACGTCAGGCACACCTGAGAATGCTCCCAGCCCAGGGTGAGGCAACAGGGAACTCCAGAGCCCTCACCAAAGTAACTTTTAAAAACATTGTAAGGTTTGATACGTGATCATAGTAGAAAATTTGGAAAACATAAAAAAATAGATAAAAGAAAATTCACCTGTAATCCCCCCATCTGTAATCCTACTACCCAGAGGCAACCACTGTTAACATTTTGGTGAGTTTTCTTTCCAGGTGAGTTTCTGCATGTATATAAAAACACATTTTTCAGCCATGCGGTGGCTCACGCCTGTAATTCCAGCACTATGGGAGGCCGAGGTGGGCGGATCACTTGAGGTCAGGAGTTGGAGACCAGCCTGGCCAACATGGTGAAACCTCATCTCTACTAAAAATATAAAAATTAGCTGAGTGTGGTGGTGTGTGCTTGTAATCCCAGCTACTCAGGAGGCCGAGGCAGGAGAATCGCTTGAACTCAGGAGGCGGAGGTTGCAGTGAGCCAAGATCGTGCCATTGCACTCCAGCCTGGACGACAGAGCGAGTCTCTGTCTCAAAATAAATAAATAACATAAAAAAAACACATTTTTCAAAGTTGGAATTACTTTGAAATACATTAAATAATTTTTTTGAGACAGAATCTCACTCTGTTGCTGGTATAAGAAGGAATGAGACAAAGCTCTTTGAAAACCCTCTTTGTGCTCTATGTATTCATTCTAATAACAAACGAGGAAAATGGAGAAGCCAAAAGAGGTTAGGTAGAGGTAACAAACATTGCCAGGGAGAAATAGATACATGTCTATTCGTGGTCTTATTTTGGTCAAATATTTATTACATGTCCACTAAGTGCTAAGCTCTGCCTGTTTATTCACATGCAACGTAGGAATGGAATTGCAGTATGCATCTACTGCAACAGAACTAAGAATATGTTGGTGGATGAAAAGATTAAAGGCATCTTCCATCCATCACTGACTCAGTCTCTAACACTATTTCCCAGCAAGGAGAACAGCTTGGATACCATGAAACAGCTAGCTGTACCATTGATTTTGCCATTAAAACTGGAGATAATCAGAGAGCATTAAAGGGGTTGAATATATTAAAGAGAATTTTCTCTGGTTAAAAGCTATCACTGGCCGGGCGTGGTAGCTCACACCTGTAATCCCAACACTTTGGGAGGCCAAGGCGGGAGGATCATCTGAGGTCAGAAGTTCGAGATCAGCCTGACCAACATGGTGAAACCCCGTCTCTACTAAAAATACAAAAATTAGCTTGGCGTGGTGGCACGCGCCTGTAATCCCAGCTACTCAGAAGATGGGAGGCTGAGGCAGGAGAATGGCTTGAACCCGGGAGGTGGAGGTTGCAGTGAGCCGAGATCACACCATTGCACTCCAGCCTGGGCGACAGAACAAGACTGTCTCAAACAAAAAAAAGCTATCACTACAACAGGTATGATTTAAAAAAACTTAATTACCTAGAAAGCTTGATTAATTCCTGAATCCAATGGCTACATTTTCATATCATCTTCTAGATCTTTGAGTTTCATAGTTTATTATGCTTTTACATAAATATAAAATATCCAAATTGATTTTTAAAAAGATAAAAGCTGATTTGATTCAACATCTCTATTAAATGCATTAAACAATTTTAAACATTAAAACTTACATCATCACATTTTAAAAACGCTTAGGTCTAAGAGTCTACAAATAAGAATTCTGGTTTTAAACTCCTAAAAGAAGTTTCACTCCCAAATCAATAAAGTAGATGGAAAAAAAAGCCTTATAGACACAGATTCTTTTACCTCTCACCAGTAAGTTTATATCTCACATTTCCAATTGAGAACTCCAACCAGAAAGTCCAATGTAGATTTTCAGTGGATTCAGATGTAAGGAAAACACCCATAACCGGAAGAAAACTTCAGCTAATACAAAAATCGTAGTGAGTAATCAAAGAAATACAAAACCTAAATGAGCTAGGCCAGATATAAGAAATGTCTGAATCATACGATATTCATTCATTTAGTCAATAAATACGGTTTGAGCGCATACTATGTCCCAAGCATTGGGGATATCATGGTGAACAAAACAGACAAGGGGTTTCTGCTGTCACGCAGCTTGTATCCTACTAGGAGTTAATAACATGAACCTTTAGGAAGAGTATTTTCGGCCAAAAGAACAGTGAATGCAAAGGTCCTGAAGAACAAACTGATCCTATTTGAGGAACAGAAAGGCCAGAGTGGTTGTTAGATGCCACCTAAATAACTAACATGCGAGGTAGGACATGATAAGAATCCCTAAGAGAAGTGCCAAGAAAACTATGGGAGTTCAGAATTGGGACAGATTACTGCAAGTCTAGCAAGGACTGGGAAAGGCTGGCAGGTATGGAGAAAGAGAAACAGCACTCCAGGCTTGGGACGCGTGAGTAAACAGAAGAGGGAAGCAGGAGAGGCGTGGCAGCTGAATTCTGCTCTGGAAATTCCAGGGGAAGTAGCAGAAGAGAGGATGGGAAAGACCATTGACACCAGAGGCAGAGGGATCTCTGCACACAGGCTGCATAGGCTGAACTCCAATCAGCGGGCAATGGGGACCACTCAAGGGAAAAACTTTAAAAAGGGAGACCAGCAATTTCACCCAAGTTGTGCTTCGGAAGGATAAGTCTGGCAGCACCACAGATCCTCTCAGGCCTGGGAAAATTTAAGCACCTCTAGCAAAGTTCAATGAAAAGCATTGCTTTCTTGGGAACAGCAGTAGGTTTCTGAGTTCCGGGCTGAAGTAGCTTTGGGTTGCCTGAATGGTGATGAGAAAATTAACCTCTTGCTATGAGGACCTTTAAACATTCTTTACACTTTTGGCCTCACCCATCGGCTGTCAGCCCACCCCTGCACTTTTCCCTCCTGGCATGAATCATAATGTTAACTACGTATGTGTTTATAGAGCGATGGATGTACTGTGTCTCTCTTACTAGACTCTAAGCTCCCTAAGTGGGTGGGCAGTGTCCCTGCATGAAGTCCTGATGGCTGGGAGGTGACGCTCCAGCATGCTGGAACCAGCTCTGGAAGGGTGGCAGCAGCTTCTCCACATGGGTCCTCCCAATCTCTACTGCAGATGCTGCCTTGCCCCATCAGGGGTCTGGCAGGAACCCTACCTACCATGGTTACCAAGTAGTGGTGTGAATACAGGTGATTTTTCATTCTTTTATTTATAATTGTCTGATTTCAAATTTTCTAACAGGAACTTTTATAATAATGGAGGAAGACAAAAAAATCAACCTGTTACAAAAGAACCCTTTTGAAAGTACCATTTCAAAAGCAAGGAACCAGGACCTTGAAGGAACAATCTTTTTTTCTAAAAGGCTTCCCTGCACAGGGTAGGTAGAGAAAGGCAAGGATATGCTTGTTCCTTTCAGGACAGACTGGGATATCCGCAGAAGAGTCTGTGAGTAACTGCAAGCTCCCATCTACAGAAGCAGCAGCGACCTTTGAAAATCTTGATGCCAAGGTACTCCCCACCACAATTAAATCAGACTGGCAGGGGGTGGGATTTGGGCAGTGGTGTTTGTCAAAGCTCCCAGGTAGCCCCAGTGTGCAGCCAGGCTGAATGTCATTGAACCTAACAGATAAAAAGTCCCCACAATCCTCCCTGGGGAAGGTGCCCAGATCCAGGAGTCAGTCTCCCCCTTTAATGATGAGACCCTACGGTTCAGCTTTCCTCTTCTAAACAAATCTGAGTGATTGTTGTCCTTGCTCCCCTCTCCAAGAGGCTAAAAGAACCCCAAACACCTATGTGCGGGTGCAAGATTACTGCTCGCATCCCAGAACTGTCCCACAAACAGCAAGCTTGCCAGTTGGCTTCATGCGGATTGTCCTTTCTTACTGTTTTTAGAATTGTTGGGGATTTATGGCCACGAGCGATTTGTACCGACCCAAGGGAAACCATTCAGGGATTAATCTAATTAAACAAAGACAAAGGAATAAATACAGACTGGGTTCTGACAAAACAACTTTGCTGTTTTTCTGGCAGTGGCCATTTCCTTTTGAAACAAATACAGATGTTTTTTGGATGATTCCTTATGCTTTTGAAAAACAGCCCTTCTTTCTCTCTGAGGCCAGGAGGATTTCACTGAAGGATAAGAAGCACTGTGTCCAGAGCTCCCCCTGCCCCGGCACAGCCTTCCACCTTCTCCACCTGGTGACCCCCATGAATGGCTCACAACCCCAGTCAAATGTCACCTCCTGTGGGAAGCCTCCTTCAAGTTGGCTGGAGTTAAGGCTTCTTCCCCTGGGCCCCCACAGCACTATAGACATGGCTCCGCTCTAGCATTTCGGCACTGATCCCATGGTATTGGAAGGACTTGATCACGGCTATCTGCCCCATTATAAGAGGGTCAGTTTTGACTCTCCAGAGT
The DNA here is from genome assembly GCF_000001405.40 of Homo sapiens. Classification (NCBI taxonomy): domain Eukaryota; kingdom Metazoa; phylum Chordata; class Mammalia; order Primates; family Hominidae; genus Homo; species Homo sapiens. Next base: position 97,956,986 of record NC_000008.11, on the reverse strand, counting down.
CTAGCACAGTGTCCTAGCACATGTATTTGGTCTCCATAAGAGTTCATTTGCTGAATGAACAATGAAAAAGGCCCAGATGCCCTGCCTCCCAGGAGGAATGGCCCTAAAGTCCTAAGAATACCCTCCTCCATTAGATGTGGGGTCCTCAGAAGATGACTGAGATGGGAACAAAATTCTCTCCAAGTCTCTCTGCCTCTCCTCATCCTCAGCAAGAGGTATTCACACACCAGAAGAGGGCTCAGAGTGAGGTAGGAGGCAGGACTCAACTCCAGAGGCAGAGCTTAACTCCAGAGGCAGGGCTTGGACACAGGATCAAATTGAGGGCTGGGGCAGAAGCAGCTTTCCATAAGACACACCCACCAGTGTGACATGTCAGTTTACCATTGCCATGGCAACACCTGGGAGTAACCACCTCCTCCGTGTCAATGACCTGACAAACCAAGAGCTACTATCCCTTCCCTAGAAATTCCTGCATAAACTGCCTCTTAATCTGCATGCAGTTAAAAGTGGGTATAGGCCACTGGGATCACACCCATAATCCCAGCATTTTCGGAGACCGAGGCAGGTGGATCATGTGAGGTCAAGAGTTCAAGAGCAGCCTGGCCAACATGGTGAAACCCCATCTCTATTAAAAATACAAAATTAGCCAGATGTGGTGGCAGGTGCCTGTAATCCCAGTTACTTGGGAGGCTGAGGCAGGAGAATCACTTGAACCTAGGAGGCAGATGTTGCAGTGAGCTGAGATCGCGCCACTGCACTCCAGCCTGGGAAACTCCATCTCAAAAAAAAAAAAGTGGGTATAAATATGACTGTAAAACTGCCCTGAGCTACTACCTACTCTCTGCCTATAAGGATAGCCCTGCTCTGCAGGAGCAGTCACGGAGGCGTAACACTGCCAGGGCTGTAACACCGTCTCTTCAATAAAGCTGTTTACATCTACCTCTGCTTGCCCTTGAATTCTCTCCTGGATAAAGCCAAGAACCCTCATGGGCTAAGCCCCACTTTGGGGCTCACTTGTCCTGCATCAAGAACACAATGACATCTCAGAGCCAGCCCCCAGCTATGGACACCAGAAAAGCTGTCATGACAGTTAGGGAACCTGTGTGCCCTGCTATCCACTGCATCCCGGTATCTAGCACAGTGCCTGGCACTTTGTCCTTGCTCAACAAGTACTTGTTGAATGGATGAATGAACTCATGCTCATGTGACACAAGCACAGGGTTGTCAGGTGTTCCTAACTCATCTCTCTTACCTACTCTTGTAAGCTCTGTGAAGGACAGAGCCATGTCTCTAAGTCTTGGTGTTCCTTACGGTGCCTGTATAATGCCATGCACTTCACACAGTTGGTGCTTAGTAGCCATCTATTGTTGACTTGACAGCCTCCCTTGCTGGGCAGCCTAGAGCTCTGTCTCAATTAATAAATGTCACTGGGCAGAAATGGGACAGCTGGGGATGATTCTGAAGTATTCTTTAATTTCTCTTTAGCAAAGATGAATTTTTAGAATAGCTAACTTTTACCCTGGGGTCGAAGATGGGAACAGAAACTTGAAAGTCATGGGATTCCTCCCTCTCCTGTACCCCTCAGACCCAGTCAATCCTGGATTTACTTCTCTTCATCTCCCCTGCCACCATGGAGCCACTATCATCTGTTGGCTGAACAGCCGTGGCAACCTCTTAACTGGTTTTCCTGTATTCATCCCAGCCTAGCATCCTCCTGTAGCCAGAGTAATCTGCTCCTGCCTCTCTTCTGCTTAAAACCCTTAATGGCTTATCACTGCTTTAGGATGGAGTCCAAAAACTCTAATGTGATGGTCAAGGGGGCTACAAGACCCACCCCTTCACCTCTCCAGTCTTATCTCAAGCCTCCTCTTATTTTCTCTGCTCCATTTACATGGCCCTCTCCATTTTCAAATCAAGCTTCTTCATGTCTTGGGACCTTTGCAAAGGTCATTCCTTCTGCCTAGAATGCTCAAGCCTCTTCCTGACCTCCTTTTCCCCTACCTAACTCTCATACCTCCTTTAGTACTCACCTGAAAGTCTGCTTTCTCAGGAAGCTCTGACCTGCCACTAGGGGTGAAGTCCTCCCTCAGAGTTTCCATTTGTAATCCTCAACACAATTATAATTTAATGCTTAATTTGCAACTAATTATTTCATGTCTATTTCACCTGCCACATAGGGCAGCCACAGTGCTTGTCTTGCTCAGCATGCTAGTTCAAATATCTAGCATCTGCCATGTGGCTGATTTGTGGATGACTGAATTAATAAATCTATTCAACGATGGAACGGTTCGGAGTGCTGGGAAAACAACAGTGAATCAGTGGACAACAACAGAAAAATTCCTACCCTTATAGAGCTGATGGTCCAGTGAGGGGCCAGTCATGTGCTAGAGGCAGCTCGTACTGACTCACACAATGATGTGCATCTCTTCCCACAGCTGCATTCAAAGAGGCCACGTTGGTAGCTTGAAATGTCCACGGTGGGAGTATTTACACCATGGAAATTGGCAAATCTACAAATCAGAGCTTTTGTCTCCTGGAGACCTGATTGTTAAACATTTAGCAGCACATACCTGATAGAAGATTGATAGTAAACAAAGCAAATAGGTAAAAATCTGTGATACGTTATAAGCAGGAAAGGGGAGTTGAGCGTGGTGAGAGAGCAGGCTTCCATTTTTAACAGTGTGAACTGAAAAGATGATTTTGACCTTCTCCAAATTTTTATTTGGACCTGAAAGAGGTGACATGAAAAATGATGAAGAGAGCCACCACTGGGGGAGGGCAGGATGTCAGTTACGTCTCCTCAGAAAGGGTAGGGGTGAGGCAGGCAGGTGAAAAGAATATCGACTTTGGAGCCAGACTTGGCCCCAGCTGGGTAACGACTTCAAGTAAGGGACTTTTGAGAGATTCAGTTTTCATAAAAAGGTTAAATATCTTATTTGTAGGGTTGAGTGAGATAATCTAGATGGGCAAAGCATCTGTCTCACAGAAGATATTTTTATTTTATTTTTTTATTTTTAATTTTTTTGAGACAAGGTCTGGCTCTGTCACCCAGGCTAGAGTGCAATGGCACAATCTAGGCTCACTGCAACCTCTGCTTCCCGAGCTCAAGCAATCCTTCCACCTCAGCCTCCCGAGTAGCTGGGACTAAAGGTACGCACCACCATACCCAGCTAACTTTTTTTTTTTTTTTTTTGGTGAGATGGAGATTTACTCTTGTTGCCCAGGCTGGAGTGCAATGGCGCTATCTTGGCTCACCGCATTCTCCGCCTCCTAGGTTCAAGCGATTCTCATGCCTCAGTACTCATGCTGAGTAGCTGGGATTACAGGCATGTGCCACCATGCCCGCCTAATTTTGTATTTTAAGTAGAGACAGGGTTTCACCGTGTTGCCCAGGCTGATCTCGAACTCCTGACCTCAGGTGATCTGCCCGCCTTGGCCTCCCAAAGTGCTGGGATTACAGGCGTGAGCCACCACGCTCAGCAAAATACCAGCTAACTTTTGTATTATTTGTAGAGACAGGGTTTCACCGTGTTGGACAGGCTGGTCTTGAACTCATGAGCTCAAGCGATCTACCCGCCCTGGCCTCCCGAAGTGCAGGGCTGACAGTAAGTATTCAACAAATGTTAGCATCCTTCTCCTTTCCTAAATCAAGGGGGAAAAGAAAAGTGTCAGTGGCACATACCTATTTAAGCATGGCAGAGAGTTGAACTTCAACCAAATTTTGCTCACATCCCAATTCTAATAGTTTCACTTTATTGGGTACCTATAAAAGCTGCAAACATGGGCCGGCACGATGGGTCACACCTATAATCCCAGCACTTTGGGAGGCCAACGCAGGAGGATCAAGACCAGCCTGGGCAACAGAACGACATCTTGTCTCTACAGAAAATTAAAAAATTAGCCAGGCACAGTGGCACACACCTGTAGTCCCAGCTACTAGGGAGGCTGAGGTAGGAAGATCATTTCAGCCAGGGAGTTCCAGGTCGCAGTAAGCTATGATTGCGCCACTGCACTCCAGCCTGGGAGACAGAGCGAGATCCTGTCTCAAAAAAAAAAAAAAAAAAAAAAAATCCCTACAAACATGAATATTAGATCCTAACGTTCTAAAATTTATCTCTGGCCAAGTTTGGTTTTTGAGTTCTATGCTAAATTGAAGTGATACAGCAAAGTAGGTAATTTGGAATTTCATAACAAAAAGACCTGGCCAAATTTGAGATACACCTTGCCAGGGAGCTACCATTAGCATGTATCTGACAGTCAGCAAAATCTGCTCGCTTGTTTCAGTGCCTGGAGAATTTTAAGAGGGATAACTCAGTCTTCCCAGGTGAAACTAATTAGTGAAGATTTGCTGCCAAGAGCCCCAAAGCTGTGCTCAAACCCAACCAGTTTCCCCAGAGACTCCCATGCACCCTAGATGTAAGTGCCTTCCTTTAGAAACCCTGGCGCCTGCATCTCAGTCCAGAGAACTTGGAAACTTTCATCTGCTTACACCGGAAGGAGGCAGAACTGAGGGGGGAGCACGGAGCATGGGGCAAAGGCTATGGCCATCATCCAGGGCTAAATCAAAGGGTTTCACCAACGTTTCAGAATTTTAGACAAGCTGCACTGCACGCTGTTGACACCAATGACAGTTTAATCTCATCTTTGGAGTTAAAGCAAATGAACACCTTTAGGAGACACCCTCTACTTTTTATAGCTCTTGCTGTTATTTAATCTGAGATGTAGAAATCAGAAATTGTTTATCACAGCAAGAGAGAAGGAGAAGTGGGTTATTAGGGCTGCCATTTCACTCAACTGGGTAAACGATGGGGTCTCTGCCCACTCCCACAGGAAAGCTTGCTATGAGTTAGGGCTCCACAAATGCAGGCAAAACCCAAGCTTGCCTTTTCGAGACCATGCCCTCTCTTTCATCATGTCTGAAAGCACTAATCTTATTTTGACAACTGCAGTTTGGATTTGAAGTCTTCCAATGGTAAATGAGTCATCAGCCTCGTGCTTCTACACTGAAAGAAACAAAACAAACCCAATGTCACTGAGAAAATTATCCTTTCAGGCAAACTCCAGCTGTGCCTAGTCTCCTCCTTTCCCGCAGCAGTTGAATTTTTTTTCAATCAATTCTCCTGTTCACTAACAAGATTTTGGTTTTCCTCGGGGAAGGGAAAAGGAGGAAGGGGGGAATCTCTGAAACAAGTTCTAAAATACAGTGAAATCTGAGTGAATGAGGTTGACAAAAATAATAAATAAACAAACAAAAATAATGTCCTACTCCTGTAGAGTGCTTTTCAATTTCCAAACCGTTGTCACATTATGTTCTTAATATAAACCCCCTTTTGAGTGGATGCTGCCAGGGAGAGATCTTATTTAAAACATCTAAGTCAGTAGTCCTTAAACTGCAGCGTACATCGACATCCCCTGGAGGGCTTGGGAAAACCCACATTCCTGGGCCCCAGTTCCAGAGGTCCTGATTCAGTGGGTCTAGGGTAAGCCTGGGAACCTGCATTTCTAGTAAGTTCCGGGCAAAGCTGATATTGTTTTCCGGGGGGACCACACTTTGAGAACCACTTGCCTGGGTCCTCATAAAAACAGCCAAGCGGAGGAAAAGCTGTGCAAGGTTCAAGCTCATGTTCCCCTGATATGTACATTTTTTTCATAATTGGCATTTCTCCACTCACATTTAGTCAGCTCAGTTCTCCCATGGGGCTCTACTCACCCCAGATTCCTTCTTTTGTAGAAAATCCTGTGCCCTGGCACAGCCAGAGGGTGAGCAGACTGCACAAAATGATCCCTAAGCTCCCAGACCCAGGCCTGACAGCCAGGGTCAAGGGGAAGCTGGATGACGGCATTTAGCAAGCCCACTGCTTCGGCTCACAGCAGCTCAGCCACAGCTCAGGTGGCTGCCATTGATTGTCAGTGAAGGCAGCTGCTTTGCGTGTGTGTGCGTGCGGCCTGCTCGCCCTTCTAGCTTTGACCCACCCTCTGACTGTGGGCTGCCCCAGAGCTCACAACCTGACCTTCACTTTCCACACTCGCTTTCTCCCTCCAAGATTCCATCTATTTTCAGGGTCAACGACCACCACCAAACACATACTGCCCAGGCCTTTTCCTTGAACTGGAATTCTCCATCTCCAGCTGCATCCAACCACGTGTGTGGGCTCTCTCTTGGACGCATCTGTTTGCCCTGAAAACTAGATTTCCTCTCTGCAGTTATCCATCAGTCTTAATTACTCTGAACCCACCAGCCATCACCTATCTGATGTCATAAACTCCTCCCTGGGGCTGGGATGGTTGCCGTGGTCTCCTACTTAATTCTGCGGGCGTAAGAAACATACACTGAATTGACTGGACTGATTAGAATTGTTCTCTGATTCCATCTTTTATATTCTGCTCTCTGTGTGGGGGGTAAAAGGGAAGCCAAGATCTGAATGTTTCTTGGGTCCCTAATATGTAAGAAAAATACCCCATAAGAGTATCAGGCCCATAGAGGGGAATCCACAGGTATTGAATGAATGAGCGGATGAGTGAAGGCATCCCTGCCCCACTCTCTACCTCTAATACAGCACATACATTATTGCCAGCCCCAATTTACTAAAATGACCTGGTTTTGCCCTTGACACCCTGTGTTCAATTCCCCTACTCAACAAAGGACACTGTTGGAACTTAGCTTGAGAATCAAATTGCTCCATACTTTATCCCTGCTTACATTCCTTCTCTCATCCTCCACTGATGCCACAAACAAACTATTCCAGAAAGGCAGTCTGGTCCAGCGCCACTACTTACTTCCGAAACCTTGTTCTGATTAATGAATGTCAGCTTTATTGAGTGACAACTGGCATACAATAAACTGTACATACTTCAAGTGTACAGTTTGATAAATCGGGCTTATCAATATATCATCACCACAATCAAGATAATGAGCATAGTCATCACCCCCCCAAGTTTCCTGATGCTGCTTTGTAATCCCTCTCCCTGCTGCTCCCCACTCCTTGGCCCCAAGCACCCACTAATCTGCTCTCTGTCATTACTGAGTAGGCACCATTTCCAAAAATTTTATACAAATGGAACCACATGGTATGTTCTGGTTTTTTTGGGTCTGGTTTCTTTCATTCAGCATAGTGATTTGGAGATGCATCCAGGCTACTGCATGTTTCAATAGTGCATTCTTTTCACTGCAGAGGAGTATTATACAGGATGCGTGTATTGCAGTGTATCACCCATTCATCTGTTAATCAACATGTGAGTTGTTTTCAGTTTGGGGCTATTACAAGTAAAGCTGATGTGAACATTTGTGTTCAAATCTTTTTTTAGACATAAACTTTTATTTCTTTTGAGTAAATACTTAAAAGTGGAATGGCTGGGTCACATGATAGGTAAATATCTAACTTTGTAAGAAACCGCTAAGCTGTTTTCCAGAGTGGCTGAACCATTTTACATGACCACTGGTGATGTATGAGCATTCCAGTTCCCAATTTTGCGAACACATGGTATAGTCAATCTTTTAAAATTTATCCACTCTGGTCAGGCACAGTGGCTCAAGACTGTAATCCCAGCACTTTGGGAGGCTGAGGTGGACAGATGATCTGAGTTCAGAAGTTCAAGACCAGCCTGGCCAACATGGTGAAACCCCATCTCTACTAGTAAATACAAAAAAAAAATTAGCCAGGCTTGGTGGTGCGTGCCTGTAGATCCAGCTACTTGGAGGTTGAGGCAGGGGAATTGCTTGGCCCAGGAGGCAGAGGTTGCAGTGAGCTGAGATCACGCCACTGCACTCCAGCCTGGGCGACAGAGCAAGACTCTGTCTCAAAAAAAAAAAAAAAATCCATTCTAGTGGAGGTATAGTGATATCTCCTGTCTGATAACATTGAGCATCTCTTCATGTGCTTCTTCACTACCCATATGTCTTCCATGGTTTAGTGTCTGTTCAAATATTTTGCCCATTTTTATGGTGGTGTTTGTCTTCTTGGTACTGAATACTTGGTACTTGGTACTGAGCTAAGAATTCCTTATATTCTAAAGTCCTTTGTTGGACATATGTTTTGCAAATGTTTTATTCCAATCTGTGGCTTGCCCTTTCATTTTAGTAGCAGAGTACTGAAGAGCAAATGTTTTCATTGTGATTAAATATATTGATTTTTTTCTTTTATGTTTTGTAGCTTTTTGTGTACTATTTAAGAAATCTTTGCCAACCTGAGGTCATCAAGATTTTTCTTCTACCATTTCATCATGGTATTTAATAGTGTCTGCTCTTGCATTTAGGCTTAGAATACATTTTCAATTAATTTTTATACATGTTATGAGGTAAAGACAAGATCTATGTTCCTTTTGTTTGTTTGCTTGCTTTTTTGCACATGGCAGTTCAATTGCTGCAACACCATTTGTTGAAGACATTATTGTTTCCTCATTGGATTGCCTTCCCACTCCGTCAAAAAATCATTTCACCACATACATATGGGTTATTTCTCGATTCTGTTCTGTTCCATTGCTCTATATGTTCATCTTTATACCAATGCCACACTGTCTTGATTACTGTTGTTTTATACTTAGTCTTGAAATCAGGTAGTTTAAACAAAATTTAAAGATGAACTTTATCTTTTTCAAAGCTTTGTTTAATGTGCATGATTCACAGATTCCATATTTGTGAATCTGCCTACTTGCTAAAATTTGCTTGTAACCCCAAGTCAATACCCATGACACTTTCTCAGCCATTCATGGACATACACAGAGTGGCAAAAAATTTGAGTCACCCAGGACACATATTCCCAGGTAAGGTCAAACAAGGCAACGTTCTGTCTTCTTATTTCAGCTCTCATCCCATGAACAAGCATCCTTTCTGTGGTCTATGCAGTGCCACATTTTTTGCCTTTTTGTACTTCTTGTTGGAGATTTTGCTGTTGAAAATGGCCCCCAAGAGTAATGCTGATCTGCTGTCTATTGTTCCTAAGTACTTCATTCAAAATATGAACGATAGCTTTCAATGTTAATGAATTAACAGTATATACTCAAAAACGTGTGTTTAAACAGAACATCAAACAAGTTTATGTATTGATTGATGAATGTTGTGATTGGAAGCTCTCAGGAACCCAACTCTGTATTTCATCTAGGAGCAATGATTCAGAATTTGCAATTTAGTGTTTATGGATATTTTATGGATGATAACTACTGGGAATAATGAGAACTGACTGGGTTTGACTATTCTAGTTTTTTTGCATGTTCATGTATATTTTAAAATCAGTTGTCGATTTCTAAAAAAATAGGTCTGCTAGGATTTTGAAGGGGATTGCTTTGAATCTATGGATCAATTTGGAAAGAATTGACATCTTGGCCATATTAAGTCTTCCAATCCATGATAGGGTATATCTCTCCATTTATTTAGGTTTTTTTTAAATTAATCTCAGAAATCTTTTATATTTTTCAATGTGTAAATCATACACATCTTTAAAATTTATCCCTAATTTACATATTTTTGATGCCATTATACCTGGTATTTTAAAATCTCAATTTCTGACTTTTGTTGCCAGTGTACAGAAATACAATGAAGTAATTTTTTAAGTATATTGACTTTTTATCTTGCAACATTGCTAAACTCATTTATTAGTTTTAGTGGCTTTTTGTTGTTGTTGTTGTTTTGAGACGGAGTCTCGCTCTGTTGCTGGAGTGCAGTGGTGCAATCTTGGCTCACAACCTACACCTCCCAGGTTCAAGTGATTCTCCTGCCTCAGCCTCCTGAGTAATTGGGATTACAGGCATGCACCACCACACCAGGGTAATTTTTGTATTTTTAGTAGAGACAGGGTTTTGCCATGTTAGCTAGGTTGGTCTCAAACTCCTGACCTCAGGTGATACGCCCAACTCAGTCTCCCAAAGTGCTAGGATTGCAGGCATGAGCCACCACACCTCGCCACTATGATTAATTATATTGATTGATTTTTGAATGTTAAACCAAACTTGCATTCTTGGAATAAACTCCATTTGGTCTTGATGTATTGTTCTTTCTATATATTGTTGAATTCTATTTGCTAAATTTTTAAGAATTTTCACATCTAAATTCACAAAGAATGTTGGTTATAGTTATCTCTCTCTAATAATTCAGTGGTTTTTCTGGGTCATGCTCCTTGTTTAAACTCTAACATAAATCTATTAAATCACTTATGTAGCTTGGGAAAAATAATGTTGGGAACATTTCCAAAGAATGAAAGCAGTAAAATGCATTTGGTATCGTTCTTGAGAGAAGAAAAAAAATTTAAGCTGGATAAGAAAGTCTACATTTTCTGCCAAATGGAGTTTTCTAAATGCTGCATTATCATCAGCTTCCAGATAGATTAAATGTTCCAGAAGAAAGGGAAAATTCCTTATTTTGAAAATATATCAAGAAAAAGAAACAAGATAAAGTTCTTTCTTAGTAGGACAGGAATTCTGGGAAGGGGAAGGATAAGGGGAAATAGCATGTGAAGACGGGCACACTTCATGAGGTTTTCTTTCCCCCCATTTTTTTTAAATGGGAAAAGGAAGGAACATAAAATTCCATTGTTCTAGTATTATGCTGATGCTCTTGCATATATCTCATATAATGGTATTTGACAGGGAAGACTTTTTGAAAGGCAGAAGGAATCCACAATGTTGAGGTCCAGTATGTTCAAAATTGCCCATATAGACACAACTTGGAAGATAAAATTCTACACCTTGATCTTAGCCAAAAGGCCAAGAAGTGATGGAAGCTAAAATTCTTTAATGCATTTGATCTAGTCTTCGAATGGAAAGGCCCTTTTTAGACAACTAATATCCACCCAGAAGAGGGTTACCTGGACAGTGAAGAGACCCAAAACTAGGTCATCAAAAGATGTGTTTCTCCCCTGAAGAAGAGAAAATTGATAGGAATGGGGTCAGTGTGTGGGAATAACACTGTATAATAATTGAAGGGCTTTCTCTATTTATTTGGATAAGGAAATAACTTTTTGGTATATGGCTTCAGATAGCAGAAATAGGATAAAAGTGGAAATTATAGACAAGTAGGATTTCAGCTCAACCGCTGATCCAAGCTGTCTGAATATGGGATTCAGGTGTTTTGTAATAACCTGATTCTGTAAGAACCATCACCCCTCTGGGACACTGGGAGGGGACAGAATTCTGAAGTTCCATAAGAGAGGAAGCCAGAAGTCTAATAGCCAAGGTCCATCACCATTCAAAGAATGTGTGGATCAACTGTGTCTGCTTTCCCTCTCCACACAAATTACAAATATACAATGGTGGGGAGATTATATATATATATATATATTTTTTTTTTTTTCTATAGTGTGTATGTGTGTGTGTATTTGAAGGCAGTTGCTGAAGAGGCCCTCCCACTATTATTTTGTGTGATGACAGTACCACAGCAATTAGCAGTGGACTTGGGGAAGTAACAATCTGTTGAATGTTAGTCCTGAATTAGTTCTAAGTCTCCCCTGGATTAGTGGGCTGAGGAACCTATCTGTCTTCCCGGCTTGGAGAAGGTTTTCTGATTGAAGGGTTGTCCTGCTGCCATGTCGGGGTCCTCTAGGGTCATGGGACAGTCTCAAATGATGGCCAAGAGTGAGGACATAACAGGATTTGGATTCTGGTTTGATCACATTGCTAGCCATGTGAGCTTGGGTAAATCGTCTAAACTTTTTGTTCCTTATTTTGCTTATCTGTAAAATGAGAGTGATAAAACCCACTTTAAGAGCTCATTGTGAGAATTAAATGAGACAGCAGATATAAAACACTCAGGAAAGCTCCTGGCACATGGTAAACACCTAACAAGTGGCTATAGTTAGGCTTGACCTCATGTGTTGCACACTGAGGTGGACGTGGATTGCAGTCACTTTTGGTTGCAATTACCCTGGTTGTTTATTTGATTCACTCCCATGCAAAAATGTGAGCTCCAAAAAAGAAAGAATATTGCTGTGTTATTCACTATTTTATTTCCAGTACTTTGCATGCTGCCTGGCACATTTTTATGCTCAAAAACAATTGTTAAATGAAAAAATAAATGAACCAATCAATGATTGTATGGAAGAATGAATGGCAAGCACTTCTTAGAGAGTAAGAGGTGCTTTGGGGAGGAGGTGTCACCCACATGGCTTTTCATCTGGGAGATTATCCAGCTACGCCCAGGACATGGAAATTAAGTGGAAACAGCTTCCAGAAGTGGAGTACATGCCTCCTCTCCAGGCCCACTGTGAGTTTCTCTCAGTGTTGGCAGGCACAGGTCCCTGCTCATCAGCAGGGGTCAGTAGATGGCACAGCCTTCACTTGGCACAGCTTTTAACTGTCCCCTAGACCAAAAACAGGGCCTAACAAGGACATAATCAGTGAGACAGGTATTGATTTGTTACCACCCGTCCCATCTTATGGGCGAGGAAACTGAGAGTCAAGAAGTTTAAATAACCAGCTCAGAGTGAGACAGCCATAGTTGGTAAGTGATAAGGTCGGGTTCAAGCCCAGATCTGCAGACAGTGAAGGCCTTGTTCTTCCACCAAGGCCCCTGGTACACCAATTTTGGGAAAGCAAAAGAGTTATTAGTATTATCCCCTTCTGAAAGAGAGAGAGCTGTTCTTTATCACTGCACATTTATTAAGCTAAGTCTGGCTGAAGGTTAAGATGGTTTAACTGCTTCAGGGTGACTGGAGAGCTGGGTCAGACGGGACAGCAGAGCTCTGCTAAGCCCTTCCCTGGGACCCCTCACTGCCTGAGGCCAGTGAATCTCAAAGTGTGGCAGTCATTCGTCGGTTCATTGAAAATCCAGACCTGTTGACTCTGCATCTCTGCGGGTGAGCCCAGAAGTCAGTTTCCTGGCTCATTCTTAGTCACTGAAGTTTGAGAAAGCCTGCCCTGAGCTCCTAGCCCTCCTCCGCCTGGACCTCCCTGCCCCTCCCCCTGGTCAGTCTGTCTGAAGTCCAGGCAGGGTCTGCTTCATATTCTCCTGTGGCACATCCCTAGGCAGGAGGAATCCAAGGCCAGAGCAGTACTTGAGATCTGGGGGACATCAGGGCCTGTGGCAGGACCAGGCAGGGGTCTGGCAAACTCTGCTGTGTGGGGGAAGGCCTTGCTCATAAAATTAGGGAAAGAACACTTTATTTTTTATTTGCTGGTGTCAGAATTCCTCTGGCTTGGCTAGGCCAGCCCACGGAAAATAAATATCAGCAGATTCCCAGATCCCAGTCACTCAGTGGGACATGAGACAAGGAGAGGAATTCCTTGTGCTCCTAAGAAGAGAAGGGCACCAGGCACAGCGGCTCAATCCTGTAAATCTCAGCACTTTGGGGGTTGAGGCAGATGGAGCACTTGAGCTCAGGAGTTCGAGAGCAGCCTGAGCAACCTCATCTCTACAAAAATTAGCCAGGCATGGTGGCATGCAGCTGTGGTCCCTGATACTCAGGAGGCTGAGGTGGGAGGACTGCTTGAACCCGGAAGGTTGAGGGTACAGTGAGCCATAATTGTGCCACTGCACTACAGCCTGGACGACAGAGCAAGACCCTGTCTTAAAAAAACAAAGGAAAAGAAGAAGAAGGAGGAGGAGGAGGAGGTGGAGGAGGAGGAGAAGGAGAAGGAGAAGGAGAAGGAGAAGGAGACAGAGAAGGAGAAGGAGAAAGGGCAGGAAGGGAGTGGGCAAGATGGTGGGAAGCTGAGATGGGACAGAGAAGCATCCGGGGCAGAGGGGAGGATGCCTGAAGAGGAGGAAGGGTGCCTCCAGAGGATGGTTGTGGGGAGGTAGAACACCTGAAGAGGTGGAGGTGTCTAGAGGGGGGTGTCTAAAGAGATCTCTAGGTTGTTTGCTGAGCAGTGTGTGAGATGACCTTTCCCAGGCTCCCCCAGTTCTTTAGGAAACTCTATGAAACCCATGAGTATTCGGTGGGAGTGAGTTTTTGTTATGGATTTTGAGGAAGCGTCAGATCTTCAACTGGAAGATGAGGATGATTCAGGCTGCACTCAACTTGGGATCCTGGGGTCTTAGAGGAGGCTAAGAACACATACCGCCCACCCCACCCCTGCGATTCAGAGTCCAGAGGGCTTTGGGTTTCCACAGGCCACACAGAAGCGGAGGGTCAAGTAGATGTTACCTAATCTTGAGGGGCAGGGAGAACTCCAGCCAACCACTCAACCCCAAAACTGAAAAACAGTGAGAAGAAACATGAAAAAGGTGGTTGGCCTCTATAAATGTGACACTAATTACAGCCATTTGTGCAAACTGCTTTCCATTAATGCTTAATTGCTTGCCATGAGGTATAACAACAATTATACATTGCAACAATGACACACTGCAACAATTACACATGGCAACAGTTATGCACTGCACGAACTAAGTGTCAGATTAGCTGAGTTTTATTTGCTTCCATGTGGGCTGGTCTTCCTCATGACTTGTTTTTGGTAGCCTGGTCATCTGTAGGTTAACTCAGTGGCTTTATCCATAACTTTAAAAAGTAAGGACACGGTACTCAGTGTATGAGTAATTCTGTCCTTTAAGGGGTAGACTACCTCGTGCTGGCTCAAATATCAGTATACTGTCTAGTCTTTGGCACTTAGCCAAAAAAGAGAATGCGAGTTCTAATATCTTACATCTGTTTACCCCCTTTTTAAAATCTAGGACACCTATAAAGTGTCCCACACCAAAGCAACTGGGTCCCTGCACCCCTCTAAAACAGAACTTGAATAATCACTCCCAGCCGAGGTTAACAACTCTTCCTAAATCCACACTTTATAGAAGATAATAAAATATGGAAACAGTTCCTTAGGGTACAGTTAATAAAGACAGTGGATGAAAAGGCTCTTCAGTAGTCCCTGCTAAAGAACAAGCTTGGAAGTAAAGGAGACCAGTTCACACATCCAAAGAGGCTATTTCTGAGATGGTGCTTCTACCTATCTCTCCAACTCTTCCTGATGGCCTACTATGTGCCCAGCTCTGGACTAGGCACTGTGATGGGGTCAACAGAAAATACCAAACTTTATTTCTGTCCCCAAGGGATGATAACTGGGGTGGGTGAGGCATCACAGATGAATAAAATGAGCCCAGATAAAAGAAGGGAGAGGATGAGGGAATAGGAAGAAACCACAAATACATCAGCAAAGCAATCTTACTTCTGCAAGTCGTCTGATCCGAGTTGAGAATGTAGCCTTGTTTGCACCTGCAGACGTATGAGCCAGGGATGTTGATGCAGAAGTGGGCACAGTTATGCTCCAGGGTGCTGCACATATGGGCCGCTGAAAGGGAAGACACAGGAAGGTAAGTCAACAGTGATGCCCTTTCTCACTCCATTCCAGCCAGCAAGCATTTATTCAGTGCCTACTCTCTCCTCTGGGCAGGACTCAGAGAAATAAGCTGCAGTCCCTACCCTCAAGGGGGCTCACAGTCCAAGGTGGACAAGACAGGGCCAGATAAAGGGCCATGGAAAATCAAAGAGAAACAGTGTTAGGCTGAACTATATGAAATTGCTGATACTTGATTGGTTTTGATCTACAAAAAAAAGCAAGAAATTTCCAATTCAACTTAATAATACCCATGTGGTGGGCTGGGGAATCAGAAAAGTTTGCCAGCATCAGAGGGGACTTTGACTTAAGTGTGGATTTTTAGGAAGCAGCAATGGGGCTGGAGGAAAAGCTATTAAATAAGCAAGAATGTGTTAAAGAACCAACAGTTTCTCAAAATCATGTTTCAAGAGTAACGTAAATTTTTAATATGCAAAAGTATACACACAATTTTGGAGTAAAAAATGCACTCACACGTTTCATGTTTCTGTAATCTTTATGTCTCAATTTAAGATACCTATTTAGCATCTTTTCTTTCTTTCTTTCTTTTTTTTTTTTTTTTTTTTTTTTGAGACAAGGTCTTGCTCTGTCTTCCAGGCTGGAGAGCAGTGGCACAATCATGGCTCACTGCAGCCTCAAACTCCTGGGCTAAAGCCATCCTCCCACCTCAGCTTCCTGAGTAGCTGGGACTATGGGCGTGTGCCACCATGCCCGGCTAATTTTTAAAATTTTTTTTGTAGAGACAGGGTTTCACTATGTTGCCCAGGCTGGTCTCAAACTCCTGGGCTCAAGCAATCCTCCCAGTTTGGCCTCCCAAAGTGCTGGGATTACAGGCATAAGCCACCACGCCTGCCCTCTGCATTTAGTTCTTGAAGTACCTCAGCTTTCTGGTACATTGGTTCCTGCATAAGTCTGTCTGTAGCTCATAAAAATTCTCTTTTTTTAATGTCCTAATTTATGACTTTACTCAATGTAACTTGATTGTATTTAAAATTAACAAGCAACAGTACAAACATAACAAGTTATGCAAGTGTTCTCATAAACAAAAAAGATGTCTATATGTAGAAATATATTTTTATGAAGCTAAAATAAAAGGAGCTCTCAAAAGCTTAGAACAATTCCATTAATCCAGCGCTTGTGAAAACTCAGCTGTGATTAAATCCATCTGAAGTTTATGTCTCTACATTGGAGTAAGAAATATGGTGGGCAATAAATGAACTAGGGAAGTAAAGCTGTTTCATTTCACAACAATACAATTTAGAATGTACTGTTCTGAGTTTGATTGTCTGTGTTTTGGTTCCTGTTAGGATACAAATATCACTAGGAAAGTTTGTAGATCCAATCAGTCATTTTTACTTCAGGGTGAAACAAACAGCTTTTTTTGTGACCTTGTACAAGTTTCTTTTATTGTTATCATTATTTTTAAATAAAATAGAAGTTTTCTCATTTTTAAAAATAGAGATGATGTCTTACTATGTTGCCCAGGCTGGTCTCAAACTCCTGAGCTGAAGCGATTCTCCTACATCAGCCTCCCAAAGTGTTAGGATCACAGACATGAGCCACCACACCCAGCCCTTTGTGCAATTTTCTTAACTTCTTTATAAGACATGAGAATAAAAATAGCACCTACCTCATAAGAACCTCAAAAAGGTTAAATTAATGGAGATGGTAGAGTGTTGAGAATAGTGCCTGGGGAATGCTGAAGATACCTGCTAACCATTTTATAGCAAAGGAGAATTATGGTGGCATTTTGTCTTATTTTACATCTGTAGGTTCATCCTATATACATTGACCTTCACCTCAGTTTTCACTCAACGTTAATCACAGATTCTATCAATGTTGATACATGTACTGTATTTCATGGAATCTAAAATGCACCCCAGTTTCAGAGATATCAAACTGTGAAGACATGTTCAGTTGATCCTCATTCTTCACAGATTCCATATTTGTGAATTTGCCTACTCACTAAAATGTATTTGTAAGCCCAAACCAATACTCACAGCGTTTTCACGGTCACTAGTGGACATGCTCAGAGTGCATGAGCACTCAATTTAAAATATCTCTAAATTTAGTTTATTTTGTGAGACAGGCTCTTGCTCTGTCACCTAGGCTGGAGTACAGTGGCACAGTCACAGCTTGCTGCAGCCTCAATCTCCGGGGCTCCAGTGATCCTCCTGCCTCAGCCTCAGCCTCCCAAGTAGCTGAGACTACAAAAAAATGTGTTGCCTGGTGCAGATGTTCTCAGCTGAGGTTGAACAAGGAGCCACTCTGCCTTCTTTTTCAGCTTTCATTCTGTGAACAAGCATCCTTTTCACAGTCTACTTAGCACCGTGGTTTTTTTGTTTGTTTGTTTGTTTTTTCATTTCTGTGCTTTCTGTAAGTGATTTTGCGGTTTAAAATGGTGATGCGCCGTCTAGTGTTCCTCAGTGCAGAAAGGCTGCGATGTGCCTTACAGGGAAAACATGTGTTAGGTAAGTTTCATTCAGTCAGGAGTTACCGTTGGCTGTGGGTCTGATGTTAATGAATCAATGGTATATATCAAATACGATGTTTTCGGCCAGGCATGGTGGCTCACACCTGTAATCTCAGCACTTTGGGAGGCCAAGGTGGGTGGATCAGTTGAGGTCAGGAGTTTAAGACCAGCCTGGCCAACATGGTGAAACCCTGTCTCTACTAAAAAAAAAAAATACAAAAAGTAGTCAGGAATGGTGGCAGGTGCCTGTAATCCCAGCTACTCGGGAGGCTGAGGCGGGAGAATTGCTTGAAACCGGGAGGCAGAGGTTGCAGTGAGCTGAGATTGTGCCACTGCAGACACAGCGAGACTCTGTCTCAAAAAATAAACAAACAAACAAAAAATAAGATGTTTTTAAACAGAAACACACATAAAACAAGGCTACGTATTGATTAGTTGACAAAAAATATTGTCACCAGAGGATTGCAGGAACCTAACCCTATATTCCATCAGGAATATATGGAGCAATGGTTTAGTATTCTCTAACTCAGTGTTTGCAGTGACTTTATAAAACATAATTATTGTGAATAATGAAAACTAGCTGTATTTTAGATTTAAAGATTTAATCAAAACCTTAGATCTAGTTTATCCCTCCCAATTGTTTTATCCATTGGTCATATGACTTTCCTCATTTTATTTGGCCATTTCCCCATTGGTAAGCATTTGGGTGGTTTCCAAGTTTTCACTTTCACAGTGTTGTGATGAACATTCCTGAACACGTCCCCTTGAATTCATGTACGATGTTTTCTCTAGGACTGGGTCTCACTTTAAACAGATATGGCCTGATTGCCTTCCAAGACAGCTCATGTCAGCAACGATGGTCCTAACGATTCCCATCCCCTCAAAACTTCAGTACTTGGTGTTATCAAACTTCAAGTTTTGACAATCGTATGGTGAGGGGTAATCATTATCCCACTTTTAATTTGCATTTGCTTTGCATCCTGAAAGACTCTCTTCTTTTCCTGGACTGCTGGAGTCAAATTACCCACGGGCAGAGGACATTTCTAAGGCACTCACAGCATGTCACTGTCTCTCTCCATAATTAAGGAAGTGTAGTGTGTAGGCAACCAACTACACGGCAGTCACCCACTGTCATGAGTGGGAGGCCCAAGTGATGTACCTGGTGCCTGTCTTCTTGGTGAGACCCTAACAGACAAAATAAGAAGACAGGAGATGTGAGGCAGAGAAAATATCTGGCGGGCAGCAGGCAGCATCGTGGGGAGAGGATGGCTACCGGAAATAGACCACCTGAAGGCTCAGCTTCGCCACTCCCTATGACCTTGTGCAAATGACTTGGTTTCTCTGAACTCCACTTTCTTCACCTATCAATTGCGGAAATTAGGCCAGGCATGGTGGCTCATGCCTGTAATACCAGCACTTTGGGAGGCTGAGGTGAGCAGATCACTTGAGTCCAGGAGTTTGAAACCAGCCTGGCCAACATGGCAAAATCCCATCTCTACTAAAAACATAAAGATAAGCTAGGCATGGTGGTGGGCTCAGCTACTTGGGAGGCTGAGGCAGGAGAATTGCTTGAAACCGGGAGGCAGAGGTTGCAGTGAGCTGAGGTCGTGCCACTGCACTCCAGCCTGGGTGACAGAGAGTGACTCCATCTCAAAAAAAAAAAAAAAAAAAAAAAGTTAGTGGGGAGGGGGAATTAAAAGAACTATTGCATTGGGTTTCAGAATGACAGCTTGTTACTAAGGCTTATTTTGGCCATGTGCCATAAGAGAAACTGGAACTAAAAAAGATTATAACTTGGTGTAATGGAAAAGGCACTGGATTGGGAGCTAGAAGACTGTGCTCTAGTTCCCCTCTACCTCGAACAAGTGAGGGAAGTTCTGGGAAATCAGGTAGCTCTTGTAGGCTATTTCTTTACCTGTAGAGTAAAGGCATGGACAGCCTCTAGGGACCTCAGTACAGACACCTATTATTTAATCTGGTACCTGGTTTTTCTAGAAACTGCCCTTCCTTCTCACTCCAGACACCTTGCATCGGGGAGCTGCCGTGGTGGTCTGAGGTAGTCTCACTCCTGGCCACTGTTGGTTGGTACAGGGTTTGACAATCAGAGTCCTTTACTGGCATTTAGGAACCAGAACTGAATAAAAGGAGGCTCAAACTGAGAACAAGTGAGCCTCAGGGGCTGGTGGGGCCATGCTTCCTGACTGTGGACTGGAGAAGGAGAGGAGTGGAGGGGAGATGCAGTGAAAGCAGGACTCTCACAACTGCCATCCTTATTTCCATGGATAATATAATGCACTCCCCCCTCCTTTTAGAAAAAAATGGAATTCCTGACACTTTCAACCAAAAGAATCTCAAACACCTTCACTAAACTAGAATAAAACTTTCCCATCTGTAGAATGCTGTGGGTGAGTGCTGAGTGACTTTCAGAGCATCCAGGCCTCATGCCTTGCCCTCTGTGGGATGGGCCTTTGCGGTGAGAGCCAAGGGGAGACCACAGCCTTGCCTCCTCCACCGGCCTGCTGGAAACAGTCCTATGAGCCTCATTTCTCAGAAGGCCCTCTGGGTTTACACTCAGCCAAGGCCTTGTGTTCAGCGGGGAGGAATAACTAATCAGCAGCCTAAGTCATTGGTGGGATTGGATTTGTTGACTAGGAAATAAGAACAGTCCTTTTTTTAATGATTGTATGAATGACTAAAGGAGTGGTCAGTGTAGGGAGGTGGGCTGGAGGTCTTGTATTACTGGGCACAGTAGACTCAACGTTTGTGAAGTCAGTCCAGCCTCCCCACTTCACATCAGGACCTCAAAGGGGTGCCATCAGTGTAGACTGCCCAGGCCAGTTCATGAAGGGTGTGTCCTAGGAATACTATTAGGGCCTTAAATTGTGCCTGGCCTGGGTGGGGTGGGGCTATTAGGGTAGGAACAGCCTGGCTCCCTGCTCCAAAATACCAGATGAGGCTGATAAAGTCAGCACCTAGAGGTTAATTAAAAGCAATCTCGCCCAGGTGGCAAGAATCACCAGAACACTGGGGACAGCGTTTTCAGCCCATAGATTCCATGTTTTCTCTTACTGGGTGGCAAAAATGGCAGACTCCAGGATGTGTGGGGTTTGGTCATCTTGTAGACAGGACCTCAATTCACAGGGCACCTGGCCTCTCCCTGGTGGTCTCAAGGGTGGCCTGAGAATGCAACCTCAGGATTCCCCTTGCTGTGGCTGGTATGGGAAGTCCCTGCCTGCAAGTATAAAGCCTCCACTGTGCTCAAGATTGTACAGCCAGACAGCCAAAGAGAAAAAAGCCAGGACTCTCACCCAGCGAGGTCTGGCTGCAGAGTCTAATCAATTCCTCACTGTATGATAAAGGTCCTGCCTTGATCACACCCAGACAGAACCTGTCCCAATCTGCAGATGTAGCATTGATTTTCAGTTCTGCCTGCAGAATGCCTAGGCTCACGTCTCAACTCTACCACTTACAGGCCAGGCACAGTGGCTCATGTCTGTAGTCCCAGCACTTTGGGAGGCAGAGGCAGGAGAGCTGCTTGAGCCCAGGAGTTCAAGACCAGCCTAGGCAACATAGTAAGACATTGTTTCTTTTTTAAAAAGTAAAAATTATTCAGTCATGGCGGCGCACACCTGTAGTCCAAGCTGAGATGGAACTTTGAGGCGGTAGTGAGCTATGATCATGCCACTGCACTCTAGCCTGGGTGACAGAGTGAGACCCTATCTCAAAAAACAAAATAAAACAAACAAATAAAAACAAAAAAACAAGCTCCAGCACTTACAGGTTTGTGACCTTGGACAAGTTATTTAACCTCTTTGGTTCTCAATTTCCTCTTCCATAAAATGGGAACTATAAGAGCATCTACTTGACAGGTTTGTTGTGTGAATAAAGTGAGTTAACATACACTAATAGCCTGAAACAACACATGCATACATTAATATCAAGAAATGTTAGTGATTATTAGTATCACCTCATCTTTAAAGCTCTCCTGGAGCCCCCAGGCAGACCCTGACAATTTCCAGTTGTGTAAAATAGGGATAATAGAGCCAGGTATAGTGACATGTAGTCCCAGCTACTTGGGAGGCTGATGTGAGAGGGTTGCTTGAGCCCAGGAGTTCGAGGCCAGCCTGGACAACATAGTGAGACCTTATCTCTTAGAAAGAAAAAAAAAAGATAATGATAGTACCTATCTCAAACGGCTATTTTAAGTATTAAGTGGAATACTGTATTTGAAAGTACCTAGCACAGGACAAGATTAGCTATTATTGGGGTACAGTTTGTGAAAGGAAAATAAAATCTCAGGATCCCAAATCACTATGCCAAAAGGAAAAAAATTAAGCTAAAAGCTGAGTAATGCAAGAAACTGCCTTTGCTTTTGTTCCTAAGCAGATAGCTACAGATAAAAGGTTAAATATCTGCATAAGTAGCTACTCTATGTTCACCTTATCTTATGTAAAGTGTTGATTTACTGAGCACTAGAGGAATACATGATTGACTGTTCCCCTACCTGCTCCTTTTCTCTTGCAACATGTGGATTCAGTAATGTGACCATGCCCTCCCTCTCTCCCTTTTAAATACTGAAGCTCTCAAAATCATCTTTGGAAAAAGGCACAGACCACAGATTGTTCCTGTGATTTTGTGTTCCTTTTCTCCAGGCATGTCCTTAACCTTGGCAAAATAAACTTTTACATTGATTGGGACTTGTCTCAGATACTTTTTGGTTTACAGGTTCAATGAATGTTTAAGGAACAAATGAGACTTCCCAAACCTCAGAGATGTCATCTGCAACTTGGAAAATGCTCACCATTTTTGTCTGATCATTTGAGTGCAGATCAAAACTGAGGCCATCTGCCTAGCCCATCGGTCCTCAGTGTATTTGATTGTAATAATACATAACACAGTGCACACTGAATAGGGCTCTACCATTTACAACACCTGTTCACTCATCTACTTTCTGCATATAAAATCCCCATTTTACAGATGAGGCAACTGAGGCTCAGAGAGCACAAAGGATTTGCTCAAGATTGTACAACTAGAGTCAGCTCCTCTTCCTCCTACGAAGGCTGCCTTCAGAGTTTCACCTATTTTAGGTGAATGCCAATTGCAAAGTAGGTTTACCTGGCCAGGCTGGACTGTGGAGGTGGCCACCAGAAAATGGTTTACCTTAAAAGAGGAATTTGTAATTCCCAACATGCAGAGGAGTGAAATGAGCAAGAGGTTTGGAATTAGCATCCAACTATCTCTTGGCTATTTGTTTTTCAGGTGATTCACTTAGCAAGTTCCTTAACCTGTAAAAAGAGAGTGGCAAGAGTGTGCTGCCTGCCTCCTGGGGCTTTCTGCGATAACATAAGGGAAAGTGCTTTATAAATGTTAGTTACTACAGTCTTTACCATGAAGTTGATAAAGAGGCCCTGGGGCCTCTTCAGCCTTTCAAGACGGCTGCTGAGTCTGCTGAGCAAAGCCGGGCAGTGCAGTGCAGTGAGAGACAGCAGCCCTGTCTCCTGCAGAGTGGATGGGGGGACTCACAGGGGATTCATTTCTCAGGCACAGGAACAAGCGGGATAACGCTAATGTTTTCTTAGAGCTTCCAGATTATAACAAAGAAGATGAAGGGAGGAAAAGTCCAAACTGCCTTTTCATTTTGCTGCCTTGCCAGAAAGCACACAGAGATGGTTTTTCCACAGACAAGTCCACATTGGTATATCCTATTCGACACCAGGATTGCGGGGGTGGGGGGAGGGGGGCGGTCAGTCCCATTGTGTAGCTCCTCAGCCTTATCATGTTATCTTTCCATTTTCTGATAAATACAGAAGGCTTATAAAAAGAACCCCTCCATTAAAATTTTCCAACACAAATGAATAAGCTGTCAAAATGGTTACAGAACCAATTTCCCTTTTAATATTTTCAGGAAAGGGGAAACATAAATTCTGCAGAAGTCATTTAAAGTCATAAACCTTGAAAATGTTTGCAGTGTGTTCTGCTGATTGAAGTGTTCCAGCTGACTTAGGCCACAACACACCACAACAACACAGCCTCTGCAGTGCCAGGGAAATGGCACTTCTGAACACTTTCCAAGTGGCATGGCAAGGAAAAAGGTTCTTTTTTTCTTCATGGCATTGATTTCTTAAGTAAATCTTTTGATTCCGGAGTCAAGAACAAATGAGATCTCTGTGCTTTTTGAAGTTAGTTCTCAGCAGGGGATTTTGTTTAATACACATCAAAAGCACATTGTTCTTCGCTGGGGGCTATATCTTAGAGGTCTAGAATATGTCACATTCTGAGAACCCCCTCCTGGGTGCCCTCTCCTGGGGAGTTGGTGCTGAGTCTGGCTCTAAAGCTCATTCTCCACTCTGCTCTAGGAAGATATTTTACATTTTACAAATAGATATTTACATATAGATAATTTACAAATAGATATTTAAAAATAGATTATTTCCCTTTATTTCCCCACCAAAGATTCATGGTAGCTGGAGGGGACAGGGACCACTGGGAATGGACAAGTCAGGGTGGGACATTGTTTACCAAATCAGGATGCGAGTTTCCTGGATTGGGCGGCTGGCCCCCTGCCCTCCCGGAGGAGGAAGGAACAAAAAGGCAGCCGCAGAGGCAGGAAACTGGGGAGAATGCAGGCTGACCTGCTGAGAAGAGTGGGGGCAGCAGCAGGGGTAGAGATAACTGGAAAGTGCGTGGGAAGGAAGGGAGAGAGAAGCCCTGTGAAAAGAGGGTTAGAAAGCAAAAGAGGAAAGAAAGCTTCCAACATAGAAGAATGCAGCTCAGGGGCTCCGAGAGGCATCTTCCTGCAGAAAGAGTTGGCAGGTGAGGAGTGGCCCCTACAATCTTAACAGGTGGGGAGCTGCCAGGACCACACCTTGGTCCTCTGTATACGCTGGACCTCTTTGTCAGCTGAGAAAACATCCCCTGCCAGCACCACCATGGGGCAAAAATGCCTTGGTATTCCACACCATCCAAGGAGAGATTATGTTACTTTTTCTGCCCTTCCATTCCTATCCGTACTCCAACTCATGAATTCCAACTTAGGGAATTCCAGGGCAGCTCCATGTGCTGAAGAAAAACTCTGTCTATCTACTCTTCCTCATTCTGTGGTTTGGGCTTACGTGTCCCTTCCCCAGGGCAATCTCCCTGAGCATCCAGGCCTAGATAAGGTCCTGGGGTTGCACACTCCTTCATGTCCTGAATTCTTCCTCCATTACACTGTGACAACTATAGTTACTTATTTGTATAATTATATATTTAATGTCTGTCTTAGCTGGGTGCTCATGCCTATAATCCCAGCACTTTGGGAGGTTGAGGCAGGAGGATCGCTTGAAGCCAGGAGTTTCAGATCAGCCTGGGCAACATGGCGAAACGTTGTCTCTACAAATAGTTAAAAAATAAGCCAGGCATGGTGGTGCACACCTGTAGTCCCAGCTACTCATGAGGCTAAGGCAAGAGGATCACCTAAGCCCAGGAGTTTGAGGTTACAGTGAGCTGTGATCATGCCACTGCACTACAGCCTGGGTGACAGAGCATGACCCTGTCTCTAAAAGATAAATAAATAAAAACATGTGTCTCTTGGCCAAAGTGTAAGCCCCTGGAGCACGTTGTGTTTATCTTGGCCTTTGTTGAAAACCTATTGCCAGCACAGTACCTGGGACATAGTAACACAGAATGAACACTTGAAGATGAATGAATGAATTCTAGTGGTTCCTCTAGAAGAGTGACAAAGGAGCAGGACTTACTGCACAACTTCTTCTGGAACACGGAGGTCAGCGTCTCAATCTGGCTGAAATTGGCCACAAGGAAGACATGGTCCTCATGGGGCTCACTCCCAATGGACTTCAAGGTGTTGAAGTCTACCTGGCCCACACCAATGGCAAAGATTAGGATGCCCGTGTCCCGTGCCTTAGCAGCCACCTCGGCCACGGAGTCCTGAGGTCTCCCATCTGTCACGATCATTATGACCCGTGGCACATTCTCCCTCAGGGGCCGGGCCCCCTCTGCTTCTGAGAATGCGATGTTCAGGGCATACTGGATGGCCAGCCCAGTCATGGTGCCCGTGGACAGATGCCGCATCCTCTTGACAGCACGCTCCACCTCGGACTTCCTCTTGAAGGTCTTGAGGGAGAACTCATTCTTGACAGTGCTGCCATATTGGAGCAGGCCCACTCGGGTGACATCAGGACCAATGTCCAAGAATTGCAAGATGTCCACGATGAACTCCTTGACCTTTGCATAGTCATGGGTGTTGACACTGCGAGAGCTGTCAATGATGAAAACCAGGTCTGCCCGCTTGTTCTCACAGGAACTCTCTGGGGAAAGAGGAGAGGTCAAATACATTAGAAGAGAGGCCAGGTGTGGTGGCTCACACCTGTAATCCCAGCACTTTGGAAGGCGGGTGGATCACCTGAGGTCAGGAATTCAAGACCAGCCTGGTCAACACTGTAAAACCCTGTCTCTACTAAAAATACAAAAATTAGCCGGGTGTGGTGGCGGCACCTGTATTCCCAGCTACTCGAGAGGCTGAGGTAGGAGAATCACTTGAATCCAGCAAGCACAGGTTGCAGTGAGCCAAGAGAGTGCCATTGAACTCCAGCCTGGGCAACAAGAGTGAGACTGCATTAAAAAAATAAAAATAAGAATAAAAACATTAAAAGAGAGTTAAGGACCCAGGGCAGACTGGCTATTGTTGGAAATCCTGGGACTGATGATCACCTTTGAAACCTCCTTCATCAATTTTCCTCCCCACTCATGAAAGTTATAAGGGTATATTTGTGCATGGCTGGAAGATCATGACTACTGGCTATAATCAGATAGCAATCCTTTTTGCAAGATAAATGAATATATTAGTTTCTAGAAAGTTGCCAATGCAGTTTTTATGTAACCAAACACCTGATCAGGGTCAAAATTATTTTATTCTTTACTGCATGACACATAAGCTTGGCTGGGCACTGCAGAGAATATAACAGAAGCTTAGGACAGGGTCCAAAGTTAAGGAGCTTCTAATCTACCTGGGGAGAATTAACTAATAAAACCATGAAAGAATAACTGGCATGAAAACTGTGTCGTCCTGACAATAGCTGCTAAGAGAATAGGGATATGAATGGGCTGGGGTCAAGGAGATGGGACGTGAGCTGACCTTATAGATGCGTGGTGTTTGGATTAGAGAGAAGGAGCACATCGAGTGGATCACATGAACCAAAGCCCAAGACGGAATGAATGTGGTGGGTAACAGAATAAGTGATGAGACCTTGTAGTAGAGGGTATACTAGGAGTTGCAGGCAGGAATTAGTTGGACAGATGGCCTGAAGCCAGTTTAAAAAGACCTTTCCTTTCAGACTGAGAAATATGTACATGATGCCACCAGTGAGGGGCATCTTAGCATCATATTATGTAACTCACCTCTCCCATAGGGAAGTTACATAATGAAAAGTCAACAGAGTCTGGCAGTGGTTTGCAAGATGGATGGTATACACAATTTCTGGACTAATCTCATTGAGAGGGGGACTCAGATCTAATCCTAGGACAGTAGTGGAAATAGAGAAAAGGGGACCTGACTAAGAAATATTTCAACAAAGGACACAGTTAAATTGGAAAAAGGCAAATGTTAAGTCCCTTACCACCATGACTACCATAATTATGCCTTAAGCTGCTAAGCAAGAAGACTGTAAAGGTTTGAGTCCATAGACAAACTCATCCCTTTTGCGTTTCTAGTACGAGGGTGATATTGGATGAGATGAGAGGCCTCCAGCTTTAGTGGGTGGAGGCTGGGCATTCCTGTTGGGAGTTTCTCGGATATTCTGAGCTACTGCCTTTCACCAGGGTGAGTCCCTCCTCCCCCATTCTCTACTCCCTTCCCGGACTTTGCAGCTGAATCAGGATTTGAAAGGTATTAGAAAAGGGATCCCAAATGCTTGCCCTAAATCCTAATCACCACAGCTGCAAGAAAGAGAGAGAAAGCCAAAATGAAACAGTAAAGCTAGTCATAAAAATGAGAAGTGGGAAAGGCCCATGAAGTCATCCTGTCCAGGCCAGCTTGCCAGGCTGTGACTCGTCCCTGAGTGCCTGCACACACAACTCATCCTTGCCGCCTCACAAGTCTAATGATTTTAGGGGAGGAGGCACCCACAAATACCAGTAGCCTGGCAAGAAACCAACGTTCTGACATACCCATGCATAACCCTGAGGGCTGGGTGAGTCCAGGGTGAGTGTCTCAAAACAGAGGCCCCAGAAAGTGAGCCTTTGAGGGTTCAGCGATAAGATCTATATGAAACCTAACATTTCCAGAGCACTTTGTCACTTGGTGTGATTTGATTTTCAGAACAAGTTTTTGAGAAAGGATCAAGAAGCATCATACCCATTGCATAGATGAGAACATGGGAGCACTGAGAGTTTGAAATCTTTCATAATTTAGAAAAAGAAAAAAATATACAGAGGTGCAACCAATATCCACCTCGTTGGGCAGCTGTAAGAATTTAAGGAAATGATGTAATGAAGGATCCAGCACTTGGGAACTCCCGACGTGTGCTGGCTGCATGTACAGGCTCTCCCCACCCCTCCATCAGCCCTCACTCGTGTCCAGCCCCAGGCTGGGTAGGGGCAGGGTTACAGCTATGGCTATGTGGTTGGTGCTGCACACAGGCACCTGCTCAAGGAGGTGAGAGGAACTGAAATCCAGCCAAGCCCTGAGCCCCAGGGGCTGAGCCACCCTAAGAGGCACCTTAAGGGGGGTGCTTTTCAGCCAGGTGCAGTGGCTCACGCCTGTAATCCCAGCACTTTGGGAGGCCGAGGCGGGAGGATCACAAGGTCAGGAGATTGAGACCATCTTGGCTAACATGGTGAAGCGCCAAATCTACTAAAAATACAAAAAATTAGTCAGGCATGGTGGCACGCACCTGTAGTCCCAGCTACTTGGGAGGCTGAGGCGGGAGAATCACTTGAACCCAGGAGGCGGAGGTTGCAGTGAGCTGAGATGGCGCCACTGCACTCCAGCCCAGGTGACAGTGCAAGACTCCACCTCAGAAAAAAAAAAAAAAAAAAAAAAAAGGCAGGAGTGCTTTTCTAATTTTCATGAAGGCTCCTGTGGTTTAGCATATAGCCCTGGGTTGGGGCAGTAGATGATGGATCTGCAGATCCCAGGAAGGAGGACAAGGGGGAGCATTCCCAAGACCCAGGCAGGCCCTCTCCAAGAGCCACACCTGCCCGACCCTTCATGTCTGAACTTACTGCAGGGAGAGTGTGACCCAATAATCTTTACCTGCTGAGAAGAGGGGCCAGGCTTAGACCCTGCCATGGAGGAGGATATTAATTAAGGCACCTTTGAAGGGAGGGAAATTCACACAAGACTCGCACTCTGAGAACTCTCTTCCTTTGGAGATCTTTGGAAGTAGCAGAGCCTCCTTGGATTGGGCCTTTATTATGGGTCTTAGTCATGGTGTCAATATCTATCCAAGCATCACAATCAATTTAAAGGGAAGCCTGGAAGTTCCATGGAGAATTGTGTGCTAAACTGGATTCTCTCCCTTCAAAACAAATGGGTAGTTTCCACAACACCTGCACATGTACAAAAACGCCACAAAGGTTCAAAATGTTGTTGGAGGTTCCAAGAAAGCTGTAATTCTGAGTTGAAAACACCAAGTCCTGGCAGCCCAAGTAACTGAATTTTCTTCAAAATGTGTCCTTGGGTCCCTTGAGGGCTCAGAACCACAGTCTCATAGCTTGTCCCTGAAAGGGCTAGTTCAATGGTTCTCAAACTCAAGTGTGCATCTCAACTCTCTAGAGGACTTGTTAAAAACTAAGACCAGGCCAAATGCACAGTGGCTCATGCCTGTAATCCCAGCACTTTGGGAGGCCGAGGCAGGCAGATCACCTGAGGTTGGGAGTTCAAGACCAGCCTGACCAACATGGAGAAACCCCATCTCTACTAAAAAAAAAAAAATAATAATAATACAAAATTAGCTGGGTGTGGTGGTGCATGCCCATAATCTCAGCTATTCAGGAGGCTGAGGCAGGAGAATCGCTTGAACCTGGGAGCTGGAGGTTGCTGTGAGCCAAGATCATGCCATTGCACTGCAGCCTGGGCAACAAGAGTGGAACTCCATCTCAAAAACAAAAACAAAAACAAAAACAAAAACAAAACAAAACAGAACAAAACTAAGACCAGTGCACCACAACCCCAGAGCTTCTGATTCTGTAGGTTTCCATTTCTAACAAGCTCCCTGGTGAAGTCAATATTACTGGTCTAGGGACACACACAGGTCAAAGAAATAGAGAGCTCTCTGGAGAAAAGAAGTTCTATAAAGTCTTGACCTTGCTATCTCACTGGGAATTCCCCAAGGTTAGGAAACTAGTCTCATTTATCTTTGTAGGCATGCAGTTGGAAACACAGAAAGTCTTCATTCAACATCTGTGGAATTAAATGGAATTCTGGTGGAAGCAAGTCTTCAGGGAAAGAGATTGAATCAGAGCAGTTAGTACAAAAAGATGATGACAAGCACGAAGCCAAAATGTTCTAGAGGAGATGTGGTCCTGCTAATGGAGTCATAGATTCTAGGACCCAAATCTTTGCCATTTTATGAGGGACCATAACCACTTCTGAAGTTTGACTCATGGAATCACAGACTAGTAGAATCTTAGAGGCAGAGGGGTCCCAACAGAGTCCAAGTCACTCATTTTATAGAAAGGAAAACTGAGGCCCAGAGAGTTGACTCTATCTCTGCAAGGCCCTCATGGCTCACCATGGTCAGACCTGATGCCCTTTCCATCGTCTCATGGCAGGCACCCTTAGGAAATTATCAGTACAGCCAGCATTATGATAGGAGCTTTGCAAATACCTGGGAACACTCTAAAACATTTGCTGTGAAAAGCTTCACAGTTTCTCCACATGGGAACTGTTGAGAGATGTTTCCAGGAAATGGATTTCCTTGGTGTGTGTTCTTCTTATGCTGACAACTGGTTCTGATGAAGGACATCCTGTCTCCTTGGCCTGGGAGAAGAACATACAATGATCTTCCTTCTGGCCTCTCATGACAGGGTTTTCAGCCACAGTTGGAGGACAGTTTGTGGGCCCATAATAAAACGTCATCCCTCTAACCATAAAGTGATGATCTGGACTCTGTTAACAGCTCTTCCAGTACTGTCAGCTTGACTCCAAAGTCCATGTATTGGGCAAATGAGTGTCTTTTACTCTTCCAGAGAAAGGGAACTGAGCCAGGACAATTTTAAGCAACATTCCTACTCCAGCAGAATGACAATGTGCAACATCAGAACTATTTCCTCCTCTCAAGATTGCAGCCTTGTCACTAATCAGCCTCTCTCCCGTTCTGGCTAAATTCAATCATGGCAGTGTAATCATACTGTAAATATTTGGTGCCATCTGCATGGGGAAGTTAGGACACATTTGGAGAAGGAATGAATATGAATCTCCATGACAAGGGTAAAATCATTTCATCTGGAGACCAAAGGGGGCTCTGAAATCCTAAGTGAAACAGTATTAGAGTCCTATGATCCCATGCAAGCCCAGCCTCTGCCACTTTCTGTCCAAATGATCTTGAGCCTCTCCTTAACCTGTGTGACCCTCAGTCTCTTCCTCTGCAAAATAGGGATAATAATACCTTACAATACTGTTGTGAGACTCAAAAGAGAAAATAATCGTAATTTATAGCTAATATTTACTGAGCACTTAATTAGTGCCAGGCCTTGTTCTGAATGGTTTACAGGTGTTGGCTTGTTTATTCTTCACACACACCTTAGAAAGTAGGAAAGAACACACCTTAGAAAGTAGGTGTTGTTACTGTTCTTTAATAGATGAGGACAGTGAGTCTAGAGAGGTTAGATAACTTGCTTGAGTTCTCCTATCTAGTATAAAAGTGAAGTAAATATGGCCTGAGAATGACTCCATGCTTCTATATTTCAGTCTTTGTGGAAAAACTGCAACCAAGCTTATAAGTACACAAGATTGAAAACCTAACTTAGGAGTATGCACCTGTAACAATAGCTGAGTCTTGGCCAATCCCAGCGGCCGTACTTCAACCATTCATACACTACTGAGTGTTCAAACTGTGTTCAAATAAGACAAACGCCAGCCTGTAGCCAATCCACCCGCTGTGTACCTCACTTTTGATTTCTGTACATCATTTCCCTTTTTTTGTCTATAAATCTTCCACCACGTGGCTGTACTGGAGTCTCTGTGAATCTGCTGTGATTCTGGGTGCTGCCCGATTCACAAATTGTTCATTGCTCAGTTAAACTCCTTTAAATTTAATTTGGTTGAGTTTTTTCTTTTATCACTAGGAAGTAGAGGAGCTGGGATCTGAACCCATCGTGATGGCTCCGTAGTCTGCACTCTTAACCACCAAGCTATACTCATGATGAATATGAAATGATTTTGTCCTTTTAGATCTGCCATTTCCAGAATACTCAAGATGCACCAGGGCTGGATTGGCTCTCTGGGGTCAGTTCTTTCCTTGCCTGGACTCAGGGCCTGAAAGCTATGGCCCAAACTTGCCTACCTCCTGCCAAGTGCTGAAAAAAAAAAAAAAACACTTAATAATATGATGAAAACAGATGCTTGCCTGCCTGGATAGCAGCAGCCCAGTAAGTCAAGCCACTGATGGTTCCCATTCTTACTCCTCGACAAGCGCTTACGGAGAGTTCAGTACGGTCAAGGGCCAGGGGGAGAATGAAGGACGGGACAGGTGTGACGGAAAGAGAGAGGTCACCGATCTTTGAGGGGCTGTGGGGAATAGAAGGACTACAGTCTGGACAGTAGTCAAATACCCAGGAAAATTGATTTCAGAAAATGTGATGTTCCATATCAATTCCCAGCAAAGTTCCCACGAGCAGATGGTTTGTGGGCACTTAACAAGAGAACCATGAAAAATGTAATAACACAAGTGAAAAAAAACTGTAACAGTTTCTAGGACAGTGGAAGAGTGAAGGGATTAGGGAACTAGAGTATGATTTCCAGGCCACATTAAAGGCCTACTTAAAGGCTGCAATTATGAAATTTACATGAGACCAATCCAGGTGGTTGCATGTTTTGCTACAGCCACATTCAGCTACACAGATATGGGGGGCAGGCTGGTAAAAGTTGAATTTAACAAGGGTTATCATGTAGCCAAACGAGAACGATGAATCAGGAAAGGGGCAAAGGTAGTTGACAGTGACTATAGTGATTCCCTATAGAATTGAAGCTGGGGAAGCAGGAAATAGAGGAATTGAGGTGAAAGACAGTGAAAAAATAGCAGGATCAATTAACTGGAAGTCCAGATAAGGTCACAGAATTGTTGGAGTTGGAATACTAGTACAGGTAAGCTGGGAAGATAGGAGGTTTAAACTGAAATTATGGCAGGAATAAAGTTACTGTAATTATAGGGTCAAGATAAGAGAAGAAGGTGGCTGAAATCTAGCTGGGAACAGTAGCTCATGCCTGTAATCCCCGCACTTTGGGAGGCCAAGGCGGTTGGATCACTTGAGGTTAGGAGTTTGAGATCAGCCTGGCCAATATGGTGAAACCCCGTCTCTACTAAAAATACAAATATTAGCCGGCCGTGGTGGCAGGCGCCTGTTATCCCAGCTACTTGGGAGGCTGAGGCAGGAGAATCGCTTGAACCTGGGAGGCTAGACATAGCAGTGAGCCGAGATTGTGCCACTATACTCCAATCTGGGCAACAAAGCAAGGCTCCGTCTCAAAAAAAAGAGAGACAGAGAGAGAGAGAGAGAGAGAGAAGTGAGTGGCTGAGATCTGGTGGAAGACAAGAATATTGGAGAAAAGAATCTCAAAGCTATTAAAGGATGATTCATGATTCATGTGGATCTTGAAATCACCAACAATTATGACAAGGGTAATGCTGGACAGAGTAGCAGTAAGCCAAGAGCTAAAATTGTTCTTAGAACTAGGAATAACCAGAGGATTTTAAAAATTACCGAAGGGTGACCCAAAACACTATGAAGCATGATTAAAAACATGATTAAAATTTCCTAAAGGGACAGAGAAAAAACTAGCTCACCAACAGTTTCAAAGGGACACTGGGGAGAAAAGTTGAAGCTGTTTTATGATGAGAGAAGAACAGAGAGAGAGAGACAGCAAGCCATGATCGTAATGAGCTAGCAGGAGTTTAAGAAAGAAAAAAAAAAGGGCATGCAAAATGTACGTTTTATTCCTAGATGGAACAGACCAAGAGGATCCACGGAACTCTGTAGTATGGATCTCAGCAAGGCAAACGACTGACCCTAATAAGGCAGATTCCCTGCATGCAGAACAATTAGGTAGAACTCTTAGGTTGTGAGCCAGTCATTCAACATACCTATTGTATGCCAGGGCCTGGGGATACAGAGGAAGGAAAAGACTCCTGACTGTGAAAAGGACACAATAACGGGATACAATGAAGCAGGCAGACCAAAAAGATACAGTGTGCTGTTGTTGATAAATATAAACAGATCAAGCCAGTCTGGAAGGAGGTCTCTAATGATACATGCTGAGAGAGAGAAGGACAGTGAGGGAGTGGTTGACTACCTTTTGGTAGAGGAGAGAGGGAATGGTTGACTGTCTCAGGCTCTAAGGCAAGCTTAACAATGCCATTTTTTTCAGTCCCTGGCAGACATTGTTAATCAATTCTGGCCCTGTCCCCCTCAGCCTGGATCCTTTCAACATGGCACTTTGAGTACCAATAAACAATTTGTCAGAACTGGCACATGAAATAGAATCCTTCTACCAACCTGGTCTTAGAGCCTGGTGCTCTGCAACAAAGATTGAAGTACTCAATTTTACCCACGTCTGAAAAAATGAATAAAGGTAAACTAGCTAATCATATGAGACACCGTCTGACTATAAAGGCTAACATTCTTTTTCAGTGAGAAATAAGGGCAGGCAGACAAGGCTGGCTATGTGAAGGGTCAGCACATGAGCTTCCAGGTAAAACTGCACTCATGAGGGAGGGCTGCCAGGTGGGCATGGGGTCAGAGCAAAACAAATAGAAAGATTGTAAGAGATATTTCTCATAAAACCGTGAAAGCGGTATGGATCCTCCACTATAAGAATATAAAACTAGCACATCAGAATACAAGGAAATTGCATCCGATAAGCCAGCAGTCCCCAACCTTTTTGGTACCAGGCACTGGTTTAATGGAAGACAAATGTTCCAGGGACAGAGTGGGGAAGAGGGGGACTGTTTCACCTCAGATCATCAGGCATTAGTTAGATTTTCATAAGGAGTGTGCAACCTAGATCCCTTGCATGCACAATTCACAATAGGGTTTGCGCTTGTGTGAGAACGGAATGTCGCCACTGATCTCACAGGAGGTGGAGCTCAGGTGGTAATGCTCACCTGCCATTCATTTCCTGCTGTGCGGCCTGGTTCCTAACAGGCCACGGACTGAGATCGGTCCACAGCATGGGGTTTGGGAACCCCGGCTGTACGCATTTTATTTATGAGACTTGAACTACATGGGCTTGTCAAAGAGAGACAGAGAGACAGATGGACTGAGAGCAAAGACGACCGTGCGACACAGCAGTGGGATCCCACCCACCACTGTGCTCCCTCAGGGGCATGTCCACAGACACCTGAGATGCGGCCCCTGAGCCTCCTCAGGTGCTTCTGTCCCTGTGTGCCTCCAGACTGTGACCAGCTCTCAGTGCTTAAGGGTAATTGAAAGGCTACTTCAGATGTAATTTAGACTATATTTGTTTTTTTTTTACCACAGTGCGACTTCCCCTGCAGTCCCCTGCATTTAGGGCACTTGATTAAGGCACCATGGTCCTTGTCCAGGAAATAATCAATTCTCCCCTCTCCAATTCCCTTATTAGTCAGTCGCCAGCTGCGGCATCACATGAGGCCTGACACTGTAGAATGCAGTTGATGAGCTAGGGCTTTCTTTGACTCAGTCGTGCTCTATTCACATTTTCTGAAAAAACCGCTGGGGAATATTCTGAAAACTTGCTTCTACTATATTAGGGAGACACCCTGGATTACTTAATGGGTCTAAGACATATTGTGAACTCATTAGCAAATCATTTCCCACTTGGTAACATTTTCCAAACATTTTTGCAAATTCTGGAGGCATTTATGGTTCTCCCTACACCACTGCATACGATGCTGGGAGGAACTGTTAATAAGCTGAGTAACACAGACAGGCCCAGAAAGGGTTTCTGAGGGATGGAATAATGAGTAGAAACTAGTAAGATGAAGTGTAATTGGTAAAAATGTCAAGCCCTGCACGTAGGGTTCGAAATCAACTGCATAAACCAAAGGAAGGGAGACAGCTGGTCCCATGATAAAATATGGAGCCAGGATGGCAAGTCCAAGCCTTGCATGTCACCCCCATGTCCCCAGCCCTGGCATCTGTGACCGACACCCCTAATCAGTCCTGGTCTCAGAATCAAAGTCCAACCACAGGATTCCTCTTGACACAGCACCCCAATTTCCCATCACCCATAGACTGGAGGGAGCTTATGAAAATAAACCGATTTGTCTTCCAGATGTCACTTTCCAATTACTCCCAATCACTCCGCCTCCCAGGCTCAAGTGATCCTCCCAAGTTAGCCTCCAGAGTAGCTGGGACTACAGGCACACACCACCACACCACCTTATGCCCCAGTCATCTCATCAATGGCTTTCCCAGAGAGAGACTCTCCTGACAAAAATGGACTTTAATCTTCCCCTTTCTACCAGAACTTTCCCATGAATGAATATTTTAGTGAGTTTCATTGATCTGAGTCCCAAGAACCAGAAATGACAGCTTTAAACTCCTAGTATCGGGCTGGGTGCAGTGGCTCACGCCTATAATCTCAGCACTTTGGGAGGCTGAGGTGGGCAGATCATCTGAGGTCAGGAGTTCAAGACCAGCCTGGCCAATATGGCAAAACCCCATCTCTACTAAAAATGCAAAAATTAGCCAGGCATGGTGGCGTGCCCCTCTAATCCCAGCTACTCAGGAGGCTGAGGCAGGAGAATCACTTGAACATGGAAAGCAGAGGTTGCAGTGAGTCGAGATCACGCCCCTACACTACAGCCTGGGCAACAGAGCAAAACTCTGTCTCATAAATAAATACATACATACATACATAAACTCCCAGTATCCATGAGTCTTGGGGAGCTATTCCATCAAAGCAATTTCTTCAAAAGCCACCATCCCAAGGGTCACTAATGGCAAGGTTGCTGATGTTCAGGGGAGAATGAACTCATGAACTCAGCCTTCTCCACCAGCCACCACTCCCTGCCCTATACCTTATACAATGTCACACTGCCTGTCTGTAGTCCCTACACAGCGCCCTCTCTGCTAGGCATGCCCTCTGCTCCCTGTTCAGCTTAAGACTCAGCCCTGTGGTCACCTATTTTGAAAACCTTTCCTTAATGGGCCATTCTCCACTGGCCTCAGTGGCCTTCCTCTGAGCCCCAACACTCCCTGCTTACCTCTGTCTGAGTGTCTTCCACCAGTATCTCACACATGCAGCTACCTGGCCACAAGCAGTATCTTCTATGAATCCCTAGTACCCGGCCTAGTGCCAGGCACCTGGCTGCCTGTCTGGGTCCTTGCTTATTCCCTTTGGTGTGTACATGAGCTTCCAGGTAAAGCTTGTGGGTGGGGGTTTGGGAGGGCAGGGAAGAGAAAGATTGCAGATACCCTGCCATGAGCTGGAATGGGCTGGGAACGCTGGTCAGCAGAGACACAATAAAGAACAGGTTGCAGCTGGGATACTCGACAGCTCGATAACATCAGAAAGAGGTGGGGACGGCTGGGCATCGTGGCTCATGCCTGTAATCCCAGCACTTTGGGAGGCCGAGGTGGGTGGATCACTTGAGGTCAAGAGTTCGAGACCAGCCTGGCCAACATAGTGAAACCCTGCCTCTACTAAAAACACAAAAATTAGCAGGCTTGGTGGCGGGCACCTGTAATCCCAGCTACTCGGGAGGCTGAGGCAGGAGAATTGCTTGAACTTGAGAGGCAGAGGCTGCAGCGAGCTGTGGTCGCACCACTGCACTCCAGCTGTACCCTAGACCCAGGGAATCAGAATCTCTGGGATTAAGGCCCAGGAATCTGCATTTGTAATTGCTACAAGTGATTCTTAAGCACAACAAATTTGAGAACTCTGTCTCTAGGGTTATGTGAGCCTGAGAGACCATCTGCCAAGGGTCTAGAAAAGAAGATAGTGGCAGGGCACCCCATTCTGATGTCCTGCCATCTTCTTCCCCCAAACCAGGAGTGGCCTTGAAAATATGGCAATCATACAGCCTGGAGTCTCTTTTGTCTCCTGATGCAAATATTCTGTTCCATTGTCAGATCATATGCATGACAGATATATCTGGCATTCAATTAGGTTCAGAAAATAAAGAAGATAGGCACTGTTACCCTCCACTTGTAGATGAGGAAGCTGAGGCTCAGGGAGGTTAAGTGACAAGTGCACAGTCAGGGGATTAATGAGTGGTGGCAGAACAGGGATTTAAACCCC
Organism: Homo sapiens; assembly: GCF_000001405.40. Taxonomy (NCBI): domain Eukaryota; kingdom Metazoa; phylum Chordata; class Mammalia; order Primates; family Hominidae; genus Homo; species Homo sapiens. The sequence continues at coordinate 97,918,815 of NC_000008.11, read as the reverse complement.
AAGTTGGTCTGACTCTCATACCTGCATTTTTACCCACTGCTCCCAGTAGGTGGCCAAGAGTGAAGAGCCCTGTTACCCTCCCCATCACCAGATAACACATTGACTGGCAGCTGAGCCTGGAATGTGACCCAGGAGATAAAGCTCAACTCAAGACACAGTCGCCTAAGTGCAAATCTCCCCACTTCACCCTCTGCCCAGGCCAGTGCCCTGGGAGGCATCGCTCAGGCCCCAGTGATTCATCTGCTGCACCTACCGGAGTTCAAATGTGCCTTCTCAGCACCAGGTCGTGATGACAGTAAGCCCAATGAGTAACTTAATGTGCAGTGATGTCGCCCCACAAATACTTATGGTATTTACTGGCCTGCAAGTCCCATCAATCTATAAGCCACCTTTGAGGTCATGACTTGGACTTATTCATCTTTCATCGATGCCTGGCTCAGGGCCGGCACATAGAAGGCACTGTACTGAAGGCACCACAGGCAAAATACAATGGTTAGTGCTGTATCGTCAGGTCCTGGCCTCAAGAAGCTCACAGTGCAGGGGTCATTGAGACAAGTATAGAGGCGACTGTAGAGCTAGGCAGGGTAAGAGAAATTATTATTCGATAGGCACAATCTACGTTTAACCAGAACAGCCTAACTCCAGATCACACTGAACGGTCGCTAGAGATTCTTCTTTTTTAAAAATTAGTATTTCTAAAACTTTCTAAAAACTTTTTCCTTTTTTTGAGACTGGGTCTCAAACAAAGCCTCACCCAGGCTAGAGTGCAGTGGTGCAGTCTCAGCTCACTACAACCTCCGCCTCCCAGGCTCAAGTGATCCTCCCAACGTAGCCTCCAGAGTAGCTGAGACTACAGGCACACCCACCACACCCGACTAATTTTTTGTATTTTTGAAAGAGACAGGGTTTCGCCATGTTGCCCAGGCTGGTCTCAAACTCCTGAGCTCAGACAATCCACCAGCTTCAGTCTCCCAAAGTGCTGGGATTACAGGTGTGAGCCACCATGCCCGGCCTAGAGATTCTACTTCTGAATAAGTGGGGATGAACCCAATAAAGATATATAGAGAATACACTCTACTTCTTGACCAACTACTGAGGATAAAAGTAACAATGTACACCCAGATGGAGGTGATTTCCAGGGTCTTCCCCCACATACACCCTGCTTTGAATGCCTGGTTGCAGAAGAAGAAAAGTAGCAGATGGCTTGGGAAAAGGAAGTTGGGGTAGCCAGGCTCCCTGTCCTGCCAGAGCGGGTGCAGTCTTATCCCTGCTCTGTATATTTTCTCTCATGGACCCACTTGTCCCAAAGAACTGGGTAGCAAGCAGCTGATGCCATTCAAGATGCCAGGCACCGTGTGCTTCTCTCAAGAATGCTCGACATACAGGCTGAATGTCAACCTTCATTCTGACAAGTTCTTCCTGAGCAGAGCCGAAGTTCACAAACAAAAGCTGAAATTTCAGAATTGCCAAATTTGCTCTGCGTACCCTTGAACAAGCTACTACCAAGAAGGGCATTTGCAGAGCAGAGACAGGTGAGTGTGCTGGCAGAGAAAGATGCTTTCGGGATGGATTCCATCTGCCCATGGAGATAGAATCCATCCTGGGAAGTTTGTATGCAAAATATGCTTGGCAATGCCATGGTAAGATTTTGTTGTTGTTTTATGAAGGTGCTGGGGAATGGGTGTGCATCTTTGGGTAGCAAGGATGCTCCCTAAAGAGACTCCAGCCAGTAGGGCCCTGAGGGATTATGGGTTCACACCAGCTCAAATTTCAGTTGTCCCTGCTGACTGTCATAAATTCCTCCAGGAAGACAGCCCTCTCAGGCCCTCAGGAAGTGTGCACCAACGAGCCAGCAAAATGGAAAGGAAAAAAAAGGAAAGGAAAAACACGCCACATCACACCAGTCTCCTCTAGTAAATGTTGCATGAGCTGAAAGAAAAGAGACGTCATATGAGGTTCAACAACTGTGGTTTCCAGACCCTGGACAATTTTCTTTGTGAGAGAGCCAAAATGAAAGCTGCCCCAGTTTAGTCCTGGAGGAAAAAGTTTCCAATGAATTGAATTTCCTTGCAACGTAAAGCAGTTTGCTCAAGTCTCACCAAAAAATACCCCTCACGTCCTCTCTCGGAGTTTGCTATACAAACAGTCTTTTTCTTAATTGATAAAGAGAAGTACAAATAAGCTGTGAAACAGTGGTTTTTATAAGTGGGAGCTAAATGATGGGAACACACGGACACATAGAGGGGAACAACACACACTGGGGCCCATCAGAGGGTGGGAGGAGGGAGAGGATCAGGAAAAATAACTAATGGGTAATAGATTTAATACCTGGATGATGAAATAATCTGTACAACCAGCCCCTGTGACACCTGAGTTTACCTACATAACAAACCTGCACATGTACCCCTGAACTTAAAATTAAAGTTAAAATTAAAAACAATAGTCAGGTCAGGCACAGTGGCTCATGCCTGTAATCTCAGCACTTTGGGAGACCAAGGTGGGCAGATCACGTGAGGCCAGGAGTTCGAGACCAGCCTGGCCAACATGGCGAAACCCCGTCTCTACTAAAAATACAAAAATTAGCCAGGTGTTGTAGCGCGTGCCTGCAATTCCAGCTACTTGGGACGCTGAGGCATGAGAATTGCTTAAACCCAGGAGGTGGAGGTTGCAGTGAGCCGAGATTGCGCCACTACACTCCAGCCTGGGTAACTGAGTGAGACTCTGTCTCAAAAAATAAAATAAAATAAAATAAAATAAAATAAAATAAAATAAAAACCATAGCCAGTGATATTAAAACATTTTCTTTTAAAAAATGAGCTGACTGAATACATACAAAATAATTTTGATATTCTCTATCAAACCCCCTCACTATCTTTCTTCCTTTCTCAAATTGAGAAATGACATGTACGTTAAAATTGTAATACACACACAGACACACACACACACACAGACACACAACCATCCCTCAATACAAGAGAGTGCAGAAAGCACCAGGAAACAAAACAGGTAATTTCTGCTCTCTGCAAAGTAAAAAGCAGCATAGGAAGGTTTTAAAAAGCAAGCTGGCATTTGACCCACAGGGGCACTTTAACTGAATAAATTGCTTCATCTGCTTTCTGAGAATTCAGCAAGTGAAAGCCAGAGCAGAGCAGAGACCTGTGAATAAATAGCAACACAGGGCTGGGCTGCAAGAGAGGAGAGGAAGGAGGTGGAGGCCCCAAAACACAGCGCCTCAGGGCCTTTCCCTGGAAGGAGGAGGGGAGGAGGTGTAGGTACACAAGGAGGAAGGGGCCAGTTAGATAACAGGGCACAAGGTTCCACAGCCCTGTGCCAGCAAAGGCAAAGTTTGTCTTCGGAGACAATTCTATCATCATTTTGGTTTGGTTGAGTTGTACAAACATTGCAGGAATCCCCTCTTTGTGCTGGGTGCTAGGGATAGAGTATGAGAACCAGTCTCAGCCTGGGAGGAGCTTACAACCCTGTAGAGAAGACAGATTCATTAAGATTCATAAAAAATATGAGCAGGCCAGGCACGATGGCTCACACCTATAGTCCCAGCACTTTGGGTGGCTAAGGCAGGAGGACTGCCTGAGCCCAGCAGTTAGAGACCAGCCTGGGCAACATGGTGATACCACATCACTACAAAAAAAAAAGTTTTTTCACAAGCCAAGCATGATGGCGTGCGCCTGTAGTCCCAGTTACTTGGGAGGCTGAGGCGGGAGGATCGCTTGAGCCCAAGAGGTCAAGGTTGCCGTGAGCTATGATTACACCACTGCACTTTATCCTGGGCAACAGAGAGAGACTCTGTCTCTAAAAACAAAAAACAAAGCAACAACAAAAAAGGACGAGTGACTAGAGCCTGGAGTAGATCACCAGTCCCAAGATAGGGGGTGGGGGAAGATCCCTGGACAAGGTGATGAGTATTATAATAGGATGATGTTATTATAAGGTGAGCAGGTGTTGACCAGGCAACAAGCTGGGGTGTGCATTTAGGTAAAAGGGCAGCGTATGCAAAAGCTGGAGGCCAGAACAGAGTGGGATGCACACGCACCCAGGTAACCACAGGTGATGTGGCAAGGCTGGGTCCTAAAGGACAAGTTGGGGAAGACAGGGCCATGTGGGTGGACGGCATGTGCCTCCTGCATAAGAAGTCTGGACTTCAGGCAGGGCACAGTGGCTCACACATGTAATCTCAGCACTTTGGGAGGCTGAGGCAAGAGGATCACTTGAGCTCAGGAGTTTGAGACCCCCTCTCTACAATAGATTAAAAAAAAAAAAGTAGCCGGGTGTAATGGTGCAGGCCTGTAGTCCTCGCTACATGGGAGGCTGAAGCAGGAGGATGGCTTGAGCCCTGGAGGGTGAGGATGCAGTAAGCCATTATTGTGCCACTGCTCTCCAGCTTGGGCCACAGAGCAAGACCCTGTTCCAAAAAAAAAAAAAAAAAAAAAAAAAAAAAAGGTCTGGATTTTATTAGGACAAACGAGGAGCACTGAAGGGTTTTAGATGTGCCCTTCCTATTTTAGGCTTATTCTAAGGGTTCCTGACAGCCCAGACTTCAGTCTTCTCCATCTATGGCCCAGCCCAAAGCCAATCTCTCCAGGCCTGACCCCCAACCCTGCTTCCCCTCCCATCCAAGCTCCCAGCCTACTCTTGGGTGTAAATTAATGTTTCCTTATGTATATACTAATAGAGAAGGCACCAGAGAGAATGTTAAGGCCACTCCTTTGTCTCTGGGAGTTGAGTTTCTGCCCCTCTGTTATCTAACCCTGGACTTAATCCCAAAGGACTTTCAGATGGTGGAGCAAATAGTTTAGGTCAACGATGGGCCCTTTCAACTCATCTCTATTTGGTGTTCAACTCCTCTACCTATTTAATCCAAATTTCAAATGAAATAAATATCAGGCTGAGCAAGGTGGCCCATGCCTGTAATCCCAGCACTTTAGAAGGCCAAGGCGGGCGGATCGGCTGAGGTCAGGAGTTCGAGGCCAGCCTGGCCAACATGGCAAAACCCCATCTGTACTAAGAATACAAACATTAGCTGGGCGTGGTGGCACGTGCCTGTAGTCCCAGCTACTTGGTAGACTAAGGCAGGAGAATTGCTTGAACCCGGGAGGCAGAGGTTGCAGTGAGCCGAGATTGTACCACTGCAATCCAGCCTGGGCGACACAGTGAGACTCCATCTCAAAAAAAAAAAAAAAAATGGCAGGGTGCAGTGGCATATACCTGTAATCCTAGCACTCTGAGAGGCCGAGGAAGGCAGATCACCTGAGGTCAGGAGTTCAAGACCAGCCTGGCCAACATGGCGAAACCCCGTCTCTACTAAAAATACAAAATTTAGCTGGGTGTGGTGGTGTGCACCTGTAATCCCAGCTACTTGGGAGGCTGAGGCAAGAGAATCACTTGAACCCGGGAGGCAGAGGCTGCAGTGAGCCAAGATCGTGCCACTGCACTCCAACCTAGGCAACAAAGCAAGACTCCATCTCAAAAAAAAAAAAAAAAAATCGATTGCTGTCCATGTCCATTGGCACTTGGCATGAACTCCCAACTCTCCCCATGAGTCTTCCAGCGTTGCAGAAGCTAAAAGGACAAAACAAATATTTCCCAGACTATCTTTCAGGCAGCTAGGGTTCTGGGTAAGAATTGGGGAACCCCAATTCAATATATTCACAAAGGATGAAGTGGGGTGGATGGTGGCTCTGCCAGCAAGCAAGGTTTTAGAAAGCCAGTTAGTTGCGGCAGCCAGACTTCGTGTTCTGGTGTCTGCTCAGCAGCTGCACAGACGTCAGTTCTGGTGGCAGCACCATCCTGATCCCAGTGAGGTGCTCTTGCGTGGTGGTCCCTGGGCTCCCACTCCTCCAGCCCTTCCAACAACTATATAACCGAATTCCCCGTGTTAAATCTTTTTCTTCCTGAAATACCTAGAGAGCTCTGTTTCCTGCACTGGCCCTGGTGGCTCCGTCAGCCTCAGCATATCTGCCTCTGTCATCCTCAGCATCTTGGCCTCTTTGATGCCTCACTCACGTATCACCCCCACTCTCTACTGAGGTCGGCAAACGGGGTGGAACAGAAAAGGCAACCAGGCATGCTCAGTCCTCTTCACAAAGCTGACCTGAAGGCCTAGTCACCCAAGGTTGGGGAAAGCAGAGCTGCCCCTCCTCCCCACCCCTACGTCTCTGCAGGCCCACCCTCATCTTCTGCAGAGACTCCCCTAGACACAGACTTGTACTCATCCTCCAATTTGCTTGGAAACTCTGTACACTTTGATACAATGCTTCATTTCCTCCATTCTTACTTGGCAGAAGTCGTAACTCCCTAAACACACTGGGACAGTATATTACACAAAAGGAAAACTATTGAGCCAACGATTTGTTTCCTCAGCGCTCTCAGCGCTTCAATGCCCGGCTCCAGCTGCTCTCGCTGACTCCGTTAAGCTTAACGCCCTATGTTAGGGTTGCTATGGAAGCCAGAAATAACATTTCAGGAATCTCTCACAGGCTTGGTGACTTGGTTTCTAGGCTCTTCTGCAAATAGTCTTTCTTGTAGATGATCATTAAGATGAAGACAAGTTAAAAAGACAGCAGTTTTAATGAAGTGGAATGGTATTTATTCAAGACCCGATAATAGAAAAGCATTTAGGGTCTGCAAATTTGAAGGCTGAAAAAGGACTTGAACGACTGGATTCAATTTCCCTGTTACATAAAGGGAGAAGCAGGTCGTGCAGTGTAACGGGGCAGCAGCCTCCTGCCCATGTCTCCCACACCACACTCATTCTCCACCCTGGGCAAGTGGCTTTATCCCTCTCTCCTTCAGTTTCCTCTTCCGCAAGATGGGGACAATAATTGTACCTGCCTCATAGGGTTGTCATGAGGATAAAATGAGCAAATATGTGTACTTAGAATAGTGCCTGGCGCAAAGTAAGAGTCAAATAAGCCTTTATTGTTGTTATTATTATTCCCACCTGGTGCTGCACTGAGGGTTCTATGGAAGCAATGTGGCATAGCAGAGAAAGCACCAGACTGGGAGTCCAGAGACCTGTGTTCCAGTCCCCACTCTGCTACCAGCTAGGTGACACTGGCCGCATAACTTTATTTTTTATTTTATTTTTTTTTTGAGACAGAGTCTCACTCTGTCACCAGGCTGGAGTACAGTGGTGTGATCTCGGCTCACTACAACCTCTGCCTCCCAAGTTCAAGAGATTCTCCTTCCTCAGCCTCCCGAGTAGCTGGGACTACAGGCACACGCCACCATGCCCAGCTATTTTTTGCATTTTTAGTAGAGACGGGGCGTCACCATGTTGGCCAGGATGGTCTCGATATCTTGACCTCGTGATCCGCCTGCCTTGGCCTCCCAAAGTGCTGGGATTACAGGTGTGAGCCACGGCACCCGGACCATAACTTTATTTTATTTTATTTTGGCTATGGAATTTTCTATCTCTAGTTTTTATTCTCCCCTGTAAAATGAGAGGGTTAGACTAAATGAAGTGTCTTAGTTCTTTTTCAGCCCCATATGCTATGGCTCTAAATAAACTAAGTTAATTAGTTCACACATGTAATCCCAGCACTTTGGAGGCTGAGGCGGGCGGATCACTGGAGGTCAGGAGTTCGAGAGCAGCCTGGCCAATATGGTGAGACCCCGTCTCTACCGAAAATACAAAAAAAAATTAGCTGGGCCTGGTGGCGCATGCCTGTAATGCCAGCTACTCTGGAGGCTGAGGCAGGAGAAACGCTTGAAGGCGGGAGGTGGAGGTTGCAGTGAGCCAAGGTCACTCCCTTGCACTCCAGCATGGGCAAGAGAGCTAGACTACGTCTCAAAAAATAAAAAATAAATAAATAAACTAAGTTAAATAGAGATGTTCCTTGACCTTTACAAATGGTTATATTCATATCCATAATGATAGCTACTATGTTATTGAGCCATGGTTATATATCAGTATAATGCTAAATGTTGTACACGCACTAACTCATTACTCCTCATAGCAACCCACTGTCCCCATTTTACTAGAGGGAAAACTGAAGGCTCAGAGAAGTTAGGGTAATTTATTTGCCCAAGGTCACACAGTTAGTAACTGGTGGAGCCATGATTTGAATGTAGGGACTCTAACTCTAGAATTCATACTCTTCATGATTTTGCTACAGGAAACAACCAATGTACACACAACTATACAAGAGTACAACCTGCATGCCTTTATATTACGTGAAAGTTCCCTTGCTAAAACTGTAGGGTGCTCTGTAAGCTGTCTCTATACATTCCCAGCAACCTGGTACTGTTCAAGAAAGCTTTAGGACATTTGCCACAAAATAAAATAATCCTTAGTGTTTGTTACACTCCAGGGATTACTCAACCCTACCATCATCCCTCCCCTGGATGATGGCATTAGCCTCCTAAGCACTGCTTGCCTTCGCCTCTCTGCAGACTATTCCCAATCCAGCAGAAGAAGTGATTCTTTAAAAACCAAATCGGCCAGGCATGGTGGCTCATACCTGTAATCCCAGCACTTTGGGAGGCCAAGGCAGGTGGATCACCTGAGGTCAGGAGTTCGAGACCAGCCAACATGGCAAAACCCCGTCTCTACCAAAAAATACAAAAATTAGCCAGGTGTGGTGGCACGCCCCTGTAGTCCCAGCTACTGGGGAGGCTGAGGTGGGAAAATCGCTTGAACCTGGGAGGCGGAGGTTGCAGTGAGCTGAGATTGCACCACTGCACTCCAGCCTGGGCAACAGAGCAAGACCCCATCTCAAAAAAAAAAAAAAGTCGCCTGTAATCCCAGCACTTTGGGAGGCCGAGGTGAGCGGATCACGAGGTCAGGAGATCAAGACCGTCCTGGCTAACACGGTGAAACCCCGTCTCTACTAAAAATACAAAAAATTAGCCAGGCATGGTTGCAGGCACCTGTAGTCCCAGCTACTCAGGAGGCTGAGGCAGGAGAATGGCCTGAACCCGGGAGGCGGAGCTTGCAGTGAGCCAAGATCACGCCACTGTACTCCAGCCGGGGCGACAGAGCGAGACTCCGTCTCAAAAAAAAAAAAAAAGTGAAATCATGTAATTCCCTTACCAATGGCTCCCATCTCTCTCAGAGAAAATCCTAAGCTGTTTCAATGGCCCCACTAAAGGCCCCCTTGTTACTTCTCTGATCTCATCTCCTACCGTGGGCCCCTCACTCACTCGGCAAGAGCCACACTGGCCTCCCTGCTGTACTGAACAATTCAAGCATACTCCTGCCTGCTGTTCTCTCTGCCTGCAACATTATTCTGGTGCCTCATCCTGTCACTGCCTTCAGGTATGTGAAGAAGAGTCACCTTCTCACTGAGGCCTTCCCCCGACTCATCTAAAGATTCCCCAGCCCCATCCTTTGAGCTGGAGCAGGGAAAAAGAAAAGAAAAAGAAAACAAAAGAAAAAATGTCCTTGGCCCCATGGTATGCTAAATGAAAGAAACCAGGCACAGAATGACAAATACTGCATGACCTCACTTATATGTGGAATTTAAAAAAGCCAAACTCATAGAAATAGAGAGCAGACTGACTCATATGACAAATTCTACAGAGAATTGATTCTAAGACTGATACTTGATTTAAAGTTGAAAGAGGCTGGGCATGGTGTCTCACACCTATAATCCCAGCAATTTGGGAGGCCAAGGTAGGTGGATCGCTTGAGTTGAGGAGTTTGAGACCAGCCTGGGCAACCCCATCTCTACCACAAGAAATACAAAAAATTATCTGGGCATGGTGGTGCACACCTGTGGCCCCAGCTACTTGGGAGGCTGAGATGGGAGGATCACTTGAGCATGGGAGGCAGAGGCTGAAGTAAGCCAAGATCAGGGCACTGCCCTCCAGCCTGGGCAACAGAGTGAGACCCTGTCTCAAAAAAAAAAGGGGGCGGGGAGGGGCTGGTGCAGGCATGGTGGCTTACACCTATAATCCCAACACTTTGGGAGGCCAAGGCCGGTGGATCACCTGAGGTCAGGAGTTCAAGACTGGCCTGGCCAACATGGCAAAACCCTGTCTCTACTAAAAACACAAAATTAGCCAGGCACGGTGGCGCACCTATAGTCCCAGCTACTTGGGAGACTGAGGCAGGAAAATCACTTGAAACCAGGAGGCGGAGGTTGCAGTGAGCCGAGATTGCATCACCACACTCCAGTCTGGGTGGCAAAGTGAGACTCTGCCTCAAAAAAAAAGGTTGAAAGAGAAAAACTGCTATTTTATATTTAAGTCAGTACAGTAGATGGTCAAATAGGTAAATAAAAGATAAAAGTTAATAAAACTGTTAGTAAATGTCATCTCACTCATTCATTCAGTATACAGTTCCTGAGAAGCTACTCCACCAGATGTTTTAGGCCCAGAGATGAGAAGCTCTGATTCCTAGGTTTTCTTTGAGATGGGCTCTCACCATGTTGCCCAGGCTGGTCTGGAACTCCTGGGCTCAAGCAATCCTCCCACTTCAGCCTCCCAAAGTTCTGGGATTATAGGCATGGGCCATCGTAACTGGCTTAATTCCTAGTTGTAAAGATCTCATAGTAGAGTCATACTTTGCAACTTACAAAGTGACTTTTTTTTTTTTGAGATAGAGTTTCACTCTTGTTGCCCAGGCTGGAATGCAACGGCACAATCTTGGCTCACTGCAACCTCCACCTCCCGGGTTCAAGCGATTCTCCTGCCTCAGCCAACTACCCAATTATCTATGAACTTAGCCATAGCAATCCCCCTGTGAGCAGGCACAGTGATTACAGGCTTTCGCTTTAAAACCAAAAACTCCTTGGCCCATCTTTTACCACAAGGCACCTCCCGAGTAGCTGGGGTTACAGGCGTCTGCCACCACGCCCAGCTAATTTTTTGTATTTTTAGTAGAGACAAGGTTTCACCAGATTGGTCAGGCTGGTCTCAAACTCCTCGCCTCAGGTTATCCACCTGCCTCAGCCTCCCAAAGTGCTGGGATTATAGGCGTCAAAGTGACTTTTAATAATAAATTTTAAAATCAACAATAACAGCGCTAATGAAATGCTTCCTCTGTGCCAGGCTCTGTGCCAAGCCCTCTATGTGTATTGTCTTATTCCATCCTCATAACCACTCTATGAGGGAGGTATCATTATTATCCTCATTTTACAAACAAGACAACTGAACTTCAGGGTGGTTAAGTTACTTATTCATGGTTGCACAGTGGAGAGCTAGAATTAAAACTCATTAAAAGTCAGCTATGGGCTGGGCACCATGGCTCACGCCTGTAATCCCAGCACTTTGGGAGGCCGAGGCGGGTGGATCACGAGGTCAGGAGATCGAGGCCATCCTGGCTAACACAGTGAAACCCCATCTCTACTAAAAATACAAAAAAAAAAAAAAAAATTAGCCAGCTGTGGTGGCGGGCGCCTGTAGTCCCAGCTACTTGGGAGGCTGAGGCAGGAGAATGGCATGAACCTGGGAAGTGGAGCTTGCAGTGAGCCAAGATTGCGCCACTGCACTCCAGCCTGGAGGAAAGAGCGAGACTCCATCTCAAAAAAAAAAAAAAAAAGTGAGCTATGATGACTGGGCATGGTGGCTCACTTCTGTAATCCCAGCAGTTTAAGGGGCCGAGGCAGGCAGATCACCTAAGGTCAGGAGATCGAGATCAGCCTGGCCAACATGGTGAAACCCCGTCTCTACCAAAAATACAAAAATTAGTTGGGTGTGGTGGCAGGCTCCTATTATCCCAGCTACTTGGGAGGCTGAGGCAAGAGAATCACTTGAACCCAGGAGATGGAGGTTGCAGTGAGCCGAGATTGCACCACTGCACTCCAGCCTGGGCGACAGAGCAAGACTCTGTCTCAAAAAAAAAAAAAAAAAAAAAGTCAGCTATGGTTATTTTAAAAACTGAGCTGACAAGTGTGGAAAGGTTCAGGAGCCAAGGCTGACAGAGCTCAGTAAGAAAATGGGCGATGAGACTCAAGAGGCCATCTGAACCTGCCTCTGCGGAAATAGAGGGTCCCCACAAAGAAACGAGAGATCAAGACACCTATTCTGTAATTAAATGAAACATACACAGGGTTATTTCTCCCTCCTGAACTTTATACCTATAAACCAAATTGTCCATTGATGTCCCCGTAAGTGTCCCCCAAACACTCCAACTGAATATGGAGTTTGATCTGCACACAGGCATTCAGTGGATGTTTGTAGGCTGGATAAGGATTTAGCAGCTGTGGTGGTGCATGGTAGTTCTACATTGCAGTGATTTGCAAACAGGGATTAATTATGTCTATCTAGTCTGTGTCTGGTGCTGGCCTCAGCTTCAGTAGCTGGTTGGTCAATGGCTTAGCTCCAGCTCTGACTCAGTTCTGACCACTGGCTGGGGTGGATCATGTACATGAGAACAGACCATCTGGTAGGAGGGAAAAGGGCTCCTTTGAGACCCAGGAAACTTAGTTCTAATGCCTGGGCTGCTGCTAGTCCATCACCTCACCTTGGACATGTGACAATATCTCTGAGCTCTTGAGTTCCCTCATCCTAGCTTCCTAACCTTTATTTGTATCAGGGACCCCCATGGCAGTCTGGAGAAGCCCATGACTCCTTCTCAGAATAAAGTTTTTACATGCCTAAAATAAAATGCAACACCCACTAGGATGGTAATTAATATTTTTTAATGAAAATAACAAGTATTGGTGAGGATGTGGAGAAATTGGAACCCTCGTGTACTGCTGGTGGGAATGTAACATGCTGCAGCCACTGTTGAACACAGTTTAGCAGTTCCTAGAAAGTTAAACATAGAATTACCATATTTCCCAGCAATTCTACTCCTTAGTATATATCCAAAAGAATTGAAAGCAGGAACTCAAGAAGATACTTGTGTGCTAATGTTCATAGCAGCCTTATTCACAATAGCTCAAAGGTGGCCAGGCACAGTGGTTCACACCTATAATCCCAGCATTTTGAGAGGCCATGGCAGGTGGATTGCTTGAGCCCAGGAGTTCAAGACCAGCCTGGGCAACATGATGAAACCCTGTCTCTACTTAAAATACAAAAAATTAGCCAGGCATGGTGTGTGCCTGTAGTCCCAACTACTTGGGAGGCTGAGGTGGAAAGATCACCTGAGCCAGGGAAGTCAAGGTTGCAGTGAGCCCGGATCACGCCACTGCTCTGCAGCCTGGGTGATAGGAATAAGACCCTGTCTCAAAAAAACAAAAAACAAAACAAAACAAAAAAACCCACAGTAGTCCAAAGGTGAAAACAACCTGTGGCCGTTGACAGGTGAATGGAGTAAAATGTAGCGTATTTTTGAACCACAAAAAGAATGAAGTTCTGATACATGCTACAACATGGATGAACCTTGAAAACACTAAGCTAAATGAAAAAAGCTAACAACCAAAGGATAAATATGATAGAATTTCATTTGTATGAGGTATTTAGGCAAATTCATAGAGAAAAAAGTAGAATAGAAGTTACTGGGGGGTGGGGAAGGGAAGAATGAGGAGTTATTGCTTCATTATTTACAGAGTTTCTATTTGGGATGATGAAAAGCTCTGGAAATAGTGGTGATGGTTACACAACATTGTAAATTTTCTCAATACCATCAAACATGTACTATAAACGGTTAAAATAGTCAATTTTATCTTATGTATATTTTATCACAATAAACAAGTAAATGAATGCAAAGGATTAGAAAGGAGGCCAATTATTTGAACTGCAGTTATCAAAATATTTTTAAAAATTTGGTATAGAGTAACATGTACTTTTAAAAACAACATGTCAAGATCAAGAGGCGGGTCTACTAACTAGTGTAATTTTGAAGTAGTGATGAGTGTAAACAGTATTTTGAGTTATCTCTGATGGCTACAATGTGCCATGAAAATATCTGTGATTGCTACTGGAGACACAGTACTGCTACTACTCTGGTGTTTGTTGCTTGCAATCATAATAGAAGGGAATGCTAAACTGCACTTAGAGTTTAGTGAAAAATAATGTAATTTTGTTCTCATCCAAATTATGGAGCCACTGAAGTCTACCCAAGAGCACTTTGAGGGACATGGATCCCAGGTTAAGAGTTTCTCAATGAGATGATCTCTAAACTCTCTTCTAATTAAAATGGTGTGATCTAGGAGTGGCTTCTGATCTCATCTATATTATAGATAAACTGGTATGTCTGATTGGCCTTTCCTTATCTACAAATTGAGACTGATTATAAAATCTACATTTCAAGGACTTTGAGAAGACAAAAGAGATAAGGCAAGCAATACGTGTGTTGAAAAACTGTACGGCTTTTTCACATATGCGAGATATTATCAGAGAAACTCAAGAGTCAATCCAGACTCCCCTCCCTGCAGCACACACACCCATCCCCCAGGTCTCAATGTTTCTTTAGAATTTTTCCTAAGAACTTTGTGACCTACAGAAACAAAGCACTGGGCACCTTTGGTTAAAGAATCACATGTCCCCTATTAAAACACAGCTCAGTATTATGAACTGTCATTTATGCCAACAGATTTGAAAATGTAGACAAATGGCTAACATTCAAGGAAAATATCAATTACTAAAATAGACTCAAAAGAAATAGAAAAGTCAAATAGACTAATGGCTTTTAAAGAAATTAAATTAGTTTCAAACATATTTCCCCTACAGAAGGGATTCAACCCAGATGGTTTTATGAACAAATTTGCCAGCTCTTTAAGGAATAGCTAATACCTACTTTACAAAAACAACTTATTTTCATGAAGCTAACTTAACTTTGATACCAAAACCAGAGAGTGCAAAAAATGAAAATTAGAGGGAATATCTGCCAGTTTAATTTATGAATCTAAATACAAAAACAGATTAGCAAAATAATTCTAGTAAGGTATTAAAAAGTACATTATGATCAAGTAAAGTTTACCTCAATAATGCAAGGATTGGTTCAACACTAGAAAATCTATCCATATAATCCATTGCATTATCAAACCAAAGTAGGAAGAGTTCATTATCATGCTACTACATGAAGGGAAAACATTTGATAAGACATAGCTCTGAACCTACAAGGATGGATCAAGTGGTCCTATCTCCGTCCCCTTGGGTTTCACTTACTCTTTGGAGCCTCCTAGTCAACCACACTCTGAAGCCTGAGGGTACAGGTTACCTCCTCTAATATTCTGACCCCAAAATAGACCCAAAACCCCTCTTTTGCTAGCTGACACAGGCTGGATGTTTTTCCAGTCTTTGCTCCACTGACTCTCTACACAGCAGCATCTGCCAACTTCCCAGTTCCCGCCTAGGATATTTGGCATCTACAGGGCAAAGACCAGGAGAGGCAGAGTCCTTCCCACACTCACCTAGGCATCTCCATTTCATTCCAGTTTCCATTTGTCCACCCATCCAGCAAATATTTGCTAAGTGTCTATCATGTGCAGACAAAAACAAAACAAAAAACAAAAAAACCCTGCCTTCCTAGAGCTTAGATTCTACTGTTACCCTTCCAATGTCTGTGAGGAAGAGCCCTTCCATGTGGAACTGACACAAAATATGATCTTGTCATTCAGGTACTCCACAGAGAAACTTATCTTTACCCTGGCATTATAACCACACCCAAGTGCAATAGATATAGTGTTCCTATGCCACGAATTCCAAAGGTACAGGAAAGGGTGGGTGAAGGCGTGCATGTGTGTGTTCCATGGAGCACCACCTGCACCCCTCAGAGCAGATGCAAGTCTGTGTTGATTACTGTACATGGTGCAATAAGCAGGGTTGTCAGAAAATGGCTGGACAGCAAGCTTGCTGGCATCTGAGGCTTTCCTTTCTCCCAGCAGGACTGGCTACCTAAACTCAACTTCTCATGGGCCCAGTGTCTTCCCTCTGCTAGCATGGGGACTATAACATCCCAGGAGTCTCACAGTCCCTGGGTACTGACGTTCCTAGACAACTCCTGCAAACAGCTGGGTCCCCAAACCCAGCATCTGCACCAAGAAGGCTGGGCATTCCTCCACAGACAAGACTGCTTTCTTAAGCTGCCTAAAAACAGGAGACTCCTGTGTTGAGGGGAGTGGGTAACGAGCCTTTTACTGCAATGTAGACCCACACCATGGGCCCAGCAGTGCCCTGGCCCTGGCACTTCTGAGAAGTTGGAGGCATCAGGCAGACAAGGGAGACAGGAGAGGTAAGGCAAGGGATGGGTGCTTTGAAAAACTGTGAAGATCTTCTACAAAAGCCAGGTGTTATCGGAGAAACCCAAGAGGCAATAGCGACTCCTCTCCCGGCAACACACACCCATCCCCCAGGTCTCAGTGTTTCTTCAGAATTTTTGCTAAGAGCTTTGTGATCTATGAGAATAAAACACTGGGCACTTTTTGCTTTTTTTCTTTGTCTTTTTTTTTATTCTTTTTTTTTTTTTGAGACGGAGTTTCGTTCTTGTTGCCTGGGCTGGAGTGCAATGGTGCGATCTCGGCTCACTGCAACCTCCACCTCCTGGGTTCAAGCAGTTCTCCTGCCTCAGCCTCCCAAGTAGCTGGGATTACAGGTGCCCGCCACCACACCCAGCTAATTTTTTGTATTTTTAGTAGAGACGGGGTTTCACCATGTTGGCCAGACTGGTCTCAGACTCCTGACCTCAAGTGATCTGCCCACCACGGCCTCCCAAAGTGCTGGGATTACAGGTGTGAGCCACCACACCCGGCCTAACACTGTGTACTTTTTGTTAAAAAAAAAAAAAACAAATACATGTCCCCTGGCCAGGCACAGTGGCTCATATCTCTAATCCCAGCACTTTGGGAGGCTGAGGCAGGAGGATTGCTTGAGCCCAGGAGTTCGAGACCAGCCTGGGCAACATAGTGGGACCCTATTTTTTATAAACATGTATTTATAAAATACATGTTCCCTATTAAAACGTAACTCAGTATTATGAGCTATAATTTATAACAACAGATTTGAAAATGTAGACAAATGAGAAAACTTTTCAGAAAGATATCAATGACCAAAATAGACTTAAGAAGAAATGAAAAACCTGAATGCACAAATGGATTTTGAAGATATTTAATTTGTTGTCAAATATATCCCCTCTACAAAAGGCATCAAGCCCAGATGGTTTTATGAGTGAGTTTTCCATCTCTTTAAGGACTTATTTTGCTGATCCTATGCACCCATGGTGCCTGAGGCCGTGGAATTTGTACCAAACCCTAAAGCCTGACTGGTGGTGAGCCAGATGTGACCCTGGCCTGACCCTGCAGTATCCTTGGCACCCAAAGCAAAGCCTTGTACACTGTAGCTTCTTCATACGTATTTGTTGAATGGATGAATCAATGATTACCCAAGCAAATTATGAAACAAAATAGTATATCAGGGCCGGGTGCAGTGGCTCACGCCTGTAATCACAGCACTTTGGGAGGTCAAGGTGGGTGGATCACCTGAGGTCAGGAGTTCAAGACCAGCCTGGCCAACATGGCGAAACCCCATCTCTACTAAACATACAAAAAGTAGCCTGGTGTGGTGGTGCGTGCCTGTAATCCCAGCTATTCAGCAGGCTGAGGCAGCAGAATCGCTGGAACCCAAAAGGCGGAGGTTACAGTGAACCCAGAACACACCACTGCACTCCAGCCCAGGCAACAGAGCAAGACTCCATCTCAAAAAGAAAAAAAAAAAGTGTATCAGAATGAAACCATTTTGGCATAGTTAAAAAGCTCCATAAAATTGATGGTTTTCCTATTCTTCTTCACTTTGGAGACAAATTCAGCTTTAACTGGAAGAGGAGAATGGAGAGGCCTGCTTCGGTCAGTGGTGGGACAATCACATGGGACAGGCCACATCTGGGTGCAAACAGATGAACGGTACCTAGGAGAGGAGGATGTATCCCCGGTGACCCCACCAAGTCCCAAAGATTTAAGGATTCCTCATCTTTCACTGGGCCTAATGCAGACCTTGGAATAAAAGGGTTCTCAGTATATCTTTTTTTGGGGGGGCGGGGACAGAGTCTCGCTCTGTTGCCCAGGCTGGAGTGCAGTGGCGCTATCTCGGCTCACTGCAAGCTCCGCCTTCTGGGTTCACGCCATTCTCCTGCCTCAGCCTCCAGAGTAGGTGGGACTACAGGTGCCCGCCACCACACCCGTCTAATTTTTTGTATTTTTAGCAGAGACGGAGTTTCACCGTGTTAGCCAGGACGGCCTCAATCTCCTGACCTCGTGATCCGCCCACCTCGGCCTCCCAAAGTGCTGGGATTACAGGCGTGAGTCACCACGCCCGGCTGGTTCTCAGTATATCTTTATTCAATAAATGGATCAAGTAGGCTGGAACAAGCGAGCCCCAGTGTCAGGGCTGGGGGATTAAGAGCCGGAGATGGAAAGCAGCCCTTCCCAGCCTTTGCCAAGTCTGAGCCCTCCTGGAAGAAATTCCTCCGCAGTTTACTTAATGGTCCACCCTGACTTTAAGGGCCTCTGGGGCTCATCCCCCATGGGACTTCTCATGGCGCAATGACCCACAGTACACATAATCCATCATGCCTTTCTAAAGGCCCCTCCGGGCTCTGAACTTAGGTTGTCCGAAGCATCCATTCATCTTGTTTCTCCCAAAGATCCTGCCTGTGCCCCAGCTCTTGGTCCATCTGGCCAACCAGCCTTCCTCTTTGATGTTCTTACTCATTGGCTGGCTGTAGGCTTATAATAACTTCCTCCTCCCCCATGTCTAGCCCCATGGTCTTCTGAGCAGCCAAAATATACACATTGTCCTCCTTTCATCTTTCCCTATAAATCAGCCTCCCCTGGATATACTGAAACAGGACTGAGTTAGTCGTTCTAATTCTTGGCTTTTGAAAAACCTTACTTGGACTTGGTTTCACATCCTGGTTAGATTGCACTCCTGTCCCATCTTCAGCCCTGGGATTCCGGCTGCACAGCCCACTGCGCTTGCTGGAGCTGCTTTAATGACTCTGAAATATGCCATGGTAAAGTAATAAGTGACCCACTGCTCAAGTCTTTGAACATGCTTCCCCAGCGTTTCTCATATCACCCTGAAGTGGGAACATAAAGTGAATCAGAAAGGAAAAAGAGGCTATTTAGAAACATGTTGAAAGATGACACACTGTCCTCCACAAACTGGGAAAGTGAAAAGCAAAGCAGCTTGTCATGGGCTGACTTCTGTCCCTCTCCCTGCCCGCGATTCATATGTTGAAGTCCTCACCCCCAGGCCTTCAGGAGGTAACCGGATTTGGAGTTAGGGTCTTCAAAGATGTGATTAAGTTAAAATGAGGTTATTAGGGCGAGCCTAATTCAATGTGACTGGTGTCCTTATAAGAAGAGGAAGTCTGGACACTCACAGGTACAGAGGGAAAAGACCACGTGGAGACACAGGGAGAAGACAGCCACCTATGAGCCAAGGAGAGAGGGCTCAGAAGAAACCAACACAGCCGACACCTTGAGCTCAGACTTCTAGCTCCAGAACTGTGAGACAATACATTTCTGTTGTTTAACCACCCACTTTGTGGTATATTGTTATAGCAGCCCTAGGAAACTAATATACAACTCAAATTTCTAGAACATATATATATTTATTGAGGAAGAGTCCGTTAATTTACTTTTCCTATAGGCATTTATGGAATACCTGCTGTGTACCAGGCACCTTGCTCAGCTATGCTGGTACAGTGACGAACTACACAGACAATTAAGCAGGCAATTGCTGTACAGGCTAAGTGCAGTTTTGGGGACATACAGCACTCCATGGGAATGCAATAGTTGGGGTATTAAATCCCAACCTAGAAGATTAGAAGCGCTTCCACTGAGACCTGAAAGATGAGTCCAATTCAACTGGATAAAACAGGGTGGGTGGGGTTATAGAAAAGAGTTCAAGAAGGCGGGGTGTGGTGGTTTATGCCTGTAATCCTAACACTTTGGGAGGCCACAGCAGGAGGATCGCTTGAGCTCAGGAGTTCGAGAACAGCCTGGCCAACATGGTGAAACCCTGTCTTTACAAAAAAATATGAAAAAAAAAAATTGCTGGATATGGTGGTGCGTGCTTGTAATCCCAGCTACTTGGGAGGTTGAGATAGGAGGATCACCTGGGCCTGGAGGTCGAGGCTGCAGTGAGCCATGATCGCACCACTGCACTGCAGCCTGGGTGATAAAAGAGTTTAAGTAGAGAAAACAGCAAGTTCGCTTCTTGAATTCTACCTCTGGCTGCTCAGTAGTTGAATGACCTTGTATGAGACATTTAAGGGATAATAGTACATGCAGAGTGAAGTGTGAGCTGCCTACCACAGTGCCTGGCACATGGTGGCTTGTCAT
This sequence comes from Homo sapiens, assembly GCF_000001405.40. Taxonomy (NCBI): domain Eukaryota; kingdom Metazoa; phylum Chordata; class Mammalia; order Primates; family Hominidae; genus Homo; species Homo sapiens. The sequence continues at coordinate 97,898,623 of NC_000008.11, read as the reverse complement.
CACTACTATTTTTTTTTTTTTTTTTTGAGAAGGAGTTTCACTCTTGTTGCCCAGGCTGGAGTGTAGTGGTGTGATCTCAGCTCACTGCAACCTCCGCCTCCGAGGTTCAAGTAATTTTCCTGCCTCGGCCTCCCGAGTAGCTGGGATTACAGGTGCCCACCACCACACCTGGCTAATTTTTTGTATTTTTAGTAGACACAAGGTTTCACCATGTTGGCCAGGCTGGTCTCAAACTCCTCATCTCAGGTGATTCACCCACCTTGGCCTCCCCAAGTGCTGGGATTACAGGCATGAGCCACCGCACCCGGCCGTCATCACTACTATTGTTATCATTATTAGCATTAGATAGAGAGACGAAGGACAGGACTGGCTCCTTAGGGGTAAGGTTGTACACCTTGTCTCCTAAAAGCACCAGCCAGCAAAGAAAAGAAAGGTGACTGTCACTCACGGAAGGGATAATCCCTCACCTCTACTCCCTGACACACACATGAGTTGCAGGTGCAAAATATATGGGCAAGCTGAGGAGAGAACATCCTGGAACTGAAGAAGGGAATGAGGAAGGGGGGTACTGGAGAGGGAAAGATCAAGGAAGTTTATAGAAAAGGAAAGGGATAAAGAAAGAGTTTCACACAAAGGAGAAAGGGAGAAAGAAGGGGAGAGAGAGGATCTGTAGGAGAAAAAAATCAGGTTATATATTCATTGCCTAGAAAAGCTTTTAACTTTATGGCTTATTGGAGGTCAGACGCTGTGCTTTTTGGATTCTTCCAGCGTTAATCACAAGATAGGAATGAAGAATTTTACTTCATACAGTTTATAAAAATCTATATTAAACAGAGCATAGGCACAGAGGATGAATTTGATAGGGAACAGCAGGTCTGTGCTGAGGGCGGCCATGACAGCGCCTCCATGGGGTCCATGTTTCCAGCTGTCATTGTACTGCCCGTGATGCACTGCAGCTGAGCACTGAAAAAGAGGCAGTTTTACTTCAAAGGTTTAAAAAAAAATTTTAAAACAAACGTTGCTATATTTAAAACAATTTGATAAGCTCAATGCATCGACCTTCATTTGTATAATCTATTCTGATGATAAAGACACATGCCAGCTACTTAGTTCTTTAGATGTGTATTGCTAACTGCTGTGCTGTAAGAGGCTGGCTCCCATGTAGGCCTGAAACTCACCTTTTGCCAATTCCCTATAAGGCTGGACAATGCTAGCAGCTTATTTGTAAAGCTTCAGAAGGGCTGGACCTAGATTACAGTTAGTTTATACTCTGCAGCTGCAATTCTCTGCAGATGTTACTCATCTTGTATTGTCTTTCCGGCTCATGCCCCACAGCATCTTCTTCTAGTATCTTTTCCTCCTGCCCATTCCCACCCAACCTTGTAGGTTTCTCTACAGTAATAGTTCTCAAACTGAGGTTTCCAGGAATACCACTTATCAGGCTCCAACCCAGACCTACTGAATCAGACACTTTGAGCACAGGGCCCAGTAATCTGTGTTCTAACAAGCCTTCCAGGAGCTTTTGATGCACAATGAAGTTTAACAACCCCTGCTTCACTGCCTAATCCCACTGCCCAGCCCGGCCATATTGCCTGATCCCACTGCCTAGCCCTGTTGTGTTGCCTGATCCCACTGCCCAGCCCTGTCATGTTGCCATATCCCAATGCCCAGCCCTACTGTGTTGCCTGATCCCACTGCCCAGCCCTGTCGTGTTGCCAGATCCCACTGCCCAGCCCTACTGTGTTGCCTGATCCCACTGCCCAGCCTTGCTGTGTTACCTGATCCCACTGCCCAGCCCTGTTGTGTTGCCTGATCCCACTGTCCAGCCCTACTATGTTGCCTGATCCCACTGCCCAGCCCTACTGTGTTGCCTGATCCCACTGCCCAGCCTTGCTGTGTTACCTGATCCCTCTGCCCAGCCCTGTTATGTTGCCTGATCCCACTGCCCAGCCCTGCTGTGTTACCTGATCCCACTGCCTAGCCCTGTTGTGTTGCCTGATCCCATTGCCTAGCCCTGCATTATCTGATCCCACTGCCTAACCTTGCTGTGTTGCCTGATCCCCTGCCCAGCCCACTGTTCTGCCTGAACCCACTGCCCAGCCCTGCTGTGTTACCTGATCCCACTGCCCCATCCCTGTTGTCCTGCCTGATCCTACTGACCACCCTGTGTCTCAAAACTTCTCCTTCCTTGGCTTCCAGAATATGGTTCCTCCTTGGCTTTCCTACCTGGACACAGTGAGGGAAAGCTGCGGATTTCATCAGGGTTCCCACATAGAAGGGATGTCAGGGGAATTGGTGACATCACCACATCTGAGATGAGACCTGAGAGATCATTGACTTCAACTTCCTTCTTTTAGAGATGAATGAACTGAGGTCCAGGAGAAGAAAATAACCTCTTGCTAAGAAGGTTAATCAAGATTGAAATCATTCAAATAAGAATGAAATCAGCCTTCTGCATGTCTCATTCACTTACTTGTTCAATACACACTGAGCCCTGGGCAGGACCACAGCCAGGGCTGGAGGTCAGTAGAACCCAGGTGTGACCGGCTGCAGCAGCACCTCCAAATACAGATGGGCAGGGCATTCTATGGTCTACACAAAAACTCTGGGTCAAGGAGCAAGCAGGGGCTAAAATAGTACATTCAAGAGTACGCGTGTCTTTCTCTTTGCTCCAACGCATATCTGCCCCTAAGCCATGCATCCTTTCCATAAAGGGGCTGGGGGTTGAGCACCTTTTCTGTCTAGGTTTGCAGAAGTCTTGACAAATTTGCCAAAACTGCTTAACCTATCTGAGCCTCAGCTTCCTTGTCTGAAAATAGAATATAACAAGAATTACCTTACAGTGTTTGCTCCTGCTATGGATTAGGTGAGATAACACGTCCCAACCCACAGCAGGGGCTCAGTAAATGAGAGTTGCCTTTCATAGGTGCTATGAGAAATGAAAAATATTCAGTCCCTATCTTGAAGAGACAGTCTAGTAGTAAAATGAGACAAGTGCAAAAATAGCTAAAATGTGAATCCCTCTGAGGTAAGTATCACTATTACCCCTTGGAATGTAAGGCAGAGAGGGTTGGCACTTTGGCAGAGGGCCTGCAATGTGTGTGGTCCCTCAATGGAGGTCTTGCCTGGAGAGGGAGGAGGTGGCATTTGACCTGGCCCTGGATGAGAATGGGTCTTGTCTGGGGAAGGATATTCCAGGTAGAAGGAAGAGAATGGACAAAGCTCTGGAAAGCTCAGGGAAGGAGACAAAAGTTTTAATCATGGCAAAATGGCTTCAGGAAATTTAAGACTAGTGGCTTCCACGGGTTGGTCGGAGAGCCAGAGCCTCTCATGGCTTCTGGCATCTGCTTTCCGTCCTTCACAGAGGAGGCCAATAAAAGTCAATTAAAGGTATTGTTTTGGGATGTAGAAATCCATTGAGTGGCAGCTAAGCCTTAAAAATGTAGGTTGGAGCCAGACACGGTGGCTCACGCCTGTAATTCCAGCATTTTGTGAGGCCTAGGTGGGCAGATCACATGAGGTCAGGAATTTGAGACCAACCTGGCCAACATGATGAAACCCCGTCTCTACTAAAAATACAAAAATTAGCCGGGCATGGTGGCGGGCGCCTGCAATCTCAGCTACTCAGGAGGCCAAGGCAGAAGAATTGCTTGAACCCGGGAGGCGGAGGTTGCAGTGAGCCAAGATCACGCCACTGCACTCCAGCCTGGGTGACAGAGCAAGACTCTGTCTCAAAAAAAAAAGGGGGGGTTAATAAATATCAACCTAGGTAAAAATTTCCATTAGCAACACAGAGCAGGCCATGCTTACATTTAATTCTCCAGGCAGCCAACAACTTCACATTGCTCACTTAGGAGGTTTCAGCTCATTATATGAAACGTATTGCAATTTTATGAATATTTTGATGTCAGGTTTAGAGATACATGCAAAAATGAAAATAAGTGTCTCTTAATACACTGTGATTCCCCAAGAGCAGAATTTGGGGCTGTGTAAGGTGAATTCTGCCAGGAGGAATGGTTCACACTTGTAATCCCAACACTTTGGGAGGCCAAGGCAGGAGGATTGCATAAGGCCAAGAATTTGAAACCAGTCTGTGCAACATAGTAAGACCCTGTCTCTGCAAAAAAATTAAACAATTAGTTGGGCGTGGTAGTACATGACTGTAGTCCCAGTTAGTTGGGAAGCTGACTTGGGAGGATCGCTTGAGCTCAGGCTGCAGTGAGCTATGATAGTGCCACTGCACTCCAGCCTGGGCAACAGAATAAGATCCTGTCTAAAAAAAAAAAAAAAAAAAAAAAAAGGTGAATTCTTAGATTTTCTTCATTAGTTTTTAAGTAGTAAATTAACTGTTATGAGTAAATTTTACTAAATGCTGTGGTGTCTACCCTGGAACACCTCTGGAATTCTTCCAGCAGTGTGTGTGGTGGGGTGTGGGGTGGGAGGGAGCTCAGGCCCTACCATCCCCTGACCAGACTGCAGGGCCAACTTCCTTTTAAATCTTTGTCTCCCACTTCTAGAATTGATGCCATATTGCCACAAAATGCTCTCTTAAAACACAAACATAACTTCTGAGTGTGTAGTATTGATCCAAAGGAGAGTCTATAATAGGAAAAGAAAAGGCTTTCAAGTTTAGTTAGCAGAAATAAAATGAGCCAGTTTGGTAAATTTAGAAAAGAATGCATATGTCAACAAGACCTCATAAGACAGACCACCACCAGAGACCACAAGCTGGCTGACTGTAGAGTAGTTTGTGGAGTGGAGGGAATCAAGAATACACTGGGGGCCGGGTGCGGCGGCTCACGCCAGTAATCCCAGCACTTTGGGAGGCCGAGGCAGGCGGCCAACATGGTGAAACCCTGTCTCTACTAAAAATACAAAAATTAACCGGGCGTGGTGGCAGGCACCTGTAATCCCAGCTACTCTGGAGGCTGAGGCAGGAGAATCACTTGAACCTGGGAGGCGGAGGTTGCAGTGAGCCGAGATCCCACCACTGCACTCCAGCCTGGTGACACAGCAAGACTCTATCATAAATAAATAAATAAATAAATAAATAAATAAATAAGAATACTCTGGGAGTTTGGGCAAGGAGGGTTAAGGTTTCCAAAAAGGCTGATATACCCCACTGGTTGTTCTGGAGACAGGTCCACCTCCTCATAGGAAAGTGGGGTAACAAAGAGAAAAAGTGTGCACAAACGAAGCAGGCGGCCATTAGCAGTGGGGCAGCATGCCTTCCAGTTAGCGCCCCCTTGAGGAGGGCCTAGCGAGGAGTGTGGAAGGGGATGGGTGCCACTGATAAGGCTGGTCAAGGGGAAGAATCCAAGTCCAAAGGGTTCTGGGTACAGCACAGTCAGATTCTCCGACTCTACCTGCCAGCGTTGTGGCCTGGAGGGGTCTTTGGGCTAGAGCAGGTGCTCGTTCCTTCTCCTGTTGCAGCCTGCTATTTAGATCCCTGCTCTTTGCCACAACCCAGGAAGGTCAAGTCTGTCCGGAGAGTACAGTGGGTGCAAAGACAAAGCGACACCCACTGTTGACTGCTTAAAGCCCTCCACAGCTCCTACCCCTGCAAAATGAAGCTCAAAACTCCTTCCTTGGAGCCCTCGAGGTCCTAAATTATTGCTGCCTTATCTCCAGCTCAGACCACCTGTCTGGCAGACCCAGCGCCACATCGGAGCCCCACTGCCACACTCCATCCTCATGCCTCTGCCACCTGCTGTCCCACAGGGCTCTCCGTGGGCAGGACCTTCACTGGGAACAATTCTCTTAAACCAGCCATTCTCAAGTGTAGTTTGGGGAATTCTAGGGGTCCCTGAGGCCTTTTCAGAGGATCCATGAGGTCAGAACTATTTCCATAATAACATGAATGTTTGCCTTTCATACTCTCATTCTCTTGTGGGTATATAGAGAACAAAAAGTTTATTGATCTGATTTTAGATTTCACATTGCAACTAAACTTTAAGAAACTACTCTTTGTCAAGTTTTGGTGTAGTATCAAAGAACATTCACAATTATATGAAAAGGCTATTTAAATGCTCTTCCCTTTTCCAACTACATATCCATGCATTTTCATATAATCTAACGAAAACATTTCATGACAGATTGAATGGTCAAGAAATGACAATCTAGCTGTCTTCTACGAAGCCAGACCGTTACAAGATTTGCAAAACTGTAAAACGGTGCTACTCTTCTTTTTTTTTTTTTTTTTTTTTTTGAGACAGGGTCTCACTCTGTCACCCAGGCTGGAGTGCAGTGGCACCATCACGGCTCACTCATGCAGCCTCGACCTCTGGGGCTCAAGTGATCCTGCAGCCTAAGCATTTCAATTAGCTGGGACTATAGGTGTGTACCACCACACCCGGCTAATTTTTTTTTTTCTTTCTTTTTTTTTTTTGAGACAGTTTCACTCTTGTCACCCAGGCTGAAGTGCAGTGGTGTGATCTCGGCTCACTGCAACCTCCGCCTCCCGGGTTCAAGTGATTCTCCTGCCTCAGCCTCCGGAGTAGCTGGGATTACAGGTGCACACCACCAAACCAGGCTAATTTTTGTATTTTTAGTAGAGACAGTTTTTCACCATGTTGGCCAGGCTGGTCTCAAACTCCTGACCTCAAGTGATCTGCCCACCTCAGCCTCCCAAAGTGCTGGGATTACAGGTGTGAGCCACTGTGCACGGCCTCATTTTTTTATTTTTGTAGAGACAAGGTATCCCTATGTTGCCCAGACTGGTCTCAAACTCCTGGGCTCAAGTGATCCTTCCACCTCAGCCTCCCAAAGTACTGGAATTACAGGCATGAGCCACTGCACCTGGCCAGAAAATATAGTTTTTTATACATATATAGTTTGTTAACACATTCTGATTTTATTATTGTTATTTTTAAATTTCTGATCAGGTAGATACCAATAGATCTAACCCACATAAACAAAGCTCCCTTGATTGTCCTCAGGATTCTTAAAAAACAAACAAAAGTTATTTGGGATCCTTAATAATTTTTGGCTGGGCACAGTGGCTCACGCCTAGAATCCCAGCACTTTGGGAGACTGAGGGGGGAGGATCGCTTGAGCCCAGGAGTTCAAGATCAGCCTGGACAACATGGCGAAACCCTGTCTCTACAAAAAATACAAAAATTAGCCAGGCGTAGTGTCATGTGCCTGTAGTCTCAGCTACTTGAGATGCTGAGGTTGGAGGATTGCTTAAGCACAAGAGGTCAAGGCTGCAGCGAGCCATGATCATGCCACTGCACTCCAGCCTGGGAGACAGTGAGACCCTATCTCAAAATAAAATAAAATAAAATAATAAAATAAAAATAATTTTTAGCGTAAAAGGAAGGATCCTGAGACCAAAGCTTGAGAACCACTGCCTTACACTAAGCCTGCTCAGCAGGCAGAGTTGAGCTATAATGTAGCTATGCCTCTACTTTTGCACACCGATTCTACCAAATTAATGATCTTTTCACATGCCTGTCTCTTCCACTACTCTGTGCACCTCCTGATGGTGTCTATTCATCTTAAACACTACCCCCACACCCCCAACCGGCATCTGGCACAGAGTAGAAATTCCAGATAAATGAATGAGGTAAGAGATAAGCCCATGTGGACAGACATCACAGGCTGCCGAGTGAACAGCCCACAGATGTTCACAGGATGGTGGATATATACATGCGTTATTTTTTCAAACTGACTCAAGTTGTTACTGAGACTCTGACCTGAATTTAAACATAAAAGATAAACATTTTTAAAACCCAGAAAGTTCAAAAAAAATTAACCTAAGAAACAATTCTGCTGTTTCTACTCTGTTAAACTTTCAGGAACATACTTGCAAGCAAATAACCAGTAAAATCCATCATGCCAGTGGATGCCATAACTTCAGCCAAAATGATTTGCCATTAAAAAGTGAAATGTGGCCTGGGCCATATTCTGAACAAATAGTCCAAGAGCCAAGAGAAGCAAACATGCATAAAATACAAAACACTACATTATTCTAAGAATGAAGAGAAGGTCATACCCTCGGGGCAAGGACTACCAATGAGCATGCTTTTCCATTTTTGTTCCCCATCAAAATGAGAAAAAAAAAAGCAGATTGCACTTGAGAATCCAGGCCACAGCTATAGTGTTTGCTTTCTGGTTTCATGATTGTCACTCCACTATTTTCTTTTTTTTTTTTTTTTGAGACAGAGTCTCACTCTGTCACCCAGGCTAGAGTGCAGTGGCACGATCTTAGCTCACTGCAACCTCCACTTCCTGGGTTCAAGCGATTCTCCTGCCTCAGCCTCCCGAGTAGCTGGGATTACAGGCACCCGCCACCATGCCCAGCTAATTTTTGTATTTTTAGTAGAGACAGGGTTTCACCATGTTGGTCAGGCTGGTCTCGAACTCCTGACCTTGTGATCCGCCCACCTCGGCCTCCCAAAGTGCTGGGATTGCAGGTGTGAGCCACCATGTCCGGCCCACTCCACCATTTTCATAAGCCAAGCAGCCCTCCAGCATATCTGGGAGCAGCCACTTGCACAGCTCACGGAGTGAAAACACCCATGCCCACTTCCAGTCTTGGGGTGGGAAAGATAGGTTGTGCCCCATCCTCCTCTTTGTCTCTGACACATTCTCTTGAAAAATGAGAAGAAGGAATCAATGCTGGATGCAGGGTTGGTGCCTTTAGCAAAATGGGCTTCTAGGCAAAGGAGGACGACAGTGAATGCTGACAACCAGGGAAGGTGGGGGTGATGTGGTCTGTGTGTGTGTATCAGAGGGAGGAAGGGAGGGAGAGAGAGACTTGGAGCCTAGAGAAGCAGTGTGCTTTTCCAGGCAAGTGTGTGGTGGCTTTTCCTGAGACCAGCCCCATCAGAAACCCAACTGGGCAGTTACTGCTGGTGATCCAGAAATCAGGTATCTTGGCCATGCGTAGTGGCTCATGTCTGTAATCCCAGCACTTTGGGAGGTCGAGATGGCAGATCACTCGAGGCCAAGAGTTTGAGACCAGCCTGGCCAACATGGCAAAACCCCATCTCTACTAAAAATACAAAAATTAGCTGAGCGTGGTGTTGTGCCCCTGTAAACCCAGCTACTCAAGAGGCTGTGGTGGGAGATGTGCTTGAACCCAGGAGGCGGAGGTTGCAATGAGCCAAGATTGTGTGCATCATCAGTTTTATATATATATATATATATATATATATATAGACAGAGAGAGAGAGAGAGAGATGTTGTTTATCATCTTGGAATTTCTTTTTTAAAACGTTTCAATTAACATACTAAACACTTCCCACTCCTTTTCACATTTGCAAAAGTGTTGTTTACATCACTATGGAAACAAGGACTTTCAGGAACCTGGAAGACCTATCACTGGGGTCCTCACTTAGTTAACATCAATAAAGATTCTGACCTCTGAAAACAGGGCTCTTTAGGTCCCTGTGGTCCCTGATTGTAATTTCGGATGCCACTGAGGCTACCAGGTCACTGGGCAGTTCTCTTAGTAGCCTTTGCAGGGGGTCAGATTCGAGTGGCTGGCCAACAAGGTATAAATGTCAAATACAGTTTCAAAGAACTTAATAGAATGACAGTTGTGGTAAAGCTTTTACTTACTGAGTACCTAGAATGTATGTATATTACCTCATTTATTTCTCAGAAATGTTCCAAGGTTGGCATTCACACTTCCATTTTACAGATGATAAAACTGAGCCTCAGGGAAGTTATATCACCTACGTTATATCACATCTATAGCCTCAGGGAGGTTATATCACATCTGGAAAGTAGCAGAGGCAGGACTTGAACCCAGGTCAATGCCAAAACTCATTCTCTTGGCACTGCCCAACCTTCCTATAACCTCCACATGCCAGGCTTACCAATGCCCTTGTTTAGAATCAGCTGATTTACATGTTTTCCGTGTGTTTTCATGACATTTCCTTTTTCTAGGAAAAATGTTCACTGGATCAGATGAATAGACCCCTGGCATTTTCCATTCCTAATACCTCGATTCAGTTCACAATGTCCCCACCTCTCTTCTGGCCCAGCTCTTACTTCCCTGCTGCCATGCAGGGAAGCATTATTAACAGATCTAGCTGGGCAAACCCAATAAAAAATTTTCATAACACCTTTGCTCAGATAGGTCCAACAACAAGGACATTTTCAGATGAGAAATCTTGCCCTGAATATTGGAGAAAAGCCATAAGCCTCAGATTCAATTAAAGGCTTCAAAGAAAAGTTTATTTTGAAAACTCGTGTGCAACCACGTGCTCAACTCCGGATGCATTCACCACCAGTGAGGACCCCAGGCCCAGCACATCCAACAAGGACCCAGGGAAAGGAAAGCTTCTCAAACAGTCACCAATCCCTGTCCCTGAGCCCTCCCCAAACCACCCCCACCTGCCCACTTTTGGGGGTGAGCACCACCACTCACCCAGAAGGGCCGTCTGCGGGTGGGTCCGAGCGTGTCTGCCCCTAGAGATGGACCTCCCACGTGACCGCTCCCTGGCCTCGGCAGGGAGGAGGACGATCTGTCCGAGGATCAGCAGAAAGCAGCCTGCGAGCATCTTTTCCATTTTCAAGGCGAGCAAGAGGGGCAAGGCTGTGACAAACACAACACAAGAAGAGGGCAGGGTGAGATTTCCGGGTCTCCCTGAACTCCAGGAGCTGCAGGCCCGCTGCCCCGCCTTTTCAGAGTTCAAACAGACCACTTGCACTCAAAATGCCGTTTGTGTGTTTGGCCTTTGAGAGCTTAAGTAGCCCCCGTTGGTAGGCTCTTCTTGGACGCTCCGAGCAGGGCATGCATAGTTGGAATTTTTCATCACTTTAATCACTGTAAGACTGAATGGAAAACTTGAGAAAAATCTATCCTGAAGTTTCTTATCAGTTAAGTTCATTATCAATTACTCATAGTCACATTTTACATTTTGGATTTGAATAAAAAAAAGCTATTACATATCTGAGAGTTCCAAGTAACAATATTTGTTCAGTCTAATAATAGTAGATGGCATCAATTAGTTTATATAAATTATACATATAAAATTCATGTGTAGTTGACATAAAGTAGCATCACATATCCAGCCTCCCAGCCTCCCTGTCTCCCACATACATTTATTACAAGAGTGTTGGCACAGTGGTTATGGGCTTGGACTCTGGTACTAGACTGAGGCCATGTGCCAGGCCCTATTCTAAATTCTTTACCTATATTAACTTGCTCCATTACCTAATATTATTCCCACATTCCCATAAGGCTCAGGAAGGGTCAGTGGCCTGCCCAAGGTCACACACAGTTAGCAAGTGTCAGAGCCAGAATTCAAACCCAGGGTCAAGTCTAGGTGCCATGGCTCATGTCTGCAATCCTAGTGCTTTAGGAGGCCTAGATAGAAGGATTGCTTGATGCCAGAAGTTTGAAACCAGCCTGGTCCACACAGCAAGGCCTCGTTTCTACAAAAAAAAAATTTAAATTTATTTAAAAAGTTAAAAAAGTCCAGGTGTGGTGACTCACACCTGTAATCCCACCACTTTGGGAGGCCAAGGTGGGCACATCACTTGAGGCCAAGAGTTTGAGACCAGCCTGGCCAACACAGCGAAACCCAATCTCTACTAAAAATACAAAAATTAGCCAGGTGTGGTGGCTCGTGCCTGCAGTCCTAGCTACTTAGGAGGCCGAGGCACAAGAATCACTTGAACCCAGGACTGCAGTGAGCAGAGACTGCACCACTACACTCCAGCCTGGGTGACAGCACGAGACCCTATCTCAAAAAAAAAAAAAGGTAAAACAAATTCAAACCCAGGACTAGCAGGTCAATTTTCCAATGCATTGATTAGTAGAAAACTGAAAGGAAAATCCCCAGAAATCAAGTCATGAAATGCCATAGTTCTTTCTTTGTCAGAGGCAGGGACAGGGCAGGGGTGGGGCAGGGACCATGTTTCAAAACTTAAAAAAAAACCTCACTATTTCAGCGAACTGTTTGTTCAGCAAATTGCTTCCAGAAATTGACCTGGGAATGGACCTGGGCCTGTCAACCTTCAGAGTCCAGTTTTTCACACTTGCTGTATTGAACTAGCTCACTCTTTTTAATATAATTTTACTATGCATTAAGATTATATTAAAAATAGTGAATGTTTATTCAGCATCTCCTATGTGCCAGGCACTGGGCCAAGTGCCTTCAACGTATTAAGTGATTTAATTTATAGAGTATCTCAGAGAAGTAACTTGCCCAAGGTTACATCGCTCATAAGAGGTGAAGTTCCAGAACCCACTAGCTCAGTGGTCCCCAATCTTTTTGGCATCAGGGACCAATATTGTGGAAGACAATTTTTCCACAGACCCAGCTGTGGGGGTGGTTTTGGGATGATTCAAGTGCATTACATTTATTGTGCACTTTATTTCTATTATTATTACATTGCAATATATAATGAAATAATTATACAGCTCAACATAATGTAGGAATCAGTGGGAGCCCTGAGCTTGTTTTCCTGCAACTAGATGTTCTCATCTGGGAGTGACGGGAGACAGTGACAGGTCATCAGGCATTAGATTCTCATAAGGAGTGTGCAGTTCATGATAGGGTTCATGTTCCTATGAGAATCTAATGCCTTAATTTGTGCAGCAGCAATTTAAAAAAAAGAATCTAATGGATCTAACGGTGCTGGTGATCTGACAGGAGGCAGAGCTCAGGTGGTAACACAGGCGATGGGGAGCGGCTGTAAATACAGATGAAGCTGAGCTCGCCCACTGCTCACCTCCTGCTGTGCGGCCTGGTTCCTAACAGACCATGGACTAATTCCGGGTGGGGGTTGGGGACCCCTGCACTAGCTCATTACAAATAACTACTCTCCTCACCCCCCTTTTTAAACCATTTAAACTCTTTTTTTGAGACAGGGTCTCACTCTCTCACCCAGGCTAGAATGCAGTGGTGTGATCATGGCTCACGGCAGCCTCAACCTCCCAGGCTCGAGGGATCCCCCAACTTCAGCCTCCCAAGTAGCTGGGACTACAGGTGTGAGCCAACACACCCAGCCTATTTAAACTCTTTACTAATTAGATTGATCCCTTTTCATAGCTTTAACTCTGAGATTCCTTCTGAACAAAGGAAGAAAACTTAGAACATCTTGCCCCTTTCTCAAATCCTAAACTTACTATTTACTTTCAAGCTGCCTTGCTATTTATCATCTCAGGGTTTTTGTTAGTGGTGGGAGGACAGGGTCTCACTCTGTCATCTAGGCTGGAGTGCAGTGGCACAATAACTCACTGGCTCTTTGAACTCCTGAACTCCAGTGATCCTCCCACCCAAGCCTCCCGAGTAGCTGGGACTACAGGTGTGCACCATCATGCCCTCACCTTATTTTATAAAACACTATTCAGTGTGTTACATCATTTATATGTGATTTATGATTTTATTGCTATTCCCCTTTCTCCAAACCGAGCAGATAAAAAGTCTAGGCTTATTTGTTTCAAAATGTATACAACATGCTCTCAAGGCCCACTTCCACTCCGAGGCATATGCACTCAACACTTGGAATATGATGTGGTGTGTGATCATTTCCAAAAAACAAACATCATTGCATGTGGTTTGGGTTTACTGTGGATTTCAAGAAATGTTTGTATTTTCAAGTCACCATTGCTAACCAAAAGGCACTGAGGATAGGTGAAGAGTGAGGAGTTAAAAATAAACAAAGCAAAATAATGCTAGCTGTCCAACCCTGAGCAGGTTACTTACCCTCTCTTGACCTCAGTTTCCTCATCTTTAAAACGGAGATAACAGTAGACCTAATTGTTATATAGAATCAATCGGTTCATATGTAGATATATTTAAAGCACTTCAAACACTGCCTGGCACATAGAAAGTGCTGAATTTAAGTGTTAGCTATTCCGTGTTGTTGTTGTTGTTGTTGTTGTTATTTGGAGACAGAGTCTCGCTGTCGCCCAGGCAGGAGTGCAGTGGCACGATCTTGGCTCACTGCAACCTCTGCCTCCTGGGTTCAAGCAATTCTCATGCCTCAGCCGCCCCAGTAGCTGGGACTACCGGTGCGCCACACCATGCCCAGCTAATTTTTTGTATTTTAGTAGAGGCGGGGTTTCATCATGTTGCCCAGGCTGGTCTTGAACTCCTCACTCACCTCAGCTTCCCAAAGTGCTAGGATTACAGGCATGAGCCACCACACTCGGCCTGTTGTTGCTGTTATTATTTTTGGTATTATTCTGTAATCAAACCAATCAATAGTATACACTGTTGACTGGGTGCAGTGGCTCACACCTGTAATCCCAGCACTTTGGAGGCTAAGGTGGGTGTATCACCTGAGGTCAGGAGTTCAAGGCCAGCCTCATCAACATGGAGAAATCCCGTCTCTACTAAAAATACAAAATTAGCTGGGCATGGTGGTGCAAGCCTGTAATCCCAGCTACTTGGAAGGCTGAGGCAGGAGAATTTATTAAACCCGGAAGGTGAAGGCTGCAATGAGCCAAGATTGCACCATTGCACTCCAACCTGGGCAACAAGAGCAAAAGCAAAACTCCATCTCAGAAAAAAAAAAAAAGAAAAAAAAGAAAGTATACACTGCTAATTTTGTCATATTAAGCCACTTAATGTATATTAGACAGATTTTATGCTTACTTATGTATATTATCCTAATAATGACATACAAACCCATAATTGTTAAATACACATTAGTATCTAAAAATATTTAAAACTTTCTTTTTATCAAAATGTAATGGCAAAAGGCTGGGGTGCAGTGGCTCATGCCCATAATCCCAGCACTTTGGGAGGCGAAGGCAGGGCAACATGGCAAAACCCTGTCTCTATAAAAAATACAAAAATTAGGCCAGGCACAGTGGCTCACGCCTGTAATCCCAGCACTTTGGGAAGCTGAGGTGGGCAGATCACGAGGTCAGGAGATCGAGACCATCCTGGTTAACACGGTGAAACCCCGTCTCTACTAAAAATACAAAAAATTAGCCGGGTGTGGTGGCGGGCACCTGTAGTCCCCCAGCTACTCAGGAGGCTGAGGCAGGAGAATGGTGTAAACCCAGGAGGCAGAGCTTGCAGTGAGCCGAGATCATGCCACTGCACTCCAGTCTGGGGACAGAGTGAGACTCTGTCTCAAAAAAAAAAAAAAAAATTAGCTGGGAAGGTTGGCACACACCTGCAGTCCCAGCTACTTGGGAGGCTGAGACTGGAGGATTGCTTGAGCCCGAGAGGTCGAGGTGGCAGTGAGCCATAATCACACCACTGTACTCCAGCCTGGGTAACAGAATGAGACTCTGTCTCAAAACAAACAAACAAAGTGCAATGGCATGACAAGTTACAGACTAGTAGAAAATATTTGTAAAATATGTATCTGATCGATTATTTCTATCCAGACTATATACACTTTTTTTTTTTTTTTTTTGAGACAGAGTCTCACTCTGTCACCCGGGCTGGAGTGCAATCGCGCAATCTTGGCTCACTGCAACCTCCGCCTCCTGGGTTCAAGCGATTCTCCTGTCTCAGCCTCCTGAGTAGCTGGGACTACAGGCTAATTTTTGTATTTTTAGTAGAGATGAGGTTTCACTATGTCGGCCAGGCCAGTCTCGAACTCCTGACGTCGGGCAATCTGCCTGCCTTGGCCTCTCAGGGTGCTAGGTTTACAAGCATGAGCCACAGCACCTGGCCGGGACTATGTAAACTCTTATCACTCAATTAGAAGAGGATAAACCCACTTCAGAATGTGCAAAAGATTTGAATAGTCACATCACCAAAGAAGATACACGGATGAAAAATAAACATATGAAAACACGTTCAACATCTTTAGTCATTAGAAAAATACAAATTAAAAGCACAATAAGACGCCACAACAAATCTGCTGGAATAGATAAAATTGAAAAGAGTATATTGAAAAGAGTATAATAGTGACCTAGGAATATGAAAAAATTTAAAAACAATTTTTAAAAGACTGACGTAACCAAGTGTTGGTGAAGATGTGAAGAAACTGGAACCTTGGCTCGGCACGGTGGTGCATACTCGGAATCCCAGAACTTTGGTAGGTCAAGGTAAGCAGGTCATGCTGCCCAGGAGACCAGCCTGGGCAACATGGCGAAATCCCATCGCTACAAAACATACAAAAATTAGCCAGACATGGTGGCACAAAGGAAGAAAACTTAGAACAGCTACTCGAGGGAGGGGCTGAGGTGGGAGAATCGCTTGAGCCCAGGAGGTCAAAGCTGCAGTGAGCCATGATCACTGCCACTGCACCCCAGCCTGGGTGACAGAGCAAGACCCGGCCTCAAAAAAAAGAAAAAAAGAAAGAAAATCTTACAGTGACTTGAAAACTAACATGAAATCTTCTAAAGTTCCTTTAAGTAGAAATATTTTTAATATAAAATATTTTTAAAGAAAGTAAATTAAAAATAATACATTAAAAAAAGGAATTATGATGTTAACTGTGGGCTTGTGAAAAAGACAAATAATAAGGGTCAGGCATGGTGGCTCATGCCTGTAATCCCAGCACTTTGGGAAGCTGAGGCGGGCAGATCACCTGAGGTCAGAAGTTTGAGACCAGCCTGGCCAACATTGTGAAACCCCGTCTCTACTAAAAATACAAAAAAATTAGCCAGGCATGGTGGCGCACACCTGTAATCCCAGCTACTTGGGAGGGTGAGGCAGGAGAATTGCTTGAACCCGGGAGGCAGAGGTTGCAGTGAGCCAAGATCACACCATTGCACTCCAGCCTGGGCAACAACAGAGTGAGACTCTGTCTCAAAAAAAAAAAAAAAAAAAAAAAGATAAGTAATAAAGGAATGGGAAAAGGATACCATATAGATGCCAACATAAAATCAGTGTGGCAATATCAGTACCAGACAAGATAGATTTTTTCCTAAAAACTGCAATGGCAGTGAAACAAGAAAAAAATAAGTCAGTGCATGTATCCATCTCAATGGTTGTTTCTCAGTTTGGCATTTACAGCTGTCAGCATTTGAAGATCAGGACCCATTTCTAACTGGAAAATGGAATGATATTTGAGAACAGTTCCTTTCATTTTTGGGCATCTGAGAAGAATTTCTGTGCTGAGAAATAGAGAGGTTAATTCAGTCCGAACAGATTCCATGAAGCATTTGGGAACATGGAAAGAATATTTTAAAATAATACAACGGCTTTGACTTTTGTTTTAACAGTTTTTCTCTTCTCCATGGGACAATGAGTCTTTTCATTTAACTTCACCAAGGGGGTGGGGGAAGAGAGAGAAGATTATTCTGTCTTAACTACGGGTTCTTCTAAGCATCACTGTTGCAAGTAAATCCACAGGCGAATAGAATTCCCTCCAGAGCCAGAACTGTATGGTGTGGGCCTTGAGACCAGAGGCCTGGTTCTGCACACCTGCATGACCTCACCTAGGTAACAACTCTCTGGGCTTTAACTAGTCATCCATAAAATAAGAGGCATGGCCTGGGAGCCAAGTTTCTCAATCTAAACCAGACCATTGGCAAGATCCTGCTATCCTGAAGAAGGTGGCAAGATCCCCTCTCCAGTGGTAACCCCACCTCCAGACAAAAAGAGAAAGGGGACAGGACACTAATATTTATTAAGTGTCTGGATGGGACAGCCAGTGAACTGGGCATTTTTCACAGTATCATCTCATTTGATCCCCACAATCATTCTGTGAGGTGGATGAGTTCCAAATTTGATGGATGGAACACTAAGATTTATAGGTGGAAAGACCTCTCCAAGGCCTCAGAACTTGTTAACTGGCAGAGACAATATTCTACCCTGGCACCTCTCAGGCAGTCAGTCTACTTGTTAAGAATAAGATTTTCAGGCCGGGCATGGTGGCTCATGCCTGTAATCCCAGAACTTTGGGAGACCAAGAAGGATGCATCACTTGAGGCCAGGATTTCGAGACCAGCCTGGACAACATGGTGAAATCCCATTGTAGCAGGATTTTTTAAGGAATCAGAGAGACCAATGGGGTTGAGGAGGATATTTATTATTTAGGTGTGCATCAGCCCAGTCGGATTAACATCCAAAGGACTGAGCCCTGAACAAAGAGTTAAGTTAGCTTTTAAGCATTTCGTGGGGTGTGGGGAGATCTGTGCAGGGGGAAGCATATTACAGCAAGAAACAAAGACAATAATTCAATTAATTGAGAGACATGCATTACATCATTTCTTACTTTCCAAGGAAAAACATGTTTTATGACTTGAGTTTATCTGTCTAGTAACCTTGCAGCTGCACAGCTAGAGAAACAGGGTCTTCACAATGCCTGGGAGAGGAGGAGAGATAAGGCTCACTAGCCACAGAAAAACAGGCAGTTAATTTTTAAAGGACTCCAGCTCTTTCTCTTTCTCAGGGGGAATTGAGTTTTCTTATATACAACTGAGCTTCTGCTTACACATATTCTTTAATTTCTTTTAATTCCTGTTCCACCATCTCTACTAAAAATACAAAAATTAGCCAGGCATGGTGGTGCACACCTGTAATTCCAGCTACTCGGGAGGCTGAGGCAGGAGAATCATTTGAACGCGAGAGGCAGAGGCTGCAGTGAGCTGAGATGGCGCCACTGCACTGCAGCCTGGGTGACAATGCAAGACTTGGTCTCAAAAAAAAAAAAAAAAAAGAAAGAAAGATTTTTCTAACGATAAATTCCTAGACATCAGGCTCAATAGTTTTGCCAAAGATCTCTTTGTCAGCATACCAGGTATGCACACCAACTGTTCTATGAGTTCACAGAGAATCATACAATACTGGAGCTGTGTGAATTTCAGGCTGTACCTTCCTGTCTTCCACCTAATCCTGGAATCCCTAGCAAATGGGAAGACAACCTCTGGCTAGGATTCAAGGCCATCCACAATCTTCAGGCAGCTCTAAATGTTAGACCTCAGTTCTCCGCGATGTTGACCTGATGCTGTCTGTAACTTCCACCCAGTGGTGCAGGCCTGCTTGCCAATTCAGCCTGTCCAGACACAAAGTCATCTTTTCCTCAAATCCTTTCATGGTCATGCTAACCCCATCTGCCCAGCCATCTAGGCCAGAAATTTGGGAGCCAGCTTCCACGTGTCCTCTGTATCCTCAACACATTTGTGAGTGGATAAATTCTGGTGTTCCCACCTCTGCACAGCTCCCCTGTCCAGGCCTCCTGACAGTTCCCACTGCTGCAGCGAATGTTCTACCCACACCCTTTCTCAGCCAGACTCCCAGGAGCCTCAGAACTGCCCTCCCTGCCTTGGGTCCCTCATCTACTGGCCCTTCCCTTGTGATTTTGAATCTGCCTGTGGCCTCACTGTGCAATGTTAACATTCAAGGCCCTCCTTGACTGGCCACTGCCCACCTCTCTGACCATGGTGGCCCCCACATCCACCCCAGCCTCCCCATTAGGGCTTGAAGAACTCAGACTCTTGTCATAGCGGGGCGCCTCCATCCATGCCGGTCCCTCACCCTGAAATTTCTACATTCTACATTCATCGAAATTGCATTCAGTCCTCAAGCCTCAGCTCACATGTCACTCATGCTGTAAAATATTCTCTCGGTTTTCTAATGAGAACTGACTGCTTCATAGACCCCTGACAATGGGTTTGTTGTCTGCTGCAGCATGCACCTTGTCACCTCTGTTTGCTTCTTGTGCTAGGTACCAAATTGTGTGAATAAATTTTTTTAAAATTATTAATTTGAACAAACATATTTATTGATCTTTCATTAATTAACAAAATATTAGTTGAAGCAAAATGGCCCTGGTTCTGCATCCAAAAAGTACCAAAGTCAAGTCCATGTCTTCCTCTACGTACTATGTTTGCCTGAATGTAGGCGACTGTAATAGGAGGATAACATCTTCCTTCTTCTTCTTTTTTTTTTGAGATGGAGTTTCGCTCTTGTTGCCCAGGCTAGAGTGTAGTGGCATGATCTCGGCTCACTGCAACCTCCACCTCCTAGATTCAAGTGACTCTCCTGCCTCAGCCTCCCAAGTAGCTGGGATTACAGGCACCCGCCACCATGCCCAGCTAATTTTTTGTATTTTTAGTAAAGATGGGGTTTCACCACGTTGGCTAGGCTGGTCTTGAACTCCTGACCTCAAGTGATTCCCCCGCCTTGCTCTCCCAAAGTTCTGGGATTATAGGCATGAGCGACCATGCCTGGACTTCTTCTTCTTTTTTTTTTTTTGAGACAGAGTCTTGCATTGCTGCCCAGGTTGGAGTTGCACAATAATGGCTCATTGTAGCCTTGACCTCCTGGGCTCAAGCAATCCTCCTGCCTCAGCCTCCCCAGTAACTGAGACTACACCAGTACCCCCACGTTTTTGTATTTTTTGTAGAGATGGGGTTTTGCCATGTTGTCCAGCTGGCCGTGAGCTCCTGGGCTCAATGATCCTCCAGCCTTGGCCTCCCAAGTGCTGGGATTACAGGTGTGAGGCACTGTGCCTGGCTCCTATTTTTCCTGATTGGAAGACCCCACATACAATTTCTTGGTCAGCTTGAATATTTTAAAGGATATAGATGAAATATCAAGTATCTACTTATAATAATGTATCAGTTAAGTCACAAATACATATTTAAAACATTTTAAGTTATAAAATAATGTGTTAATTTAGAAAAAACTGCTTTTTTCATTTTATAAATGTTCCATAACTTTTTTTTTCCATAAAACAATGTTTTCAAATGCCTTACCTGCCTCTCTAACATCGGTTTTGTTTTTTTTTGTTTTTGTTTTTGTTTTTTGGTTTAGTACTCAGCAGTCATCCCGAAATCCTGGGTGAGACTGCATGGAAATGGAAGCTATGCATGCTAAAAGCAACCAGGCACAGGGCATGGGGCCTTACCCCACATACACTTTGGACACTCACTGTCTCCAGACTTCTTGAACACAAGACAGAAATAAACTTCTTTCTTTAACCCACTGTCATTTCATTTTTTCTGTAACTTGCAGCTGAACTTAATCCTAACCAGTAGACTGTTTTTAAGTCTCTCCTAATGAATGCATTTGGCACCAGTGCTAAATACAATCTTCCCTTCCTGAATTTCTGCAGGTGGAATTGCATTTATGACAACTGAGATATGGGTAGGTAGTCACTCCCTTTCAAAATGAAGTAGGCAAGGAGCAGAAGCTCATGCCTGTAATCCCAGCACTTCGGGAGGCTGAGGTGGGAGAAGCACATGAGCCCAGGAATTTGAGACCAGTCTGGGCAATATAGTGAGACTTCATCTCTACAAAAAAAAAAAAAGTTTTTTTTTTGAGACTGAGTTTCACTCTCGTTGCTCAGGCTGGAATGCAATGGCGCGATCTCGACTCACTGCAACCTCCGCCTCCCGGGTTCAAGCAATTCTCCTGCCTCAGCCTCCAGAGTAGCTGGGATTACAGGCATGCACCACCATGCCCGGCTAATTTTGTATTTTTAGTAGAGACAGGGTTTCTCCATGTTGGTCAGGCAGGTCTCAAACTCCCAACCTCAGATGATCCGCCCGCCTCGGCCTCCCAAAGTGTTAGGATTATGGGCATAAGCCACTGTGCCTGGCCCCCCCAAAAAATTTTTTTTAAATTAGCTGAGCATGGTGGTACACACTTATAGTCCCAGCTACTCGGGAGGCTGAGGTGGGAGGATTGCTTGAGCACCAGGAGGTTGAGGCTGCAGTGAACTACGATCATGCCACTGTGCTTCAGCCTGGGTGACAGACAGAGACCTTATCTCAAAAAAAAAAAAAAAAAGAAGTGTGAATGGAAACAATCTCAACAGCCCTTAACAATAGTACAGAAAAACTGTGGTGTGGCCATATAATGGGATATTACGCAGCAATAAAAAAGAATTAATTACGGCATATTAATTACATGAGAAATTTACAAATATAACATTGAACAAAATAACATTCAAAAATGGAAAAAATGTATCCACAATCATAGGAATCAGGATTGTGGTTAGACTTGGCTTGTTAGTGCACAGAAAGAGCCTGAGCGGGGATTCTGGGTGCTGGCAATGTTCTATTTATTGATCAAAATGCTGGTTACACATGGGTTTATGTCATGAAAACTAATCCAGCTGCTTCCTTGATTAGTGTACTTTTTTGTATGTATACGTCAATAAGAAGTTTGTAGGCCAGGCGCAGTGGCTTAAGCCTGTAATGCTAGCACTTTGGGAGGCTGAGCCGAGCAGATTGCTTGAGCTCAGGAGTTCAAGACCAGCCTGGTCAATATTGTGAGACCCTGTCTCTACAAAAAATACATGAATTGTCCAGGCGCGGTGGCTCATGCTTGTAATCCCAGCACTTTGGGAGGCCAAGGCAGGCAGATCACCTGAGGTCGGGAGTTCAAGACCAGCCTGACCAACATGGAGAAATCCCAACTCAACTAAAAATACAAAATTAGCCGGGCATGGTGGTGCATGCCTGTAATCCCAGCTACTCGGGAGGCTGAGGCAGGAGAATTACTTGAACCTGGGAGGCGGAGGTTGCAGTGAGCCGAGATTGCGCCATTGCACTCCAGCCTGGGTGACAAGAGCGAAACTCTGTCTCAAAAAAAAAAAAAAAAAAAATACAATAATTAGCCAAGCGTGGTGGCACATGCCTGTAGTCTCAGCTACTCGGGAGGCTGAGGTGGGAGGTTGGCTAGAGCCAGGAAGTTGCAGTGAGCTAGGATCATGCCACTGCACTCCAGCCTGGGCGACAGTCAGACCATGTCTCAAAAGAAAAAAAGAGAAGTTTGCTTAAAAAGGAGGCAAATACTCGGCCAGGCGCAGTGGCTCACGCCTGTAATCCCAGCACTTTGGGAGGCTGAGGCGGGTGGATCATGAGGTCAGGAGATCGAGACCATCCTGGCTAACACGGTGAAACCCCATCTCTACTAAAAATACAAAAAATTATCTGGTCAGGGTGGCGGGCACCTGTAGTCCCAGCTACTCAGGAGGCTGAGGCAGGAGAATGGTGTGAACCTGGGAGGTGGAGCTTGCAGTGAGCCGAGATCGAGCCACTGCACTCCAGCCTGGGCGACAGAGTGAGACTCCACCTCAAAAAAAAAAAAAAAAAAAAAAACAGGCAAATACTCTACACAGATCCAGAGAGCAAAATAAAAATAAAAAATAAAGTAAGATAAAGCAGACAAAATTAACCTATGGTGATAGAAGGTAAAATAGTAGTTGCCTTAGGGGAAGACGATAATTTATTTGGGGTCCAAAGGGGGCTATGGGTGCAGATCTTGGGGGCAGTTACATGACAGTGGAGAGTGCTCACTTGTAAAACTCCATTGAGATTTCCCTCATGATTTGTGCACCTTTTTATATGTTCCTCTGATTTAAAAGAAAAAAATTAACTTAACAAATAAAGTGTGCAGTTCCAGGCTCTATTGCCCTCAGATCCTTCCACCAACAGAGGGACTGAGAGACCTGAGAGCTGCGGGAGAAATTTTGAAGAGTTTAACAGGTGTTCTCTCTTGAGTGGGCCATTGTGCACATTCTGGAAGGGGGTGGTTATTAAGAATGAGGCAGCCCAGGCGGACACTATTTGGAACTCCTTCTCAGGTCCTGTGGCAGGCAGAATAATTGCCCTCCAAAGATGTCTACATCATAATTCCCAGAAGCTGGGAATATGTGATGTTAGATGGCAAAGGGAATTAAGGTTGCTAATCAGATGACCT
This sequence comes from Homo sapiens, assembly GCF_000001405.40. Taxonomy (NCBI): domain Eukaryota; kingdom Metazoa; phylum Chordata; class Mammalia; order Primates; family Hominidae; genus Homo; species Homo sapiens. The sequence continues at coordinate 97,875,089 of NC_000008.11, read as the reverse complement.
TAAAAAAGGGGAGATGATCCTGGATTATCTAGGTGGGCCAATGTAATCACGAGCGTCCTCAAAAGTAGAAGAGGGGCCAGGGGCGGTGGCTTGTGCCTGTAATCCCAGCATTTTGGGAGGTCGAGGCGGACAGATCACAAGGTCAAAAGTTCGAGACCAGCCTGACTAACATGGTGAAACCCCATCTCTACTAAAAATAGAAAAATTAGCCAGGCATGGTGGCTCGCGCCTGTAATCCCAGCTGCTCAGGAGGCTGAGGCAGGAGAATCGCTTGAACCCAGGAGCCAGAGGTTGCAGTAAGCTGAGATCACACCACTGCACTCCAGCCTGGGCAACAGAGCAAGACTCTGTCTCAAAAAAAAAAAAGTAGAAGAGGTCAGGGCATGGTGGCTCATGCCTGTAATCCCAGCACTTTGGGAAACCAAGGCAGGAGGATTGCTTGAGCCCAGGAGTCGAAGATCAGCCGGGCAAGATAGAGAGACCCTGTCTCTACAAAAAATTAAAATTAAAAAAAAATTTAGCCAGACATGGTGGCACAATCCTTGTAGTCCCAGCTACTTGGGAGCCTAAATAAGAGGGTCACTTAAACCCGGGAGACTGAGGTTTCAGTGAGCCGTGATCGCACCACTGCATGATAGCCCGGGCGACAGAGCAAAACCTTGTCTCAAACAAAAAAAAAAAAAGAAGAAGAAGAAGAAGAGGAAGGCAGAAGAGAGATCTGAGGTGTGGCAGTGAGAGAAGGATGCAGCCTGACATTGCTGGCTTTGAAGATGGAAGCAAACCGAGCAATGCGTGCAGCCTCTGGAAGTTGGAAAAGGCAGGGGAACAAATTCTCCCTGCTGACACCTGGATTTTTAGCCCCATGAGAACCATTTCAGAATTGTGGCCTCCAGAACTGTAAGATAATAAATCTGTGTTTTAAGTCACTAAGTTTGTGCTAACTTGTTACAGCAGCAATAGGAAACTAGTACAGACACCGTCTGGGAATCTCAGGGAGGTCAAACGTCACTAGAGTGATTTGCTTCACAGAGATCTTGCTCTGGACATGAGGGCATTTTTTCTATTTCACTAGAAATGGAAGAGGAGAAGCAGCTAGAAAAGTCAACAAATGCTGTTGATGGGGCAACAGTGACTGTTCTAAGGGCCAAAGTTGAGGGTTACTGGCCAGGCGTGGTGCCTCACGCCTATAATCTCAGTACTTTGAGAGGCTGAGGCAAGAGGATCACTTGAACTCAGGAGTTCGAGACCAGCCTGGACAACATGGCGAGACCCTGTCTCTGTAAAAAAAAAGTTTTTACAAAAATCTAAAAAAGAAACAAATTTGAGGGTTACTCAAGGGGAGGGAGAAAGCCCAAAAAGGACAGGAAGGAGCCATTTCTGAACTGAGTTTCAAGAAGCATTTGATCCATAGCCTTGACCCCTCTGGTCTTGAGCTTTTGGTCTTTAAGACATGTGAAAACAGCCAAGCATGGTGGCTCACACCTGTAAACTCAGCACTTTGGGAGGCTGAGTCAGGTGGATCATGAGGTCAAGAGTTTGAGACCAGCCTGGCCAACATGGTGAAACCCTGTCTCTACTAAACATACAAAAATTAGCAGGGCATGGTGTTGCAACTTGGGAGGCTGAGGTAGGAGGATCACCTGAACCTGGGAGGCAGAGGTTGCAGTGAGCAGAGATTGTGCCACTGCACTCTAGCCTGGGCAACACAGAGAAACTGTCTGGGAAAAAAAAAAAAAAGAAAAAAAGAGATGTGAAAACAAACTCACCTAACTGGGAGGGTACAGGGAGAAGCCCTAAACAGAAGTGAGCTAAAACTCTTTGATTTAGATCATTTTCTCTAATACTCTAATATTTCTTTCTTTTTTCTAAATAGTTTTTCTTACCATCATGCCCAATCTAATACTCTAATATTTCTGGCAGATAGAATAATATGTCAAAGATGTCTATGGCCTAATCCCCAGACTGTGTTGCCTTACATGGCAAAAGGGACTTTGGGCCGGGTGCGGTTGGCTCACGCATGTGATCCCAGGACTTTGGGAGGACAAAGTGGGCAGATCACCTAAGGTTAGGAGTTCGAAACCAGCGTGGCCAACACGGTGAAACCCCATCTCTACTAAAAATATAAAAAATTAGCCAGGTGTGGTAGCTCATGGCTGTAATCCCATCTATTTGGGAGGCTGAAGCAGGAGAACACTTGAACCTGGGAGGCGGAGGCTGCAGTGAGCCAAGATCACGCCACTGCACTCTAGCGTGGGCGATAGAACGAGACTCTGTCTTGAAAAAAAAAAACGGGGGGACTTTGGAGATGTGATTAACTTAGGAATTATGAGATGCAGTGATTAGCCCAGATTTTCTAGGTATGGTTTTGTAAGAGGGAGACACGAGAGTCAGGATGGGGAGAAGGGTTGGAAGATGCTGTTACTGGCTTTGAGGATGGAAGAAGGAACCAAGAGCCAAGAAATGCAGTCAGGTTTTAGAAGTCAGAAAATGAAAGACATTTTCCCAAGAGCCTACAAAAGGAACCACAGAGCCCTGCTGACACCTTGATTTTAGCTCTACAAAACCCATTTAAGAGTTCTGAACTTCAGAACTGCAAGATAACATCTTAGGGTTGTTTTAAGCCACTATGTTTGTGAAATTTGTTATAGCAGCAATAGGCAACTAATACAACAACATAAAATAACTACAGGGTATCCCCATGGGCAGTGAGCCCCACTTTCCATAAGTAGATAAAGGTTCCTCTGACAGTACTTTTAGAATAACTTTCCAAAAATGTTAGCTGATCCACCTGCTCAGCCGCTGATTTTTACATGCAGGTATTTTGTGAAATTTTCCATTTCAATTGACTCACTTTGAGTACTTTACACCCTTCACACACTGTTGGATAAATTCACATTAATTATTTCATTTAACCCTTACAACAACCCTATGACATAGTATCACGCCCATTTGACAGATGATATAAACCAAGGCTCAGACAATAATAGTAAGTATAGCTAACAAATATTGAGCATTTATTCTGAGCTAGGCACTGAACACCTGTTAACTAATTTAATTCTCCCAAAAAATCCAGTCTTCATTTACAGATGAAGAAACAGATGTCAGGCACAGAGAGTCTAAGTAACTTTCCAAAATCTTTGCAGGTATGAGGGGCTAGAACTGCAACCCAGGTCTTTCGGGTGCCAAGAGCAGTGTGCTTTGGGTTGTACCCCAACTCCATCTCATCCATGTCAAAGCCACTGTCATAGTCATTAACACCAATTACTGGCAACAGCCCAGCCCTGCCATTCCATCTGAGCCCCCTTCAGGCAGTATTGGCTGTCTGCCGAGCCACATGGCAGGGTTCAAGGATGGCCTCATGGGCTGAAGCTCCAAGTGGCAAGTGGCCCCTTGGAAGGACCTCCCTGGCACCATTCACTAGCAACAGCAATGACATTCCCCATTCTCCCCTTGGCATATGCTCAGCCTCCCTCTTTCCCTGGCCCTCCTGAGTTATCTTGCCATATGCTTTAAACAGGGGAGTCCTCCATAGCTTCCCTAGAAGACGGGGAATCCCTGGAAGGGACGCTCCTGCAGGTGCTACAGATCAGAGGGCAGTGAGTGCCAGGGGCAGCACTAGAGGCTCTCTGCCAACTTGACTGGTCTTAAACCACTCACCTCTCCTACTGCTTGCCCAGCCTCATACCCAACACCTTGCTCAGGCCAGCGTTAGACCTGTCACACCCTCTTCGGCCTGCTTTTCCTGAGGCCTAAGCCGGTCTCTCCCCCTTTTAGTCTCCCCACCTCACTCCTTGCCCTCTCTTAGGTGCCAGTCAGAACTGTTTCTAAATAAACTGTAGAATTATTTTTCCAGAACCTCCAATGGCTCTCTTATTTCAAAGAGCAAACATCTCTCCTTTTCTTTAAATCTCAGGCCACACTTTTAACTACCTTTTGCTAAACAAGGACATATGGCACTCGCTGATAAGAGCTTAGGGCATGACAGCTGCTCGAGGGTGTTTCAGATTTGGACTCTGCTCTGACACCTCCAACAAGCAAGCTTAGGCCTTGGTGGCCCTGGGTTGCCTGGGAACAAGAAACCCCAGAGCCCCGATTTATAGAAGACAGTGTCCTGGTAACTCGGGGGCCTGAGATTGAATTCTATTGGCAGAAATAAAAGTAAAAAGTGTGGACAGATAGGAAAATGCAAGGTGAAGAGCCATAAGTATCTCATTCTCCACAGAGGATTCTAAGTGCCAAGTTTCAGGGACTGAGAGGAAACATTCCAGGTCATAAACCCATGTTGGTATTTTGACATGGTTTTATGAGGTTGGCCCTTTGGGAGCAAGCAGGGAGAACTGCGCCCGTGTGGACTCCTGCATGGAACTACCAGTTGCATACACGTGGCTTATCTGCCACCCTCACGTACCCATGGAGAGCCTCTCTTTCTGAACTGGGGAAGAGGTACATTCACTGCTCATAGCAGCTCCTTGCTATTTCTGCAAAGACAAGCCATGGAACTCACCTAATCTTAGAATGCTCCTGGAAATGTTCTAAGGACTTTACTTGCCATATCTTTTTTTTTTTCTTTTGAGACGGAGTTTAGCTCTTGTTGCCCAGGCTGGAGTGCAATGGCACCATCTCCGCTCACTGCAATCTCTGCCTCCTGGGTTCAACCGATTCTCCTGCCTCAACCTCCCGAGTAGCTGGGATTACAGGCATGCGCCACCAAGTCCGGCTAATTTTGTATTTTTAGTAGAGACGGGGTTTCTCCATGTTGGTCAGGCTGGTCTCGAACTCCCGACCTCAGGTGATCCGCCCGCCCCGGCTTCCCAAAGTGCTGGGATGACAGCCCTGAGCCACCGTGCCCGGCCGCCATATCTCATTTAATCCTCACAGTTCTGTGGGTATTACCATCCTCATTAGACAGATGAGGAAACTGAGGCATACTTGGGTACCTTCAAGTTATCAACCCTGTAAACTTCACAGCTGGGGTTGAAACCCAAGCAGGCTGACCCCAGTCTCTGCTCTCGACCACGGGTCCCTGAAGTCTCTTGACTGCCCCATTCCTTAAAGGCCGATTTTAAGTGTGCTTGGTGCAGATGCATTGTGGCTTCCTGATTTATGACAAATTGAAACTTGGTCAATTGGGTTTGTTCAGGGTGGGCGCGAGTGTCCCTGAGGAGAGCACTTTCCTGTGCCCCCAGTCCTGGAGACCCTACCAGGGACAGTCCCCATTTCTCTGTCCTCTCCCCAAACGGCTCCAAATTGTTCTGGGGTTTCTAGCAACTACCACAAAATGCCTTCCCCTTTCTCTCCCTCTTCCACAATATAGGGAAGCTGGAGGTTTAGCTGCCATAGAGACCCAAGAACAAAATCCAGATGACACGGGCATGAAAATACCAGGTTCCGAAGAGGGAAGGGGGAGCCATCGGCTGTCCGTGGAATAGGAATCACCCTGCATACCCGCTCAACAGGTCTCCCTTTCCCTGGGTCGCGGTGGCCGGGGTCTGGGCGTCCCCGCTGCGTGCCACAGCGCCCCCACGGGGCACTCCGGGGCGGCTGCAGCGCGGCTTGTCCTGCGCAGGGAGCGCGCCCAGCTCTCCCGGCCGAGGGGTCGGGCAGCGCCGCCCTCCCTCTCCCCCTGTCCTCGGAGGGGTCGAAGGCGCCGGGGCCCCGGGGCGCTGGGGGCTGCAGTGCGGGCCTGGGGAGGGCGCCTGCGCGTCGGGCAGCCCAGGCTCGGTATTCTGTCGGTGGGTCGGTCCGCCTGCACTTCGAGGCCGCCCGGCCGCGCAGAGCCGGGGGAAAGCGCGCCGCGCTCACCTGCAGCCGCCGGCGCCTGGGAAGCGAGGCAGGGGCGCAGCCACCCGGGTCTTCCTCGTCGGCCTCTTCGCCTCGCCGAGGGCCGCGGCTCTCCTCGGGGATCGCTCGTGGGAGGCGAGGACGGAGCCCCAGCTTCTGCCTCTGCCTCTGTCTCCGCCGCCGCCGCTTGCTCCAAGTCCCATCCCAGAGCGCTCCCTTCGCTCGCTGGCTGCCTGGGAGGCGCTGGGCAAGGGCGGGCGGCTGGGGAGGCGGTGCCGCGGCGGGGGTGGGGAGCGGGCCGGGCGGAAGGAGGGGTGTCCTCTTTGGGGATGGGGAAGGCGCGGAGAGGGAGCGGCGGCGAGGGCGGCCCCACCCTGTGGGCAGCCCCGGGAGCTGGGCACTCTGGCGGCGCGCCCTGCCTGCTGCCACCTGGCTCCACTCCGTCCGTGCCTGAGCCCAGGCGGGCATCAGACTCCAGGGGTCCGGAGCCGCAGGCACGGAACACAGGCAGCTTTAGGGGCCTGTCGGGTTGGGAGTGCGGGGAGGGGTCTTCTGGGGGAAAGGAGACATGGCAGGAATCTTACATCTAGAACTTGGGGTCATGACCTGCGGGACGCACCCACTGACGCGGGGATGGAGAAAAAAGTGGTGAGAATTGGGCTAATTGATGACAAGCGCCAAGAGCTGTCTTGCCAGTGCCCAGAGCACCCCACCAGTGCCAGTTCATATTAACAGAGCGTCCACTGGCTGGGGACCAGGCCCCGGGATGGGGAGGAGGTAAAGATGCCAGGATGGAGAGGAGACAAAATTCCTACCCCGAGGGAGCAGGGAAAGTCTAGTTCAGACAAGACTTTTGAAATTATGAGCAGAGACATTTGCAACTTTGCAGAATGGAGGAACCTCACCTTGGATGTCCCCATGGAGCCTTGGAGGGATGCAGAAGACAGGATTGGCCAGCGACAGTCAAAGTGGCCGGCACCCCCCTCTACCAGCTCCCCAGTTCCTGGAGGCTGGGGTGAGTGGATGTATAACAGACCAGGACATCTCCTATAAAGCTCCAAAATTCTGTTCCCAAACCACTAGCCAACGCACCCAGTTCAGGTTTTGTGTTTTTGTTTGTTTGTTTGTTTTTTGAGACGGAGTCGCCCAGGCTGGAGTGCAGTGGCGCAATCTTGGCTTACTGCAAGCTCTGCCTCCCGGATTCACGCCATTCTCCTGCCTCAGAGTAGCTGGGACTACAGGCTCCCGCCACCACGGCCGGCTAATTTTTTTTGTATTTTCAGTAGAGACGGGGTTTCACCGTGTTAGCCAGGATGGTGTCGATCTCCTGACCTCGTGATCCGCCCGCCTCGGCCTCCCAAAGTGCTGGGATTACAGGCGTGAGCCACTGCGCCCGGCCCCAGTTCAGGTTTTAACAAGCTACCAGCAGAGGCAGCAGCACTAACTAGTTTCAAAACCTCTGGATGTGCCACAGTCTGATAATTTGGTGCTTTGGGCGGACTTTGTTTTGTAATTAACCATCATTCCTATTTGATGATAGAGTTGATTTCTGAAATATGAATAAACGCCAAAATCAATTCTTCAGAAAAGCTCCAGGAGGGGTAATTAAAATTCCAGCCATGAAGCAAGGGGTTAACATACTCGAGCCATCAGGCAAGTCAATGATACCTTAATACCAAGAAAGAATTGTGGATTCCTGTTCCTTTACCCAGTACCTTAGGCCCACTGGGCACTCTTGGCTGCCTGCACTGATCACAAATAGTTTTTTTGTTATGTCTTTGGGAGGAGGTAGGTGGAGGTCAGAAAGCAGAGGAAAGTCTTCAGGAAATGTTTGGTCTCTGAAGTCTTGGATCCCATAGAAGAAAATTCTTCCTGAGTCTGGGCCAGTGAAAATCCCCTAGGAACTTGGGAAGTTGAGCTACAGTTTATGGAAACTTAAATTTAAAATGTGTTGACTTATTCCAAGACACCAGTGTGATCCAGTAATTTACCAGGAAAACAATAACAATCCCCAAACCCTTCCAAATTGTAAGGAAATTGTAATTTAGTAACTGATTCCAGTGACTCTGGTGTATGCCAATTAAAATGGGTGTTTTCCCCCCAGGGAGTTCTATTGGAATTCTTCAGAATAGTTAATCTATGTACAAATTACACTTGGGGCCAAGTCAAATAGGTTAAATGAGTTGTTCTACCTTGTGGGATGATCTTCAGGTCTGCCAGAAAAAAATGAAGGAAAAGCAAGTTCAATGTCCTGAAATATAAAGGCAGAACAAACAATGAAATGATTTCTGGGTTACCTTCAGGATGAATTGCAAGTTGATAATTAAGACTATAGATTAGGAAAAGGCCAAAATTGCCTTTTCTGCTAGAGGTCCTGCCATGTGCTAGATGTACAGAGAACCTTATTCAGAAGTGTGGGTTTAAGATTTTTAGTTCTGGGACTGGGCGATGGCTCACACCTGTAATCCCAGCACTTTGGGAGGCTGAGGCGAACTGATCACTTGAGGTCAGGAGTTCTAGACCAGCCTGGTCAACATGGTGAAACCCCGTCTCTACTAAAAATACAAAAGGTAGCCGGGTGTGGTAGTGGGCGCCTATAATCCCAGCTACTCAGGAGGCTATAATCCCAGCAACTCAGGAGAATCGCTTGAACCTGGGAGGCGGAGGTTGCAGTGAGCTGAGATTGTGCCACTGCACTCCAGCCTGGGCAACAAAACTAGAGTCCATCTCAAAAAATAAAAATTAAGAATAATAATAATAATAATAATACAAAAATTATCTGGGTGTAGTGGCATACGCCTGTAATCTCAGCTACTCGGGAGCCTGAGGCTGGAGAATCACTTAAACATGGGAGGCAGAAGTCGCAATGAGCCGAGGTTGCACCACTGCACTCCAGACTGGGTGACAGAGTGAGACTCTGTCCCAGAAAGAAAAAAAACAGATTTTCAGTTCTTATGTGGGCACTCATGTAAGCAGACAAAAATGAGGTATGTATTATCTGAGAACTCCTAAGAGCTCACAAGTTAACTGGAATTGGTATCTGTTTAAACTAATCACAACCTGAGTAGCTATACTTGGGATCAACTCTCAGTTCTCGATCTCCACGTAGTCTATTGTGGAGTAAGGATTTGGGTCAGGAGAGTCATTTGACCCAGGCCTCACACTCGTGAACAGCCTCGAATATAGACTTTAAACATAAGCATCCCTTTGCTCCTTGTAAACATTAGAACTTTTTGTTTTGCATTAGAATCCTTCTTACTTGAGACCTAGCTATCTGGCCTAGAGGGCAGATTGAAATGAGACTGTCAAATCCAAAGGGGACCAGAGTACAGTATAAGGAAACTGAAGAAGAAACAGGTTGCCTCACGGACCTATAAACCTAAAATAAAGCTCTACTGAATGCATGAGGAGACATGTAAAATTGCAATGTCATCTCACGTGCACTGTTTCCCTAGGTGACAGACAGTGTTTGAGTCCTATGTAAACTATTAGAGCTCCTCCCTGTCTCCCTCAAGTAGAAGGCCAGGAGAGGAAACATCTTCATATCCGGCCAGCTGCCCATTTGTTGGAGCTGGAGATGCAGGGTTAAGGGAATGTTCCAAGGTAGTGGATGAGCTTGGACTCCAGCCCAGGGAGGGGAACCCTGTAGGCAGGGCAGAGCTCCCTTTGGGATACCCCATCTACATGGACAGTTGGGTCCATGTCCAGAGGGTTCCTTTGAGGACAGGCTGACTGATGGCACCATTGTCCCAGGTGACATAATTTCTTTTTTTTCTTTTTGGCATATGAACATTTATTACTACAGTGTTTTCACCATTAAAATTTATGATCTTGGTCTTTCCTTCTTGCCTTTGTATAGGGCCAAAAGAAAGACACAGGCTACTTTGACAACCTGAAAGCGAACTCCAGAAATATCACCAACAGCATGACCTTTTTGACCAAATCCAGCAACCAGAGCTTTATGGTTTTCCACAATAAGGTTCAAGCAACCATCACTGAATACAAAGGCTGTGATTTTCTTGCCATCCTTGATCCACTGGACCCTGACACACTTCCTAATGGCAGAATTTGGCTTTTTGGCTTCAACTCCTACTTTTCCCAGCACAATTCCTTTTGCATGAGAAGCACCTCCAAAAGGGTTGGCCTTCAGGGCTGTGCCCAAATGGGCTTTCTTGTACTGTTTATCATGCCACTTCTGATCTTGTTGGTGACTACAGAGACTCCTAGCAGTATGAGGTCCACGACACTTGCCCATCCTGCAGTGCTACGGGCCTGAGCAAAAGAGAGAAGCAGCTGTCCCAGGTGAAGTAATTTCTAAATAAACATATCCCATCTTGGAAAGACAGGATGAAAGTGATCAGGAAAAAAACTACAGCAAGTTGAAAATTTGTTCAAGAAAACAATACTCATTTCAAAGGGGACTCAAATGTTTTTATGTGATTTTGACTTGGACCATGAGCTCCTGAGGACAGGGACTGGGCCTTTTGCTTATTTATAGATCTTGCCCTATGCCATGCTGTAGAAGGGACTGGGTTACACCGGCTCTAACCAGGATTTTAGAGCCTTGTAGTTTTGTGGAATCAGATTGATGCAGCTTCCTATCAAGGATGAGATAAGGCCTGGCACAGTGGCTCATGCCTGTCATGTCAGCCCTTTGGGAGACCTAGGCAGGAGGATCACTTGAGCGCAGGAGTTTGAGACCAGCCTGAGCAACACAGTGAGACCCCATCTCTGCAAAAAATTTAATAATTAGCTGGATTAATTTTTTAAAAATTTAAAAATTAGCCTCCCAGCAATTTGGGAGGCTGAGATGGGAGGATCACTTGAGCTGGGGAGGTCGAGGCTGCCATGAGCTGTGATTGCACCACTGCACTCCAGACTCCAGCCTAAGCAACAGAGCAAGACCCCGTCTCAGATTTTAAAAGAGAGATAATAGGCAGTTGCAGTTGGCTGTAGTCCCAGCTACTTGAGAAGCTGAGACAGGAGGATCCCTTGAGCCCAGGAGTGTGAGCCTGGCTTGGGCAACACAGCAAGACCCCATCTCTACAAAAAAAAAAAAAAAAATTAATGTAAAGAATGAGATAATAAAGTGGGGAGCCTTAATGCATAGGCAATAGTGAGCACAAATATGATTTGTTTTCTTGGATACTGACAAGGCTGAAACACTGCCTGTCTACCTGCAGACTAGGTTTCACTTTGGAAATGGAGGATGGACCTGCTATTTATGGAAGCATCGCTCAGCAACACAGATTGCTGCTGCTTTCATTCCTAAACCTAGAAATTGGCACAAAGTGGTCGGCTATTAGGAGCCGATAGCCTCATCCTTGTGACACTCAACTAACTACCTTCTCTCAAGGATATTAATGAGTCTATGTCTGCATGGGATGCCTGGTGTTAAATCAGTTTGCCAGACACTTGGGCAATGTCTATGTGCATCTATTCTATAAAATCCCCCAGCCCGCTGGCAGAGCTCAATAAATGGGGATTCAAGAATAACAAAAATAGGCCGAGTGTGGTGGCTCACGCCTGTAATCCCAGTACTTTAGGAGGCCGAGGTGGGTGAATCACTTGAGGTCAGGAGTTCGAGACCAGCCTGGCCAACATGGTAAAACCCTGTCTCTATTAACAATACAAAATTAGCCTGGCGTGGCGGCACAAGCCAGCAGTCCCAGCTACTCAGGAGGCTGAGGCAGGAGAATCACTTGAGCCTGGAAGGCAGAGGTTGCAATGAGTCAAGATCGTGTCATTGCACTCCAACCTGGGTGACCGAGTGAGACTCCATCTCAAAATAAAGAAAAAAAAGAAAAGAAATTCAGCAAATGAAATGCAAACTCTATACTCTAAAAGCTGCAAACATTATTGAAAGAAATTACAGAAGATCTAAACAAATGGAAAGACATTCCATATTCATGGATTGGAAGACTTAATAAAATGGCAGTATCCCCAAATTGATCTACAGATTCAACATAATTCCTACTGAAATCACAGAGGCTTCTTTGCAGAAACTGACAGGTTGATGCTAATAGCCAAAATAATCTTGAAAGAAAAAGAACAAAGTCTGAAGGCCGGGTGCAGTGACTCATACCTGTAATCTCAGTGCTTTGGAAGGTTGAGGTGGAAGGATTGCTTGAGGCCAGGAGTTAGAGACCAGCCTGGGCAGTATAACAAGACTCCTGTCTCTATAAAACATTAAAAAAAAAATTAACCAGGCATGGTGGCGCATGTCTGTAATCCCAGTTACTCAGAGAGGCTGAGGTGGGAGGATCACTTGAGCCAAGGAGTTTGAGGCTGCCGTGAGCCGTGATCGTGCCACTCTCCCCTGGGTGACAGTGTGAGACAGTATCTGAAGAAAAAAAAAATTCATTTCCACTGCAGAAATTGCCTGCAGTGGGAATTTCTGTGCTTGAGTCTATGGTACCTGCCACAGGGGAATTTACATTGCTTTTACTATTGGAATTTTGTGATCTTCTTATAAAGGATTAAAGACAAACAAGGTTTATCATGTATGGTCTTACAGGGATTTCATTTAAATCTGAAGTGACCAGGAAGTAGGTGAACAGGTCACTATCTTTAAGTTGCATAGTAGCTGTTGAGAATTCCCCCCCATTTATCCAAGGTCTCAGGGTTCCACCAAGGTCTTAGATTTGGTCATTTATTGCTTTAACAACGATTTACTAGGAAAGGGAAAAGAGAAAGCTCCTAAGAGGAGACACATCTAGCAATTTAATTTTGTATTCAGATTCCTACTGAATTAAGCTCACGTGAATGGGACTTGATCACAAGAATAGTAAGAACTAAGAATGCTGGTTTCCTTTTGATTTCAAATTTAGGCAGACTATTAGGTAGCCTCTCATCTTAGCGGGACTTTAATCTTTCTTCGGAAAGCAATCCTTTTATTACTGTGTTGCTGTTATCACCTTTACAACTTTCTTCTAAAAGTCGACACTCCCCTAAAAGCCCCCCAGCCCAGTACACACTACTCCAGCTGTGGCTTTGGCAGGGTTGCTGGAGCAGTGACCTTCCCGCGGTCTCCTTGCATCATCTATAGGAATGAATGAATTCTTTTCTTTTTCTTTTTTTTTTTTTTTTGCTTTTCTTTTTTCTTTTCTTTTTTTTTTTTTTTTTCTGAGACAGGGTCTCACTCTGCTGTCCAGGCTAGAGGGCAGTGGTATTATGATGACTCACTGCAGCGTCAACCTTTCAGGCTCAGGTGATTCTCCCACCTCAGCCACCCAAGTAGCTGGGACCACAAGCATGTGCCACCACGACTGGCTAATTTTTGTATTTTTAGTAGAGACAGGGTTTTGCCATGTTGGCCAGGCTGGTCTCGAACTCCTGGCCTCAAATGATCTGCCCACCTCGGCCTCCCAAAGTGCTGGGATCATAGGCGTGAGCCACCACGCCCGGTGGAATGGAATTTTTTTCTAGTAGGCTCTTCTGAATTGTCTCTATGGAACTTGAGCTCCACTGAGTTGCTTTTAAAAATTTGTTGCAGTCACTGGGATGGGATTACAGCTGGCTTTAATTCTCCTTATGTGCTTATTTTATTTTATTCTAGTAAATATGTTTTGAGTTCCTTCTATCTGCCAGACATGTGCCATACACGAACAGAGCAATAAGTAACACATAGACTCTCTGTGAGTTTATAATCTACTGGGGGACTATCGACAAGAAAAGCAGTAACCATAGAGCGGAAGATATACCTTGATTGGGGATGCTGAGGATGCCATGGAAGAACATAAAATGAATGCCACCCAGGGCCAGGCGCAGCGGCTCACGCCTGTAATCCCAGCACTTTGGGAGGCCAAGGGGGTTGGATCACTTGAGGCCAGGAGTTCAAGACCAGCCTGGCCAACATGGCAAAACCCCATCTCTACTAAAAATTCAAAAATTAGCTGGGCATGGTGGTGCACACCTGTGGTCCCAGCTACTCAGGAGGCTGAGGTGGGAGGATCACTTGAACCGGGGAGGCGGAGGTTGCAGTGAGCTGAGATCGCGCCACTGCACTCCAACCTGGGCGACAGAGCGAGAGACTCCATCTCAAAAAGAAAAAAAAAAAAAAAAAATGCCACTCAGATTGGTAGGCCATAGGCTTCTAGAAGGAAGTCATTTTCAGATGGAGACCAAAAGGATGTTATTGGCTTTATTTTCTGTTCCTTCTTGCAATCCATTACTTATGTAATTTTATTGAAACCTATGAGTTTGCAATGTGTCTTGATGCCCAGCTCATACCTGGATTTTGTATTAAGATGTTTAAGGAAGTTTAACTCTCAGGGACACAGATGATACAATGCATTAACTTCAACAGGGGAAAAAAAAAAAAGCTTACACTCCCATGGGAATTGACTACTCTTTTCTGTCTCTATTGGATAGGTGTGAAAATAGACAGCGATACTGGCTTTCTGGGGCAGGGGCAGGGACAATTCCTCAAAAGGAAATTGCTCCCTTAAAAACAACCACTCTAAAAGGCCCACCTCTGTTGATCCCTCTTCCTGCCTGAATACATTCTTTATAACAATGAAAAGCTGATATTTGCAGAGCATTTTCCAGTCTAATTAAATGGGAAACTGACAGCTTTACTTATGTTAACACGAACTTCAAGTTGAAGATCCACCCCAAGTTTACAGTTTACACAGCTTTGCACAACCTGCTTTCCTTCTTGGGATGTATTAATTCAAATTAGTAGAAATTGATGATTGTTAAGAAGCAAGAAGTTATATGTACAGAATTCTGAAATTCTAGATGTCTCAAAGAAATGCATTACCTACTTTGATGTATTCAATCTGCATTCAAGTCCTCTGCCACTTACTAGGTGACTTTGGCCCAGTTAATTACCTCTGAAACCCTCGGTTTCCTCACCTGTAAAATGGGGATAGAGTTAATAATATATCTAAGCATGTCTGCATACAGGAAGGGCTCAGTAAATGGTAAATGTTATGCTACCTCATAAAAGGGTAGAAGCCACAGGGAAAGAAAGAGGGGCGAAGTGAAGAGGACCTGTGATCTTAAGTCAGGAAGACGGGAACACAACGGAGACACATTAAATCAACAGGAGGAGATCTGGGGAAAAGGGAGGACAATTTTCCATTTTGGACACCATGAATATGAAATGTCAACAGGTCGTCAAGATAGAGAAGACTGGGATTTAGAGCTGCTATTATTATTTACTGAAGGCAACTAAATATAGGAAAGGTAAATTTAATAAAGACCTACAGTTAAAAACAAGTCAAGGAACACCCTGTGAAGTAAAATAGAGAAAAAGAGTAATTTGAAATACATTCCTTGGCCAGGTATGGTGGCTCATGCCTATAATCCCAACAGGCCGAGGCAGAGGATCACTTGAGCCAAGGAGTTCAAGACCAGCCTGGGCAATTTAGTGAGATCCTGTCTCTGAATTAAAAAAAAAAAAAAAAGAGAAAAGAAAAGAAATACATTCCTTTAGTTAAAATGAATAAAATGGATATCACACAAAGGCCACCACACTGGGTGCAAGGGGCGTCCCTGCCACATGAGACAACACGGTCCTTTATGCTGTTGCTGGTCACAGACAGCAGACCCATTGCTCCTTGTCTTCCCAGAGCCAGGGCTTTCCTTAGGCACAGGTGAAGACTCATCTGCCCCTGAGTAGGCCTAGCTTGGACATCCCCATCTAGGAGCCCAGAAATTGGAACGTGTCACTTGGATAGCAGGGGCTGAGACACCGCAGCCCAGACCTGTGACTAGTAAGTAGCAGCCAAGATGATGCCACACTCAATCCTAGCCTTTCCTTAGAGAAACGCGGCTCCAACCCTCATTGCTGGTGAACTATGTGCATCCTACCCTTAATCACAGTTCCTCACAAAACTACCTTTGCTCTATTGAAGAAATATACCTGCTACATGTTGACATACATCAAGGGATATATAATTTTTATTTCCTGGGTTAAGAGGTTTCCATCTTAATAAAAATTGTGTTTACACTATTATAATGATTAAAAAAAAAAAAAAAAAAGGCCAGGCTCACTGTAATCCCAGCACTTTGGGAGGCCAAGGCAGGTGGATCATGAGGTCAAGAGATCAAGACCATCCTGGCCAACATAGTGAAGCTTCGTCTCTACTAAAAATACAAAAATTAGCTGGGCGTGGTGGCGCATGCCTGTACTCTCAGCTACTCAGGGGGCTGAGACAGGAGAATTGCTTGAACCTGGGAGGCAGAGGTTGCAGTGAGCTGAGATCATGTCACTGCACGCCAGCCTGGAGACACAGCAGACTCCAGCTCAAAAAAACAAACAAACAAAACAAGCTGTATCTACTTCTGCTGCTCCTGGTTTGGTGCAGACCTGATACCTCTTTTGTGAAACAGCAGCTGAGGAGATGCTGGCCATGGCCAACGAAAAGCCCAAGGAAAGAGTCAAGACAGGGCCGGGCGTGGTGGCTCATGCCTGTAATCCCAGCACTTTGGGAGGCCAAGGCGGACGGATCATCTGACGTCAGCAGTTCGAGACCAGCCTGGCCAGCATGGTGAAACCCCATCTCTACTAAAAATACAAAAATTAGCCAGGTGTGATAGCAGGTGCCTGTAATCCCAGCTACTCAGGAAGCTGAGGCAGGAGAATCGCTTGAACCTGGGAGGTGGAGGTTGCAGTGAGCCTAGATTGTGCCATTGCACTCCAGCCTGGGTGACAGGGCAAGACTCTGTCTCAAAAAACAAAAACAAACAAACAAAAAAAACACTGCACTTGGCCTGTGGTGCAGTTTAAGAGGCATACACCACTTAGTAAACTAGGCCAGGTGCAGTTTCTCATGCTATAATCCCAGCACTTTGGGAGGCCAAAGTGGCCAGTTCACTTGAGGCCAGGAGTTCGAGACAAGCCTGGCCAACATGGCGAAACCCTGTCTCTACTAAAAATACAAAAATTAGCCGGGCGTGGTGGTGCGCATCTGTAATCCCAGCTACTCGGAAGGCTGAGGCACGAGAATCGCCTAAACCTGGGAGGCGGAGGTTGCAACGAGCTGAGATCGTGCCACTGCATTCCATCCTGGGTGATAGAGAATCTGTCTCAAAAAAAAAAAAAAAACACCCCAAAAAACAGAAAACAAAAAGGAAAGAGGCATACACCTTAGTAAACTAACGGGAGCCTATTGTGAAGGACAGGGTTTGTCAATGAGGCAGATCAGACTCCAATTTGATAGGCACCAGTGAAACAGACACACTTGCACAGTTGGAAAAGGAGGATGAAGATACAATTGATGTGTTGCAGCAGCAGACAGGAGGTGTCTACTGGAAAGGGAACCTGCTTCTTTACTCCAGAACTCTGTTCTTAGAGACCAAGATTATATTCCCAATTAGGAAACTGCAATGTGGTTCCACCACATCCTGACTACTACAGTATAGGTTTCTCTATTCCTTCATTTCCCCCTTCCCCATTCCTTTACTGTACATGAAGTAATTGCTACGTGTGCACAAGCACGTTCATTTTTTTCTTTTTGAGACAGGGTCTCACTCTGTCACCCAGGCTGGAGTGCAATGGCACAATCTTAGCTCACTGCAACCTCCACCTCCAAGGCTCAAGCAATTCTCCCAGCTCAGGCTCCTGAGTAGCTGGGACTAAAGGCTGTCCACCATAACCGGCTAAATTTTTTTGTACTTTTTGTAGAGACAAGGTTTCGTCATATTGCCTAAGCTAGTCTCGAACTCCCAAGCTCAAGTGATCCACCCACCTCCCAAAGTGCGGGCATTATGGGCATGAGACACCACGTCCCACCTGTTGCGTTTTTTAAAAACTGAACAGCCGCTATGTTTTGATTGACATCAAGTGGAAATGGGATGGGGAAAAATATTGTTTCTGTGAAAATACCCTTTCTCCACTGTGGCATGCTCATTCAACTCTTTATATTCCTGCAAGTTATTTTGTTCTTGTTTAAACAACAAAAACACAAAAATCCTGCATACCTTGTTCAACTGGAGAATTTTAATTGTAAAACCAATGACAATTTTATAACTTTCTTGTATGTAGCTGTTACATGTAGGGCAATCTGTCTTTAAGTAGGGATAAATTACTCTAAAAAAAAGAATCCTAGATAGTTTTCGTTTTCCCTTCAAGCCAAGCATCTTGTTTAAATAAACTTTTTTGTTGTTGTTGTTGTTTTTAAAGCATATCTAAGTTTTAGGTGGAATAAAACAAAACTTGAGTCTGTTGTGCTGTTTTAAGCCAAATTCTTCATTCTACAGCAGCAGCTGCTCTTGCTGGTAAGGGTCACATAGATGGGTATATGGTGCTAAGACTAACTTTTTCTGGGTTGGCCAACCGACAGCTTCTCGCCTGCTGTCTTAGTACTCTAGTTGGCAGAAGGCCTGCATGGGCTTCTGGGCAGAAGGTTGCAGATCTGGCTGGTTTCCATACACTATGAGCCATTTAGCAGAAAACTTGGCCAGTGTGCAGAAACACTTTAAGTGATTCCATGGGTGTGGAGACATCCTTGTAATGCCTTCTTTTTCCTTCCCCTTTAAAACATGTATCTGAGCTGCCAAACGCCCCTTTTATATGGGCCATGGGCACTATTTTTGGTGTTTGTTAGGCCTGAAGGGGGAGCCTTGAAAAGCCTTAGCCTGCACTTTCTGCTGGCAGTTCTTTTGCATGAGTTGCTCTTTCAACACCTTGGCAAAGACACCTGCTCTGTCCCCTCCAGAACTCCAGACTGCCCACATGACCAGCACCAATGCAGTTTAATGATATTTAAGTCAGTTTCCAGACTGGCTGTAAAACCTAAACACATCTATAAAAAACAAAGACAGAAAGTACATGTTTCTATAGTCTCATTAGTTTTCCTCTGTCACAAAAAAATGCTCACTTCGCACAGCAAGATTTTCCTCAAATGATGAATACTTCAAATACAATACATCCCTCTATGGAGAAAACTTTAATGGTTACAGTTTATACAGATGGTCTATTGAGATCATCCATAATCAGTATTGTTGGTTAATGAACTGAGGGTAGAGGAAAGACAAATGGAATGAGATGTGGTTTGGTTAAGCAGTCAAACTACACAAATATGTTTAGGGGTAGAGTAAAAAATAGGAAGGGGGCGGAAAGGCTTGGAAAGGCTTGGAGTAGGAGAAATTTCTTTCTTCCTTTTCCCTCCCTCTCTCCCTTTTCTTTCTCTCTCTCTTCTTCTTTCCCCCCTCCTCCTCCTCCCCCCCCCATAAAAAACGGGGAGGGGGCAAAAAGGCTCAGAGTAGGGGAAGTTTCTTTCCCTCCCTCCCTCCCTCCCTCCTTTCCTTTCCTTTCTATTTGTTCGAGCCCAGGCTGGAGTGAAGTGGCACAATCTTGGCTCACTGCAACTTCAGCCTCCCTGGCTGAAGTGATTCTCATGCCTCAGCCTCCCGAGTAGCTGGGATTGCAGGTGCGTGCCACCACGCCCAGCTAATTTTTCTATTTTTAGTAGAGACAGGTTTCACCATGTTGGCCAGGCTGGTCTCAAACTCCTGACCTCAAATGATTCGCCTACCTCGGCCTCCTAAAGTGCTGAGATTACAGGTGTGAGTCACCGCGCCTGGCCATTTCTTGCATTCTTGAGGATGGAAAGGAAGGGGGCAGGAACAAGGATATCAGACTCTGGAGGAGCTGCCGCATGTAGTATTCATGTAGGAAGAGGGTGCAGGAAGGAGAGGGACTATTGGCCTTAAGCCTCTTTTACATAAGTTGGCATCCTGGAAATCTGACTAGCTTGTTCAACGGAAGCTGTTTCTAGGGTGGACAGACCACAATTTAAGTCAAAGGGTGTGTATGTTTTCCTCTTCCTTCTACCCCAGCAAACAGACTTGAAAAACTGCAGGAATAACTGCTTGTTTCTCTGTGGACAACAAAATAGGAGAAAGCGGCTAGATATCAAAATGGATTTGAAATACATTGAAAAGTGAGGCATTTATCTGGATTAGCAATGAGACAAAAAGATACAGTGAACTGCTAAGGCACATAATGTGCTCTGCTAGGTCATTTTAATCCAACATCACACCCTTCCCATAGTGGAGACAAGAAGGGAACAATTTCTTACTTTGCAGAAGTAAATATGGAGGCAGCTCTTGACCTTAGCCTGGGTTATGCAACAAGTCAGGAAAAGCCAGCATCACCAGCACTATATGGGATCTCTGAGAACGAAGGGATATCTCAAGAGTCTGTGATGCTATTTGAGTGCTGCATGAACGAGATCAGCAGTCTTGTTTTCTCTCCAAGAACCCTATGACTCTCAAAATCAGCACTTCCTTCCATTTGACCATGCATCTTTTTTTTTTTTTTTTTCCTGAGATGGAGTCTGGCTCTGTTGCCCAAGCTGGAGTGCAGTGGTGCAATCTCAGCTCACTGCAACCTCTACCTCCTGGGCTCAAATTATTCTCCTGCCTCAGCCTCCCAAGTAGCTGAGATTACAGATGTGCACCACCATGCCCAGATAATTTTTGTGTCTTTAGTAGAAATGGGCTTTTCCCATGCTGGCCAGCTGGGCTGGTCTCGAACGCCTGACCTCAGATGATCCACCCACTTTGGCCTCCCAAAGTGTTGGGATTATAGCCATGAGCCACTGTGCCTGGCCTGACCATGTATCATTTTTCATACTGCAAAAATGATTAGGCAAAGAGCTATAAAATCATGGGGAACAACATGCAATTAACTGTGATTTCCTATGTCCCTTCCCCAGGGATCATGAAACTATCTGATAGGGCTTTTCCATTCTTTTTGTTTCAAGACAGTGTCTCAGTCTGTCCTTCAGGCTGAAGTGCAAGTAGCATAATCACGGCCACAGTTCACTGCAGCCTCAACCTCCTGGGCTCAAGTTATCTTTCCATCTCAGCCTCCTGAGTAGCTGGGACCACAGGCACATGCCATCGTGCCCAGCTAATTTTTAAATTTTGCACAGAGATGAAGTCTCACTATGTTGCCCAGGCTGGTCTCTAACTTCTGAGCTCAAGCGATCCTCCTGTCTCCTTCTTCCAAGGTGCTGGGATTATAGGCATGAGCCACTGCCCCTGGTGCCCTCTCCATTTCTAGTAACCCATGTGTTTAACTTTGTGTCAGTCTTCTAGACATAAAGCTTCAAGAAACAGAATTACTTAGGTAGAGTTTATAAAGAATGCCAATGAGATACACCAAAAGAAATAACTGATTCTTTGGGATAAAAATCCCCCTTCCTTCCTCTCTTAATCACCCTTGGAATGTAGCAAAAATCTTAACTGCTTATTAAAAGTACACAATGGACATAAAGCAACCATATGCAAAACAACTGAATGCATGGTTAGGAATGTTGGAAGCTCGAGTCTGTTTGTCCCCCATTCCTCTTGGCCTAAAACGCTGATTTTATCAGGACTGGGATATTAAAAACACTGTGTGTAAAACAAGCCATAAAGCCTACTCCTGCTCTCCGTGCAATGCTGGAAAGTCTCAAAGTCGCCACAGGTGCAGGTTGGGATGGGAGGCACCAAGGAAACATGCCCCTGATTCAGTGTCTCCGCTTAGCTGTAACAACATGTTAATCAGAACTGCCTGGCATCTTCCTGAACAAGACTTTCAATAGGGCCCAGTATGCTTCGCTTCATCCAGAAGTTTTCTCAAGCATCTTCAAAGATGCTGAAGTACTCTTTCCCAGTGGGACTAAGAACCAGCAGAACAAATATACTTTCTCTCAAGATGTCTCTCCAGAACTTTTCCCCATTTCCAAGGCCTTGGCTTTCCTCATCATTTCCAGTGCATATGAGCAAGACACAGTGCTATCATACATCCCCCTGCAGCTTTAAAAAGAAGCAGAAGCAAGCACTTCCAGCCAGGCCACCAAGCACCATCACTTACCTAACTGACAGCCCAAAGCCAGCATTATATGTAACTCTGGCAGGACTAATCCCCTTCGTTGCCCCACCACTGGTCATGCTGATGACAAAAACTTATATTCCCATATTAGCTTTTACTCAGATGGCTTATGGAGCCAGTTTCCATCTTTCTTGGGTGGGATCAGATGCGGTTTTGCTCTACCAGAAGGTAGTCCAGCCAAACCAGACTACCTTAATTTAGCTAGCAGTACAGCTCCTCTTTTCTTTTCATGGTTTGCCTTCTTATTTCTGAAAGACTTAGTGAAGCCATAGTCACAGTAATAATGGGTATGCGGGTAGCATTACACCTTCAACTTTTTCTCTTACCACATTATCCCAACTGGTTTAAAGCCCTGAAGATAGTAGTCACTTTACTGGCCACTTTTTCATTTATAATCACTTTAGTAGTTAAAAACAGTTTTCCAGAAAAAGGACATAAGAGACCTGGTCAAGTATAAAAAATCTAAAAATACACTGTAGATAACATTTGTATGCCGGCTACACCTTTTTCTACTTCTGTTTGGCTTTTTTCCCCCACACCAATGGTAATTTATTCTCCACGGATTGTTCTTCATTTCTAGAAATTGTTATTTCATAGTAATTACTTGAGCAAAAGCTTGAAAATCCCTGACAAGTACTTTTCATCTCATAGTGTATTAGTTTTCACTCAGTCATTTTATGAATAATATAGTTATCCACTTAAACATTTCAATATTTTAACCATCTTGAAAATTAAAAGATTAAAAATCCCCCCCACCCGACCTCCCCCCCCCAAAAAAAAGCCTACTCCTTAGGCTGAACTGGGTGCATCTGCCAGACCATATGTGGAGGGAAAGGTCCTCAGACACAATCAGCACAAAATCACAAGGTCATCTTGGATGTGGGCAAACCTTGTTTTAATTGCAAACAACTTAATTTACAGCACATTCAATAATGAACCAACAGGAGAGTTGCTGACTTTGTAACATATGAATATATAAAAATCCCTTGCAATTCAGGTAGTCAAGGTAAAAAGCGCATACAAGGAAGGCAATCCTCATTTTTCTGAAAATGTTTACATTTTAAAAGGTGACTAGACATACTTGGAAGTTCAAAGCAGTAGGATGTAGCTTGCAGGGAAAAGAAAACCCTTTTCCATGTTGTTAGGCAGAAGTATATCAAATATATCCCAATTCCACTTGATAAAGTCAGTTGGATGACCTCCTTGAACCAATCTAGGGCAGAACACTTAGTAAAAGCGGGCCCTGGGTGGGGATGTGAATCCAGGAGAAGAGGGGCACCAGATCCCATGCAGCGCCAAACACATCCATTCCACCCTCTAACACATACGAGGCATGTCACCCCATGTCCCTGGACACAAGATCCACAAGAACAGTCAGCAGATGGTCACTGCTCCCACGGCCTGGTGCTTTCTAATGGTCTTAATTCAGGCCATGGAGAAAATCCTTTACCACCAAACACAAACTGTCATTGAACTTCAGTCATAAAGGATGTTGTGGGGGAAATTCTTGTAACACATACATAAGGACTTCTATTTACCTAATTAGAACAATGATTACACAATTGACATTCCTGTTTCCATAAGGTTTTGTTCTCTATGCTGGAATGGCTGAAGAAAAAGTTGTCTATTTTTGGTTTTATTTTACATTTTCAAAAGAGAGGGAACAGAGAGAAAAATGCCCAACTTTGGGGCCCAGCAGGTACAAAAGCAGACTTCTAGGTCCATCAGATTTGGGGGAAGTTTCAATGCCTAGGGAAGGTTAGTGAAGCCCATTATATCCCCAATCGTACAGGAAGAATTCTACAGTTAATCTATCACAGTGTTCCAGCAAAGCATATGTTGAAAACTACAGTTTTCAATCTAACATCTAAATTTTAAAAAGTAGCATTTCAGCAACAAACAAGCTCAGAGAGGCTCATGGCAAAAGTGAAATAACAGAACTATTGCTCAGATGTCTGCAAAGTCAAGCTGCTGCCCTCAGCTCCGCCCACTTGAAGGCTTAGGCAGACACGTAAGGTGGCGGTGGCTCCTTGGCAGCACCATTCACAGTGGCATCATCATACGGGGGTAGCAGCACCTGAGAAGAAAGAGGGACGGCAAGAGTTAATGTTTGAAGAGCACACACGTTCCCCGAGGTTTAGCTTTTACTGAACTTTTATGCAACTAAACATGTTCCACAACTTGTACCAAGTTCAATTTTCTAGCAAGTGGATACACTTCATTAAAAGACTTTTTGAATCCTTAAAGGAGCAAATGGAGAGCGACTCTCAAGCCTTGAGTTTTTCTAACCCTGTCCATGTGTAGCTGGATGGCCAGAGGTCGGTGACTCTAAAAGAAATGGTGATGGCTCTGAAGAGGAAAAAAGACCCCTAGGTGAGTGTGTCCATGTGCACACACAAATAGGGCAGGCACTTGATTGACTACAGTAACCACTCATGGTGAGAACTGCAAAGTGCAGTGAAAACGCCAAGCTTTTGGTATCAGCCTGGATTCAAAGCCTGGGTCAGTCACATTTTATCAGCGTAGCCTTGGGTAAGTTCCTTAACATCAGTTTCCATGTCTATGAAATAAGGATACCTCAGAGTTGGCGGTCTATACACTGGCTGATTTCGGCTTTCTTGGAGTAGAAAATGGAATACAGAATAGTTATATCACCCTTCATTCAGTAAACTAACATTTATTATGCATCTAGTATGTAATAGTCATTGTGAGTATAAGATAATTGAGACAAAAGACAGTCCCTGCCCTTTAGGAGTTCAGAGATGAGAAGACAAAACAAAACCTCACCCACCTCAAGTGATTTGTGGAAAGGGAAAGACTATTCACAAACAAAACCACACTTGGTTAGATTTTCTATCAGGGATATCACTTATGCTTAAAGTGGTATTCATCAATTTTGTTAATTTTCATTTATCTGTCCCTTTAGCTCCTACTAGAACCACACTAAAATTTTGTTAAGTTTTTGTCACATTGCACTCTCCCAAACACACACACACACACACACACACCCCTCCTCTCCAGCTCTACACACTTCATTACTTCTCTCCTCCCAGTCTTGGAGCTCCTGTGGGGCTGAAGCCAGGTCTCACTTCCTCGAGGGTGGGCCAGTGCCTATCCGACAGCAGGAACTCAGATGTTTGCGGAGTGACGGAGGTGCCACTTAGGCCGGCCCCCGAAAAGCCTGTATGGTTCCTTCAGCTGCCTAGGCAGAGGGCACCTGTACTGGCTAGGGTCCAGTCAGAACACAGAAGCCACACAGTGATGTGAATATAGTTTCATGAAGAATTATTAACAGGAGACTGAGGAACCGGGAACTGACTCATGGCGGGGAAAGAGCACTAATGGATAAGAAGATTGAAGTACGGCACTCAGGGACGGAACAAGCTAGAACAGAGGTCCCCAAGGCTGGGCTGAGACACGGCTAGGGAGGGTGTGGCTGAAGCCCATTGGACAGTGGAGAGGCTTCCCGCTGAACCAGGTAGAGGCCAGTGTGCACAGAATCACCTGCGGGAAGCCGTTCCCGGGAGCCACGGCCCGCTCTGGAAACCGCCTGAGAGGCGCTGCCACCGCTGTCTCCGCTCGCACTGGGCCCTGGGGAGCACTGCCAGCAAGATCTGAACACTGCAGAAACACACAGGAACCGGGGGCGGGCAGGCGGGCAGGGGGGTGGAGGAGGGGGGGTGGCGGCTTTCCTCCTCCAGTGCCCCCTACTGGCCTGGCTGAACAGGGTCAGGAGGTGAAGGAGGAGTATCTGCAAGGCCCAGCCCATGTCAAGCTAAATGGGACTCTGGAGCTGTGATGCAAGAAGCCGATAACTGGCCAGCAACACACAGGCAAAGGCAATGCGCCAGAGTCGCACCCGCCAGCCGGCCTTTGTTCCTGAAAGAGGTAGTGATCTTTGCCTATGTGCTAAATACTTTATATGTCAGGTATTAACCAAGATACAGAGTCTGGGGCAAATGTTCAGCGTTGCCCACGTGGAAAAGGAATGGAGTAGGCAAGATACACTCAGTACAGAACACATGCCTGAGGTAAGGAAGCACAGCAGGAAACTAAGTCCAACAAACCAGCACCCACTGAGCACCTAGGTGTCCAGGGAACTCAGTCACAGCGACTTGAACCTGAAAACATGTCACTGTCTGTTCAGGGGCCTGCAATCTAGCAGAAGGCAGACACAGGTAAAACTCAACATGAGCAATGTGTGGATGCAGACAAGTTAGGAAAGAACAGACAAGGACAACCAATTTAGGCTAGGGAGTCAAGGAAGGCCTCTCAGTAGGATGACCAGGTGTGCAGTAAAGAGGATGACATTCCAGTAGGGAGTTAAGAGGAAAGCAGGACACAGGGCACTTTCTGGGAACTGCAAGGTGTTTGCTACAGTGAACACTGAAGGGAGAATGTTGCAGAGATGAAGTTGGAAAGATAGGCACAGGTCAGCACATGAAGAGAGCCTCATGGTCGACCTTGACAAGTTCTAGCCAGTATCTAACAACAGCATCTCCACTAGCAATTCCAAAAGTGTCAGCTTGAGCTGCGGGAAGAAAAAAGTATTCTCTAAAACAAAGCAACAGCTGTCTTCTCTGCGTGTGCATATTTGACTTTAGGACTGAGCCCCCAGCGCACATACGTGTGTGTGCATTAGATACAGCAACTTATAACAAGTGGAAACAGCTGTGACCGCACCAGAAATATTAATTTTAGCAAGACTGAGCTTCACCACAATGCCCCACCACTGCATTAAACAATTAACTGATTCATATACTTATCTTTAGATAAATTATCCTAAAACACAGTAGAGTTACTTAAATGTTTAAAACATAGAGATGGGGTCTTGCCACGTTGCCCAGGCTGGTGTAGAACTCTTGGCCTCAAGTGATCCTCCCACTTCAGCCTCCCAAAGTGTTGGGATTACAGGCATGAGCCACTGTGGCCGACCTGTAGAGCTACTTAAAAGGTAAAAATCAGCTATCACACCCACCATTTTTTTTTCTAGGCAAAACACAATATTCAAATCAAAATCTCCAAAATGTTCACAGAAGATTAACATAAGATATTCTTGAAAAAAAAAATGGTGCTGCAAATCTGCCTTTTGTCAAAATAAAACTTTCACATTACATTTGGCGGTCTGTCACTATTTCTTATTATTCATCTTCAAACTCGTTTTAAAGTTTCATTTTAAATCAACATTTTAAATCTTTGGTTTTGTTTTGTTTCGAGAGAGTCTTGCTCTGTCACCCAGGCTGGAGTGCAGTGGCGCGATCTCGGCTGAGTGCAACCTCCACCTCCTGGGTTCAAGCGATTCTCCTGCCTCAGCCTCCCAAGTAGCTGGGATTACAGACATGCGCCACTACACCCGGCTAATTTTTAGTTTTAGTAGTGATGGGGTTTTGCCACGTTGGCCAGGCTGGTCCAGAACTTCTGCCCTCAGGTGATCCGACTGCCTCAGCCTCCCAAAGTACAGGGATTATAGGCATGAGCCACCATGCCCAGCCAGTACTTTAATATCTTGATAGTCTTTTCTTTCAAATATTCTATTGCCTTGGACCCTTAATCCAAAGCTTAAGATGCCTGGAGAAGAATTTCTCCTTTCATTAAAGTTTCTGACACCCTCCCTTGTTTTCACTTTTCCTTCAACACATACTAAATACTGATTGCAAAATATTCTCCAGATGACGCCTTTGGACTACTTTCAAAGGTTCTCCACGTGGGACTAGTTTTAAATCCTTGTAGGGGCAGCATCATCTTTGTATCTAAGTGATGCTGATATTATTAGAAGGGTTGGTGAAGGAAGCATTGCCACAGTTTCTACTGCAGTATATTCACTACAAACACTTGCTATTTTTCTTTTCTACAAGGATCAGTCAAGTATACTAAAATCTGAGAAAATAACTATAGGAGATCAATGAACATGGGATGTGCCCATCAAGATGCCATAGAACAAAACTGGTGACAACTCTATTATTTTGACATTTGTGGAAGCTGGTGTTAGTTAAAACCACTCTTTTTGTTTTAAAAACTTAACCATTCACAATGAATGACCAAAAATAATCTCTGAGAACTAAGAATATAGGTCATGTCCTATTTCTGAAGTCACTTCCTGACAAGCAGCAGCTACTCAAGGAGCACCTAGATAAACATACTCAAGAGTTTAAAACCGCAACCACAGACTGCTTTAGGTCAAGCAATGCTTAATACAACCAAATTCTAATCTAAGTTCAGTTTCTTCCAGTTGGTTTTAACATGAGTTCAGCTACGGAATGGCTGAATGACAGTGGAACTCTCTTCCACACAAAAGGAAAAATCCCTCTTGCTAATGACCTCAGAAGTTCATTAGGAAGACTGCTCTCTATCTATATATAATGTCTCTTCTATTGAAGTTGTCATGCTAGGTGACAGCCTACATAACATGTGGGAAAGAAACTCATCATTCATTTCAATTCAACTTAACAAAGATTCAGAGTGTTACCAGAGGTAACTTCATTCTTCTCAGCTACATCAACATATAGAACAGTTGGGGGGAGAAATAAATCAAAGGTTGCAAAATCTGACATCCTAGAATAAAAGTGATTCCAACTAGGCAAAAATCCACAAGACATTAATAATTTGGGGAAACTGGCTGGGTACAGTAGCTCATGCCTATAATCCCAACAGTCTGGGAAGTTGAGTGAGGTGGGTCTATGTTTGAACCCATGAGTTCCAGACTACCCTGGGCAAAATAGCAAGACTCCATCTCTATTTAAATTTTAAAATATTTTTGGGAAAAATGAATGCACTCCATCAAATAATAATAAATAACAAAATGCTCAGGAGGGAAGAACTATTTATTGGTAAAAATAGAAAATATTTAGGCCTGACACAGTGGCTCACGCCTGTAATTCCAGTACTCTGGGAGACTGAGGTGGGCAGATCACCTGAGGTCGAGAGTTCAAGACCAGCCTGACTAACATGGAGAAACCCCGTTTCTACTAAAAATACAAAGTTAGCTGGGCGTGGTGGCGCATGCCTGTAATCCCAGCTACTCGGGAGGCTGACGCAGTAGGATTGCTTGAACCCGGGAGGCGGTGGCTGTGGTGAGCTGAGATCGCGCATTGCACTCCAGCCTGGGCAACAAGAGCGAAACTCCATCTCAAAAAAAAAAAAAAAAAATTGGATACTCTGGTTAGAACTGAACTTTTACTGTAATATTAGTTAAGTCACTATAGGCTTATTTAGAATTCTACTGTTGCTAGCATTACATTTCCCAAAATATGAAGTATAAATTACACAAGGGTCTTCAGACATTCATAAAAATATATCACAAAACGTTAAAAGATATGATTGTGTTGGTGCGGTGGCTCACACCTGTAACTCCAACACTTTTGGAAGCCAAAGCAGGAGGATTGCTTGACCTCAGGAGTTCCAGAACAGTGTGGACAACATAGCAAGACCCTGTCTCTACAAAAAATACAAAAATTAGCCTTAGGAGGCTAAGGTGGGAAGACTGAGCCCAAGGAGTTGAGGCTGCAGTGAAACACGATCGTACCACTGCACTCCAACCTGGGTGACAGAGCAAGACCCTGTCGAAGGGAAGGGGAGGGGAGGGGAGGGGAGGGGAGGGGAGGGGAGTGGAAGGGGGGGGAAAAGGAAAAGGAAGGAAAAGAGAAAAGAAAGAAAAAAAAAGATATGCTGATTGTGATCATGGGTTCTTGGGGATCCACAAAGGGACTGCAAGGATCTACCAGTCCCCTGAAATTGCAGGCCAAATTTTCCATCTATGTGTTTATTTTCCTGGGGAGGGTGTCTAGAGCTTCCATGAGACCCTCAAAGAACCATCCTTGGAGATTTTGAGGTCTAACACTGGGTGTGGGGGCAGTATAAAGCACAAGGTAATTGCACCATAAGTCTGTTCAAGGTCCTAAGAAGGGTGAGGTAAAGCTATAAGGAAATCAATGCCCAGATGACAACTGTGTGGCCCCTTGTCTGGCCTGGAACGGGGTGAGGAGAAGTCTCAGGAAAGAGAACTGATGAAGTGTCTTATAGAATCAAACCTTTGGAAAATAGCATTATTAATAGTTAATATTAATAAACTGACAGGTTTGATAGCCACTTAGAAAAGCCTGGGACTAGGTAAAAGTTTAAAAAAAAAAACAACTTAGGATCAAAAAAAAACAAAGCAAGTGTTAGTTTGGGAAAATCAAGAGTTGTATGAGAAAGGGAATGTACACTACAGAACTCTGCACTGAACAATATCATAAATTCGCAAAGGCAAAGTAAACACTAGCTGATGATGCAGGCAAAATGTGATGAAACTACACGAGGAGGATAAAGCAGCGGAGAAAATGGAAGAGTGAGAGTTACATCCTATTCAAAAGGCATCTCACATTGATCATCAGCAACTAGCAAAGCAGACTATTACTTTTAAATATGAAGGTAAGTACAGAAGAAATGAGTGAAAGAGTTGAGGGTGCTTTCTGCTGGGGTGAAAAAGTGGAGGATGGGGGAGGGAGTGACGGGACGATTAAAAAACCTTTTGATTCTATGATTTTTAGGGATGTGTGTGCAATATGGTGTTAAAAGCAACATTTTAAAAATAAAAAGATAATCATGGCAGTCAAAATGGAAAGAGGAAGTCAGTCATCATGGGGAAGCTTTCAGCCTGAGGATGTGGGCAGGCAAAGACTACCCATTCCTTCGGCCTTCCCAGCTGGCAGATGAGTTGCAAGCTTTTACCTATGAGCTTCTGCAAAGGCCTGGGAAACAACCCAACTTGTCAAAGAGGCGACTTTCAACACAAGGAAGTAGGGCCTGAACACGTGCAGTATAGACACTAAGTAAAGCAAGGGGGAGTACCATGCTGTTTGAAGTCATTGCCTTGGAGCTGACATGTTTTCATACAGAAGTCTTCCAGTCTTGTGAAACCCCACCTCCACAATGAGACGTAATCTAGAAGTACCCAAAACCCCAATGGAAACTACAGACCTAGGATGCAAGCTGTTTCAGGATGGTGGGAACATGTTAACACCAATGAATTCCACAAGCATGAGCTCACTGCTGAACTTCTTTGCTTGTGAAATGAGTTCTAGCATTAGAACAGCATTGGCGGGATGCAGAAGCTCACATTTGTAATCCCAGCACTTTGGGAGGCCAAGGCAGGCAGATCGTTTAAGCCCAGGAGTTCAGGACCAGCCTAGGCAACATAGCAAGACCCCATCTCAACAACAACAAAAAAGAAAAATTAGCTGGGTGTGGTGGTACGTGCATGTAATCCCAGCTACTTGGGAGACTGGGGTAGGAGGATCACTTGAGCCCTGGAGGGTTGAGGCTGCAATGAGTCATGATCATGCCACTGCACTCCAGCCAGTATGACAGAGACCCCCCTCTCCCCATCCTGCTCCCCCCACCCCCAAAAATCATCACGCAAAATAAGACAACTGAGTGTTAAAATCACCCAGAAATAAGGCAAAATGGAAATTTATTGGGTTATAAGGTTTTTATTTCTACATATACACAGATAGACAAAAAGGGAAAGAGGAGATGTCAGTTTCTTTTCTGGTAGTAAACTAAAATAGGAATTTATAGAATGGATCTTTGTATAAATGACAGCAGGTAACATTCTATATAAATAACAGCTTCAGCTACTATTCTTCAAGACTTTAGCAACTGTTTTGTAAGCAAATGATTTATTTATTTATTTATTTATTTATTTATTTATTTGAGATGGAGTTTCGCTCTTGTTGCCCCAGGCTGGAGTGCAATGCTGCAATCTTGGCTCATGCAACCTCTGTCTCCTGGGTTCAAGGCATTCTCCTGCCTCGGCCTCCCAAGTAGCTGGGATTACATGCACCTGCCACCACACCTGGCTAATTTTTGTATTTCTAGTAGAGACAGAGTTTCACCGTGTTGGCCAGGCTGGTCTCTCAAACTCCTAACCTCAGGTGACCTGCTCGCTTCAGCCTCCCCAAACGCTGGGATTACAGGTGTGAGCCACTGTGCCTGGCCAGCAAATGATTTATTTATTTTCCACTATAGTTTGTTAAATATAAGTTTTGGGTTTTTGTTGTTGTGTTGTTTTGTTTTTTGTGGGTTTGAGACGGAGTCTCAGTCCAATGGCGCAATCTTGGCTCACTGCAATCTCTGCCCCCCAGGATCAAGTGATTCCCCTGCCTCAGCCTCCTGAGTAGCTGGGACTACAGGCACACACCACCATAGCCAGCTAATTTTTTGTATTTTAGTAGAGACGGGGTTTCACCATGTTGGCCAGGATGGTCTCGGATGGCCCGGCCAAATGTAAATTTTAATTCAGATATTACGTAAGGGCGGGCGCGGTGGCTCACGCCTGTAATCCTAACACTTTGGGAGGCAGAGCCGGGAGAATTGCTTGAGGTCAAAAGGTAGAGACCAGCCTGGCCAAGATAATGAAACCTTGTCTCTAAATACAAAATATAAAATTTAGCCAAGTGTGATGGCATATGCCTGTAGTCCCAGCTACTGAGGAGGCTGAGGCATGGGAATTGCTTGAACCCAGGAGGTGGAGGTTGCAGTAAGCCAAGTTTGCACCACCACACTCCAGCCTGGGTGAGAGCGTGAGACTCTGTCTTTAAAAAAAAAAAGATATTATATAAGGGAGCACTAAAACTTCTGCAGGAAAAAGATATCCTTACAAAAACCCCAAAGATTAGGCCAGGCGCGGTGGCTCACGCCTGTAGTCCCAGCACTTTGGGAGGCTGAGGCGGGCAGATCACAAGGTCAGGAGTTAGAAACCAGCCTGGCCAATATGGTGAAACTCCGTCTCTACTAAAAATACAAAAATTAGCTAGGCGTGGTGGCGGGCGCCTGTAGTCCCAACTACTCTGGAGGCTGAGGCAGGAGAAATGCTTGAACCCAAGAGGCGGAGCTTGTAGTGAGCTGAGATCGCGCCAGTGCACTCCAGCCTGGGCAACAGAGCAAGACTCTGTCTCAAAAACAAAAACAAAAACAACAACAAAAAAACAAAGATTAGGTACTCCTGTTTGCCGGCCCTCCTGCAGGAGGGAATAGTTCAATTCAGATCTATCCAAGCCAAAAGCAGGGGCTACTGAACAATCTGGAATGTTTCAGATAGCTGTCCTACAGTTGCCTAGAAAACTCAGCCTAAATTTCTAGTAAGGCTGGGGTTGGTAAACTATGTGGGCCAAATAGGGCCTGTCACCATTTTATTGTATGGCCTGGGAGCTAAGAAGTTTTTAAATGTCATTTCATGGTTGAAGGAAAAAAAAATTCAAAAGAAAAATGTTTTGCGACATGTGAAAATCATATGAAATTCAAAATTCAGTGTTTGTAAGTAAAGCTTTATCGGGACTTAGCCACATTCATTCACATATACTGTCTACAGCTGCTTTCCAGCTTCATCAGAAAGTCAAATACTTGCGATAGAGACTATATGGCCCCCAAAACCTGAAATATAAGTTTGCCTTTGCCTGCACTAAGGAAAAGCGCTGCCCTTAATTGTAACCTTGGAAGATGTGATGTCAGATGAGAAAGTACAGTCTCCAAGCAGTCTCATTATTTAAGGGCACTTAAGTCTTCCAAAGGTCCATTTCAATTAATCCCAAGTAGCCAAAATATGTTTTCTTTTCCACCATGTAAAACCCCCAATCACCTATAATGCATCTTGTTTAAAATGTGCAGTGTTTACATCAAATATTTATCTTAAATTGGTCACGCCACATTTGCCTGTTTTGATGTGAGATTCCTTTACTTAAGCCAAACAGGGAAGGGGAGATAAGTGAATTATGAACCTCTGTGAGTAACTGGAATAACTCACAGAGTTATTTGGGCATTTGGGATCGAATAATCAGAAATACAAAGTCTGGGCTTATCTTTAAGATATCTGGTCGCAGTGGCTCACGCCTGTAATCCCAGCACTTTGGGAGGCTGAGGCAGGTGGATCACCTGAGGTCAGAAGTTCAAGACCAGCCTAGCCAACATGGTGAAACCCCACCTCTACTAAAACTACAAAAATTAGCTGGGCGTGATGGCAGGCGCCTGTAATCCCAGCTACTCGGGAGGCTGAGGCAGGAGAATCACTTGAACCCAGGAGGTGGAGGTTGCAGTAAGCCAAGATCGTGCCATTGCACTCCAGCCCGGGTGACAAGAGTGAAACTCCATCTCAAAAAAAAGAGAAAGATATCTAGAATAATTTTTCCAAACTTTTTAAATGCCCCACCTATGATATATACTATAAGTAAACACAGACACACAACTCTGTACCTTTTATTCTAAAGTATACATTTTCGTACATCTTAACATCTCAGAATTTTGGCTGTGCCGCCCCGTCTGGGAAGTGAGGAGCGCCTCTGCCCAGCCACCCTGACTGGGAAGTGAGGAGCCCCTCTGCCCGGCTGCTGCCCCATCTGGGATGTGAGGAGCACCTCTACCCAGCTCCCCACTGTCTGGGAAGTGAGGAGTGCCTCTGCCCAGCCGCCGCCCCATCTGGGATGTAAGGAGCGCCTCTACCCAGCTCCCCACCGTCTGGGAAGTGAGGAGCACCTCTGCTTGGCCACCAACTGTCTAGAAGTGATGAGGGCCTCCGCCCGGCTGCCACCCCATCTGGGATGTGAGAAGCGCCTCTGCCCAGCTACCCACCGTCTGGGAAGTGAGGAGCGCCTCTGCCCGGCCGCCCCACCATCTGGGAAGTGAGGAGCGCCTCTGCCCGGCCGCCCCACCGTCTGGGAAGTGAGGAGCACCTCTGCCCGGCCGCTGTGCAACCTTCTAAGTGTGAAGTGACAGCCTTGTGTGTGATCTTTTCTGTCTTCCCCAAGTTTGCATTTTCAACATTAAAGTTTACCTTTTAATTTTAAAAAATAATAATAATTTTGGCTGTGCCTTGTAACAGTACCTCACAGTAAGAGGTACCTAAAATAATAGTGCTATTGACAAGTGATAACATCTTGTCTTCAGTGAACCTAAGACATCGGGAGATGAGAATATAAACACATTTTTGGGAGTTCTAATGAGAAACTCTCCTCTCACCTAGAGCAAGGAATTGTTTCCAAAGGCAAACAAGATAGAGGTAGATTTTTATCCTCAATTTACTGCAAAACTACTCTGTTTTCTTCACTTCATAATAGGAGGGAGCCATTATTATCCTTAATTCTCAGCAAAGGAGCTATCTGAATTATTTGATACAGATTGTACTCAAAATACAGAATTCACACCGCAAATATTTTCAGTTGGGTCCAAAAATTATAAAATACCAATACAGTGGCCCAAACTGAAAGTTAAAATGGTTCTACACACTGAAGTATAATAGTTAAGTAAATACTGGATATTTAAATATTGAGGAAATGAAATAAGCAGTGTGCTATCACCTCGGTAATCCTATCAAAGGCATCTCAGCAGCTGCCTCTGCATGTTCCTGAAGCCTGAATGTGCTACGCCACCTACTGTACACATCTCCTTCACGACAACAACCGTTCCAGGGGGATACAATCCCACCATGCCCAGCTGCTGCCACAGAACATGGGCTGAAAAAGGAGGGATGCAGGGACTGCTCATGACCTTGGATCTCAGACTCCCATTTCACCTGCCTCCCCTACTCCACATCCTTCCCTGCCACCTCCCTTGCAATAATGGAAAGGGAAATACATTCCCAGAAACCTTTCCTACAATGTAAAAATATAAAATTCCTTGCCTTATTTGTCCCTAGAGTAAAATCAATATGGACTCTGAGGCACGTTATTAAATAAGTTGTGTGTGTGTTTTATAGTAAAATGGTTCACAACGAAAACTAGGTTTGTTTGGAGCTTTAAGAACTTTAGGTTTCAAACATCCATGTGTTGATCTGACTGCTCTAGATGTCCTCTCAAACACACTCTGAGATCCCCCAGATGCAAAGCCTCCTAACGTTTACAAGTGCTCGTGTAGTCTTCTCGAATGTTGCTCTGGGATGAAACAACTGGAAAGTTATATGGCTCGGAGATAATTTCCAGCAGACCGGGACATTTAAAATTTTATTGTTGGTGGCCGGGCGCAGTGGTTCACGCCTGTAATCCCAGCACTTTGGGAGGCCGAGGCAGGCGGATCACCTGAGGTCAGGAGTTCGAGATCGGCCTGGGCAACATGGTGAAACCCCGTCTCTACTAAAAATACAAAATTAGCCAGGCATGGTAACACATGCCTGTAATCCCAGCTACTCGGGAGGCTGAGGCAGGAGAATCGCTTGAACTGGGAGGTGGAGGATGCAGTGAGCCGAGATCGCGCCATTGCACTCCAGCCTGGGCAACAAGAGTAAAACTCCATCTCACCAAAAACAAAACAAAACAAAAAAAATTGTTGGAAGAATATTATGCAGAAGGAAAGAAATAGGAGCCGAGTTAATGTCACATACTGTCAGCCTGAACCTCAGAATTACAGCCAAGGAAAAGGTTTTGGGAGAAAAATCTCAGGAGCATGTAGTCCAATCTCACCCATGATGCTTTGATATTGGAACCAACAGGTAAGTCTATCTGAAGCTGTATGCGCATATGACAACATCGGGAGAATGCAGGGACTGGGGTATGGGAAGCAGGACTGTGTAGCACAACTATATAGATAAGCAGCTGCCCTGGTATGCAAAATTTACTTTTACCCTTTCTTTTTCTTCCGCCCCTTTTCTGAGTTACCCACCCCTCCCTTCCACTGTGTGAAAAGGTAAAAACTAGCAAACGAACAACAAACCAGAAAATCCCACTGCTTTTAAAGTTTCTGACTGTACTCGAGAAGAACTGTCTGAATGAAAAAGTGTCCACATGTTTCACTCCTCATCCTGGGCAATACAGCCAGACACGGCGGTGAGAACACTTGGCCCCAGCTGCAGTCCCAACTGGACAACAGTTAGGAGGAGGTGAGTGGGTCAGAACAGCCTGCAGCCAGGCTGATCAGGTTGTAGTCCCCCTCCTGCCACTCGACTAGCAGGGTGACCTCGGGAAGTTACCCTCTTGGTGCCTCAGTTTCCTCTTTTGCAACACAGGAATTAATAGGACCTAGTACGTGAAGGACTCTTGTGTGATTGAGTTAATCTATGTAAAGCACTCGGCACAAGGCCTGATGGGCGGCAACTGCCACATGTCTGCGGAGAAACCTATGATACAAACACAAGAGTAGGGAGGTCTAAGAGATGCAGAGAGGAGTACAGCATCAATGCAGTCACTCAACCCTCACTGGATGGAACTGGTGGGCACACTGTTGAGGAAATGAGGGCATCAAATGATGGCTGGGCCAGATGACGTTCAAGGTGTTACCCTACCCTGCAAGTGTGTGATTGTATATGTTAAGTGACAGTCACACACAAGAAAGCTCCTGTCATTCCAGTTCCCTCAATGATCTACTATTAACTACCTCTGACAGCTCTCCCATCTGCCTGGCTCACTCCCAGCACTCCTGCCCTGGGCCAGACCTTCACTGCCTCTAACCCTGCCTCTGGAAACAGTCTCTTAGTGCTCTCTCAGCTTATTTGCAATTTTACCAAATCTATTCCATATCAACCTGTCACTTTTGTTTTGGGCTTTTAAAATCAAAAGAAAAGAAAATGCTTGGAGAGATTATATAAATTACTAAATTATAAGGGAAAAGTGATACCTAAAATTGAGATATTAGTAATAAGATCTCTCTTCTAAACTTAGTAGGCAAGAAGCTTGAAAGCCAATAATGACAGGCTAGAGTTTCAAACTCTTCCAGTCCAATTCCTGAAGAATCTTCTTTCTCTCCCCTTCTACCCTCACCGTCCCCTGGGCCCTCTGGTTCATTTACGCAGATGACAGTGGTAAAAACTGTTTCGTTGTGAGCTGCTTTTAATGTACCTGAATTTGGTGCGTACAGGACTGAAAAGGATGCTAAATTAATAGCCAACCTAGTAACTACGCTTAGGCAAAGCCTTCTTCAAACCATTTTGGAAAGTTAATTATGACTTTTATGAAGGGAAAAAAAAAACAGAACTCATTATGCAGTCAAGAACTTGTTTCTAACCATATCCAAACTATACTCGGAAGTAATAACCTGCTTTTAAAAGTGGCAGGAGCACTTCGGGTGGCCAAGGCAGGTGGATCACCTGAGGTCAGGAGTTTCAGACCAGCCTGGCCAACGTGGTGAAACCCTGTCTCTAATAAACATACAAAAATTAGCCAGGCATAGTGGCATGTGCCTGTAGTCCCAGCTACTCAGGAGGCTGAGACAGGAGAATAACGTGAACCTGGGAAGCAGAGGCTGCAGTGAGCCAAGATCACACCCACGCACTCCACAGCCTGGGCGACAGAGACTCTGTCTCCAAAAAAAAAAAAAAAAGTGGCAGGAGGAAAAACATCAAATTTTTCATGCACAATTTTTGAAAGTCATTGCAACCACTACTAAATCTGACTCCACTCCCATTCCCCCTTAGTCAGGCAATACCTGTTTTGTGGCTTTTTGACAACCCAAGGTCAGCCTTAATTAATCTCAGGTGCTTCAAAGAGAATTTATTGAGAAAAGGACACTGAGAAGATAATCTGGCCTTTGCCCCAGTCATCACTCACCTTATATGTTATATATATATATTTTTTTTTCTCTTTATACTTATTTTCTGAAACCAAAGAAGCCACACTCACCTTTCTTCAATTGCGTTTTTCAAGCAGTTAGATGCAAAAGAAGGCCCCCACATAGCAAAATACTTTTTGAAGTTAAAACAATAAGTTTGCATATAATGTTAATCTGGATAAGAGCCTACAATATGACATGGCATAATAAATACTATGGAGTTAACAATTTTCCTGTTTTTCCCTAAATAGGAATTTTCCTACATTAGCCAAGACTATGATTCTTTTATCTGCAATCAGAATTCTTATATACCATTTTGGCTAAATATCAACCTCACTGCTTTTTGAGTGCCACAACTCCAGAGGAATCAGGTTCCCTACATTTAGATTTAACATAATACTGGCTCTTATCACCATCCGGGCCTTTATTAGTATTAGTAAACAAGGTCACATAGGTTTAAGAAATACTTTTTAAAACCTTAATTTATGGCCGGGCACAGTAGCTCGCGCCTGTAATCCCAGCACTTTGGGAGGCCAAGGCAGGTGGATCACCTGAGGTCAGGAGTTCGAGACCAGCCTGATCAATATGGTGAAACCCTGTCTCTACTGAAAATACAAAAATTAGCCAGGCATGGTGGCATGTGCCTGTAGTCCCAGCTACTCAGGAGGCTGAGGGAGGAGAATCCCTTGAACCCAGGGGGTGGAGGTTGCAGTGAGCTGATGTATCACTCCTATGTATTCCAGCCTGACAGAGCGAGACTCAAAAAACAAAACAAAACAAAACTTAATTTGAATAAAGCTTAATGTGAAAGAAACCTATTACCATAATCTACATCGGCAGTCCCTGGTTTCATGGAAGACAACTTTGCTAAGGGGTTGATGAGGGGGTGAGGGGGCTGTGTGATGATGGTTTCGGGATGAAACTCTTCCACCCCAGATCAAGCATTAGATTCTCAAAAGGAGCATGCAGCCTAGATCCGTTGCATGTGCAGTTCACAATAGGGTCTGTGCTCCTATGAAAATGTAATGCTGTTGCTAATCTTGTAAGTGGTGCTCAGGTTGTAATGCTTGCTTGCCCGCGCCCGCTGCTCACCTCCTGCTGTGCAGCCCGGGGCTTGGGGACCCCTGATCTACAGGATTTGTATTTAAATCTTTTCCTCTTATAACCAAATTTTGGCAGCAGTGGAGAGTGTGGTATTACACAATATACACCCACCATGTGATTTTCATAACACTGCCCTAAAAGAAAGGGGGCTCCAAGGCACCACCAGCAGGCCCGCCCAAGGGAGCTGCAGACTCAAAAAAGGACACCTTGTTATATTTTAAATTTTCAAGGAAAATGTGCCAGCACTTGTTAGATACTGCCCCAATGACCACTATTAAGTCATTTGGACATGACTACTCAATAAAATCCACAGTTATGTTACTTATCTCAATGGCCTAAGGGTGCTGGGGGCGGGATGACTCTAAAGCATTATGAACAGAGTTTGTGACCTTCTGCGTTACGCATTCCTTTCAAAGTATGTGGTTTGGTTTAGCTGGGAAACTGGAGGAGAGATTAACCCAGGGAATGATCTCCAATATCTAGCAACTCTTCTCTATCCTCCCTCTGAGAAGAATTTTGGGAAAGAGCACATCTGGATAATAATATGTATACTGTTTTAGAGAAGAGGAGGAAAAACCACATTCATTTTCTACCAGCAAGAGCCCCCAGTATCTTTCCACAGAGGTCAACCTGAAACTATTCAGCCTGGGAGAAAAGCTATCTGGCCTAGTATCTGGAATAAGTGAAAGCAAGACATGACATGTTATTATGTAAATGTGGATTCCCAACAAAGATGTGAACAAAAGAGAAACATACATTATTACACATGGTGAAGTTCTTAACACAGCTATGGAGACCAGGGAAAATGACAGATCTAGATCATTCCAACCCCCATTAGAGTCTCAGAGGGAGGCTTCAGTAACTTTGGTTTTCTTAATTGATAATGGTAACATTAACTCCTTTAGTTCTAAACAATCTTTAAACATGCAGAGCCCTGCTTTAAAAAGCCGAAACCAAAACAAAAAGCCTGTCCTCTAACCCCAGAAATCCAGATTATGGTCTCCAGATGTCATTTCCTACAAAACATAGGCAGGGCTGCCTGGAGAAATGGCTCATTCCACATTTGGGGCAAGAAATGTACAAGATGAGCCTAGAGCATCTTGTCATACCAGACAATAAGAAAGCAATCAAAGACTACTAGGGTGGTCTCAGTAGCTCACACCTGTAGTCCCAGCTACTCAGGAGGCTGAGGCAGGAGGATTGCTTAAGTTTGAGGCCCAGGTGCATGATCACACCACTGCACTCCAGCCAGGGTAAAAGAGTGAGACCCTGTCTCTTCAAACACACACACATAAACACACACACACACACACACAACCAGGGACATGTCAAAAGACTCAGAAACCAACTTGAAGAGACTCCAAGTGGCCAAAGATAGCACAACTTGAGCATTAATTATATTAACTATTATATATCAGCTGTTCAGAGAAAGTTTATTTTTCTTCTTTGAAAGACTGAAAACAGGTACGGAGTAACAAATTTTATTTAGGCGTACTTATAAACTTTATCAAAATGGTTGTACTTTTCAACATAACATTAATAGCGCTCCCTTTTTTATTTTTTAAAGAGTCTTGCTGTGTCACCTAGGCTGGAGTGCAGTGGCACGATCACAGCTCACTGCAGCTTCCAGCTAAGTCCCAGGCTCAAGCAATCCTCCCACCTCAGCCTCCCAAGTAGCTAGAACTACAGGCACATGCCACCTGGATTTTTTTTTTTTTTCTGTAGAGACAGGGGTCTCACTATGTTGACCAGACTGGTCTCAAACTCCTGGCCTCCAGTGATCCTCCCAAAGCACTAGAATTACAGGCGTGAGCCACTGCGAGTTTTCATCGGTTCATTTATTACTTTAAAACAACCTTACTGGTCACCACTAGAGAATGAGGAATGAGTTCATTATTTTGAAAACTGACAAAGAGAACAAAACCACGTATATTTATCCATGTCACAAATACAATGGGTAGCCAAATAGTACATGAGGGAAAGCTTCTCTTTATACAAATATTCTAACTAATAAATGAAATAGGAATTATAGATCATATTGCAACCCTAATGATCAATAAATCTAGGTATTAAGTATCAATGG
This sequence comes from Homo sapiens, assembly GCF_000001405.40. Lineage (NCBI taxonomy): Eukaryota > Metazoa > Chordata > Mammalia > Primates > Hominidae > Homo > Homo sapiens. Next base: position 97,833,780 of record NC_000008.11, on the reverse strand, counting down.
TTCTTGACTTCCAAAAAGATGGTTAACCAGACATTATTTGCTTCCTAATGGAAGAAAAAATCGTCACCTATGAAGTAGTCTTGCAAAACAAACAGGCAAATCTGAACACAAAAAGCCTCTAGATCCAAATAATTCGCTGGTAATGCAGAAGACTACATGAGAGGCATGCAATCAGAATCATCTAGACTGTGGGACAACCTAATTTCTTCAACAAAAAATTATAAAGACAAACTACATATTGACCCATATATCCTGTTTCAAATAAAGTGCTAGAAAATTATCCCTTTATGACACAACTGGAAACCTGAGCACTTACTGGATATTTTATGGGATTAGAAACTTATTATTTTAGGTAAAATAATAACTCTTTAAAAAATAACAATTAAAAAATAACAATACCATTTTGTTATTGAGTGATTAATTGATTGAGATGGAGTTTCGCTGCTATTTCCTGGGCTGGAATGCAATGGCGCAATCTCAGCTCACTGCAACCTCTGCCTCCCAGGTTCAAGTGAACCTCCCAGGTTCAAGCGATTCTCCTGCCCCAGCCTCCCAAGTAGCTGGGATTACAGGCATGTGCCACCACGCCCGGCTAACTTTTCTATTTTTAGGAGTAACGGGTTTTCACCGTGTTGGCCAGGCTGGTCTCAAACTCCCGACCTCAAGTGATCCACCCACCTCGGCCTCCCGAAGTGCTGGGATTACAGGTGTGAGCCACTGTGCCTGGCCCCATTTTGTTTTTGTAAATATCTTTTAACAAAATATTGTCAGAGAAGGTCAGGAGCGGTGGCTCACACCTGTAACCCCAGCACTTTGGGAGGCAGAGGTGGGTGGATCACTTGAGGTCAGGAGTTCGAGACCAGCCTGGCCAACATGGTGAAACCCCTTTGCTACTAAAAACAAAAAATCAGCCAGGCGTGGCGGTGCGCACCTGTAATCCCAGCTACTCAGAAGGCTGCGGCAGGAGAATCGCTTGAACCTGGGAGGCAGAGGTTGCAGTGAGCCAAGATCGCGCCAGTGCACTCCAGCCTTGATGACAGAGCAAGACTCTGTCTCAAAAAAATAAAATAAAATAAAAATAAAATAAAATAAAATAAAATAAAAATAAATAAATAAAAAATATCGTCAGAAAGCTGAGACTTCAACTGGTGGTCTACCCTGATATTTCGGAGTGGATTATATCAATACAACTATGTTAAGAGAAAAGATAAATCTACCTTTTCCAGGAATATAATTCTTTCAGAAGAAAATTTTAAAAAATGGCTCATTGGGAACTGTGGGAAAATAGTAACATTATCAGTACCTCAGTTTCCTCATCTTAAAAATGGCAAGTTGTTACAAAATGACAGAGACTGACCAACCGCTACCAAGCAATTTCCCGGCATGTATGTCAACACACCAGGAAACAAACGCAGCTGGCATTCGACCATGGCCCCCAAATGTAGCTACCACAAACTACTGCCCACCTGGTAGCCCTTCTGAAGAAAAGAGGCACACTGTTAGAAGAGGTGGGAACGTGCAGTTGAAAAGTGTAGCTATTTTGATAAATTTTATAACTAAGCCTAAATAAACAAACCTGTTATTCCATACCTTTGTGTCTTTCAAAGGGGAAAAATAGAAGTTTTCTCCAAAAAGCTAGTAGGATGCATTTGGGGGACTTACTCATGGTTCTTAAATTCTCTAAGCACCCTAATTTCTATAAAATTTCTACTGGAAAAAAACAACTAGAAGTATATTTGTTTTGGGGAAAGCTCTCAAGCTGTGTTTTTCCTCTGCTCTCATACCACAACAATCAAAGCAGAAGGCTCCTGTGACCAAAGGCGTGGGGGTTTCTCCCACCAACAAGCAGCAGGCACCAGCTGGGTCTAATAAAGGCTCTCCTTAAAACTGCCCTCCTTACAGCCAAAGCCAGAGTAATCCACTGCAAAGGGCACCAAAAAACATCTGACCCCACTGCCCAAGGAAACGTCTGCGCCCACAAAACAGCGAAAGAGGCAGCCTCAGCGCCTGCACACGTTCCAGTCTCCGCTCCAGACAGCCAATACTTGTCTTTCTCATCTATCACTCCCACCTATTCTTCTTCTGAAAACCTGTTCTACCAGTCCTTTCCAACTCAAGGCAAGTGGTTCTTAGACCATGGAAAATTCCTTCTCCCTGCCTCACAAGCCCACTCTATCCTTTCTTCCTTTCATGACCACTTCCATGTAGGACACAAACCTCTCACCTGTCTTTTAGAACCCCTCATTTATTTCCCATTATGGAAATACATTCTCAAAACAAGCACATCTCACTGTTCTATCTGCCACTCTACTACTCCCCAAGGCTTCCTAAAATCCCCTCCCTTTCCCACACACCAAGCCCGAGGATTTACCCCCACAAAAGATTGGCAAATAGATTTCACACCTATGTTCCGAGTCTGCAAATTCAAACCCTCCTAGTCTGGGTTGATACCTTTACCAGATGGGTTGAAGCCTTTCCTACAGGGACAGAAAAAGCCACTGCAGGCATTTCTTGCCTAACTGACATAATTCCTCAATTTGGTCTTCCTACCTCCGTACAATCTGGTAACAGTCCAGCCTTCATTAGTCAGATCACCCAAGCAGTTTCCCAAGCCCTCAGTATTCAGTGGAATCTCCATGACCCTTATCATCCTCAATCCTCAGGAAAAGTAGAAAAGGCCAACAGTCGTTTAAAAACACATCTTACCAAACTCACCCTCCAACGCAAAAAAGACTGGACAATTCTTCTACCCTTTGCTCTCCTCCAAATTTGAGCCACCCTTCAAGAACCCACAGGGTATAGCCCCTTTGATCTCCTATATGGCCGCACATTTTTACATGGGCCCAACCTCATTCCAGACACCAGCCCTCTTGGTAACTATCTTCCAGTCCTTCAACAAGCTAGACATGAAATCCGCTGAGCTGCCAATTTCCTTTTACCCACTCCAGATACCCAGCCATATAAAGACATCCTAGCCCGACGGTCAGTTCTTGTTAAGAACTAACCCCTCAAACTCTACAACCTCGGTGGACAGGAACCCTACCAGGTTGTTTACAGCACTCCAACCACGGTCCGTCTACAGAACCTTCCCCACTGGGTTCATCGCTCCAGGATAAAACTGTGCCCATCTGACCACCAGCCTAACTCCTCTACCTCCTTCTGGAAGTCGCAAGTACTCTCCCCCACTTCTCTTCAACTTACTCGCATTCCTGAAAAAGAACAACAGCCCTTTGTATCTTTCATTTACAATAGGCCTTTACATAGCCACCCCACTACTTAATGTCTACCTAGGTCCCTAATCACCATTCTTGCCTACTTCTAAATGCCCTGCTTTTGTCTACATTGCCGGCTCACGCTTTTCCTCTGGACCATTGTAACTGACATCTCCTGGTCTCACCCTCAAGGTGCCACCCTTAACTCTCTCCTAGAGTGGATAGGTGACCTTGTGTGGCAAGGCACTCTCCAATTCTTCCACCTCGATGAAGTTCTTTTCTACTCACTTTGGGTCTCACTCCCGTTCTCCTGCTACCCTCTACCCCTCCCTAATTATCTCCAACATACCATCAACCTCACCCACCCACTCTCTCCTCACCGTCTCTAATCCTTTCTTAGCAAAAAATTGTTGGCTATGCATTTCCCTCTCTTCCTCCTACTACACAGCTGTCCCTGCCCTACTAGCTGACTAGGCAACCTCCCCCATCTCCTTACACCTCCAAACCTCTTTCAGTGACCCCCACACCTTTACCCTCCCGAACATCTTCTTCACTTTCTGGAAAATTCAGCAGGGGCTGGGCGCGGTGGCTCATGCCTGTAATCCCAGCACATTAGGAGGCCGAGGCAGGTGGATCACGAGGTCAGGAGTTCAAGACCAGCCTGGCCAACATGGTGAAACCCCATCTCTACCAAAAATACAAAAATTAGCTGGGAATGGTGGTGCGTGCCTATAATCCCAGCTACTCAGGAGGCTGAGGCAGGAGAATTGCTTGAACCAGGACCTGGGAGGTAGAGGCAGCAGTGAGCGAGGTTGTGCCACTGCATTCCAGCTTGGGCTACAGAGCAAGACTCTTGTCTCAAAAAAAAAAAAGAAGAAAGAAAAGAAAAATTCAGCAAAAACTCCCCCAATATCTCATACTAACAGGCTGCTGCTCTTCTCCCTACCTACCTACGAGGTCTATCTCCCTACATCAATTCCACACCCCCTGTTCTTGGACACCTCGCTACACAGACAACTATCCCCATTGCTGCTCCCTTATGCATCTCCCAACAATTACCTACTGGAATTCCCTTAGGTAACCTCCCGTCTTCCTTATGTTCCTTTACTCTTCACCTCCAAAGCCCCAACACTCACATCAACCAGAAAATTGGAGCATTCCAGTCCCACTCTCATCACAAACAGTCTTTAAAACATTGGTAGCAACTTTTGTCTAGAAAGACGCTTACCGCTCACTTGCTCGATCTTTGGCTACCCTCCCCCGTTCAACAGATTCCCCTCCAAGTCCTTCTTCTTGCCTGCTTATACCTAGTCTTATAAATAACAGTGAATGGCTACTTGTAGATACCAAGCGCTTTCTTATACACCATGAAAATAGAACCTCTCCCTCCACGCAGCTCCCCTACCAAACCCCGCTACAACCTCTAACAGCTGCTACCCTTGCTGGATCCCTAGGGGTCTGGGTGCAGGACCCCACTTCCAGAACACACTCTTACCTTTTTACTCTGCATTTCCAGTTCTGCCTGCCTCAAGGACTCTTTTTCCTCTGCAGCTCTTCCACCTACATGTGCCTCCCTGCTAACCGGACAGGCACCTGCACTTTAAATCTTCCTTACTCCCAAAACCCAGTTTGCAAACGGAAGCGAGCAACTCCCCATTCCCCTTATAACTCCAACAAGACAAAAAAGAGTCATTCGATGAATTCCCTTGCTTATAGGATTAGGAGTTTCCACTGCCGCAATCGGAACAGGAGTAGCAGGCCTTGCAACTTCTATCACCACATTTCGCAGTCTCTCCAATGACTTCTCCGCTAGCCTTACCGATATAACTCACTTTCTGTCCTCCAATCCCAAGTCGATTCCTTAGCCGCAGTTGTCCTCCAAAATCGCTGAGGCCTCAATCTGCTTACTGCTGAAAAAGGAGGACTCTGCCTATTCTTAAATGAAGAATGCTGCTTTTACGTAAATCAATCAGGCCTTGTATACGACAATATCAAAAAACTTAAAGACAGAGCTCAAAAACTCACTAATCAGGCAGATAGTTATACTGGACCTACTTGGCCATTCTCTAGCTTAGCTTCATGGCTCCTCCCACTAACAGGCCCTTTAGCACTCATCCTTCTCCTTCTCTTATTCGGACCTTGTCTTTTCAGGCTAATCTCTCTGTTCATACAAAACAGCATCCAAGCTATTACTAATCACTAAATTCGACATATGCTCCTTTTAACAACTCGACAATGTCACCCCCTGCCCCAGGGTCTCCCTTCAATTTAACCTTTCTCTCTCACTTTAGGTACCCACGCCACCCCTAATCCCGCTTGAAGCAGCGCTGAGAAAAATCTCCCATCATCCCTCCATACCACCCCCAAAATTTACACCATAAATTTTCTCCATACTTCACTACTCTTTCTCATTTTTGTTTTTCCATTATTAATATAAAAAGCCAGGAATGTGAGGTCTTCTGAGAAAGCTGCACCATGGTCAAGCCATTGTAACCTCTGTGACCCACACGTATACATCCAGAAGGCCTCCTGGAGCCAGAAAGTCTAGGACAACAGGAAAACCACAAAAGAAGAAAAACAGCTAGCTGCCGTCTTAGCTTATTAGCCAACCTTGCAACATTCTACCATTGTAACAGACTCTACCCTAACTGATCGATCAACCTTGTGACATTGTGCCCTGTGACCCTTCCCGCCTGTGACCCCTTCCCCTGCCCGCAATAAACGGCCCCTAACTGTAACTTTCCACTGCTTACCCCTAACCTATAAAACTAGCTCCAATCCCACCACCCTTCGCTGACTCTCTTTTTCGGACTCAGCCCGCTCGCACCTGAGTGAATAAACAGCCTTGTTGCTCACACTTAGCCTTTTCAGGTTGTCTCTTCGCTTAGATGCGCACATAATACTATCTACCTGGAAACAGTGTCAGATCCCACAGGTTAAGGGCTCAATCCCCAAAAGTGTCCCCTCCCCACTCCAACACTCTGCAAGTCTGGGCCTCAGGAGCTTCTGACCAACCAGCCTTCAAGTTGAGGTTCCCATAACATTTTGGACTCAGAAACACTTACTGAGGTTTACTGGCTTATTATAAGGATACAAGGGATACAGATGAAGAGATTCATAGATATGGGGGAAGGAACATGGAGCTTCCAAGCCCTTCCTGGGTGTACCACCCTCAAGGAACCTCCAGGAGTTCAGCTATCCCTAAGGAAGCTTCAGCATTCCTAAGGACAGTCAGCATTCCTTCCCTCAGGGTACGAGGCTGGACCCTCTTTAGGGAAGGTCTTAAGACCCACAGTTAGAAAGGAAGGGGGAAGATTAGAATCCTGCCTTAGTGCAGAAGTAAGTCAGAGATTCCCTAAGACCTGACACACCTAGGGTAATAACCAAAGACTAACAATGGCTATGAAGAGTTAAGAGCCAGGAACTGTGGATGAAAACCTATGTATCGCCTCCTCTTTCATAACACCACCATATCAAAACAAGCACATGCAATATGGGTATTATTCTCTGCTCTGAGATACTTCTAAAAGATGGTGGCTTTATAAGCCCTATGTGCCATGAAATTTACAAAGAGGTTCTGATGTATCTTGTGTAACAACTTTACTGGTTCTTCAAACTTAAAAATCTCAAACCTTGCTTACATTTTTCATTAGTTCAGTAGAACACTAATTATGGACTTTTTATTTGTTTTAAGAAAAAGAAAAAATTTATAGATGGCTAAACAACAACTTGCCTTCTGCAAAAGTTAATGGGTAAAACAGGCCGGGCACAGTGGCTCACATCTGTAATCCTGGCACTTTGGGAGGCCAAGGCAGGTGGATCACCTGAAGTCAGGAGTTCGAGACCAATCTGGCCAACATGGCAACACCCTATCTCTACTGAAAATACAAAAATTAGCCGGGCGTGGTGGTGGGCACCTATAATCCCAGCTACTCGGCAGGCTGAGGCAGGAGAATCACTTGAACCCAGGGGGTGGAGGCTGCAGTGAGACGAGATCACACCACTTCATTCCAGCCTGGGCGAACAAAAAAAGTTAATGGGTAAAACAAATGAAAAAATACCCAACAACTCAGAGAAAAGGAAAAAAATTCTTAAGCCAGTAATTTTATCAAAATCACGAAAATTTTGAATAGATATTTCTTTCAAAGAGAGTTACAGACCCAGGAGTGATATTTTAAAGGGGTTGAGCAGAACACGTGATTACTGTAATCAATACACAGAATTCTGCAGACTCCCAAAACGAGCCTCCTCAGCACCTGGGTATGCCAGGTTTTGTGCATCTGGTCATGGCTGTCTATTAAACCACTGCTCATGCATATTTGATTGAACTCAAGAAATGTGTGGTGAGCATTTAGGAAAACTGTCAGTGTATAACATGCTTTAGCTATCACACAGAGTTCTCAGTAATACAGTAGCCTACACCCATATATTTAATACAAAGTCTGTAACTGTTTTAGTCTCATTTTATACACAAGAAAGTAAAGTAAGGAACAGGCTGGATTATTTCGGTAAGGTCAGAGTGAGCAAGTCACCAGAAAAAAACAAGCAAACTAAAAAACCAAAAACACAAAACTCTACTCTAGTATAAATTTGACGTCCTACCATTTATGTGTTCCTTTCACCCGTCCAGTCCAATCCTATCCGTTTTGACCCACCCATCCTGTCCCATGCCACACAGTTACATGTCATCCATCCCCATCGTTTTCACTAACCATGCATGGAGCACTTCCTGGTACTGTGCATTACATCAGGCAGTGACGACAGAGACACCATGAGGACTTATACCTTCATCTTACCATGAGCCAGGAAATTTCAAGATAATTTACATAAAGTGCATATGTTTTCATGGACTCTTCCAGTGAAGACATGTTTTCAAAAATCTTTTATGACAGGTTTGCAATTTTAAAGTATGAGCAACTAGTAGCAGAACAGAGATCATCTAAATTATTTTACTAAGAATACATACATAAGATAAATTACAAAGACATAGTAACTTTGCAGTTCTTTTTTACCTACCTGTAAACATCGCATCTTGGTTTAACTTCACATATAAAGTGAGTTAATATAATGTCATACAATGCAGAAGCGATATCTAGAATTATACACCATGGTTTAACAATGCAGGTTTAAGATAAATAATTACAGTAAGGTACATATATTATCTATCTGTAATACATTTTAAAATAAACCAGAGTTGAGCCATCTACATTTTAATATCCTGTAAGAAAAACAAAATACATTTAACTTCATAGTTAAATGAGTATTTTGATAACTAAGATGAATCTTTTGATAACTAAGCAGCTCATGAGTATGTTTCAGTAACAATAAAAATGTAGCAAACACTAGAAACACTTAAAGATCAGCATACAGTAAAGGTGTGGGCGAGATCTCTACCATAAGTGACATCATACCTACCGTAGTGTCATTGCTGGTAACATAAACCAGGACATCAGAGGAGTTCCTACCATTGATGTATCGGTAGCAGTTCCAAACACAGCTAATCAAGTAACCCTGAAAATGAGGAGTGATTATCAGATTTTTAATTTTCAAACTGCAGGTAATTTAGAATACCACACAGATAAAGCCATATTATAAAACTTTTATTGACATAAGCAATAAATGCACATATTATAACAGCTCTACTAAACCAAAAGTCCCTGAAAGTACAAATGTTGGGTATAGTAACTTCTTGGCACAATGTGCTACTGGAGCCGTATTCTATTACACCAATGGGGGTATGGGGGTGGTACTGGGGGAAGTTGGGAGAGGGGAGGGATGAGAGTTGAATGAGAAATTTCTAAGAATAAGTGTCTGGAAAGAACAAGCACACAATTAACATTATCGCTCCTGAATTCACAGAACAATCGAATGTATTAACTCATTTATTGCCACAGTTTAACTGCTTCTTTGGAAATTTTTCTTCTATATGATTATCTGTGATTTTATTACACAAGTCGATTTTTTTAAAAATTTCATAGCATATAAATTTATCTCACAGTCAATAAAATTCACTAAAACATTTCCCCTTTATTAACGAAATATCCGACGACGATACTTAAAATTAATGTCCAACATAAATACTGCTTAGAAATGAAACATGAGTTCACGGGAGATGTTTAAGCTATGAACTCTGTACTTTCATTCCATCATGTGTAATTGGATTAGAACTAAAGGATTTCAAAATCCCTTAACATTAAAATTCTTTGATTAAAAGAAGTTTAAACACATAGAGAAACTAGATTGCTAAAATCCAGGAAATACGTTGCTTATGAGAATGTAAAATGGTTGCAGCCACTCTGGAAAAGTCCGGCAGTTCGAAAGGTTAAACAGAGTTACAACAGGACCCAGCAATTCCACTCCTAGGTATTCTACATATAGTATATATATAATATATACCGAATAAAATGAAAATATACATCCACACAAAAACTTGAATGTTCACAGCAGCATTATTCATAATAGCCAAAAAGTAGAAGCAACCCAAATGTCCCTCAACTGATGAATGGATAGACAAAATGTGGCACCATCCATACAATGTGGTATTAACAACAATAAAAATAATGGGGCGGGGCCAGGCAAGGTGGCTCACGTCTGTAATTCTAACACTTTGGGAGGCCGAGGCTGGTGGATTACCTGAGTTCAGGAGTTTAGAGAACAGCCTGGGCAACACAGTGAAACTCCATCTCTACTAAAATACAAAAACATTAGCTGGGTGTGGCAGCGTGCGCCTGTAGTCCCAGCTACTCAGGAGGCTGAGGCGGGAGAATTGCTTGAACCCGGGAGGTGGCAGTTGCAGTGAGCCAAGATCGTGCCACTGCATTCCACCCTGGGTGACAGAGCGAGACTCCATCTCCGAAAAAAAAAAAAAAACTAAATAAATAATAATAATAATGGGACTGGGCACGATGGCTCACACCTGTAATCCCAGCACTTTGGGAGGCCGAGGTGGGTGGATCACTTGAACCCAAGAGTTTGAGACCAGCCTGGCCAACACAGTGAAACCCCGTCTCCACTAAAAATACAAAAATTAGCCGGGCATTGGGATGCATGCCTGTAATCCCAGCTATGTGGGAGGCTGAGGCAGGAGAATCAAGTGAACCTGGGAGGTGGAGGTTGCAGTGAGCCGAGATTGCGCCACTGCACTCCAGCCTGGGTGACAGAGTGAGACTCCGTCTCAAAAAAACAACAACAACAACAACAACAAAAAAAAAACAAAAAAAAAAACCATATTGTATGATGATTGTATTCGCATGGAATGCCCAGAATAGGCATTCTCAAGGGCCTTTGCAAGGCCACATGCATTCACCTACTACACACTCCAAAAGGGGAAAAACCTCGACCTGCTGTCTTGAAAAGCCCAGGTACTTCTTTCATTGACCTTATTTCTTATTTCACACTTCTGCAATATTGAATTAGAACTATTTAGTGGGCCGGGCATTGTGGCTCACACCTGTAATCCCAGTACTTTAGGAGGCCGAGGTGGGCGGATCACAAAGTCAGGAGATAGAGACCACCCTGGCTAACGCGATGAAACCCTGTCTCTAGTAAAAATACAAAAAACTAGCCGGGCATGGTGGCAGGCGCCTGTAGTCCCAACTACTCGGGAGGCTGAGGCAGGACAATTGCTTGAACCCGGGAAGCAGAGGTTGCAGTGAGCCGGGATCACACCACTGCACTCCAGCCTGGGTGACAGAGTGACACTCTTGTCTCAAAAAAAATAAATAAAAAAAATAACTAAAAGAGTATGACTAAATGCTTAAGGGGATGGACACCCGATTTTCCATGATGTGATTATTCTGCACTGTATCAAAATATCTCATATACCCCATAAATATATACACTTGGTATGTACCCACAAAATTTTTTTAAAAAATTAAGTGCATTCAAAAATATCTTTTAATGTCTGTATAAATACATCAATGAGTAGTATATTTTATTCTGCTATGGTTTTGCTAATTTAGACCATATGACTAGTAATGATGAACATGGTTGTGCCTTAATAAATAAATAAATAAATAAATAAATAAATAAATAAATAAAATAGAAGTCATACTGACAGAAGCTAACCCTAGGTCCTCTGACTCAAAATGTGATGTGGGCATTTCAAATAAGTACAAGTGAAAATGTTTAAAAGATTTAAAAAGTCTTTTTAAAGATAATTGTGAGGTCCTAGCTTCGAGTTTCTGGTAATGGCAGAGTTAGCTTGGTCAGACTAACCTTCCTGCAGGTAAGATTTATAAAATCTAGAAAAATTACTCACACACACAAATTTTAAGTCATGGGAGACTGACCAAAAACAAGCAGAAGTCAAAAGGGGAGTCTACCCTTCAAAGACGAACTACAATGAGTGAGATGTGAGTCTGTGGCCTTTCACCAGGGGGCACTGCCAGCCCTGCCTGCAGCCTGGATGGTAGGCAGCCCTAGCCTCACAGGCTTGGAGGTCAGAGGACAACATGTGGGGCCAAATACCAGCCAAGAAACTGGAGCGGAGGAGCTGGAGCTGCAAGGCAGTAAGGCCCAACATCCGTGTGTAAAATTCACTCCCATCCTTAACTGCTGAATGACACATGAAATCATGGTGTTTTATGATGGAAATTTAGACTCAATTCATTTTCTTTCATTATTTATTTATTTATTTTTGTTTTTATTTTTTTATTTATGTTGGCAGAAAAGCTGAGGCAGGGCTTCTGACATAAGGTAAAAGTGTCTTGGAACATGTCCTGGGTCCAGGGTCTATAACCCCTTGTGGCCTATGGAACACCAAGCTCTGTGCCAAAGGGTGGAAGGCTGCCCTGCCGCACTACAATCTAAGCCCAGAGCATAAAACCCCTTGTAGCCTGTGGAATATATCCAGACTCGCTGGCCCCTTGCTCCTTGCTCTCCCAAGATCACAAATTGATTGCATCTCGAATTAGAAGAACCTGTTCTCCCTTATCTCAAGTAGCAGAGCATATGCAAAACCGTCACAGCTACGCTTGATGCACCACTACCTTTCTATCCTCACGTCCTCACCTGTCCACCCCTACATCCACACGTCCTCACTACCTGCTTCTTTGTTTGATTACCAATAAATAGTGTGGACTCCCAGAGCTCAGGGCCTTCGCAGCCTCCAAACTGGCACTGGACCCCTGGACCCACTCTATGTACTCTTGTCTTGTCTCATTCCTCTGACTCCGCCGGACTTCACAACCCCCACGACCTGGTGTTGGGTCTGATCACCCCAACATTTCACTATTTTTTTTTGAGATGGAGTCGCCCAGGCTGGAGTGCAGTAGCTCGATCTCATCTCACTGCAAGCTCTGCCTCCTGGGTTCATGCCATTCTCCTGCCTCAGCCTCCCAAGTAGCTGGGACTACAGGCGCCCGCCACCATGCCCAACTAATTTTTTGTATTTTTATAGAGACAGGGTTTCACCATGTTAGCCAGGATGGTCTCGATCTCCTGATCTCGTGATCCACCCGTCTTGGCCTCCCAAAGTGCTGGGATTACAGGCATGAGCCACCACACCCGGCCTTATTTATTTTTTAAGAGACGGTGTCCCCAGCCAGGTGTGGTGACTTATGCCTGTAATTCCAGCACTTTGGGAGGCCGAGGCAGGCAAATCACCTGAGGTCAGGAGTTTGACACCAGCATGGCCAACATGGTGAAACCCGTCTCTACTAAAATACAAAAATTAGCTGGGTGTGGTAACAGGCGCCTGTAGTCCCAGCTACTCGTGAGACTGAGGCAGGAGAATTGCTTGAACCTAGGAGGCAGAGGTTGCAGTGAGCCGAGATCGCACCTCTGCACTCCAGCCTAGGTGACAGAGTGAGACTCTGTCTCAACAACAACAACAACAAGACGGGGTCTCACTCTGTCACCCAGGCTGAAGTACAGTGCTGCTATCATAGCACACTACAGCCTCACACTCCCAGCTCAAACAATCTTCTCACTTCAGCCTCCCAAAGTGTTGGGATCACAGGTGTGAGCCATTTCACCTGGCCAACTGGTTTCCAATGAACCACTTTCTTTCTACTCCTTTTCATCACAGTACCTATATGAATTTTCTGCCTCAATGCAGCTTTCCCAAGTTTACTGAGGCATGATTTTTGAAGAATGACATAATTTTATGCCAAAATTAAGACAATGAAAGGCATTGAGATTCAAAAATTCAAAGTATGCTGGGTGCAGTGGTTCACACCTGTAATCCCAAAACTTTGGGAAACCAAGGCAGGAGGCAGCCTAGACTACAGGGAGAGACCCTACCTCAAAAAAAAAAAAAAAAGAAAGAAAGAAAAATAAATAAAAAAAGAAAAAAGTTGAAAGCATAAAGAGCCATGAGAGTTTTCTACCCATTAGTAGCTCATAAGCACAAGTTATAATGATGGTTTTATAAACAGATTGACCAAGATGAAAAAGAATTTGCAGCAATTGATTGATAAGGGTGAGGCACTGCTGCAGGAAGTAGAAGTCATTTAACTTTGGGGGACATCAATTTGACAACCTATCAAAGGCTTTCCAACCATGAACACCCTGATTTTAAGAAATTTATCTTGAAGCCGGGCACAGTGGCTCATGCCTGTAATCCCAGCTTTGGGAGGCCGAGGTGGGCGGATCATGAGGTCAGGAGATCGAGACCATCCTGGCTAACACAGTGAAACCCCATCTCTACTAAAAATACAAAAAAATTTGCTGGGCATGGTGGCGGGTATCTGTGGTCCCACCTACTGGGGAGGCTGAGGCAAGATAATGGCGTGAAGCCGGGAGGCGAAGCTCGCAGTAAGCCGAGGTTGCGCCACTGCACTCCAACCTGGGCGACAGAGCGAGACTCCATCTCAAAAAAAAAAAAAAAAAAAAAAAAAGGAAATTTATCTTGAGATAAATGCATAAATATAAGGATGTACTTAAATATATTCACTACAGCCCTATTAAGTGAAAAAGTAAAAAATGTCTCAATGCTCATCAAGTAATTTATTAAATAATGATATTCATATAATGGATTGAGATAGAACAATATTCAGAAAATATTACACTTTTAGCAAAAAATTACAAAAGAATATCCATTACACAGACCTTGTAACAGACGTTGCAATATCATATACTATGTAATGTATAACATTATGTTAACTTATCTCTGTCCAAATATATTTTGGACTCCTTGATCAAACTGTGGAATTTTGATTAGTGTTTACCTCCAACATAGACAGCATAAAGAATTGTAATCTTAGGAAATCAAAAAGCAATTTGGATGTCCAAAGAAAGACAATAAACTGACCAAAGTTTGTTTACTTATTTGGTATTCAGGAATACACTTAATATTTTTAGACTATAAGTAAAATCTTCATGCTTACCTTAAAAGTCAAGATAATGCTAATAAACAGAAGAATAATAAGGACCAAACAGGTAGGATTCACTGACATGACATCATCTCTGTAGGGAAAATTAGGAGGCTGCAAAAGAAAAGGGCCTCATTAGCAAATCTCATTAATCATTCCAGACAGTATTCCTTGGGCACCAATTCAGACATGCTTATCAGAAAGCAACTGATTAAAGCAGACAGCTATTATTTAGAACCAATACAAAATTTCTAGCCTGACTCTGCCCTCTTACCATATAAAAGACGTCAGTGATCGGTATCCAGGGACATTTTGTATATCCAGGGATCTCTGAAATTTGTATTCTCTGCAAGTTCTGAACCATTCCTTTTTTTTTTTTTTTTCTTTTTTGAGATGGAGTTTCTCTCTGTCGCCCAGCTCAGCTACTTGGGAGGCTGGGGTGAGCAAATCACTTGAGCCCTGGTGGTGGAGGTTGCAGTGAGCGAGATCATGCCACTGCACTCCAGCCGCCCGGGCGACAGAGCCAGACCATGTCTCAAAAGTTCTGAACCATTCTAAAGGGCATATGCAGGGCAAGGGACAGAAACCTACTAAAATGAGGTCTTCTTTGCAAAGAGCATTTTTGTTGATGGTACTTCTCCCAAGACAGCATATTCTCTTATACTAGCAAGTACTTCCAGGGTGGGGGGAAATAATCAAGCACTACCATCCACAATGCTTAACAACCAGGTCAAAGGGAACCTTTTCAGGAGGATCAAAGTCTGCTACTATGGTTAGAGGGAGTTGCCGGACTTTCCCCACAGAACACTCACACAGCATTGATCAACGCCTACATCACTGGCCTAGGCAAGTGAATGGGAAGGCAGCCTACTGTGCTATCTCATCTTTTATCTCCCTTCACCATTCAACACTATGTGTTTGGATTCCTCACGAGCAATATTCCAAAACAAAGTTGTTTCCAATGTTGAGGAAGAACATGGAGAAGGCCCATGACTCATGGGCTTGGCTCCTGCTCACCAGGGTGAACACCACCTAATGGTTTTCAGTCTCCTTTCACTTGGGACAAAATATCTAAGAAATAAAATCGTCATTCTTTGTGATCAGATCATGCAACTTTACTCTTTTATTAATAAAATAACTTGGCCAAGCACAGTGGCTCATGCCTGTAATTTCAGCACTTTGGGAGGCTGAGGCAGGCAGATTGCTTGAGTGCAGGTGTTTGAGACCAGCCTGGACAACATAGTCAAACCCCATCTCTACTAAAAATACAAATTTAGCCGGGCATGGTGGTGCATGTCTGTAGTCCAAACTACTTGGGAGGCTAAGGTGGAAGGATCACTTGAGCCCAGAAGATTGAGGTTGCAGGCTGGGCATGGTGGCTCACGCCTGTAATCTCAGCACTTTGGGAGGCCAAGGTGGGCGGATCACCTGAGGTCAGGAGTTCGAGACCAGCCTGGTCAACATGGCAAAACCCCACCTCTACTAAAAAAAAAATACAAAAATTAGCCAGGCATGGTAGTGGGCGCCTGTATTCCTAGCACTCTGGGAGGCCGATGAGGGTGGATCCTCTGAGGCTAAATGTTTGAGACCAGCCTGGAAAAGATGGTGAAACCCCATCTCTACTAAAAATACAAAAAATTAGCCAGGCTTGGTAGCGGGTGCCTGTAATCCCAGCTACTCAGGAGACTGAGGCAGGAGAATGGCTTGAACCCAGGGAGGCGGAGGTTGCAGTGAGCCGAGATCACAACACTGCACTCCAGCCTAGGTGATAGAGTGAGACTCTGTCTCAAAAAAAAAAAAAAAAAAAAGTAAAGTTGGCCTGGTACAGTGAGTCACATCTATAATGCCAGCACTTTGGGAGGCCAAGGCTGGAGGATCACTTGAGTCTAGGAGTTTGAGACAAGCCTGGGCAACATGGTGAAACCCCATCTCTACATAAGATACAAAAAGAAAAATTAGGTGGGCATGGTGGTGCATGCCTATAGTGCCAGCTACTCAAGAGGTTGAGATGGGAGGATCACGGGAGCCTGGGAGGTCAACGCTGCAGCAAGCCATAATCACACCACTGCACTCCAGCCTGGGTGACAGAGACCCTGTCCCAAAAATAAATAAAGTTATTCCAACCTCATAGCCATTATAAGCTTCTTAATACCCTGCCACCAATATTCACTCATATGGTCACAAAGGACATTTAACCGTAAACTAGTCCCAAAATGATGCTTGAGAAAGGGATTCTATGGTCAAACAAATTTGGGAGCTAGTATACAGCAGTGTTCCACTTTCTTTCCACTTTCTTTTGATTTTTCTTTTTTTTTAGATGAGATCTCACTCTATTGCCCAGGCTGGAGTGCAGTGGCGTGATCTTGGCTCACTGCAGCCTCCACCTCCCAGGTTCAAGCAATTCTCCTGCCTCAGCCTCCCGAGTGGCTAGGGTCACAGGCGTGTGCCACCTCTCCCAGCTAATTATTTTGTTTGTTTTTGAGCAGAGTCCCACTTTCAACACACTAGCAAAGGCAAAAAGCTATCCTTTGTTGATAACTGAGAAAACTACATTTTACCAAATACGACTATTAGTAACTGGACTATAATTTAGGTAGGCACATCAACCACCACCATCACTGCCACCAATCATAACCCCGGCCCTCAAAACTTTATCAGGCCAGGCACAGTGGCTCACACCCATAATCCCAGCACTTTGGGAGGCCAAGATGGGTGGATCACCTGAGGTCAGGAGTTCAAGACCAGCCTGACCAACACAGTGAAACCCCATCTCTACTAAAAATACAAAATTAGCCAGGTATGTTGGTACATGCCTATAATCCCAGCTAGCTGGGAGGCTGAGACCCTGGAGGCAGAGGTTGCAGTGAGCCGAGATCGCATCACTGCACTCCAGCCTGGGTGACGAGAGCAAGACTCCACCTCAAAAAAAAGAAAAAAGAAATTTCCTATGAGTAACTCAGCTGCAAGCTAAAAATCCTGAAATTAATGTCTGTGTATCTCTACACATCCCTTACTTAACCAGCTTCCCTAATGAAAAGAATTAATGAAAAGGAGCAGTAAGAGGTCCACGTACCAGTTGCCGTATGTATTCCTGAATGGAGTTTGGATAAATAAGCACAGTGATTGCAACCAACATGTTCAGGGCAAAGTCAAAGATCTGGTAACAGAAGAATGGGATGATCCAGGCTGCGCGTTGCTAAACAGAACAGAAAATAGAAAGTTAATGTGTTCAATATTATAAAACAATATTTTTCTTAAATTCAAAGTATTTTATTAATCTGAAAGGAAATGGAAAAATTGGAATTCATTAACCCAGGTCATGGTGGAAACCAGTATGCCAAATATAAGCAGTCAACAAATAAGCTTCAGTGAACATTTCCAGGACTGGCTGTGTGTGGTGTCTCACACCTGTAATCCCAGCATTTTGGGAGGCTGAGGTGGGTGGATCACTTAAGGTCAGGAGTTCGAGACTAGCCTGCCCAACATGGTGAAATCACGTCTCTACTAAAAAATACAAAAATCAGCAAGGTGTGGTGGCACACACCTGTAGTCCCAGCTACTCTGGAGGCTGAGGTGGGAGAATCACTTGAACTTGGGAGGCGGAGATTGCAGTGAGCTAAGATCACACCACTCTACTCCAGCCTGTGTGACAGAGTGAGACCCCGTCTTCCCAAAAAAAAAAAAATTTCCAGTATAATATTGGTTTTCCTAGTACCACATAATACAAACGAGAGATTTAAACAGAGATTCTTAACAGAAAACTGGAAAGTCACTTCTCACTATAGACAGCAGCACAGATTACACATGTAAGAGACCAAGGAAAAGGCCAGCATCTTACTGCAAGCGGCTTACCTTGTACGCTCCGTAAGTAGCCATAGCACATATCAGGATCATGAGAAGAGAAATCGCAATGGCAATGCACATGTCTGCCGAAAGATTAAAAAGAATTTCTTTAAAAAAGACAATCAGTAGTGGATCCACTGAATACTTTCAGTCTCTTCTCAAAGGCATTTTGTAAATAAACTAGCATAAAGTTAGTAAATACTTTATACTAAGAGATTATTTCAAAATAGAAAAAGGGATATTGGTTTACAGATTTTTTTAATGTTTGTTCTTCTGGTCCACTGGATTATATAAATAATGAATTAGGTATTACTTTATAGATATATAGGTGTCTAACTTCTATTTTGTAAACTCATGTGTGCCTCAAAGCTCTAATGAAAGCCTTCATAGCTTCCGATCTTATTTAAAATAAAAACTCCGGCCAGGTGCGGTGGCTCACACCTATAATCCCAACACTTTGGGAGGCCGAGGAGGGCGATCACGAGGTCAGGAGATTGAGACCATCCTGGTTAACACAGTGAAACCCCATGTGTACTAAAAATACAAAAAATTAGCCGGGCGTGGTGGTGGGCACCTGCTGACCCAGCTACTTGGGAGGCTGAGGCAGAAGAATGGCATGAACCTGGGAGACAGAGCTTGCAGTGAGCCGAGATCGCGCCACTGCACTCCGGTCTGGGCGATAGAGCGAGACTCCATCTCAAAAAAATAAATAAATAAAAATAAAACCTTCATTTCTTATCAAGGCCTTGATGTTCCTCTTTATTCCAGAGCAGTCTACCTCTCTAATCTCGCCTCACCTTGTCCCACTCTCTTGCTTGCTCTAAGACAGCCATATCATCTGGTTCATTCTATTTTATTTATTTTTTCTTTTTTCTTTTTATTTTTTTGAGACAGAGTCTCACTCTGTCGCCCAGGCTGGAATGCAGTGGGACAACATTGGCTCAATGCAAATTCCGCATCCCAGGCTCAAGCAAGTCTCCCAGGCTCAAGCAAGTCTCCCACCTCACCCCCTAGGTACCTGAGACTACAGGTGTGCTCCACCATGCCAATTTTTATATTTTTAGTAGAGACGGGGGTTTCACCATGTTGGCCAGGCTGGTCTCGAACTCCTGACTTCAAATGATCTGCCAGCCTCGGCCTCCCAAAGTTCTGGGATTACAGGCGTGAGCCACCATGCCTGGCCTTCAACTTCTTTTTTCCTTTAGTCAATCTCTGGTAAATAAGGAGTCTTGTTTGGTCTCCCAATCTGGAGTTGCAGTGGTGTGATCATGGCTCATTGCAGCTTCAATTGCCTGGGCATTGTCACTATGGGATTATAGGCATAAGTCACCGCACCCGGACAAAAATATCTTAAACCAACTTGGCAGGTACACAACTGCTTGTAGCACCATTATTTGCTACGGGTAATAAATATTTTATAAATATTCTTTTATACCTACTCAATATTTAATAAGAAATAATTTTATAAAAATGAACCCCAAACTATTGGTTTTTTTAAACTGCTTTTCCTAGATCTGGCAGAACAAATTATTGTCAATGAGAAAAATAATATTGGTTTTCATTGTACATGCAACTTCTCTAAAAGCTTTGCATTTTTTCGACAGAGATCTAGAGGGGAAAACATAATCTGCATACTAAATCTCTACTAAATTGCAAATCACATCCTGATTTCAAAAACATTAAAATGTAAACAACAACAATAAAATGCATTGGAGAAGCAGCCGGTGAGCACGTTAAGAGCATGAAAGGAGGAATACTGGACACCAGAGCTGATCTAACTCCTTCTTAGCCAGTGGCAAACAGGACCTCAACAGATCCAGGGGATTCTGTAGGCTTAATGCATCTGGAGTGTCAACTTGACTGGACTGAAGGATGCAAAGTATTGTTCCTGGGTGTGCCTGTGAGGGCGTTGCCAAAGGAGATTAACATTTCAGTCAGTGGACTGGGAGACGAAGACCCACCCTCAATCTGTATGGGTACCATCTAACCAGCTGCCAGCCTGGCTAGAATAAAGCAGGTAGGAGAAGATGAAGAGCAGACTTGCTGAGTCTTCCGGCTTCCATCTTTCTCCCGTGCTGGATGCTTCTTGCCCTCGAACATCAGACACCAGATTCTTCCGCTTTTGGACTCCTGGACTTACACCAGTGGTTTTCCAGGGGCTCTCCGGCCTTTGGCCACAAACTGAAGGCTGCACTGTCAGCTTCCCTACTTTTGAGGTTTTGGGACTTGGACTGATCCATCACTGGCTTCCTTGCTCCTCAACTTGCAGATGGCCTATCATGGGACTTTACCTTGTGGTCATATAAGTCAATCCTCCTTAATAAACTTCCTTAAATATATCCCATTAGTTCTGTCCCTCTAGGGAACCCTGACTAATATAACATCCTACGATTTCAGTAAGACACTAGCAGAGCTTTTTATAGTATTCTTGTAGGCAAAGTAGGGAAATGTACACAGTTTGGTTAGGTGGAACATCAAGGTAAGTAGGGGAGTGGCTCTACCAGCTGGCTTCTGGTGCTGTTCCAAATCCATTCTTCAACGCCCTGTTCTCTGCCACAGGCAGTGATTTGTTTGGGCTATCAACATACAGCTCTTTTGCCCTCCGCCCTCTGGTGAGGGAATGAGATCACAAAGAGGGAAGTAGAGTGAGGGTGCCTCCCACTCTGAGGTTGTCTTGGGTTGGTGGTAGTCCTAGTCCAAATGTCACTGCTCCTCACATAGGTTAAATCTAGGTGACTCATTCCCAACTCCAATAACCATGGCTTTCCATCCATTCTTCAATTCTAGAGAAGAATAGTAAAATGGCTAGCCTAGATGATCCAAGTGACTTCACCAACTCTAGTGGTCTTCTCATACATACAAAGGCGTACTTTTGCAAAAAGTCTCCTTGAAAATAAACATTTAGGACGGGCGCAGTCGTTCATGCCTGTAATCCCAGCACTCTGGGAGGCCGACGCAGGTGGATCACTTGAGGTCAGGAGTTCAAGAACAGACTGTCCAACATGGTGAAACCCTGTCTCTACTAAAAACACAAAAGGTGGTGCATGCCTGTAATCCCAGCTACTCGGGAGGCCAAGGCAGGAGAATCACTTGAACCTGGGAGGTGGAGGTTGCAGTGAGCCAAGATAGCAGCACTGTACTCCAGCCTGGGTGACAGAGTCAGACTCCGACTCAAAAAAAAAACAAAAAACAACAAAAAAAAAACAAATAATTAATTTACTTATCCTTTAAAAAAAAGTCAAGATGTAGAGTATGCTACTTTTTTTGAAAGGATGGGAGGGCAGATTGATGAAAATAAAGAGCCAGGCCGGGCGCGGTGGCTCACTCCTGCAATCCCAGGACTTTTGGAGGCCAAGGTGGATGGATCGCTTGAGCCCAGGAGTTCAAGACCAACTTGGGAAACATGGCAAAACCCCGTCTCTACTAAAAATACAAAAATTAGCCAGGCATGGTGGTACGCACCTATGGTCCCAGCTACTCAGGAGACTGAGGTGGGAGAACTGCTTGAGCCCATGAGGCAGAGGTTGCAGTGAGCCAAGATTGTGCTACTGTACTCCAGCCTGGGCGACAGAGCAAGACCCTGTCTCAAAAAATAAAATACAAAAGTAAAGAAAATAAAGGGCCAGGATGGTTCCCCTGGCTCAGCTTCCCCTGCTGCTGTAGTTCTATTTCCTCAAGGCTGTCAGGATCTTTATGCACAAGCCGGCAAGCTGTGCAGACTGCCAAGTTAGTCTGCGGTATGTGAAGAGGGCAGGTAGGCAGCCAAGGGCCCTTTCCAAATGCCAGAGCAAGATGAGCCTTAGTTTGTGATGTTGAGAGCCATCAGGAAAGGCGGCCCTCCTCAGGTTCATCATTCTTTTTTGTTGCTGTTTCCTATTTCTCAGTTTTCATTATCAAAACTTCAAAACATGCACATACATATATAAGCATACACACAGTACAGTTAATTCTCATCACCCATTTTGCTTATATCATTTCATCTCTGATTGCTTCATTTTTGCCCATTCTGCCATTGGAAATCTGGATTGTTTCCAACTTTTGGCTATCATAAATAAAGCTACTATGACCATTTTTATACATGGCTGACGACAGATTTATGAAGCACCTGTTTCCCTAGGGTATATATCTAGGACTGAGTTGTGTAGCCTTCACTCCTGGAGTGTACGTATATCAAGGAGTGGAATGCAGGGCCATAGGGTAGATGTATATTTAGCTTTAGTTTTCCAAAGTGGTTGGCGTGATTTACATTCCCAGCCGTGATTTGAGAGTTCCAGCTGTTTGGCATCGATACCAATAGGTGGTACTGTTAACTGCGTTAATGTTGGTCATTTTGAAGGGGCACGGTAATTTACTACTGTAGCTGTAATTTGCAATTCCCTATAACTTGCAATGTGGAGAATATTCTCTTATGGATATCTTCTTTTGTGAGGTGTCTGTCTTTCTCTTATCAATTTCACCCAGAACCATTTATTGAAAAGACCATCCTTTCTCCAATAAATGTAGTGGTGTCTTTAGCCTAAATCAGGTGACTGTATATATAAGTAGCCATCATTTCTTGACAACTTATCTGGCCATTTCTTTCTTCAGGCTAAATTTGTCTGCCCAGTGAAGAAAGTAAGTTTGACCAGAAAGACAAATCTACCACAAAATTAATTAGAAATATGGATGAACTCCTGTTTCATATTATGCATAGTACAGACACTTGATGTTATAATTCTTTGCCAAACAAAATTTCACAAATAAAATTCCATGAAGTCTACTTCTACTCAGGGCTATGAGTGTGTAACACAATATGCCACACATACATGCTTTTCAAACATTACTCTTTGAGCTTCTAGGTCAGTGGACTGAACTACCTGTGCTTTACCTTTTTATTCTGATGTCATTTTAGACATATAGGAAAGTTACAAACACAGCAGAATTCACGTATACCCTTCACCCTGCTTCCCCTATTAACAATTTACCTAGCTGTAGCATAACTACCAAAACCAGGAAATTAACATTGGTACAACACTGTTAATTAAACTGTACAACTAATTTGAATTTTACCTGTTCCCCTTCAATGTCCTTTTTCTTTTCCAGAATCTAATCCAGGATCCCACAGTGCATTTAATTGTGTCTCCTCCAATCTATGCCAGTTCCACATTCTTTCCCAGTATAGTCAATTTTTATAACACTGAAAAAATTGAGGGCGGGTAGGGTGGCTCATGCCTGTAATCCTAGCACTTTGGGACGTCGAGAATGACGAATTGCTTGAGCTCAGGAGTTTGAGACCAGCCTGGGCAACATGACAAAACCCCATCTCTACAAAAAATTAGCCAGGCATGGTGGCTCATGCCTCTAGTTACAGCTACTTGGGAGGCTAAGGTGGGAGAATCGCTTGAGCCCAAGAGGTAGGGATTGCAGTAAGCCCAGATTGTGTGCGACACTGCACTCCAGCCTGGTGACAGAGTGGGACCCAGCCTCAAAAATAAATTTTTAAACTCATTTTCTTATATTTTCTTTCTTTATTCCAGTAGATTCTCCTATATGCCTCATTTCAATATAAATAGGAATTTAGCTTTCTTCTACCAGATCATGGAAAGGATCACCTGCAAAAGTGAGAAAGAGTTCTGCTCTGTCTGGCTGGATGAAATCTTCAGATAGCTGTCACCAATGTAAAAAGATATCAAGATAAAATTGCTATATTAATTTTCGTAATTTTTTAATTTGAGACAGGGTCTGGCTCTGTCACCCAGGCTGGAGTGCAGTGACACAATCTTGGCTCACTGCAACCTCTGCCACCCAGGCTCAAGTGATCCTCCCACCTCAGCCTTCCAAGTAGCTGGGATTACAGGTACGCACCATCACACCCGACTAATTTTTATATTTTTGGTTGAGACAGGGTTTTGCTGTGTTGCCCAGGCTGATCTCGAACTCCTGAGCTCAAGCAATCCACCCACTTTGGCCTCCCAAAGTGCTGGGATTACATATGTGAGCTACCGCACCTGGTCTAACATTTCTTACTCTGTCTATTCTGAATAACCCCATTATACTCATATGAACTCTTCCAGAAAAAATATTTAATTAATGTTAAATTCATGTCACTCTGCTTTCTTTCCCCTCAGATTAAAGCTACACAATTCCAGTAGCGGGATTCCTTTTCTAAGGCAATCGAGGTTAGGAAAAGAAGTTGTAAATGATAATGCTATGGTTCTATCTGGATCTGGTAGCAACACTGCATGCCTTATTCTAATCACCAGAGATTAAGCTGGGTAATAACTATCTGACATGATAGGCTTAATTTAGCTACCCTGAAAGGCTTGCTGGTACTTAAGACTTTAAAATAGTAATTGTTTTATAATGTCCTGGATGTTAATTCCAGTGCCTTTGTGGTTTCTCTCCTATTTTATATATTTGAAAGGACTGAATGAATAGTTTGTAATTACTTTCTTTTTTCTTTTTCTTTCTGAGATGCAGTCTTGCTCTGTCGCCCAGGCTGGAGTGTAGTGGCATGATCTCGGCTCACTGCAGCCTCTGCCTCCCGGGTTAAAGCGATTCTCCTGCCTCAGCCTCCCAAGTAGCTGGGACCACAGACACACGCCACCACACCTGGCTACTTTTTTTGTATTTTTAGTAGAGACAGGGTTTTGCCATGTTGGCCAGGCTGGTCTTGAACTCCTGGTCTCAAGTGATCCACCCACCACCGCCCCCAGCCTCCCAAAGTGCTGGGATTACAGGTGTGAGCCACCGCACCCAGTCTGTAATTACTTTCCATCATTTAAATCACGTGGTTATAAAGGTACAGAAAAGTGGATATTCACCTGAATCTGTTTTTTTAAACTTCTTTTATATGTGTTTTGGTCTCCTTTAATAAATAAGCTCATAGGCCAAAGGTTATTGGACACAGCTTTCCATATTTAACTCATGTGTGGACAGGATTAGTAATCCTTGAGATGGATTATTTAATTTTATTTTAATTTTGAAATGTAGTCTCACTCTGTCACCCAGGCTAGAGTGCAATGGCGCGATCTCGGCTCACTGCAAACTCCCCCCTCCCAGGTTCAAGCAATTCTCCTGCCTCAGCCTCCTGAGTAGCTGGGATTACCAGGTGTCTATCATGCCCAGCTAATTTTTGTGTTTTTAGTAGAGATGGGGTTTTGCCATGTTGGACAGGCTGATCTCGCAACTCCTGACCTCAGGTGATCTGCCTGCCTTGGCCTCCCAAAGTGCTGGAATTACAGGCATGAGCCACTGAGCCCAGCCTGAATAATTAATTACTTCAAATTGTGCTTGAAAATTATGAAAATTGGCCAGTTGTGGTGGCTCATGCCTATAATCCCAGCACTTTGGGAGGCCAAGGTAGGTGGACCACTTGAGCTCAAGAGTTCCAGACCAGCCTACGCAACATGGCGAAACCCCATCTCTACAAAAAACACAAAAATTAGCCATGTGATGGCACATACCTATAATCCCAGCTAATCAGGATCTCAAATCCCAGGATAATATAATGCCAACTTTTCCTTTTTTTTTTTTTTTTTTTTAAGTTATCTCTGCAGTAACTTTAATGCCCCAACTTCTTAATCCATGTTATGAAACAACAGTGGTGGAAGATGATGGCTAGAAAGCATCTCTTGGTTCTCTGTTTACTTCACTACCAGTTAGTTACTCTCTCATTCTTCCTCCTGGCCTCTTACAGTTGGAGCTCCTTCAGGGCTCAGTTCTGGGCCCCGTTGCCTTTTCTTTTTACTCTTTCCCTAACAGAAATTCAGTTTTTAGGCTGATATCCTCAAATCTGTAATCTCAGTCCAAATATTTCCTCTGGGCCACAGACTCCCATGCCTGACCTTTGTAACCTCTCCACTTTAAGATGGTTCACATGTTCCAGCCATAACAATCTAGATAATAGTAGCTGAAACAGCAAAAGGTACTGAGCACTTCCTATGGGCCAGGCCCCATTCTAAGCATGTTTTACGCACTAACTCATTTAATCCTCACAACAACTCTGAGGCAAGTAGATTTTAGTAGAGATGGTGTTTTGCCACGTTGACCAGGCTGGTCTTGAACTCCTGATCTCAAGTGATCCCCACCACCCTCCCAGGCTCCCAAAATGCTGGGATTACAGGTGTGAGCCACCGTGGCCAGTCTGTAATTACTTTCTATCGTTTAAATCATGTGGTTATAAAGTCACTCCTATCTTGCAGAGGGGGAAATTGAGGCACACAATGATAAGTCACTAGCTCAAGTTTAGCATCTTCAACACACGGCGGTGTCAGAACTCAAACTGACCTCTTCTGGCTTCGGAGCCTACACCTGTATTAGTCTGTTTTCATGCTGCTGATAAAGACATACCCGAGACTGGGAAGAAAAAGAGGTTTAACTGGACTTACAGTTCCACATGGCTGGGGAGGCCTCAGAATCATGGCAAAGGGTGAAAGGGACTTCTTACATGGCGGTGACAAGACAGAATGAAGAAAAAGCAAAAGTGACCTGTTGCCCAGGCTGAAGTGCACTGGCGCGATCTCGGCTCACTGCAACCTCCGCCACCTGGGGTTCAAGCAATTCTCCTGCCTCAGCCTCCCAAGTAGCTGGGATTACAGGCACTCACCACCACACTGGGCTAATTTTTCTATTTTTAGTAGAGATGAGGTATTGTCACCTTGGCCAGGCTGGTCTCGAACTCCTGGCCTCAGCTGATCTGCCAGCCTCGGCCTCAATCTCATGAGACTTACTCACTATCACAAGAATAGCAAGGGAAAGAGCAGCTCCCACAATTCAATTACCTCCCCCTGGGTCCCTCCCACAATACAGGGGAATTCTAGGAGATACAATTCGAGATTTGGGTGGGGACACAGCCAAACCATATCAATTCCAAACAACTGTGCTCAGCTAGTTACTGAAATTAAAGTCTATTTTTCTCCCCCAGGTCTGTTCCCACCTCCTGACTCCGGACTTTCTCAGCTCAGTTAAGATGCAGGTCATCTCCTAAAACTGGAAAGCAGAAGTCATCTTTGATTCCTCCGTCTCCTTCGCTGCCCAAAACAGCAAGTTGCCAAATCCTTCCCTGTTCTCTATCCCCAGTGCAGCCTAGGTGGTATCCCCAATACCACTCTCCCAGGCTCTGTGCTCACACACCCAGTACCCTACTCAGCAGCAAAAGGGATCTTAAATGCATATATCAGTTCATGCATTTAGTTAAAACCACTGAACAGCTTTTTCTTACTTGGAGAAACAAAGAGCCCTCACCATGTCTTTCGAATGCTTCCGATCTCTAAAACTGCATGTTGAGCCACTCTCTCCTCTCTTACTTTGCTCCAACACTTTTTAAGAAAAACTCACTTGAAGTTCTCCGAAGCCAATGAGAAATAAATCTGTACTATCTTCTGCTGGAGATTATGCACAGCACTACTCCTCTCCTTTGGCATGGACTCGGCATAATGATTATAAAATGATGAGGCTGCAGTGATCTTCAAGCTGGGAGCCTAGCTTCCTCCCTGCTTACCCCACATCCACATCCCTGTACATATTTCCATTCACTGGGAAAAGGCCCTAAATTCCCCCAAATAATCTGCAACATCATTTCTAGAATGGAAAAGGATCACTCCTAGAATAAAAATAAATACTGAAACATAATAGAAGACACAAGGAGATAAGCACAAGCCTTTTCACCTTCCTTCCTGGCATTTATACCCCTTCCTCTCAAAAAAGGCCAAAAGGCCCAGGGTAGAAAGTCTATGATAATGCAATCATTTTTAAGTGGGTAAGTTAACATAAGATGAAAATAGATCTTATTTAGACTCTTGCACCTAGAAGACAGAATGTTAGACGCACACAAATATTCGTTGATTTGCAATGACAAGTTATATATCAGCTCAAATGAACTCACGAGTCTATATTTGTAATTTAATAGGAAGTGCTGGCAGTCAGATTCCCTGCCCTTGAAAATACCCAAATATCTACTACTTACTGGCATCATCCATGAACTCAAAGTCACCTCCCAGTTCAGAACTTGAAAAGTTATACTGATCCGGATCAGCCAGGGCACTCAATAAAATCAACAGTACCACAGCATTGATGATCTGCAACAAGAAAAAAAAAAAAAAAAAAGAATTTAAGTAACCCCAGGATGCAATCCTTATAATAGAAAATTACACTGACCACATGGAGTCAGGCTGGCCACAGGCAACTTCTTCAGTGGCTTGACTCTCAACACTAAGCCCCACCCATGGAGGGAGCAGATAAACATTCCCAAGGCAGAAATGCTGCCAGCCCATTCAGTTGCAGCCAAGTGCACAAGGCTTGGAGTGAAGACAACAGCAGGATTTTACCTCATTCCCCCTGGCCCAGGCACCATAGAGCAGTGAACAACACACACAAACACAGGCATCAGCCCTGGCGCCAGTGGTTGAAAAAGCACAAAAACTTTCCAGTGAGTCAGCTACACTCTAGAGCTAAAGGTAAGCAACCCAAGTTGTCTCAGTTAATCAAACATTTTACAGGTTCAAACTAGTGGAGCTTTGAGAGCTTTGAAGCCATCTAGGAAGCAGTTTCAGAGAATGAATGCAAAGCTACATAGTGGATCCAGGATCATCCTTCTGCAATAACCCTTTCCAGGCCAGGCCAGGCCAGGCCAGGCCAGTAGTCCTGTCTTCTGAGTACTGCCCTTGGCTACTTTAAACTCAGCTCCTCTAAATGACAATCACCTTCTTTAACATCTCCCACTTCTGCCCTCCTTATTTGTTCTCTAATTTAAAAAATGGCCTCGCTATTAATAATTAATGAAAAACATTCAGGCACTATGCTAAGTGCTTTATGTGGAATCTCTCTTAAGCCCTGCAATAACCTAACGAAGTGGGTACTAAATTATTCCCATGTTATACATAGCAAACTGAGGCTCAGAGGTTAAAAAACACTGCCCAGGAACAAACAACTACCAAGCTGTAGAGATGGGATTTGAATCCAGGAATTTAGGTTCCAAAACCTAACCTCTACAAGTCTCCTGTCCATATACGAAACTTGATCATCTGAGTTTACCATCTTTATCCTGCACACTCAACCAACTGCAAAATCCTGATCATTCTACCTCTTCATTTCTATTTCCTTTATTCTTCCTGTCACTGCTGGACAATACACACACATATTAACTTTGATGGGGCTGGGGTAGCAAGGATTGCAGAGTTTAAGTGAGGCACCAGCTAAGACTGGGTTGTTGTCTGCTGAGAGACAAGGTGTCTATATTGCCCAGGCTGGCCTCAAACTCCTGGGCTCAAGCAATCCTCCCACCTCTGCCTTCCAAGTAGCTGGGCCTACAGGTGCGCATCACTGGGCCAGGCCAAGACTGGCTTGTTACTTCTTTACTATTCTAAGTTCAGAAACTTATGGCACAGTTCTATGTTTTACTCTTCTCAAATGGAGTGAAGATACACAGAGAAAAGCCTCTTACTAACAACACTAACTAATGGCATATCCTACCACAAAAATCATATTTGGGTTGAACACAGTGGCTCATGTCTGTAATCCCAGCACTTTGGGAGGCTGAGGTGGGAAGATCAGTTGAGCCCAGGAGTTCAAGACAAGCCTGGGCAACACAGTGAGACCCCATCTCAACAAACAAGAAAATGAGCCAGGCACAGTGGTGCATGCCTGTAGTCCCAGCTACTCAGGAGGCTGAGGTGGGAGGATCGCCTGAGCCCAGGAGTTTGAGGCTACAGTGAGCTGATGCGCCACTGCACTCCAACCTGAGCAACATAGTAAGACCTTCCCTCAAAACCAAATAAACAAAAATCCACATACTTGGAAATACCTGTTTAAAGGAAGTGTAAATGTTTTACAGAACATCCATTCAAGAGTTTATTTTTGGCCCGGCACGGTGGCTCACACCTGTAATCCCACCACTTTGGGAAGCCAAGGTGGGTGGATTACTTGAGATTAGGAGTTCGAGACCAGCCTGGCCAACATGGTGAAACCCTATTTCTTAAAATGCAAATTAGTTGGGCATGGTGGTGGATGCCTGTAATCCCAGCTATTCAGGAGGCTGAGGCAGGAGAATCACTTCAACCAGGGAGGCAGAGGTTCCAGTGAGCTGAGATCGTGCCACTGCCCTCCAGCCTGGGTGAAAGAGTGAGACCCTGTCTCAGGGGAAGAAAAAAAAAAGTTCATTTTTAAATGACAATCCCAATTGGTTATTTCAGGATTATTGTAGGATTCGAAGTAACTTTTTTTCTTTTTTTTTTGAGACGGAGTCTCACTCTGTCACCCAGGCTGGAGTGTAGTGGCACGATCTCGGCTCACTACAACCTCCACCTGCCAGGTTCAAGCGATTCTCCTGCCTCAGCCTCTCGAGTAGCTGGGGTTACAAGTGCCTGCCACCACACCCGGCTAATTTTTGTATTTTTAGTAGAGATGGGGTTTCACCGTCTTGGTCAGGCTGGTCTTGAACTCCTGATCTCGTGATCCACCCGCCTCGGCCTCCCAAAGTGCTAGGATTATAGGCGTGAGGCACCGTGCCTGGCCGGAATAACTTTTTTTCTTCCTGTATTTTCCAAATTGTCAAATAAAAGCTGATTGCTTTTCGAAAAAAATTGTAATAATGAGAAGAGCCACTTCCCAGAGTATACATATACATATAACTAATTTAAACAGATACTACAAGCATGTGTTTAACCAAACACCTGAACTGTACAAAGAATATATAGTGAAAAGTTACCTTCTCCGTCAAAGGCATCTGAACCAAAGCGACTCCATTATGAACAGGGGCTTGGTAAAATGTGGCTAAGACCCACTGGGCTGCACTTCCAGGAGGTTAGGCCTTCTAAGTCACAGGATGAGATAGGAGGTCGGTGCAAGGTACAGGTCGCAAAGACCATGCCGATAAAACAGGTGATGGTAAAGACGCCGGCCAAAACCCATCAAAACCAAGATGGTGACAAAAGTGAGCTCTGGCTGTCCTTATTTCTCATTATGCACTAGTTATAATACATTAGCATGCATGCTAAAAGACACTCCCACCAGCGCCATGACAATTTACAAATGCCATGGCAACGTCAGGTAGTTACCCTATATGGCCTGAAATGGGGAGGAACTCTCATTTCCGGGAATTGCCCACCCCTTTCCTGGAAAACTCATGAATAATCCACCCCTTGTTTAGCATATAATGAATAAATAATTATAGTATTATCAGTCGAGCAGTCCAAGCTACTGCTCTGCCTATGGAGTAACCATTCTTTTGTTTCTTTACTTAATAAACTTACACTCACTTTACTCTATGGACTCAATCTGAATTATTTCTTGCACGAGGTCCAAGAACCCTCTCTTGGGGTCTGGATCCCCTTTCCAGTGACATCTCCACAGTAATTATTATAACAGTATCTTGTTTCTCTCCAAAGATCCAAGAAATTTCATAGCACATTTTAAACAGTGTGATTAACAAAACTATCTGAAGAAAACTTTCTGTTACAACTCCAAGGCTTAAAGGAGCCACAGGCCAGTCCCACAACTGGCATTAAGATTTATGGCAAAGATGTTATTTGATAAACTGTCAAGTTTTCTTGGCATTTCAATCCCTCTATACTTTTTTTTTTTTTTTTTTGAGATGGAGTTTCGCACTGTCGCCCAGGCTGGAGTGCAGTGGCGCAAGCTCGGCTCACCGCAACCTCCACCACCCAGGTTCAAGTGATTCTCCCGCCTCAGTAGGAGCCTGTAGCTGCGATTACAGACACCTGCCACCACACCTGGCTAATTTTTTGTATTTTTATTAGAGACAGCGTTTCACCATATTAGCCAGGCTGGTCTCAAGTGATCCGCCTGCCTCAGACTCCCAAAGTGCTGGGATTACAGGTGTGAGCCACTGCACCCAACTCTTCTATACTCTTATTTTTGAGAAAAGGTATGTGGAAAATTGTGGACTGAAATAGGATCAAACGAAATAAGAAGAATGTGCTTTGAAAAATTATGAAGAGCTGGGCATGGTGGCCTGTAATCCTAGCACTTTAGGAGGCCGAGGCAGATGGATCACCTGAGGTCAGGAGTTTGAGACCAGTTTGGCCAACGTGGTGAAACCCCATCTCTGCTAAAAATAGAAAAATTAGCTGGACATGTTAGTGTGTGCCTGTAATCCCAGCTGCTCCGGAGGCCAAGGCAGGAGAATCGCTTGAACCCAGTGGGGGGCGGAGATGGCAGTGAGCTGAGATGGCACCATTGCACTCCAGCCTGGGCAACAAGAGCGAAACTCCATCTCAAAAAAAAAAAAAAAAGTATGAAGAACCACACAAGGGCAATGTACTCCATTATTGTTATCATAACAGGGTAGGGTTTTAAAGCTGAAATGAAAAAACATAAATTTGGGATTCATGGGCAAAAAGCTTTAGAGGAGGGAGCAGAGGTAAGGAGCTGGTCAGAGAAGATGGAAAGGTGAGGAAGTCGTACAGTGTGAGTCTGGGGTCCCGTAGGGCTACTTATGGAGTCTTGTTTTGTTTTTTTTAATTAGAGATGGGGTGTGTCACTATGTTGCCCAGACTGGTCTTGAACTCTCAGGCTCAAGTGATCCTCCTGCCCCGGCCTCCCGAAGTCCTGGGATTAAATGCGCGAGCCACCACCTGACTTTGTATTTTATTCTAAGTGTAACAAGAAGTCAACGGGGCTGGGCACAGTGGCTCATGCCTGTAATCCTAGCACTTTGGGAGGCCAAGGCGGGCAGATCACCATAAGTCAGGAGTTTAAGATGAGCCTGACCAACATGAAGAAACCCCGTCTCCACTAAAAATACAAAATTAGCCGGGCATGGTGGTGCATGCCTGTAATCCCAGCTACTCCGGAAGCTGAGGCAGGAGAATTGCTTGAACCCGGGAGGCGGAGGTTACCGTGAGCCGAGATTGCATCGTTGCACTCTAGCCTGGGCAACAAAAGCGAAAACTCCATCTCCAAAAAAAAAAAAAAAAAAAAAAAAAAAGAGGTCAAGGGGTAATATTACAGAAGGGAAGAATGTCATCTGGCCAGAGTTCAAATGAGTGAATATACATAAAATACCTAGACCGGTGACTGGCATACAATAGCCACTCAAATTAGTTATCTTACCTCTTCACATCTTAACAAGAACCATGTTAAAAGCTCTTGGTTACTAGTTTTCTAGATCTTCTAAAGCCAGTGTTAAGACACCTGCTTTACGCCTGTGCTTTCCCCGCACTCTCAGTCCCTAGGGACCTGTCAACTCTTAATCCGCTTATTATTCCCCCGTGGAGTCTACTGATCATATATAGCTACTAATTGCCTACAACACATATTTGCTAAGTGCTTAGGAAGAACTCCCTAGGACTCAGAACATGAAGTTAAATACATCATGTACCCAAAAAACAAAAAGCATAAAGCAATGAATGTGACAAGAGCTCCGAGAAAGAATCATGGAAGTTAAGGAGAGTTACAGTCAGGGGTTGCAGGGACCTGCAACAGAGATGGGAGCATTTGAACAGGAACTCAAAAGATGAAGATTTGGAGCCTGAGAGGTGTGGAAAAGAACAATTCCAAGTATGAGCAATGCCACTGAGACAAGGACATCTCCTCAAGACAGCAAGTTCAATGTGGCTGGAACGCCAGGGTCAGGGGGTATAAAAGGAAATGTTAGAGGATAGAACCAAAAATGTAGGATGGGGCCAGGTGGTGAAGAGGCCTCGAAACTAGGACAGGAATTCTAATAGTTAATGAAAATGCCATAAAGGTTTTGAGGAAGGATATGACATGATCAGAGCTATGTTGTTAGAAAGAACAAACTGGCAGAAGTGGGAAGGCTAAATTAGAGGCAGGAATCCAATCTGGTGTCAAATAAAAATTATAGGCGGCCATTGTTGCAGATTGAGCTCCTGCACAATAGGGCCTCAACATACTAGACTACAAACCAAAATGCAGTCACCGTGCTCAGGTTCAGATAACCTGAAGTCACCTGATGCTAACCATGTTATTTTTGTATTGTTC
This sequence comes from Homo sapiens, assembly GCF_000001405.40. Taxonomy (NCBI): domain Eukaryota; kingdom Metazoa; phylum Chordata; class Mammalia; order Primates; family Hominidae; genus Homo; species Homo sapiens. Next base: position 97,799,468 of record NC_000008.11, on the reverse strand, counting down.
TGTCTTCCTGCCCCTGCCTTAAAAGAAAAGTCCCTTTGAAACGACTCATCTGCTTTTAGTTCTTTGTTTCTGGTTTCTTCAGCCCATTTCTCTCTAAAAAGCCAAGCTCCTCTGCTTAGCTCACAGGATACTCTATTTTATGAGATGAAGTGTTGCCCAATTCTAGAAAGCCAATTAAGATCTTAAAACTAAATTGTTGTAATTTTTCTCCTTTGACCCTGGAAACACCTACAATAGTCTGGCTAAGAAGTAATAGGGCATTTCATCTCCAATTCTCATGACAACCCTGTGAGATGGTCTTCTTCCATGTTAGGTGGTGAGGTTTAGTGACTTTATCTTAGGGCCTATGTGTGGGAGAGCCAAGGTTGGAACCCCAAGACCTTTCCACATGGAGGCAGAATTACTAGAGATACAGTAACTGACTACAAGCAAAGAACACAGAAAAAGAAGCAAAGAAGACCTAAGACTTCAAGCCTGGTGACAGGATGTATCTTGTCATTATCAGAAATGGAAAAGGTCAGTGGAAGGACTATGACGACGTCGATTTTAGATACACTGTGCTGAAAGTACTGCAGGATGTCCAGATAATCCTATTTTTAGCTTATCCATCTGGCCTCTAACCCTTCTCTTTGTACTTGCCCTGTGGTATTCATGTGTGCCCTGTTTTTCTGTTTGCTACTGGAGTTCTGACAGCCTGATGCTGTCAGATACTTACATGCCTTTCTGCCCTCTCCTGCTCCATCTCTGTAACACATCACATGGTATCTGACAACAGAGTCCTGGCTGCTGGCTCAGTGTGTCCTTCTTACTCCAGAGTGGGTCCTGGGTCCTAAACCTGCCAGTGTCATAAATGCTGCAGTAACTATTATCACCCACTCTACCTCTAGCCCTGTGTTCTTTCTCTCGGGGGACCAAGTCCCTGTCCAGGTGCCCTGGTTCTTCGCGAGGCCGTCCAGATAGAGGGGACACAGATAAAACAAAGATATGACAGGTAAGCTCATTACACATCACAAATGACTCACCACTGTGACTTTTAATCAGTGTGGAATTTTCCTAATATAAGAAGGTCTGTGAACCACCACATATCTACTGTATTATTATTATATAAAACCTCAATTGTTGGATGGGAATCTGGCACACCATGAATGATGTGAATAGAAAATGGGGAGCCATGAGGACCTATGTCTGTGCAAAGGGGTTGGGGGTAGGATTAGCCATGGTAGCTACTAAACCCAGACAGATAGAAAAGGTCAAACATGAGTCAAAGCCCCAACAACACTGGGTAAGAACTTCCTGAAAGAGCGAAAATGGCAATCACTCAATCATCCATTCTAACCAAGAATAAAACACCACAAATGAGAACCAAGACGACGCTCAGGCTTGCCAGGAGCAGAATACATAATGCCCACAGTTGATCTAAATGCAAAAGAGGGGACACACTTATGCTCTAATTCAGCTAATGCTCACTTATATTTGGGTTTTCATTGTCTGTTTTTTTATGTTATGAGCAAACTGTTCCTGTTCTATTTACAAACTGATCCTGTGATGTCACATATTTTTCCTTGTTCTTAACAATGATTACTTCCACATGTAAATAAATCCAACTTCTGTCCAATTTCTAAAGTGGTGTTAGGCCCCTGAATATGTTCCAGGAATTCAAAGTCCTTTTCACCCATAAGTCATCTATCAGATCCCAAATAAGAGACTTGCAGCTTGAATCTAAACAACTGAAAATGTAATTGTCAGCTCTCCTTTTTAAAAGCCTCAATAAAAAAAATCCTTATGAACATTCAAACCCACTGATACAGTAATTAAACAACGATCAGAAATTTACACAGGTTGTATCCAAAAATGATCACTGCAGACTTATGTATAATAGTGAAAACTTGAAACAAAAGTAGAATGACTGAATATTAAAGCCAAGTAACAGAATCCTATACAAGCATTAAAATCTTATTTTTTAAAATGTTAATGACAAGAAAATGTTCACAGAATCACACTAAATGAAAAGCACAGTATTAAAAAGTTGTAATTCCAGCCGGGCGCGGTGGCTCACTCCTGTAATCCCAGCACTTTGGGAGGATGAGGCAGGAGGAGCACCTGAGGTCGGGAGTTCGAGACCAGGCTAACCAACATGGAGAAACCTCTTCTCTACTAAAATAGAAAATTAGCCGTGCGTGGTGGCGCATGTCTGTAATCCCAGCTACTCGGAAGGCTGAGGCAGGAGAATCGCTTCAACCTGGGAAGCAGAGGTTTCAGTGAGCCGAGGTCGCACCGTTGCACTCCAGCCTGCGCAATAAGAACAAAACTTCATCTCAAAAAAAAAAAAAGTTGTAATTCCAATTTTATTATTAATATCTAGTTTTTTATTTGAGACAGGATCTCACTATATTACTCGACCTGGTCTCAAACTCCTGGGTTTAAGCGATGCTCCCACAGAAGCCTCCCAAAGTGCTGGGATCACAAGCATGAGCCATTGTACCCGGCCATTTCTTTATTTTATTATTTATTGAGATTTATTTATTTATTGAGATAGAGTCTCACTCTGTCACGCAAGCTGGAGTGCAATGGCACAATCTCAGCTCACTGCAACCTCTGCCTCCTGGGTTCAAGCGAATCTCCTGCCTCAGCCTCCTGAGTAGCTGGGATTACAAGTGCCGGCTACCACATCCAGCTAATTTTTGTATTTTTAGTAGAGAAGGGGTTTTACCATGTTGGCCAGACTGGTCTCGAACTCCTGACCTCAGGTGATCTGCCCACCACAGCCTCCCAAAGTGCTGGGATTACAGGAATGAGTCACTGCGCCCGGACGTGCCCGGACATTTCTATCTGTAATGTGCTCACATGTATAAATCATAGGTAAAAAGCACTACAACATACAATGATTATAAACTAGGTCCTTTTTTCCCCCAAATTGTCTAATGTAAGCATAATGTAAGCATAAAATAACAACTAACATGCTAAGACAATGATCAATAATAAACAAATCTGTCCAGGCATTCAAATCAAACCTGGAAATAGATATAACAAGGGAGAAACATCAGAGTGAAATAATATTAATTCAAGGATCCGGACAAGCACAGTGGCTCATACTTGTAATCCCAACACTTAAGGAAGCCCAGGCAGGATGACTGCTTGAGTCCAGGAGATCAGCCTGGACAACATAGTAAGACTCCATCTCCATAAAAATTAGACTCATGAATAATCCACTCATTGTTTAGCATATAATCAAGAAATAACTGGCTGGTGCTTATAATCCCAGCACTTTGGGAGCTCGAGGCAGGTAGATCACTTGAGGTCAGGAATCGGAGACCAGCCTGGCCAACACGGTGAATCCCCATCTCTACCAAAACACACAAAAACTAAGCGGATAGGGTGGCGCATGCCTGTAGTCCCAGCTACTGGGGGGGCCAAGGCAAGAGGATCGCTTGAGCCCGGGAGGTTGAGGCTGCGGTAAGCTAAGACTGCGCCTCTGCACTCCAGCCTGGGCAACAAAGGTGAGTGGGGAAAACAGCAAATAAATCAAGAGGAGGTGTGATTGGAAATGAACTAAGCTAAGGTCCTTGCATTGTCTAGGAAGAGATCAAAAGTACCAATTAGTGTTAGATCTTTTTTTTTTTTTTTTTTTTTTAAAGACAGAGTCTCACTTTGTCGCTGAGGCTGGAGTGCAGTGGGGCAATCTCGGCCTCTGGGGTTCAAGCAATTCTCCCACCTCAGCCTCCAGAGTAGCTGGGACTACAGGCAAGTGCCACCACACTCAGCTAATTTTTCTATTTTTAGTAGAGACAGGGTTTCACCATGTTGGCCAGGCTGGTCTCAAACTCCTGACCTCAAGCGATCCACCCACCTCAGCCCCCCAAGATGCTGGGATTACAGGTGTGAGCCACCACGCCCAGCCAGTGTTAGACTTTCTTAAAAGTCAAAGATATATAAACTCTACGGCAAACCATTAATAGAAAGTCTTGAGTGATAAGATACAGGGGTCTTTGCTTAGTGATAGCTTAGCTGTTTATATTTTACGTCCTTTTATGTAAACGTACAATAATCAGTAAAAATGATTCACAATTTAAAAAATAGGCCAGGTGTGGGTGGCTTACTCCTGTAATCCCAGCAATTTTTGACAGGCTGAAGAGTAAGGATCCACTGAGACCAGGAGTTCAAGACTAGCCTGGGCAACATAATGAGACAAATAATAATAATATTTAGCCAGGTGTGGTGGTAGGCACCTGTGGTCCCAGCTACTCTGGAGGCTGACGCAGGTAGATTGCCTAAGCTCAGGAGGTTGCGGCTCCAGTGAGCTATGATCATGCTACCACACTGCACTCTGAGTGACAAAGTGAGATTCTGTCTCAAAAAATAATAATAAATAAACATTATAATCTGATTTGCTGTTTTCTGATACTTGGCTAATTTCTATATTCCAGTATTTGGAAATTTTTTCTAAAAGTTATTAATGGGGCTGGGCATGGCGGCTCACGCCTGTAATCCCAGCACTTTGGGAGGCTGAGGCAGGTGGATCACCTGAGGTCAGGAGTTTGAGACCAACCTGCACAACATGGTCAAACCTTGTCTCTTAAAAATACAAAAATTAGCCGGGCATGGTGGCGGGTGCCTGTAATCCCAGCTACTCAGGAGGCTGAGGCAGGAGAATCACTTGAACATGGGAGGTGGAGGTTGCAGTGAGCCAAGATCACGCCATTGCACTCCAGCGTGGGTGACAGAGCGAGACTCCATCTCAAAATAAATAAATAAAATTAAAATAAAATAAAAGCTATTAATGGCAGGTATGCCTCTCATTTGGACTCAATTTCAATGGGCAAATCAAAGGGAAGTTTCAATCAGACTCTCACTATGGTCCTGTTCTGATATCAAAATAAACTTCTTCCCATGCTTGTTATTTCAATTCAAATAAATATGGTAAATATATTCTGGGGGGAAATTAGATTTATTGTAAAATCCTATTTGCCTAAGAAATTCACTAAAATTAGTTCACCTACTATGTGCCCAACATTCTGATTGAAACTGGGTTGTACAAAAATGATTAAGACATGGTCCCAAGCTGGTCATGGTGGTTCACGCTTGCAATCCCAGCACTTTCGGAGGCTGAAGTGGGAGGACTGCTAGAGGCCAAAAGTTCAAGATGAGCTAATTTTTATATTTATTAAAAAATTTTAAATTAGCTAGGTTTGGGCCGGGTGCAGTGGCTCACACCTGTAATCCCACCACTTTGGGAGGCCAAGGCGGGCGGTTCACCTGAGCTCAGGAGTTCAAGATCAGCCTGGCTAACATGGTGAAACCTCATCTCTACTAAAAATACAAAAATTAGCCAGGTGTGATGGCAGGTGCTGGTAATCCCAGCTACTTGGGAGGCTGAGGCAGGAGAACAGTTTGAACCCAGAAGGCAGAGGCTGCAGTGAGGCAAGACTGCACCATTGCATTCCAGCCTGGGCAACAGAGCAAGATTCTGTCAAAAAAAACAAAAAACAAAAAACAATTAGCTGGGTTTGGTGGTGTATGCCTGCAGTCCTAGCTACTTGGCAGGCTGGGGTGAGAGTTAATTCTTGAGCCCATGAGTTCAAGGCTGCAGTGAGCTATGATGGTGCCACTGCTCCCCAGCCTGGGCGACAGAGCAAGAACCCCAACTCTTAACCCTTGTCCCATTAGTCCCAAGAATACTTGCCAGCAGCCCTAGCAGCTGCAGTGTTTATCCTGAGATAAGTTTGCCACAAAAATCTTGCTTTTATTATTATTTTCACATTCTTCTAGTATATCAATTTGGGAAACGATAGACATTCTGTTTACAGCATTCATTTTTAATGGTGGTATTTCCATGTACAAAATATACTAATTCTCTATCGCTGAAGTGTCAAATCCTACAAAACAGCATTCCTATGGATGATGTTGACATCACTCTTGAACAGCTGTTGGCCGAAGATTCATTTGAACAATCCGATTTTTCTGAAATAGACAATACTGATATTCTGTTTAGAAATAATTCCAAGAACAATTTTTATTTTATTTTACAATGAAAATCACTCAGATTTGCTTCAGCCTCATAGGGTGTTTATACAAAATTAAATGAGTGCTGGGGGCGAGCTAAACCTTTTTTTTTCTGAACAGAAAAATGGTTTAAAAAAAAGACACGGTCCCTGTGCCCAACATTAGTCCAGTGGAAGAAACATACATCAACAGCCAAGTAAAATGTAGAATAAACGCTATAACATTCATTAACTCATTCATTCAGTTATTCAAAAATTAATCTATTGTGCCACAAATATATGCCAGGCACAATGCTAAGCATCACATATATATTATGGCAAAGCCCTCAAGGCAGCCTATTATCTAGTGGGGAAAATAATAAATTGGATGTTCTATTCAGAGTGAACACAAATTCTGTTACCTTATCAACAACAGTATTTTTTTTTCATTCTAGAGTTTCTAGTTATTATTTTCAAATCTGTTGTATCCTTTGTATGATTTCTGAGGTGACACTATTAACACCAGAAAGTAACAGACCTAAACATCCTGAGAGAGAAAAATTATAGCACAAACAATTTTAGGGTATCAGATTAAGTGACTAATTGACTGTTATGCTGGGCGCAATGGCTCACGCCTGTAATCCCAGCACTTTGGAAGACTGAGGAGGGCGGATCACTTGAGGTCAGGAGTTCGAAACCAGCCTGGCCAACATGGTGAAATCCTCTCTCTACTAAAAATACAAAACAGCCACGTGTGGTGCCAGGAGCCTGTAATCCCAGCTACTTGGGAGGCTGAAACAGAAGAATCACTTGGACCTGGGAGGCAGAGGTTGCAGTGAGCCGAGATCGTGCCACTGCAATGCAGCCTGCGCTACAGAGAGAGATTTAGTCTCAAAAAAGGAAAAAAATAAAAAATAAAAAAAAAATTGACTGTTAGGCTAGGCACGGCGGCTCACACCTGTAATCCCAGCACTTTGGGAGGCCAAGGGAGGTGGATCATTTGAGCTCAGGAGTTTGAGACCAGCCTGAACAACATGGTGAAACCCATATCTACAAAAAATACAAATAATTAGCTGGTTGTGGTGGCTCGCACCTGTAGTCCCAGCTGCCTGGGGAGCTGGGGTGGCAGGGACCTGGAGCCCAGGAGGTCAAGGATGTAGTGAGTGGAGATGGTGCCACTGCACTCCAGCCTGGGTGACAAACTGTGATCTTGTATCAAAAAAATAAAAATAAAAAAGAACCAACTGTTAAGAAAAACTCTACAGCACACAAGCAGGAAAATGAGCCACTCTTGGCAATCCTTGGAGTTGGACTATAATGGCGGCCATGTTGTAAGTTGCTGAACTTCTAAGTCAAAGGATGGTCTCTTTGGTTATAGACTCTGAGGGAAAAAGTTTAAGGAGTAAAATGGATGTTGTATCTTTTATTAGAGCCTCATTTCAACAGATATAATTTTTTAATATATTATGGAAGTTTTTCCCCCCAAATTCAACCAGGTCTTTCTGATTCACCAGTTCAGTCAACAGTACCATCCTTTTAGGACGTCTTCCTCATAGGTGATGAACTAAACTAAGAAACCACCATCCCCATATGCACCATTTTATATTATAAAAACAGTGCTGCCTCCCTATCAAGTCTGATCATTACTACACCATTCTACAGATGAGGACTCAGACTTCAGGGAAATATGCACATACCATGTTCATAAAATACAGGTGCATAAAGTTTTCAACTGACATTCAATTGTTGGTGCTTTGATTACAAATGCCATATACGCTCTTACCAGTAACCCAGGTTCCTCCCAAGAAGCCACCACACCCCATTCACAGGCCCTGGCCAACTCTGCTAAACCAATCCCTGGCAGCAAGCTCAAAATTCCTTTCAAGGGAGTGCTCCAGACAGCACTCCCAATCTGACAAGGGGCTAGCGTGCAAAACGATCTGCCACACCAGCAGAAGCAATCCCAATTTCTCTGAGTGAACTTCAGTCGGTTCTGGTGTTCATTCTCAGGCTAAGACACCATTACGTACTCAAAGAACACAGGGTGCACGTAATTAACAAGAAGGATGTCTAGACAATGGACAGAAGGCAAAGGATGGCCCCCAGAAGAGGCAAAGACCTACTGGGAGACATGGAGGGACAGGGTGTGGAGGCAGAAAATGACTGTGCTCCCTTTCATGTCTTAAAGAACATTTTAAATATTTGAATATGAAGAGAGAGGCCCAGCCCAGAGCCGAGTTCAGGATGGACAATGGAGACCTAAACTCTGTGCACAAAAAAGTATCAACCAGGCATGGTGGCTCATGCCTGTAATCCCAGCACTTTGGGAGGCCAAGGCAAGTGGCTCGCTTGAACCCAGAAGCTCGAGACCAGACTGGGCAAACAAGCAAGACCCTGTTTCTACAAACAATAATTTGTAAAAATAGCTGGGTGTGGTGTGTGCCTGTGGTCCCAGCTACTCGGGAGGCTGAGGTGGGAAAACTACTTGAGCTGAAAGGTCCGAGGTTGCAATGAGGCGTGATTGCACCACTGCACTCCAACCTGGGAAATAAAGTGAGACCCCTGTCTCAAAAAAACAAAAAGCTAGGACGGGCTCAGTGGCACACACCTGTAATCCCAGCTACTCGGGAAGTTGAGACACGAGAACTGCTTGAACCCAGGAGGCGAAAGTTGCGGTGAGCCAAGACTGTGCCACTGCACTCCAGCCTGGGCAATAGAGCCAGACTTTGTCTCAAAACACAAAACCAGCTGGGCGCAGTGGCTCACGCCCATAGTCCAACACTTTGAGAAGCTGAGGCGGGCAGATAACTTGAGATCAGGAGTTTGAGACTACCCTGGCCAATGTGGTGAAACCCCATTTCCACTAAAAATACAAAAATTAAGGCCAGGCACGGTGGCTCATGCCTGGATCCCAGCACTTTAGGAGAGTGAGGCGGGCAGATCACAAGGTCGGGAGTTCGAGACCAGCCTGGCCAACATAGTGAAACTCCATCTCTACTAAAAATACAAAAATTAGCCAGGCATGGTGGTATGTGCCTTTAGTCCCAGCTACTCAGGAAGCTGAGGCAGGAGAATTGCTTGAACCCAGGAGGTGGAGGTTGCAGTGAGCCAGGATCACGCCACTGTACTCCAGCCTGGCGACAGAGTGAGACTCTGTCTAAAAAAAAAAAAAAAATTATACAACCACTATGGAGAACAGTTTGGAGGTTCCTCAAAAAACTAAAAATAGAGCTATCATACAATGCAGCAATCCCACACCTAGGTATATACTCAAAAGAAAGGAAATAAGCTTATCAAAAAAAAAATAGCTGCACTCCCATTTTACTGCAGCACTATTCACAATAGCCAAGATTTGTAAGCAACCTAAATGTCTGTCAACAGGTGAATGGATAAAGAAACTGTGTTACATATACAGAATGGAGTACTATTCAGCCATAATGAGATCTTGTCATTTGCAACAACATGGATGGAACTGGAGGTCATTATGTAAAGTGAAATAAGCCAGGCACAGGAAACCAAACTTTGCATGTTTTCACATATTTGTGGGAGCTAAAACTTTAAACCATTGAACTCACGTAGCTAGAGAGTAGAAGGATGGTTACCAGAGGCTGGGAAGGGTAGTGGGGAGTGACGAGGCAGAAGGTTAATGGGTACAAAAAGGTGGAAAGAGGGCCGGGCAAGGTGGCTCATGCCTGTAATCCCAGCACTTTGGGAGGCCGAGGCAGGCAGATCACCTGAGGTCAGGAGTTCGAGACCAGCCTGACCAACATGGAGAAATCCCATCTCTACTAAAAATACAAAAAAAATTAGCCAGGTATGATGGTGCATGCCTGTAATCCCAGCTACTCGGGAGAAGAATTGCTTGAACCCGGGAGGCAGGGGTTGCGATGAGCCGAGATCACACCATTGCACTCCAGCCTGGACAATAAGACCAAATCTCCGTCTCTCAAAAAAAAAAAAAAAAATTAGCCAGGTATGGTAGGGTATGTCAGGTTCCACCTACTTCAGAGGCTGAGGAGGGAGGATCATTTGAGCCTAGGATGTCAAGGCTGCAGTGAGCCATGGTCACACCACTGCGCTCCAGCCTGGGCAAGAGAGACTCTACCTCAAAAAAACAGGCCAGGCGTGGTGGCTCACACTTGTAATCCCAGCACTTTGGGAGGCCAAGGTGGGCGGATCACCTAAGGTAGGGATTCAAGACCAGCCTGGCCAACATGGTGAAACCCCATCTCTACTAAAAATACAAAAAATTAGCCGGGCGTGGTGGCACTTGCCTGTAATCCCAGCTACTTGGGAGGCTGAGGCAGGACAATCGCTTGAACCTGGGAGGCGGAGGTTGCAGTAAGTCGAGATCACACCACTGCACTCCAGCCTGGGCAACAAGAGCAAAACTCCGTCTCAAAATAAATAAATAAATAAATAAATAAATAAATAAATAAATAAATAAATAAAGAGTGAGCACCAAATGAAGATGTTTTCCAAAAAAATGGCTGTCAGGGCTGGGCGCTGTAGCTCACGCCTGTAAACCCAGCACTTTGGGAGGCTGAGGTGGGCGGATCACGAGGTCAGGAGTTCGAGACCAACCTGGTCAACATGGTGAAACCCCGTCTGTACTAAAAATACAAAAAATTAGCCGGACGTGGTGACAGACACCCGTAGTCTCAGCTACTCAGGAGGCTGAGGCAGAAGATTCGCTTGAACCCGGGAGGTGGAGGTTGCAGTGAGCCAAGCTTGAGCCACTGCACTCCAACCTGGGCAACAGAGCTAGACTTCATCTCAAAAAAAAAAAATGGCTGTCAGAAGTTGCAGCCAACAGACCCTTAACAAAGGAAATTTTAGAATATATATTTCATACAAAGGAATAATGATCCTAGACAGCAGATCTGAGGTGCAAAAGAAAATGATGGGCTGTGTACTTTGGGTGTTAAAATATTCATTTTTGACCAGGCGTGGTGGCTCATACCTGTTAACCTCAGCACTTCTGGGAGGCCAAGGCAGGTGATCACTTGAGGTCAGGAGTTGGAGACCAGCCTGGTCAACATAGTGAAACCTCATCTCTACTAAAAATAGAAAATTAGTTATCTCTTCCTTTCTCCACCATCGTGGTGTGTGCCTGACTCCGCTTCTTGCCATGTCTTCTCACAAGACTTTCAGGATTGTTTCCTGGCCAAGAAACAAAAGCAAAAATGTCCCATTCCCCAGTGGATTCAGATTAACAACTGGTAATGAAATCAGGTACAACTCCAAAAGGAGACACTGGAGAAGAAGCTAGCTGGATCTATAAGGAATTACACACAAGATGACACATATTTACACTGTGTCAAGGCCATCACCATCTTCCCACAGCAAGCTGAAAATGGCGCCACCATCTGGACAGTTGGACGTTTTATTGGGAATATATTTTTTCTCTCTGAATCATTATGAATGTGTTGGTTGGCTGGGTTCGGTCATAAATATGAGACCTTTTATTTTAAAAAAGAAATACAAAAATTAGCTGGGCATGTTGGCAGGTGCCTATAATCTCAGCTACTTGGGAGGCTGGCGCAGGAGAATCACTTGAACCTGGGAGAAGAGGTTGCAGTGAGCCGAGATCATGCCAGTGCGCTCTCCAGCCTGGGCGACAAAGTGAGACTCTGTCTAAAAAAATAAATAAATAAATCATTTTTAAGTAAGAATTATAGTGGTTACAAAAAGAAAAAAGGAGTAATGGAGAAAGAGGGATGCAAACATGCGGGTAATTCTAAACAAACATTAATTGTAAATTGATGTGTTTGGGAACTTAGAAAAGGACACTAAAATACAAGAGAGAAACGACTGGAGTTAAAGGACTTGTATTCTTTAAAAGAAAGACAAAGATATTATTAACCCCAGACTTTAATAAGTTAGGTGTATCTGTTAAAAGAAATCGGCCAAGCACAATGGTTCATGCCTGTAATCCCAGCACTTTGGGAGGCCGAGGCGGATGGATCATGAGGTCAGGAGATCGAGACCATCCTGGCTAACATGGTGAAACCCTGTCTCTACTAAAAATACAAAAATTAGCTGGGCCTGGTGGCGGGTGCCTGTAGTCCCAGCTACTCGGGAGGCTGAGGCAGGAGAATGGCGTGAACCTGGGAGGCGGAGCTTGCAGTGAGCCGAGATTGCACCACTGCACTCCAGCCTGGGCAACAGAGCCAGACTCAGTCTCAAAAAAAAAAAAAAAAGAAAGAAACATCTCCTAGCCTCCCTCACAGCTAAGTCACATGTCTTGTTTTTGGTTACTGGGATGTAAGTGAAAGTGATGTGTGCATTTTCCATTTCACATCCTTAAAAAAATAAAGCTCCTTGTCCTCCAGATACCCCTTTCTCCCTTACAGCAGGCCAGGACACAAACATGGTGCTGGTAATGTCTCCACCATGAAGACAAACATAAAGGAGGCAGCCTCCTTAGAACCCAGAGAAGGAATCCATGCACAATATTTGGGATGGTGGAGCTACACCCCCACCCCCCAGCCTGGGTCTCTGGATGGCCTCAAGGAACAATGTTGGCCAACACTCCCTGAACTGTTAACAGGAAAGAAATAAACTTCTACCTTCCTGCAGTTTTGCGTTTCTTTGTTATAGCAACTTTATCTATAGCATAACTGGCTCACCTTCAGTTTTGCAACCCCCAGGCCCACTACTGTTAGTCAACACAAATCTAAGTACCTACTACATGCTAAGGGTTACTACTTCACCATCTCTGCACCATGGAACCAACTGGCTGTGTAATTTTAGTAGCTCAAGGTTAATGGTTTTTTTTTTTTTTTTCTGAGACGGGAGTCTCGCTCTGTTGCCCGGGCTGGAGTGTAGCGGCACGATCTCAGCTCACCACAACCTCCGCCTCCCAGGTTCACGTGATTCTCCGGGCTCAGCCTCTGGAGTAGCTGGGACTACAGGCACGTGCCACCATGCCTATTTTTTTGTATTTTTAGTAGAGATGGAGTTTCACTATGTTGGTCAGGCTGGTCTCGAACTCGGAACCTCATGATTTGCCCGCCTCGGCCTCCCAAAGTGCTGGGATTACAGGCGTGAGCCACCACACCCGGCCTTGTTTTTTTTTTAAGTTCAATGTTATGTTTACTAATAATTTGAAATTACATTTCCTCAAGCATTTTTTTTTAACCTCCCACATATTTTCCTGAGAAACAATTTCCCTTGGAAGCTGCAACTGCAAAGAGGCAACTCGAAACTCTTAAAACGTTAGGAGCAACTGAAGAAGTGTGGTCTTTGTTTGCTTTTTACTTTCCGTCAAGCACAATGAGTTAACCAATAACTCAACAACTCTCATTCAGTCTCCAAAAGCTCTACTAAGAGTCTCAAGAACTGGGAGGAGGAAAAGGAGAGTTGCTAGGGCTCACACATTATTTCCACTAGCATTCCTTTGACCAATGACAAATCAGCCCAAAAGGTGGTGGGGCAGAATGGGACAACTGTGGCCTCTTCCTTCAGGGCCAAGATTCAAAGTTAAATTGACAAAACAAATATATTACTCATTCAAACATAATACACATTGTACGACAAAACTCATGTTAACTTAATACTTTATGCTAAGTTACTGAGAAAATAACTTTTATCTGAGGGATGCAAGTCTTTATTATCAGGCCCAGAGAGACATTAAAACGATACAGCAATCACTTTCTACTCCCCCTCCCTTTTGAGCTATGTCTTCAACTGTTGAAACTGATTGCTATTGCCACAAGCAGCTGCAAATTAACCTAATAATGCATAGCTCAACAATGGATAGCCAATCACGAACCAATGTTGTTTCTGTAAATCAAGGACAATTCCTGACAAACAACTTTGTATCAGTACACTCCCTGTTCCCCCTTTCAGTCTTTAAAAATGCACTTATAACTGCTGCTAATCTGTGTGTACAGTCAGGGCAACGTCAGTCTATATTCTGGGGTTGCAATCCTCAAGCCTGGCCCAAATAAACTCTCTACTTACATTAATTTTGCCTCAGCTTCTTCCTTTTAGGTCGAAGTTAAATATATTTAAAGTGAATCCGAGAGTGATTGGTATTAATAAACAGTTTTGATAGCAATCTTTATTTATTGGCCACCTTGTCTGTAAAACATTCTAATGAACATTTACCATAAAAGTGTGATAAGAGGCTCAGGCCTGCAATCCCAGCACTTTGGGAGGCGGGCGGATCACCTGAGGTCAAGAGTTCTAGACCAGCCTGGTCAACATGGTGAAACCCCATCTCTACTAAATTAAGCCAGGCGTGGTGGCCTGCGCCTGTAATCCCATGTACTCGGGAGGCTGAGGCAAGAGAAGGGCTTGAACCCGGGAGGTGGAGGTTGCAGGGAACCGAGATGGCACCACTGCACTCCATCATGGGTGACAGAATGAAACTGCCTCAAAAAAAAAAAAAGTGTGATAAAAGCTTAAAAAGATATTGAATACCACTGAAATCTCCACCAACCAATGTTCTATAGAACTGCCCTTGATCCTTTATTAGATGAGGGGAAACCTGTACTTTAAAAATCCAATGTCCTTCCCTATCTAAATCTGTTCAATTCCTTAAATCAGATGGAGAAAACCTAGGTAGAAAGAGAGACTTGTATCACTCACTAACTGGTAAAAATTCCTATCCATCTTATTCATACCACTAAGAGCTGATACCCACTATAGTTTGTATCTAGAGAGCTATATATAACATACTGCCTGGTTTTCCAGCCATCTGAAACAGCCTGCCATTTTAATCTAACTTAAAAACTGCTTTCATTGGCCAGGCGTGGTGGCTCATGCCTGTAATCCCAACACTTTGGGAGGCTGAGGTGGGCAGATCACGAAGTCAGGAGATTGAGATCATCCTGGCTACCACGTTGAAACCTCATCTCTATTAAAAATAAAAAAATCAGCGGGGTGTGGTGGTGGGCGCCTGTAGTCCCAGCTACTCGAGAGGCTGAGGCAGGAGAATGGCTTGAACCCGGGAGGCAGAGCTTGCAGTGAGTGGAGATCCCACCACTGCACTCCAGCCTGGGTGACAGAGCGAGACTCCGTCTCAAAAAACAAAACAAAACAAAAACAACAACCAAAAAAAACTGCTTTCATCATATCGCTCCTGTTCATAATTCTTCAATGGTTCCCCACTGCCTACAGAATAAAATCCAAACTCTTTAGCCTACTATTTAGTCTTTTACAATCTAACATAGTGGGGAAAACACCAGGCAATAAAGATGACACAATTGCCACAAATCAGTCCGTTATTCTATCCTGAAATTACGGGCCAAGTCACAGAATCTGACAGTTGGAAAGAAGCTATTAATCTTAAAAGAACATATCACCACCTATCATGCGTGACCCAGGGTTGCTTTGAGGTCTAAATAAGAACAAATGTGAATGCCCACCGAAAGCTATCAATCACTCTACAAATACAGGATGTTGGTCTTACTATCCTGTACTCAGACAAATCAATAGTTGTTGAACTTCTCAGAATACAAAGAAAATCTATCAGGCTTGTGAAGGGGTGAAGAAAATTCTCCCCCTTCTACAACTTCTGAAGGTTTGATCATTTGAGTCTAATAAACAAACTGATAATAGATCAACAGCAAGAAACGGCATACAAATGTATTACGTGCACACGCATACGTGGGAGTCACAGAAATAAGAAAACTCAAAGGAAGGGCCAGATGGTTTAAGTTTTAATGTCTTTCTGAAGTTACAGAAAGAATAGGGGTTTAGATCACGGCAAAACAGGTTATGGGAGGGAGGGACGGAAAGGCCTGGCTAGGGAAGGTGGTCTTGTTATGCAAATGAGACCCCACAGGTAGAAGGCTTGAGAAAAGATACTTGGTAGCCTGTGGTATGTGGTAAACTTCTCTATTAGACCTTCAAAGGTGTCAGACTCTCAATCTCTCGGTTAATCTTTCCAAGGTCTGAACATGGGGGATGGGGTGGGGAGGTGTGCTCAGAGAAAGCCTGGCTGTTTATTTCACTAATGCAGATTTTCCCTAAAGATGCAAATCTCCACAAACAGCAGCTTTTCAGAGCTATTCTTGTTTGCAGTTTCTCTAATACTATCTTGAAATATACCAAAGAGGTATATTTTGGGTGAGATATTCTGGTTTCCTTTACTTGAGTAAACAAGGAAACTGTGAGTTTCTATGTGAACAAGTGGATTCTTTGAAAGACCAGGTCTGCACTTGTATCCCAGAACTTAAAGTATAATTAAAAAACAAAAGAAAAAGAAAGAAAGAAAATTAAAAAGAAAGACCAGGTCATAAAGCCAATGAAGCAGCTACTCTGACCTCTTTTATCCTTTATAATCTGATATATGGCTAACTACCCTGTGAACAGTGTCTGGCACAGAGGCATTTGGTATGTATTTGCTGTGTCTAAGTTCCTAAAAAATAACTGAACAAGGATATTTAAAAAAAAAAAAAAAAAAAGGCCGGGCGCGGTGGCTCACACTTGTAATCCCAACACTTTGGGAGGCCAAGGCGGGCAGATCACCTGAGGTCGGGAGTTTGAGACCAGCTTGACTAACATGGAGAAACCCCGTCTCTACTAAAAAATAAATAAATAAATAAATAAATAAATAAATAAATAAATAAAATACAAAATTAGCCAGGTATGGTGGTGCATGCCTGCAATCCCAGCTACTTTGGAGGCTGAAGCAGGAGAATCACTTGAACCCAAGAGGCGGAGGCTGCAGTGAGCCGAGACTGCACCACTGCACTCCAGCCTGGGCAACAAGAGCGAGACTCCGTCTCAGAAAAAAAAAAAGGCTGGGGACGGTGGCTCACGCCCGTAATCCCAGCACTTTGGGAGGCCGAAGCAGGTGGATCAGGAGGTCAGGAGTTCGAGACAAGCCTGACCAACATGGTGAAACCCCGTCTCTACCAAAAATAAAAAATTAGCCAGGGATGGTGGCGCATGCCTGTAGTACCAGCTACTCAGGAGACTGAGGCAGGAGAATCGCTTGAACCCGGGAGGCAGACGTTGCAGTGAGCTGAGACTGCGCCACTGCACTCCAGCCTGGACAACAGAGTGAGGCTCTGTCTCAAAAACAAAAGCCTGGAGTGGTGTGGAGTGGTGGTGTGAGCCTGTAGTCCCAGCTACTTGGGAGGCTGAAATGGCAAGGCTGCTTGAGCCAGGGAAGACAAGGCTGCATTGAGCCACTCCAGCCTGGGCAATAGAGTGAGATCTTGTCACAAAAAAAAAAAAAAAAAAAAAAAAAAAGCTGGGCATGGTGGCTCAGGCCTGTAATCCCAGCACTTTGGGAGGCTGAGGGGAGCAGATCACCAGAGGTCGGGAGTTCGAGACCAGCCTGACCAACATGGAGAAATCCTGTTATCTACTAAAAATACAAAATTAAACAGGTGTGGTGGCGCATGCCTGTAATCCCAGCTACTAGGGAGGCTGAGGCAGGAGAATTGCTTGAACCTGGGAGTCGGAGGTTGCGGTGAGCCGAGATCGCACCATTGCACTCCAGCCTGGGCAACAAGAGCTAAACTCTGTCTCAAAAAAAAAAAAAAAAGTCCCCAAAGTCTTGTGCAAGAATGTTCAGTGCAGCTTTATTTATAATAGCCCCAAATTGGAAATAACCCAAATGTCCAATATCTGGCAAATGGATAAACAAATTGTGGTATATTAATACAATAAAAACAATACTCAGCAATAAAAAGCAACACTCCAAGAAGATGAATGAATCTAAAAGAAGTTATGCTAAGTGAAAGAAGCTAGATACAGAAGGGTACACACAGCATAATTCCATTTTACATGAATAAGCAAAACTTACCTACAGTGATTGGGGATATGGCAGGGATTAACTGGGAAACAGCACAAGGGAACTTGCTGAAAGTTTGGAAATGTTCTCAAGGAATGTGGGTTACATTACAGAGGCATTTGTCAACTCAATAAACTACATTTAACTGTGAATTTTGCCGGGCACGGTGGCTCACGCCTGTAATCCCAGCACTGTGGGAGGCCGAGGCGGGCGGATCACCTGAGGTCAGGAGTTCAAGACCAGCCTGGCCAACATAATGAAACCCTGTCTCTACTAGGAAAACAAAAATTAGCCAAGCGCAGTGGTGGGTGCCTGTAATACCAGCTACTTGGGAGGCTGAGGCAGGAATCACTTGAACCCAGGAGGCGAAGGTTGCAGTGAGCTGAGATTGCACCACTGCACTTCGGCCTGAGCAATAAGAGCAAAACTCCTCAAAAAAAAAAAAAAAAAAAAAGGCCGGGCACAGTGGCTCACGCCTGTAATCTCAGCACTTTGGGAGGCCAAGGCGGATGGATCACAAGGTCAGGAGTTCAAGACCAGCCTGAACAACATGGGGAAACCCCATCTCTACTAAAAATACAAAAATTAGCCCGGAGCTCACCTGTAATCCCAGCTACTCAGGAGGCTGAGCAGGAGAATCGCTTGAACCCAGGAGGCGGAGGTTGTGGTGAGCCGAGATCACGCCACTGCACTCCAGCCTGGGCGTCAGAGCGAGACTCGGTCTCAAAAAAAAAAAATTGTAGTACATAAATCACAACTCAATAAAAGAAAAAAAAAGAGACAAACAAAAAATGATCTCTAGAATAAATACCTGAAGTCTCCCAAAGTTAGCGTGGCCCAGAATTTTAAAAATAGTAATAATAATAATAAATACCTGAAGTCAATATACTTTACTTCAGGACTGAAGGAAAACTTTTATTATTCCAAGACAAAACCAAAACACATGCACAACTTTTAAAAGTAAAACAGTGGAAACAGAACAGATTAAAACATCACTCAGATCATAAACCAACCATGGGATTTTAAGCTCTCAAGTAAATCACCAAAGTTCTCTAAGCCTCAGTTTTCTCATCTGTAAAATGGGAATAAGAAAATCTACCTCACCAGGAATATGTAAAAATTAACCTTATGCAAAGTATCTAGTAAAGTACATGACACTTGGAGCCTTAGTAAACGGTATTGGTAGGAATCAACAATAAGAAAACATATAAAAAAGATCCACTTTACCTATCTTGCAAAACAGGAAATTACTTAAATGAGCCCTTATTGTGGACTCTTACTTTTTGTTTTATTTATTTATTTATTTTGAGACAGAGTTTCGCTTTTGTTGCCCAAGCTGGAGTGCAATCGCACGATCTCAGCTCACTGCAACCTCCGCCTCCTGGGTTCAAATGATTCTTCTCTCAGCTTCCCAAGTAGCTGGGGTTACAGGCACGTGCCACCACGCCCCACTAATTTTTTATATTTTTAATAGAAACAGGGTTTCATCATGTTAGCCAGGCTGGTCTCAAAACTCCTGACCTCAGGTGATCCACCCGCCTCAGTCTCCGAAAGTGCTGGGATTACAGGTATGAGCCACCGTACCCGGCCTGGACTCTTATTTAAATATCTGCCTTGTCTGAAAACTCTCCGCTTTATTATTATTATTCTTTATTTTACTTTTCTTTTTTTTTTTTTTTTTTGAGACAGAGTCTCACTCTGTTGCCCAAGCTGGAGTGCAGTGGCGTGATCTCGGCTCACGGCAACCTCTGCCACCTGGGTTCAAGGGATTCTCCTGCCTCTGCCTCCCCAGCAGCTGAGATTACAGGTGCCTGCCACTGCGCCCGACTAATTTTGTAGTTTTAGTAGAGATGAGGTTTCACCACCTTGGCCAGACTGGTTTTGAACTCCTGACCTCAAGATCCACTCACCTCGGCCTCCCAAAGTGCTGGGATTATAGGCGTGAGCCACCCACACCCAACTTTTTTTTTTTTTTTTTTAGATAAGAGTCTTGCTGTCACCCAGGCTGGACTTTCCACCTCCAGAGTTCAAGCAATTCTCATGCCTCAGCCTCCTGAGTAGCTGGGATTACAGGCGCATGCCACCACGACCGAATAATTTTTGTATTTTTATTAGAGACGGGATCTTGCCATGTTGCCCAGGCTGGTCTAGAACTCCTGACCTCAAGTGATCCGCCTACCTCGGCCGCCCAAAGTGCTTACAGGCGTGAGCCTCTGCACCAGGCCTCTTTCTCTTTTTTTTTCTTTTTTTGAGACAGAGTCTCACTGTCACCCAGGCTAGAGTGCAGTGGCACAATCTTGGCTCACTGCAACCTATGCCTCCCAGGTTCAAGCAATTCTCCTGCCTCAGTCTCCCAAGTAGCTGGGATTATAGGCCTACACCACCGCACCTAATTTGTACTTTTAGTAGAGATGGGGTTTTACCACACTGGCCATGGTTGGTCAGGCTGGTCTCGAACTCCTGACCTCCAATGATCTGCCCGCCTCAGCCTCCCAAAATGCTGGGATTACAAGCGTGAGCCACCGCACTTGGCCTCTGTTAAGAGACAGTGCTCACTCTGGTTGCCCAGGCTGGAGTGTAGGGGTGCAATCACAGCTCACTGCAGCTTCGAACTCCTGGGACTCAAGCTGGGACTACAGGTGTGAGCCACCACACCTGGCTAATTCTTAACTCTCCACTTTCTGATAATTGACTCCATTCCATCCAGATGGCTGGCTGAGAGAAAGGGTTAGGACAAACCAGGGAAGGTGCCTCGTTTTACAGTGGTCCTGCTCCCTAGCCACACAAACTCTCTTAAAAAAGTTCAAGAAAATCAAAGTTTTGGACAACCAAATTGTTGTAACCGAGCAACTTATAGAGAAACCACACTCTGAGACGAATTCAGGAGTCCTTTATTAGCCGGCGACCCAGAGACGGCTAGTGCTCAAAATTCTCTTGGCCCTAAAGAAGGGGCTAGATTTTCTTTTATACTTTTGTTCAGAAAGGGGAGGGGGAGAGTCTAGTTAAAACAAAGTAGGCAAAAAGTTAAAAGGACAAATGGTTACAGGAAAGTAAACAGTTCCAGGTGCAGGGGCTTTAAATCTATCACAAGGTGACAGACGCGGGGCTTTGGGTGTTATCAACCGGACACAAACGCGGGGGCTCTGGGTACTATTAACCGGGCGAATTCCTGGGAACTGCGGATATAGCTTGCCACAGTATCTTATCAGTTAATTGCATTCTTGGATGTGCTGGGAGTCAGCTTGCACAAGTTAAGTCCTTGAGGAAGCGGGTGGGTAAGGGGCTGCAAGTGAAGGAGCCAAGATGGAGTCTTGTCTGGCTCTTAGCTAAGGGAGAGTCAATTCAGGTTAAAACAAGGTAGGGTATCACAAAATTATATTCAAAGGTCTGAGTGAAAATCACTACTTTAAAAAAAAAAAAGAAAGAAAAGAAAAAGGCTTACATTGCCTTGTGAAATGCAAAAGACTATTTATAAAGATTACCAGTACTTAAGCCAGGTTTCCCAGAAATAGGGTTTACCTAAAGCAACATTTTTATTCACATCTGCTAGAAAGCTTTCTAATTACCTTTCAAAAGGCCATTTATTTCCAAACGTTAAGACAAACACACCAATAACTACTTTCCACAGAGAGCGTGCTCAAACAGTAGACAAAGCATGCTGAGTACTCTCCTTTTATCACACCTACACTGTCTGGTTGGATTACAGCCAACAGGGCTCAAGTAGGATTTATCTTTCCTGTGGATCACGTAGTACATTTGCCTAATGCAATGCCCTAGATTTTACAAATTACGTTCTCTGATGTACTTGCAAGTCGGCAGATTTGAACATTTTCAAGGAAGGCAGACACTTGTATAAAACAGGCTGTCTTGATCATCAATAAAAGCACCAACTATTTTGAGCCACCTACTATCCTTTTGCTATAATTTTCAATTTCAGTAAAGAATTTCTTGGCTTTTACCAAAGTCGAAGTTTAGCTAATATGCTGATGTTCCATCTGTATTTACACTGCACAGTAAGAACCCACACACGCTAAATATCTGTTTGAAATACTTTCACGCCAAAAATTTATATTGTGTGGCCATGATAGGCACTGACTAAAGGAAACTTGAAACTATAAATAGCACAGTGAATACCATATGCCTGGGGTGAAATGTTTTGCTTAAAATGGTACAAGGAAGGGGTTCACAGTTAGACAAAAAGTCCATATTCTACCCAAAAATGGGCCCAATAAACAAACCACACACACACACCCCAACTCATTAAAGAGATAAGAATTTTTCTCGGCCGGGCGCGGTGGCTCACTCACGCCTGTAATCTCAGCACTTTGGGAGTCCAAGGCGGGCGAATCACGAGGTCAGCAGTTCGAGACCAGCCTGGCCAACATGGTGAAACCCTGTCTCTACTAAAAATACAAAAAATTAGCTAGGCATAGTGGCGGGCGCCTGCAATCCCAGCTACTCGGGAAGCTGAGGAAGGAGAATCGCTTGAACCTGGGAGGCGAAGGCTGCAGTGAGCAGAGATCATGCCATTGCACTCCAGCCCGGGCCACAGAGTGAGACTCTGTCTCAAAAAAAAAAAAAAAAAAAAAAAAAAACCTCACTGAAAAAAGTTATATATGCTATTTGTCTACCATTTTCAGGGCATTTTCTCGCGATGCAGTGGTATTCACTGCAAAGCAACTCTGGTCTAACTCTCCATCATGATGTCACAAAACCCAAAATGCAGCGGAATCCGACTCAGTGCTGGTGCAGTCTAGGGGTGCCACCAACCAACGCAGGGCAGGTGCGGGCAAGACTCCATCAGGTTTCCTCACTAGCTCTGAAAATCACTGCTCCTCATACAAAAAAAGACTTCAAAAGTTCCAACCAGGAAAAAAAATGCCAGATTTGCCCGCTGAGTCTGTCAAGAAAAGGTCTGAAGACCAACTGTCCACGGGCAGGAAAAATGTGGGTGGAAAATGGCTTCCCCGGGCAGATGGAAACGCAGTAAATCACACTCACATCCCTTCCTGGAGTAAGGGCTTTAAAACATCGGGGGGGGGACCCATTCACAAGAGGATGCCAAGAACTCCCAACCACTTCAACTCGGGATCCGAACGTGCGACGGCGTGAAAGCGCAGGCCACCCTAGCGGAGACGCGGCCAGGGAGAACGAGCATTGACAAATCCGCAACCCTAACCACAGAGCTGCAAAATATGCGCCGTCACCTCCGCGACCGCTCCGTCCGCAGCCGTCGAAACACAAAGCCCACGGGCTTTAAGAAGAAAGGAAACACGTGCTCGGCAGATAAGCTCAGTTTGTCTGCCCCGGTGCGCCCTACGCGAGGCCGCGGGGCTGCGCGGAGGCTGGAGATCGGCGACCCACACCACCTGGGCGCCAAGGGTCGAGTGCGGCCCTCCGCCCCGCGCCCCTGGCCTCCCCCATCGCCCCAAACTCCTGGCCTCCCCCAGTCGGCGCTGGCCCAGCCGGGGGAAGTGCGGACGCGGCACCCGGAGAATTAAGTTTCTAATAATACAACTTTAGGCGGATGAGCGCACGCCTCACCCCACCGCGAGGCCGGGCCAGAAGCCCAGCTAGGGGCGCGGAAGCAACGCAGGGTCCCGGGCCGGGCGCGCCGCGCTCACCAGATACCAGACGCCGAGCAGGATGGTGCCGGTGCGGACATGGCAGCACAAGCAGCAGCTGTTGGAGTAGAACCGCGTCCAGGGCGCGACCATCTTCATCGCTCCGGGCGCAGTGGCGCGAGCGCGCGCGCAAGTTTTCAGGAGCGTCGACCGCCTCGCCTGGAGCCCGCCGCGCCGCTGCTGCCGGCTCCTCCGCCGCTCCGGCTCCCGGCCCGCTCGCCCGTGCGCCCGCGGGCCTGCCTCCTCGATACCCCGAGAGCTCCGAGCTTCTGCCGGGTCGGTACCCTTCGCTCCGAAGGCGACCGCTGCAGCGGCGGGGACGGGGAGGGGGCGGGGCGGACTTGGCCATGTGACCCGAGTCCGTGACGTCATCGCGGGCTCCAGCCAGCTGCTGGAGCTCCAAGCACCCGGTGAGTAAATCCATCAGCGTGCACCCTCCGCCAGTCCCCTAGTCGGCCCTGAGTGGAGGTCCGGGCCTTCCTTCTTTCATCTGGCCGTTCGTGTAACTCCATTCAAGGGTCGAGATTCTTTTAGTCTAGTTCCTTGCGATTTTCTTCCCTTCTACTTCTTTTTTTTTTTTTTTTGAGACAGAGTCTCGCTCTTGTCGCCCAGGCTGGAGTGCAATGGCGCGATCTCGGCTCACTGCAACCTCCGCCTCCCGGGTTCAAGCGATTCTCCTGCCCAACCAACCGAGTAGCTGGGATTACAGGCGCTTGCCACCACACCCGGCTAATTTGTTGTATTTTTAGTAGAGACGGGGTTTCACCATGTTGGTCAGGCTGGTCTGGAACTCCTGACGTCGAATGATCCACCCGCCTCAGCCTCCCAAAGTGCTGGGATTACAGGCGTGAGCCACCGCACCCGGCCCGCTTCTACTTCTATCTTGCAGGTAATCGATACAGCTCCTATCACTCTTATCTTGCACGAGAGGAAGGAAAACTGCGCGGTGCTATTCCAGTCAATTGCAGTACTTTGAACCACCACCGAGAGCAATTTGTCTCCGCTTCACAGCTCAATTACTGTGGTAGTAATCTTTTCCCAGAAAATAGGATGTGTGTCAAGGACATCCTCGCTGTGCTTCCGGTAGCTTTTTTTTTTTTTTTTTTTTTTTTTTTTTGAGACAGAGTCTTGCTCTGTCACCCAGGCTGGAGTGCAGTGGTGCGATCTCGGCTCACTGCAAGCTCCACCTCCCGGGTTCACGCCATTCTCCTGCCTCAGCCTCCCTAGTAGCTGGGACTACAGGCGCCCGCCACCACGCCTGGCTAATTTGTTGTATTTTCAGTAGAGACGGGGTTTCACCGTGTTAGCCAGGATGGTCTCGATCTTCTGACCTCGTGATCCGCCCGCCTCAGCCTCCCAAAGTGCTGGGATTACAGGCGTGAGCCACAACGCCTGGCACAGCGTTTTTAATCATGAGTGCAGCTCTAAAGATTCAGTCCCAGCCTGGGCAACATGGCGAAACCCTGGCTCTACAAAAAATACCAAAATTGGCTGGGCGCGGTGGCTCACGCCTGTAATCCCAGTGAGAGACAAGAGTAGCGGATTTCCTGGGGCGACTAAGAATTCCTAAACCTACCTGGGGAAGGGGACCGCACCCACCCTTAAACATGGGGCTTGTAACTCAGCTCACACCTGACCAATCAGGTAGTAAAAAGGGCTCACTAAAACACCAATTAAGCTAAAAGCAAGAGGTAAAGAAATAGTCAAATCATCTATCATCTGAGAGCACAGGGGGAGGGACAATGATTGGGATATAAACCCCAGGCATTCCAGCCGGGAGTGGGCAACCCCCTTTGGGTCCCCGCCCACTGTATGGGAGCTGTTTTCACTCTATTAAATCTTGCAGCTGCACACTCTTCCACCTGGAGCTGAGCTTTCGCTCACCGTCCACCACTGCTGTTCGCCGCTGTTGCAGACCCGCCGTTGACTTCCACCCCTCTGGATCCGGCAGGGTGTCCCCTGCGTTTCTGATCCAGCGAGGTGCCCATTGCCGCTCCTGTTTGGGCTAGAGGCTCGCCATTGTTCCTGTGCGGCTAAGTGCCCGGGTTGGTCCTAATCAAGCTGAACACTAGTCGCTGGGTTCCACGGTTCTCTTCCGTGACCCACGACTTCTAAAAGAGCTATAACACTCACTGCATGGCCCAAGGTCCCATTCCTTGAAATCCGTGAGGCCAAGAACCCCAGGTCAGAGAACGAAAGGCTTGCTGCCATCCTGGGAGCAGCCGCCACCATCTTGGGAGTGGCCCACCACCATCTTGGGAGCTCTAAGAACAAAGACCCACCAGTAACACCAGCACTTTGGGAGGCCAAGGCGGGGGGATCACCTGAGGTCAGGAGTTTGAGACCAGCCTGACCAACATGGAGAAACCCCATCTCTACTAAAAATACAAATAAAATTAACTGGGCGTGGTGGTGCATGCCTATAATTCCAGCTACTGGGAAGGCTGAGGCAGAAGAATGGCTTGAACCTGGGAGGCAGAGGTTGCGGTGAGCCTAGATCGCGCCATTGCACTCCAGCCTGGGCAACAAGAGCGAAACTCCATCCCAAAAAACAAAAACAAGACAAAATTAGCCGGGCTTGGTGGCACGTGCCTGTGGTCCCAGCTACTCCAGGGGCTGGCTGCAGCGGGAGAATCACCTGAGCCGGGGAGTTCGAGTCTGCAGTGATCCGTGATTGTGCCACTACACTCCAGCCTGGGCGACGGCAGTGAGACACTTCTCAAAACAAAAAAGAGAAACAGTCATCCAACCAGTTACACAAGGCCTCTGCAAGACACAACACAGTGTTAGAGATAGTGAAAGATAGTTCTATGTTTTGGAGGAGTTTATTTCCTCCCAATTCGTGTTTTGTGTAGAAGCACCGTTGTCTGCGGTTAGCCTACGGACTACTGTCAAAGCCAAGAATCTGAGATAGGTTAGATTATTAGCACGGGTGAAAGTTTTATTTCAGACATGGAGTAAAAAAAAAAATTGATTCGATCTAAATTTCCTAAGATGAGGCTAAATAGGAAGAAAGATACTGTTAAAACTATTCAATTACAGAACTGATTAGTTTTACGAGTCTTTAAAGCTGCAACTTTCTTACTATGTAGCTTTATCCTGGAACCAAGAGCCATCCCTACCATGTCAAGTGTAGGCCCTTAATTAGAAATGATAAGTAACATTATTTGGGGAATTAATCAGAAAACCAAACAAAAAGCTCCGTTTTTGTTTTGTGTTTTCTTTCTTCTTTCTTTTTTTTGATGGAATTTCGGTCTTGTTGCCCAGGCTGCAGTTGCAATGGCGCGATCTGGGCTCACCACGACCTCCGCCTCCCGGGTTGAAGCAATTCTCCTGACTCAGCCTCTTGAGTAGTTGGGATTACAGGCATGCGCCACCACGCCCGGCTAACTTTGTATTTTTAGTAGAGACGGGGTTTCTCCATGTTGGTCAGGCTGGTCTCAAACTCCTGACCTCAGGTGATTCGCTGGCGTTAGCCTCCCAAAGTGCTGGGATTACAGGCATGAACCACCTTGCCCAGCCTTGTTTTGTGTTTTCACTACAAAATTCTGGTTTCTTCAAGTTGAATAATGAAGAACAACAACAAAAATTCTGGTTCCTTTCACATTAGAGATCATTTTCTCTGTGGGCTCTTCCATTTAAAATTTAATTATGCCCACAGCCACTTTTTAAAAATATATATGTATATACTAGTCAAGTGCAGTAGTGACAACAGGGAAAACAGTAGAACAAGGAGTTCCATCTGTAACTGACCATGAACAATCAATTGAGATAACTCACTACCTTCAGACAATCAGCCATTTTTTTTGAGACGGTGTCTCGCACTGTCGCTGGGCTGGAGTGCAGTGGCGCCATCTCGGCTCACTGCAACCTCCGCCTCCCGGGTTCAAGCGATTCTCCTGCCTCAGCCTCCCAAGTAGCTGGGATTACAGGTGCCCATCAGCACGCCCAACTAATTTTTTGTATTTTTAGTAGAGATGGGATTTCACCATGTTGGCCAGGCTGATCTCAAACCCCTGACCTCGGGTGATCTGCCTGCCTTGGCCTCCCAAAGTGCTGGGATTACAAGTGTGTGCCACTGCGCCTGGCCCACAGCCACTTTTAATATAGGACAAGCATTTGTGCTCTGAGAAAGAATAGAGACATGTGATCAGAATAGGAAATGGTATCTTGAATGAGACTTTTTCAACAATTAAACTCCCAGCAAGCTCCCATAGTTACCTTTCCTTTTTCCCTCCCCACCAGAATTTCATATTTATTAGGCAAATCAATCATTGATTCAAGGGAATTTTATATTTTAGAAATCTTACTGTTCAAGATCTGAACTTACAGACAGTTGCCAAATTTCTCTAGATAAGAAAATAAAGAATAGAGGGAACCTAACTGGATAACAAAAAAAAAAGGAGAGAGAAAAATGCCATTGCAGTTAAAGGTTATTAAATAAAGCTTAGTGTCAATGTCTTTGGAGTTGTATTTGTTTGGGTGCAAGAGAGTATGGGAATTGGCTTCAAAAGAACAAATGAAACTGCCTTTGCAAAGTTATGACTAAGGAAATTTTTTTTTTTTTTTTTTTTTTTTTTTTTTTTTTTTTTTTTGAGACGGAGTCTCGCTCTGTCGCCCAGGCTGGAGTGCAGTGGCGGGATCTCGGCTCACTGCAAGCTCCGCCTCCCGGGTTCACGCCATTCTCCTGCCTCAGCCTCCCAAGTAGCTGGGACTACAGGCGCCCGCCACTACGCCCGGCTAATTTTTTGTATTTTTAGTAGAGACGGGGTTTCACCGTTTTAGCCGGGATGGTCTTGATCTCCTGACCTCGTGATCCGCCCGCCTCGGCCTCCCAAAGTGCTGGGATTACAGGCGTGAGCCACTGCGCCCGGCGACTAAGGAAATTATGACAAGTGAAAGACATCAGCTCTAACTAACTCTATCTTGCCTCTAATCTCTGAACTCTCCTTGTCCATTACTGGGCATAGCCCCAACTAGCCTTAGGAAGGAATTTAGTTTATAATTTAAATAATAGCCCCTCCTCAAAGCTAAACTGTCCTTGTGAAATGAATAAAAGGCCACCAGCCACCAAGTTAGAATGAGAGGGGCTGGAATTCTAAATATTACCAGCCGTTATCCCAGAGGTTGTAAGATTCGCAACTTCCACAATTATTCTTTTTTTTTTGTAATTTTTTTAAATTATACTTTAAGTTTTAGGGTACATGTGCACAATGTGCCGGTTAGTTACATATGTATACATGTGCCATGCTGGTGTGCTGCACCCATTAACTCATCATTTAGCATTAGGTATATCTCCCAATGCTATCCCTCCCCCCTCCCCCGACCCCACAACAGTCCCCAGAGTGTGATGTTCCCCTTCCTGTGTCCATGTGTTCTTATTGTTCAATTCCCACCTATGAGTGAGAACATGCAGTGTTTGGTTTTTTGTCCTTGTGATAGTTTACTGAGAATGATGATTTCCAATTTCATCCATGTCCCTACAAAGGACATGAACTCATCATTTTTTATGGCTGCATAGTATTCCATGGTGTATATGTGCCACATTTTCTTAATCCAGTCTATCATTGTTGGACATTTGGGTTGGTTCCAAGTCTTTGCTATCGTGAATAGTGCCGCAATAAACATACGTGTGCATGTGTCTTTATAGCAGCATGATTTATAGTCCTTTGGGTATATACCCAGTAATGGGATGGCTGGGTCAAATGGTATTTCTAGTTCTAGATCCCTGAGGAATCGCCACACCGACTTCCACAATGGTTGAACTAGTTTACAGTCCCACCAACAGTGTAAAAGTGTTCCTATTTCTCCACATCCTCTCCAGCACCTATTGTTTCCTGACTTTTTAATGATCACCATTCTAACTGGTGTGAGATGGTATCTCATTGTGGTTTTGATTTGCATTTCTCTGATGGCCAGTGAAGAAATGCAGAGAAATCACAATTATTCTTAAAGGTAACATCAGCGTTGAGAACCTAAGATCTGTCTTTTGAGATGTCTTTTCAGGTTTTTGCATTTCTAACAACTGGATGGCCCCACCTGGACCTGCCAACCAGTTCTGTGCCCCCCACCCAGGAACTGACTCAGCATAAGAGAACATCTTCCACTCCCTCTGATTTCATTCCCGAGCCAGCCAATCAGCACTCCTGATTCACTGGCCCCCCCTCCCTACCCACCAAATTATTCTTTAAAACCCTGATCAAGGCCGGGCACGGTGGCTCACGCCTGTAATCCCAGCACTTTGGGAGGTTGAGGCGGGTGGATCACCCAAGGTCAGAAGTTTGAGACCAACCTAACCAGCATGGCAAAACTCTGTCTCTGCTAAAAATACAAAAATTAGCCTGGCGTTGTGACAGGCGCCTGTAATCCTGGCTGATTGGGAGGCTTAGACATGAGAATAGGGAGGCTGAGCCATGAGAATAGCTTGAACCCGGGAAGCGAAGGTTGCAGTGAGCCGAGATCCCACCACTGCACTCCAGCCTGGGGAACAGAGCGGGACTCTGCCTAAAAACAAAAACAAACAAACAAAAACAAACCCTGACCTTCCACTGGCCTCCCGCACAACCAGCTCTGCATGAATTATTTTTTATTGCAATTCCCGTGTCTTGATAAATCGGCTCTGACTAGGCAGCGGGCAAGGTAAACCCCTTGGGTGGTTACACAGAGGCTTCCCAAGGAACTTAGTCACAGCTGGGTTATTCTTTTCATTTTTTGGGGGGGCGGGGAGCAGTATTATTTTCAAACAACCACATATTTAACTGGCATACTGATTGCAGTAGTAGAGTTACTTAGAAAAGTCATCTGGTTGGCCAGGTGCGGTGGCTCACACCTGTAATCCCAGCACTTTGGGAGGCAGAGGTGGGCAATCACAAGGTTAGGAGATCAAGACCATCCTGGCCAACATGGTGAAACCCCGTCTCTACCAAAAATACAAAAAAAAAATAGCTGGGCATGGCAGTGTGTGCCTGTAGTCCCAGCTACAGGTGACAGAGTGAGACTCTCTCAAAAAAAAAAAAAAAAAAACAAACCTGGTTTTAGGCCAGGCACAGTGGCTCACGCCTATAATCCCAACACTGGGAGGGCAAGGCAGGCGGATCACCTGAGGTCTGGAGTTAGAGACCAGCATTACCAACACGGAGAAACTCCGTCTCTACTAAAAAAAAATACAAAAAATTAGCTGGGCATGGTGGCACATACCTGTAATCCCAGCTACTTGGGAGACTGAGGCAGGAAAATCACTTGAACCCGGGAGGCAGAGGTTGCAATGAGCCGAGATCGAGCCATTGCACTCCAGCCTGGGCAACAAGA
Source organism: Homo sapiens (assembly GCF_000001405.40). Lineage (NCBI taxonomy): Eukaryota > Metazoa > Chordata > Mammalia > Primates > Hominidae > Homo > Homo sapiens. The sequence continues at coordinate 97,768,800 of NC_000008.11, read as the reverse complement.
GTGAAACTCCATCTCAAAAAAAAGAAAAGTCACCTTGTTTTCTGTTTGTTTGTTTGTTTGCTTGCTTGTTTGTTTTGAGAAGGAGTCTTACTCTGTTGCCAGGCTGGAGTGCAGTGGCGAGCAATCTCTGCTCATTGCAACCTCCGTCTCCCAGGTTCAAGTGATTCCTCCCGGGTTCAATGATTCTGCCTCAGCCTCCCGAGTGGCTGGGATTACAGGCGCACGCCACCACACCCAGCTAATTTCTGTATTTTTAGTAGAGACAGGGTTTTACCATGTTGGCCAGGATGGTCTCAATATCTTGACCTCATGATCTGCCCGCCTTGGCCTCCCAAAGTGCTGGGATCACAAGTGTGAGCCACCATGCCCAGCCTGTTTGTTTTAAGAGACAGGGTCTCACTATGTTGCCTAGGCTGCTCTCAAGCTCCTGCCCTCAAGTGATCCGATCCTCCTGCCTCAGCTTCCCAAAGTCTTAGGATTATAGACATGAGCTGCTCTGCCTGGCACCACACTGCTCCTTTTCTGCCAGAACTAAGGATGACAGCCCTCATAACCTTGGTCAGGTTTCTTACAGTTCACTTGCACCTCCTCCCTCATTCTTCACTGGTGCCTTCCTTACCAGATTTTAAACACTTCTCACTTTTAGGACTTTAGGACTTGCAGCCTCTTTGTCACCCAGGCTCGTCTTTTTTTTTTTTTTTTTTTCTTTGAGACAGGGTCTCCCTGTGTCTCCCAGGCTGGAGTGCAGTGGCGCGATCTCGGCTCACTGCAACCTCCGTCTCCTGGGTTCAAGCAATTTTCCTGCCTCAGCCCCCCAAGTAGCAGGGATTACAAGTGTGTGCCACCACGCCCAGCTAATTTTTTGTATTTGTAATAGAGACGGGGCCAGGCACAGTGGCTCACGCCTGTAATCCCAGCACTTTGGGAGGCTGAGGCAGGCAGATCACCTGAGGTGGGGAGTTTGAGACCAGCCTGACCAACATGGAGACACCCGTCTCTACTAAAAATACAAAAAAATTAGCCAGGCATAGTAGTGCATGCCTGTAATCCCAGCTACTTGGGAGACTGAGGCAGGAGAATTGCTGGAACCTAGGAGATGGAGGTTGCAGTGAGCTGAGATCGAGCCACTGCACTCCAGCCTGGGCAATAGAGCGGGACTCTGTTTCAGAAAAAAAAAGAAAAATAGAGACGGGGTTTTGCTCTGTTGGCGAGGCTGGTCTTGAACTCCTGGCCTCAAGTGATCCTCCCACCTCAGCCTCCCAAAGTGCCTGAAGTCACCATGCCCAGCCTCCCTCATCATCTTCTTATACTGTAATTTTTCTCTCTCCTTAACCTTTTTCTGAGTTCAGCTATTTCCCAGTTATTTGTTGGGGAACATTTTTTCTTTTTCTTTTCTTTTCTTTTTTTTTTTTTTTTTTGAGACTGAGTCTCACTCTGTTGCCCAGGCTGGAGTGCAATGGTGTGATCTTGGCTCACTGCAGCCTCTGCCTCCTGGGTTCAAGTGATTCTCATGCCTCAGCCTCCCCAGTAGCTGAGATTACAGGTGCCTGCCACCACATCTGGCTAATTTTTATATTTTTAGTAGAGACGGGGTTTCACCATGTTGCCCAGGTTGGTCTTGAACCCCTGATTTCAGGTGATCCACCCGCCTTGACCTCCCAAAGTGCTGGGATTACAGGCATGAGCCACCGTGCCTGGCTGGGGAACATTTTTTCTTTCCACTAGATAAAGCCCCTCTTTCTTTTTCAAATCTCTTCTTCTCTATGGCCAATTGCATTTCAGTCTCTCTGTTAGAAATTCAAATTACCCAATATTAATTTGAGTGCCTACTATGGATAAAACATAAAGACATAAAGTCCGGAAAGATTAGTAATGTTTTGTTCCTGCTCTCAAAGCAGACCACTGAGGCTGGACCCAGTGGCTCAGACCTACAATCCCAGCACTTTCAGGGGCCAAGATGAGAAGATTGCTTGAGCCCAGGAGTTCAACACCAGCCTGGGCAACAAAGCAAACCCTGTCTGTACAAAAAATTTAAAAATTAGCCAGGCATGCTGGCGCATGCCTGTGGTCCCATCTACTCAAGAGGCTAAGGCAGGAGGATCACTTGAGCCCAAGAGGTCAATGTTACAGTGAGCTGTGATCATGCCACTGTACTCCAGCCTGGATGACAGAGTGAGACCATCTCAAAAAAAAAAAGTGGACCATCTAGCCTAATGGCACAAGTCACTGTGATATAAGTCAGCATGTATGCTGTATATCATTAAAAATAAAAAATAAAGGCTGGGTGAGGTAGCTCACACCTGTAATCCCAGCACTTTGGAAGGCCGGGGCAGGGGGATCACCTGAGGTCGGGAGTTTGAGACTAGCCTGACCAACATAGAGAAACCCTGTCTCTACTAAAAATACAAAATTAGCTGCATGTGGTGGCGCATGCCTGTAATCCCAGCTACTCAGGAAGCTGAGGCAGGAGAATCACTTGAACCGGGGAGGCGGAGGTTGCGGTGAGCTGAGATCGCACCATTGCACTCCAGGGTAGGCAACAAGAGCGAAATTCCATCTAAAAAAATTAAAAAGTTAAAAAAACAAAACAAAACAAAACAAAACAAAATGCTAGGAAAGCAGGAAGAGATTAATTACAATTGTGGGGAGTTCACATTTTAGTTAGTTGGGTCTTGTGAAGGGTGAATAGACCACAAAAGGTGAAGGAAGAGACATGCTTCAGGAATTGGATTGGACCAGAAGGTCCTTTGGGGGTGGGAAGGTTTCATCTGAACTACCTCCATAACCTGGGCGAGGGTCTATCTCAAGAGAGACCTCAGGACCCCTCTAATGGCTGAGAAATTCAGAGCTACATGTAGGTAGTTCCCCTGCAAAGGAAAACCTACATGTGTTAGAAAAGAAATTCATGTACCTATGCACATGGTGCTGTTGAATGTGTGGTTTGTTTGTTTGTTTGAGACAGAGTCTCACTCTGTCACCCAGGCTGGAGTGCAGTGGTGCAATCTTGGCTCACTGCAACCTTTGCCTCCCAGGTTCAAGCGATTCTCCCACCTCAGCCTCCTGAGTAGCTGAGATAACAGGCGTGCACCACCATGCCCCACTCATTTTGGTATTTTCTGTAGAGCCAGCGTTTCGCCATGTTGCCCAGGCTTGTCCTGAACTCTTGGGTTCAGGCAATCTGTTCACCTCGGCCTCCCAAAGTGCTGGGATTGTAGGAGTGAGCCACTGCACTATCTTAGTTTGGGGTAGATCAGAGAGGGCCTCCCAGAGGTGGTGACATCTAAGTTCACACTTACAGAATAAGATGGAATTGGCCAGGTAAAGAGAAGCAGAGGACTACCCAGGGCAGGATGGAAACAGGACGCACATGGGATGGGCAGCTGGCAGGCCTGCAAGGTTACAAACAGCAAGGAGCACAATAACTGAGGGTTCACATTGGAAAGAAAAAGGGACAGAGCTGAGAGAGGTGAGGTAAGGGGTGTCAGTGTGTGTGGGGGTAGGTAACAGAAGGTAAAAGGCTTTTCTTTTCTTCTTTTCTTTTTTTTTTTGAGACGGAGTGTCGCTGTGTTGCCCAGGCTGGAGTGCTGTGGCGTGATCTCAGCTCACTGCAACCTCCACCTCCTGGGTTCAAGCAATTATCTGCCTCAGCCTCCTGAGTAGCTGGGATTACAGGCATGTGCCACCACACCCAGCTAATTTTTGTATTTTTAGTAGAGATGGGGTTTCACCATGTTGGTCAGGCTGATCTCGAACTCCTGACCTTGTGATTTGCCTGCCTTGGCCTCCCAAAGTCCTGGGATTACAGGCGTGAGCTACTGCACCCGGCCCTGTTTGGAGTATATTTCCTGAGGAAAGTGGGGAGCTACAGAACTACTGGAGGTTTCATAACTAAAACCCACATGACTTGATGATAAATTCATGTCACAGGAGGCTTAAGGTACGTACCAAAGAGATAGGCAGGATTAGCCACATAATTTGTGGGATCCAGTGCAAAAGGAAATTTTGAGGCCTATTTTTGAAAAAGTATTAAGAATTTCAAGATGGCAACAGTAGGACATTAAATGAAGCATGCAGTCCTTCTAAGCACAAGTATCTAGCAAGTTCTACTGTCCAGGTCCCACTGCTCAGGTTCCACTGCTCTGGTCACACATCCAGATTACCCAGGTCACAGTGCCCAGGTCCCACTGCTCAAGTCACTCTGCCTAGGTCACATTGCCCAGCTCACACCACCCAGATCACACTGCTCAGGTCACACATCCAGGTCACACATCCAGATTACCCAGGTCCCACTGCTCAGTTCCCACTGCCCAGGTCACATTGCCCAGCTCACACCACTCAGATCACACTGCTCGGGTCACACATTCAGATTATCCAGGTCCCAGTGCTCAGGTCCCACTGCCCAGGTCACACTGCCCAGATCACACTGCTCAGGTCCCACTGCCCAGGTCACACTGCCCAGATCACACTGCTCAAGTCACATGTCTAGGTCACTTTGCCCAGGTCCCACTGCTCAGGTCACACTGCCCATGAAGCTGGCCCTGGAGATAGGCTTCATATCTCTGTTAGAACTTAAAACTAAACAGAATATATATATAGAGAGAGAGATAGATAGATATAGATATAGATAGATATAGATATATATCTATATAGATATATATGTGTATTTGAGACATGGTCTGGCTCTGTTGCCCAGGCTGGAGTACAGTGGTGCAATCACAGCCCACTACAACCTCTGCCTACTGGGCTCAGGTAATTCTCTCACCTCAGCCTCCAGAGTATCTGGGACTACAAATACATGCCACTACGCCTGGCAAATTTTTGTGAGTTTTTTGATAGAGACAGGGTTTCACCATGTTGCCCAGGCTGGTTGGTAAACAAGAGAAAATTTTGTGAGCTCTCTCATTTTTGTCAGAACACAAGGAACTGCTTCCCGGAGGCCATGATAATTGTGAGTTTCACAGGAGTGAGAGGACGAAAATAAGTAGTATGCCAGATGATTCATTAAAGAATCTGGCTCTTGTCCAGGGTCAGGCTGTGAAGGTCAGAATGTGGAGCTGGCTCCGCTCTTGAATTGCAGCCAAGGAGGAAGTCGAGAATTATGATTGATACGCTCTCAGAGATCCATGTAATTAATCACATATTTATTAAAGCACACTTGGGGTTTGGCCAGGTTCTGGACTGGGGTTGTGAGACAGAGTACATTAAGACACAATCCCTGCCTCCAAGAAACTCAAAATAACAATGTTCCCAGAAAGGGGTCCCAATCCAGAACCCAAGAGAGGGTTTTTGGATCTCACACAAGAAAGAATTCAAGGCAAGTCCATAAAGTAAAGTGAAAGAGAGTTTATTAAGAAAGTAAAGAGGGCCAGGCACCGTGGCTCATGCCTGTAATCCCAGCACTTTGGGAGGCCAAAGCAGGCGGATCATTTGAGGCCAAGAGTTGGAGAACAGTCTGGCTAACATGGTGAAACCTAGTCTCTACAAAAAAAATAGCCGGGTGTGGTGGCATGTGCCTGTAATTCCAGCTACTCGGGAGGCTGAGGCAGAAGAATCGCTTGAACACCGGAGGCAGAGGTTGCATTGAACCGAGATGGATGAGAGACTCTCTTTCCCAACCCCCCCCCACAAAAAAAGGAAGAAAATAAAGAATAAAGAATGGCTACTCTATGGACAGAGTGGTGGCATGACTGCTCCACTAAGGATACTTATAGTTATTTCTAGATTATATGCTAAACAAGGGGTGGATTATTCATGAGTTTTCCAGGAAAGGGGTGGACAATTCCTGGAACCGAAGGTTCCTCCCCCCCATATTAGACCATATACGGTAACTTCCTGACATTGCCATGGCTTTGGAAACTGTCATGGTGCTGGTGGGAGTGTCTTTTAGCATGTTAACATATTATGATTAGCGTATGAGGAGCAGTGAGGACGACCAGAGGTCACTTTTGTCGCCATCTTGGTTTTGATGGGATTTGGCTGCCTTCTTTACTGCAAACTATTTTATTAGCAAGGTCTTTATGACCTGCACCTTGTCCTGACCTCCTATCTCATCCAGTGACTCAGAATGCCTAGCCTCCAGGGAATGCAGCCCAGTAGGTCTCAGCCTCATTTTACCTAGCCCCTATTCAAGATGGAGTCACTGTGGTTCCAACGCCTCTGACAATAAGAGAGACAAAGATGGGCAGATGCAGTCATTAGTGGTAGATCTGTGCAGCTAACAGTAAAAACAAACAAACAAAAAACAGTATTCTGATTAATGGTGATATTATTGTTGTAACCGAGCGAGTTATAGAGAGAACGCCACACTCTGAGACTAATTCAGGAATCCTTTATTGCCAGCGACTGAGAGACGGCTAGAGCTTGAAATTCTCTCGGCCCCGAAGAAGGGGCTACACTTCTTTCTATACTTTGGTCTGATTAGGGGAGGGGGAGTCTAGCTGAAGCAGTTTTTTTACAGAAGCAGAACAGGCAAAAAGTTAAAAGATATATGGTTACAGAAACAGTTACAGGAAAATAAACAGTCCCAGGTGCGGGGGCTTAAATTCTCACAAAGTGATAAACGCAGGGGCTTTGGGTGCCATCAACCGAGCACGTTCCCAGGAGCTGCTGGTACAGCTTGCCTCAGTATCTTACCAGTAAGCGCATTCTTGGATGTGCTTGGAGTCAGCTTGCACCAGTTATGTCCTTAAGGGAGGGGGACAAGGGACTGCAAGCAAAGAAACCAAAATGGAGTCTGTCCAGCTCTCTCAGCTAAGAGAGAGTCAATCAGGTTAAAACAAGGTAGGGTATCACATTATGGCATCAATATAGTTTATCAATGTTTAAGATTTGGAATGCAATCAAGTGTCATCTTGACCGAGTTTTGAAGCCATGGTTAAAAATTCTTAATTCCCATCACAGGCAGTTTGCTAAGGCCTCACCCCAACTATTTCCCTTATCAGGCGGTAACACCCCTGGCTTACAATATGCACAGATTCAGGGCCAGAGCCCCCAGGTACTTTTTGCTCAGGAATGGCCCTTTCTTGTTTGGTCACAGAATTATCAAAATACCCAAACTCCAGGAAGCCCTAAAACCTCCTTTGCATTACAGAAGCCACCTCAGACACTTCCAGCTTGCTGTTAGTCTTCCTGGTGCAGCTCCTGTGTGGTCCTGTGTGGCAGCCTTCTCTCCTTTGGAGAAGTAAGTAACAGAGTTCTGCCTTTCACCCAGCCCAGCATCACTGTGTCCTGTCTCACCAACGAAAGCCTCTTCAGGCTTTTCTGAAGATTGTGTCAAAGGTGGAGAAGGAAGGTCCTGCTCCTCCCAAAGCCCAGGTTAAGGCAAAGGCTTTGAAGGCGAAGAAGGCAGTGCTGAAAGGCATCCACAGCCACAGGGAAAAAGAAGATCCTCAAGTCACCCAGCTTCTAGCAGCCCAAGACCCTGCAGCTCCTGAGGCAGCCCAAGTCTCCTCGGCAGAGCTTGACCACTGCACCATCAGCATGTTCTGCGGGCCCCCTTAGTCAGCCAAGAAGATGGAAGACAACAGCACACTTATGTTCATTGTGGGTGTTAAAGCCTGTGTTGCAGCTCAGAAAACAATACCCCCAGCCTGCACGGTGGCTCGAGCCTGTAATCCCAGCTCTTTAGGAGGCCCAGGCAGGCAGATCGCTTAAGCTCAGGAGTTCAAGACCTGCCTGGGCAATATGGTAAGACCCCCATTTCTACAAAAAAATATAAATTAAAAAAAAAAGTTAGCCAATATAGTGTCACACTCCTGTAGGCCTAGCTACTCAGGAGGCTGAGGCAAGAGAATTGCTTGAGCCCAGGAGGTCAAGGCTGCAGTGAGCCACAAATGCACCACTGCACTCCAGCCCTGACCCTGTCTTAAAAAAAAACAAAAAGTCAGCCAAATATGGGTAGCTTCTACATAATGTGTTCCTGGAAATAAATATGAAACCAGAATGTCCGCAAGTTGACACCGCAGAGTTTCTGTTCCCAGAGAGTTTAAAAATCTTTCTAATTACATCCGAATTTTTTTTTTTTTTTTTTTTTTTGAGACGGAGTCTCACTCTGTTGCCCAAGCTGGAGTGCAGTAGCACGATCTCGGCTCACTGCAACCTCCATCTCCCAGGTTCAAGCAATTCTCCTGCTTCAGCCTCCAGGAGTAGCTGGGACTACTGGCGCATGCCACCACGCCTGGCTAATTTTTGTATTTTTAGTAGAGATGGGCTTTCACCATGTTGGCCAGGCTGCTCTTGAACTCCTGACCTCAGGTGATCTGCTGGCCTTGGCCTCCCGAAGTCCTGGGATTACAGGCGTGAGCCACTGCTCCTGACCTGTTTTTTTTGTTTTGTTTTGTTTTGACACAGGATCTTATTCTGTTGCCCAAGCTGGAATGCAGCGGTGTGATCACGGCTCACTGCAGCCTTCACCTCCTGTGCTCAAGTGATCCTCCTGCCTCAGGCTCCTGAATAGCCTGAACAACAGGCACGCACCTTGGGTACTACAAGTTTCTTTCTTTTTTTTTTTTGAGATGGAGTTCCGCTCTTGTTACCCGAGCTGGAGTGCAATGGCTCAATCTCAGCTCACCGCAACCTCCACCTCCTAGGTTCAAGTAATTCTGCTGCGTCAGCCTCCCAAGTGGCTGAGATTACAGGCATGTGCCACTATGCCCGGCTAATTTTGTAGTTTCAACATGGTTTCTCCATGTTGGTGAGGCTGGTCTTGAACTCCCGACCTCAGATGATCCGCCTGCCTCGGCCTCCCAAAGTTCGGGGATTACAGGCGTGAGCCACTATGCCCAGTCTGGTGTTTCTGTTTTTGTTTTTTGACACAGGATCTTATTCTGTTGCCCAGGCTGGAATGCAGTGGTGGGATCACAGCTCACTGCAGCCTCCACCTCTTGGGCTCAAGTGATCCTCCTGCCTCAGGCTCCTGAATAGCTGGAACAACAGGCACTCACCGTGGCTACTACAAGTTTCTTTCTTTCTTTCTTTTATTTTTTTAAAGATGAAGTCTCACTCTTATCCCCCAGGCTGGAGTGCAATGGTACCACCTCAGCTCACTGCAACCTCTGCCTCCCGGGTTCAAGCGATTCTCCTGCCTCAGCCTCCCAAGTAGCTAGGATTACAGGTGCATACCACAACGCCCGGCTAATTTTTGTATTTTAAGTAGAGGCGGGGTTTCACCGTGTTGGCCAGGCTGGTCTCGAACTCCTGACCTCAGGTGATCCACCCACCTCAGCCGCCCAAAGTGCTGGGATTACAGGTGTGAGCCACCGCGCCCGGCCTTTTTTTACCTTTTTTTTTTTTTTTTTAAGACAAGTTTCTTAATTTGCTTCCTTCACAACTGAGCAGAGTCCATTAGCTTAGACTGCCTGGGGAAACTCTGATTGAGACAGATACAGCCTCTGGCATGTCCAAGGAATCGTCTTATGTGTTTTAAGTTTATGAGACCTATGTTTGTTTGTTGTTTTTTTTTTGAGACGGAGTCTCGCTGTATCACGCAGGCTGGAGTGCAGTGGCGCGATCTCGGCTCACTGCAACCTCCGCCTCCTGGGTTCAACCGATTCTCCCGCCTCAGCCTACTGAGCAGCTGGGATTACAGACGTGCATCACCACGCTTGGCTAATTTTTGTATTTTTAGTAGAGATGGGGTTTCACCATGTTGGCCAGGCTGGTCTCAAACTCCTGACCTCAGGTATCCACCCGCCTTGGCCTCCCAAAGTGCTGGGATTACAGTCGTGAGCCACTGCGCCCGGCTTATGAGACCTATGTTTCTTATGACTATGACTCATATCAGCACTTTAATTTTCCATTTTCCATCCATGGTTATAAATTAATAAGGGCTAAAATGCAATGAAATATTTAAAGGCTTGTACAAATAGTCCTTAAGAGGGCGATGCTGCTGAAATTGGCAGTATCAGCAGGTAAGATGGTTGATATGAGAATGGTTGTCAGCTGAGAGATGAAAGTTCAAATTCAGCAGAAGTAATGCTCCTGAAGACTGTGTGGTGGATTGCGTTACTAATCAGGTTCACCAGATAATCTGGCTCCTTCTCTGTGCTGCCTCTGAAAAATGTTGAGAATAATATAATTAACAATATTTTTTATTCCATTACTCAGATTTCATCACATCCTAAGATTTTGCCATTTTTGTTTCATAGTCTTTTTTTTTTTTTGAGATGGAGTCTTGCTCTGTCGCCCAGGCTGTAGTTCAGTGACTCAATCCGGGCTCACTGCAACCTCCATCTCCCAGATTCAAGCGATTCTTCTGCCTCAGGCTCCCGAGTAGCTGGGATTACAGGCACGTGCCAACATGCCTGTAATCACAATTTGTTATATCAACATGTAAATGTCAGACAATCATTGGAAATGCCAGCCAGTCAGAGGAGGGAATTGAGGGAAAGACAGGACAATATTTGGTGGCTACATTCTGGGTTTGTTGTTGTTGTTGTATTTGAGATGGAGTCTCACTCTGTTGCCCAGGCTGGAGTGTAGTGGCATGATCTTGGCTCACTGCAACCTCCGCCTCCCAGGTTCAGGTGATTCTCCTGCCTCAGCCTCTGGAGTAGTTGGGATCACAGGTGCATGCCATCACGCCTGGTTAATTTTTTTTTTTTTTTTTGAGACGCAGTCTCGCTCTGTCGCCCAGGCTGGAGTGCAGTGGCGTGATCTCGGCTCACTGCAAGCTCCGCCTCCCGGGTTCATGCCATTCTTCTGCCTCAGCCTCCTGAGTAGCTGGGACTACAGGCGCCCGCCACAATGCCCGGCTAATTTTTTTTTTTTTGGTATTTTTTTAGTAGAGATGGGGTTTTACCGTGTTAGCCAGGATGGTCTCAATTTCCTGAACTCATGATCCGCCCGCCTTGGCCTCCCAAAGTGCTGGGATTACAGGTGTGAGTCACTGCGCCCGGCCATGCCTGGTTAATTTTTTGGTATTTGTATTATTTATTTATTTATTTATTTTTGAGATGGAGTCTCACTCTGTCACCCAGGCAGGAGTATAGTGATGTGATCTTGGCTCCCTGCAACCTCCGGCTCCCAGGTTCAAGCGATTCTCCTGCCTCAGCTTCCCAAGTAACTGGGATTACAGGCTTGTGCCACCACGCCCAGCTAATTTTTGTATTTTTTTTTTAGTAAAGACAGGGTTTTGCCATGTTGGCCTGGCTGGTCTTGAACCCTTGGCCTCAAGTGATCCACCCATATCAGCCTCCCAAAGTGCTGGGATTATAGGCCACCATGAGCCACCGTGCCCTGCCCTCACCTATTTTTGAAGGCAAGCAGGTTTCCCCACTGTAAAGATGCTCTTTTGATCCTCCCTTACTATATACAGTGCTCTGTGAAGGAAGTGACTTTGGGGAGCCCACACCTAAGGAGTGAGGAGTTGTGCTTCCCCTCCTTGAGGACAAAGTGTCTACATTAATTATTTGAAATTTTTCTTCATGGGGGATTTGTCTCTTCACCTGCATTTATTTAGTTTTTATTCAATCCTTTATTTGTATCAGTAAGGACCTCTGGATGTTAACATAGTTCCAGTTCCTTTTTTGTTTTTGAGACTGGGTCTGGAGTACAGTGCTGTGATTTTGGCTCACTGCACCCTCAACCTCTTGGACTCAAGTGTTCCCCCCACCTCAGCCTCTTAAGTAGCTGGGGCCATATGGGGGGCCACCAAGCCAGACTAATTTTTGTATTTTTTGTTAAGACGGTTTTCACTATGTTGCCCAGGCTGGTCTTGAACTCCTGAGCTCAAGCAATCCTCCAACCTCAGCATCCCAAAGTGCTGGGATTACAAGTGTGAGCCACTGAGCCCTTTGTTAAAAAAAAGGTTTTTTTTGTTTTAAAATTAAGACAAGCTCTCTCTCTGTCACCTAGGCTAAAATGCAGGGTGCAATCACAGCTCACTGTAACCTCAAACTGCTGGGCTCAAGTGATCCTCTCCCAGCCAAGTTCATTTTTAAAAGTGCAAACATTTCCCCATGGGGAAAACAGGAAAGGCTGCCAAACATTTCCATAAACAAAGTGCCCTCAGCCTTGTTTAAAGCACATCCCAGGAATGTGTTAAATCCTCTGTGTAGCAAGGGACTTGGCACAAGTAAGGAGGGATTGCTTCTTGTAATCTAAAATGACTGACTAGATTAAAATACCCTTGTGAATATTTCTCCCGGTATATCCTTAAACTAATCCCACATTTCAAGAAGGAAACAAAATTTAAATGCATTCTTTGTTTCTTATTGTTATTTAAATGAACCCATTCAAAAAACAGACAGAAAACCTCCCTTAGACAATAACAACAACAACACCACCACACACAAACAACAATACTCATGGATGATTTAGTCCCAGAGAGAGAGGAGAGAGCAGGGTGTGGTGGCTCACGCCTGTAATCCTATCATTTTGGGAGGCCGAGGCAGGCAGATCACTTGAGTCAGGAGTTTGAAACCAGCCTGGCCAACATGGAGAAACCCCGTCTACACCAAAAAAAATTAGTCCGGGCCTGGTGGCTCACGCCTGTAATCCCAGCACTTTGGGAGGCTGAGGTGGGTGGATCACCTGAGGTCAGGGGTTTGAAACCAGCCTGACCAACATGGAGAAACCCTGTCTCTACTAAAAAATACAAATTAGCTGGGTGTGGTGGTACATGCCTGTAATCCCAGGTACTCAGGAGGCTGAGGCAGGAGAATCGCTTGAACCTGGGAGGCAGAGGTTGCAGTGAGCCAAGATTGTGCCATTGCACTCCAGCCTGGGCAACAAGAGTGAAACTCCGTCTCAAAAAAAGAAAGAAAGAAACTAGCCAGGCATGGTGGCGGGTGCCTGTAATCCCAGCTACTTGGGAGGCTGAGGCAGGAGAATCGCTTGAACCTGGGAGGTGGAGGTTGCAGTGAGCCGAGATCACACTGCCACTCCAGCTTGGGTGACAGAGCGAGACTCTGTCTCAAAAAAAAAAAAGGGGAGAGGGAGGAGAGGCAGTGAAGGTGTTCTCGCACCTTACCACCTTCCTGGAGCCCTCAATTTCCCTGCAGACCTTACCAAGTACTTAGGCAAGTTTCACCTGCAAGAGAAGCTCTTAGTTGTCAAGGTGATCCCAGCAGGCAGCAACCTGCTTTCAGAAAACCATAAAGCTAAGTAACGGTGATGGGATACAGTCACCAACCATGTCCTGACTTCCTGAGGTGTCCAAGCTCCACATGATTGCCCAACTCCCTTTTCATGCCACAACCTGCAACACCTCGGGATCATTCTTCTCACACTTCCAATAGTTGCCTATGGACTTGGCACTGATAGAGAGCTGGTCCTCCCCTCCAAAGGCCGTCTTCCTTACTGGCTTTAGAAGGTAATACTATGTAATGCTGTAGCTCTGCCACTAGTTACCTGTGTACCTGTGGGCAAGTTGCTTCACCTCTCTTGCCTCAATTTCTCAAGTGTAAAATGAAGACACTAGTTCTAGTTGGCTCCAAGCTCTCTCTGGCCTGAAATTTCATGACCATGTTAAATCTTTCAAGGTTGAGATAATACTGTTTCCCAATACTGTGCAAACATAACACTGGATAAAACAGATTGTTGGCTGGGCATGGTGGCTCACACCTGTAATCCCGGCACTTTGGGAAACCGAGGTGGGCAGATCACTTGAGGTCAGGAGTTCGAGGCTAGCTTGGCCAACATGGCGAAACCCTGTCTCTACTTTTTTTTTTTTTTTTTTTTTGAGACAGAGTCTTGCTCTGTCACCCAGGCTGGAGTACAGTGGCGTGATCTGAGCTCACTGCAACTTCTGCCTCCTAGGTTCAAAAGATTCTCCTGCCTCAGCCTCCGGAGTAGCTGGGATTACAGGTGCATGCCACCATGCCCAACTAATTTTTGTATTTTTTTAGTAGAGGTGGGATTTCACCACGTTGGCCAGGCTAGTCTGGAATTCCTGACCTTGTGATCTGCGCACCTTAGCCTCCCAAAATGCTGGGATTACAGGAGTGAGCCACCGCACCCAGCTGAAACGCTGTCTCTACTAAAAAAAAAATACCAAAAAAAAAAAAAAAAATACAGAAATTGGGCCAGGCAAGGTGGCTACTCAGGAGGCTGAGGCAGGGGAATCGCTTGCAACTGGGAGGCAGAGATTGCAGTGAGCTGAGATCTCGTTATTGCACTCCAGCCTGGCGACAGAGCAAGACTCCCTCTCAAAAAACAAACAAACAAACAAAAAATTAGCTGGGCCTGGTGGCAGGTGCCTATAATCCCAGCTACTTGGGAGGCTGAGGCAGAAGAATCGCTTGAACTTGGGAGGTGGAGGTTGCAGTGAGCCAAGATCACGCGACTGCATTCCAGCCTGGGTAATAGAGTAAGACTGTGTCTCAAACAAACAAACAAAACAAAAATAGGTCACAAAAACTAGTTTTATATCCCCCAAATAGACATTGTCGATCAAAGTTTAAATCAACTCTAGTTTGAAAATTAATGTAGGAATCCGAAGCTCAAATTTTTCTTTCAAAACGGAGCAAGATCTCCATGAATTGTGTTCCCCTCACCCTCTGGCTTTGCTCGTTTTTTGCTTTGCCTCCTCTTGACCTTATGTCCTTCTTACAACTCTTTATAGGGTTCTGGCTGCTCCCTGATCTAACTTCTACGTCTTGCTTTCCTGATTGGACTGGCAGCTTAAGTATAATCTGTAATATTCACTAATTGACTTTGCATGATTTGGATGTTTATCTTTGGGTCCCCTCTTCTTCTGATTTTTTTTTTTTTTTCATGACGGAGTCTGGCTCTATTGCCCAGCTGGAGTATAGTGGTGGCGCAATCTCAGCTCACTGCAACCTCTGCCTTCCAGGTTCAAGCAATTATCCTGCCTCAATCTCCCAAGTGGCTGAGATTACAGGTGCGCACCACCATGCCCGGCTAATTTTTGTATTTTTAATAGAGATGGGGTTTCACCATGTTGGCCAGGCTGGTCTCAAACTCCTGACTTCAAGTGATTCACCTGCCTTGGCCTCCCAAAGTGCTGGGATTAGAGGTGTGAGCCACCGTGCCCGGCATACATGGTCTTCTTTCAGATTCAGTCCTTGCTGTCCTTCCTGGCTTCATCACTCAGCATCATCTTCCTCCTCCCACGCTGCCTGATTCCCCCAGCCAACGGCACTGCAGGGAGCAGCTGCAGTGAATTCCAGACCTTGCACACTTTCCATCCCCAGGCCTCCTGTGCTCACGCTGGTCCCTCTAACCTGTACACTTTTCTCCGCCTCTTTGATTTGTCTGCCAAGGTCTCACCTTTGATGTGAAGTCCTTTGCCAAGTCTTCTCCAACTTCCCTTGAGTTAGGTGCTGGTATCCCTTAGGGAAATTTTTGACTACTCATAACAGAGAAGTGACAACTGTGGCTTAACAAGACAGAAACTGAATTTCTCATGTTAAATGAATGTGGAAACAGAGTCCAGCGTGGTACGACAGCTTGACAGTCATGACAGTCCTGGCTCCTTTTCTTCTTCTTTCATATCTGGGCACCGACCTCCTCCTTCTTCTTCTCCTTCTCCTTCCTTCTTCCTTCTTCTTCTTTTTTAAAATTTTATTTATTTATTTTAAAGAATACAGAGGCTGGGCGCGGTGGCTCATGCTTGTAATCCCAGCACTTTGGGAGGCTGAGGTGGGTGGATCACCTGAGGTCATCTGTACTAAAAATACAGGCGCCTGTAATCCCAGCTACTTGGGAGGCTGAGGCAGGACAATCGCTTGAACCCAGGAGGCGGAGGTTGCAGTGAGCTGAGATAGTGCCACTGTACTCCAGCCTGGGCAACAAGAGGGAAACTCCATCTCAAAAAAAAAAAAAAAAAAAAAAGAACAGCGAGAGTCTCACCATGTTGCCCAGGCTGGTCTTAAACTCCTGACCTCAGGTGATCTGCCCACCTCGGCCTCCCAAAGTGTTGGGATTATAGGCCTGAGCCACCGTGCCCGGCCCAAGCACAGACTTCTGTTCTGTGTGTCACCTCATGGTCCAGGCTGACTGTATCCACTCTCACCTCCACATCACAGGCAGAGGGAGTTAGAGCCCTTCCCATATGGCCATCATCCCAAGTCTGCAGCATCCAGCCATAACTAGACTCCTCCTCCCAACTGGCTCTAGAAGAGGCTAGCAGCCTTCAATGTTAACCCAAATAAGTCAGGGTTCCCTTGTGATGACCCTAATGTTCACTATCTTGGCATCCTACCTTCTTTATCCTGGCATTTATCCTCTTTCCCAGAGTTACCTTCTTACCCCTCTAAGAGCAAGTCAGTACAAAGATTGGCTTGTCATGTTTCCTTGTTGACTGTTGTATCCCTGCACCTAACACAGTAGCTTGAACACAGCAGGTACTCAATACTGGAAAAGGAAAGGGTAGCTGTTTGGCCTTCAAGTTAGGAACAGAGGCAACACAACAGGTTAGATCAAGCACATCTCTTTTTTTTTCTTGAGGCAAAGAAAAAACAGGCAAGGTCTTGCTCTGTTGCCCAGGCTAGAGTGCAGTGGCATGATCTCAGCTCATTGCAGCATCAACCTCCTGGGCTCAAGCAATACTCCCACCTCAGCCTCCCAAGTAGCTGGGACTACAGGCTTGTGCCACCACCTTCTGCTAATTAAAAAAAAAAAAAAAAAAAATCGTAGCGGGGTGTGGTGACTGGTGCCTGTAATTCCAGCACTTTGGGAGTACAGCGCAGAAGGATCACATGAGCCTAGGAGTTCAAGACCAGTTTGGGCAGCACAAGAAGACCCCATCACTACAAAAAGTACAAAACGTAGCCAGGCATGGTGGCGTGTACTTGTAGTACCAACTACTCAGGAGGCTGAGGTGGGAGAGTTGCTTGAGCTGGGGAAGTGGAGGCTGCAGTGATTGGTGATTTTGCCACAGCACTCCAGCCTGGGAGACAGAGCAAGACCCTGTCTTGAAAATAATAGAATATATTGGCTGGGCGCGGTGGCTCACACCTGTAATCCCAGCACTTTGGGAGGCTGAGGCAGGTGGATTACCTGAGGTCAGGAGTTCGAGACCAGCCTGACCAACATGGAGAAACCTCGTCTCTACTAAAAATACAAAATTAGTTGGGCGTGGTGGCACATGCCTGTAAGCCCAGCTACTTGGGAGGCTGAGGCAGGAGAATCACTTGAACCCGGGAGGCAGAGGTTGTGGTGAGCTGAGATCGCGCTGCTGCACTCCAGCCCGGGCAACAGAGCGAAACTCTGTCTCAAATAAATAAATAAATAAATAAACCATATATTAAAAAATAAAAAAATTTTTTTTTTGTAGAGCCAAGATCTCACTATATTGCCCAGGCTGGTCTCAAACTCCTGACCTCAAGAGACCCTCCCACCTTGGCCTCCCAAACTGCTGAGATTGCAGGTGTGAGCCACCATGACAGGCCAAGCACACCTTCTTTATAAAATGGGCAACACATTTGGCATGGATCTATTTATTTATGTTCTCATTTTTTTTTTTTTTTGAGATGGAGTCTTGCTCTATCAGCTAGGCGGGAGTGCAGTGGCACGATCTCAGCTCACTGCAACCTCCATCTCCTGGGTTCAAGCAATTCTCCTGCCTCAGCCTCTCGAGTAGCTGGGATTACAGGCGTGTGCCACCATGCCCAGCTAATTTTTGTATTTTTAGTAGAGACGGAGTTTCACCATGTTGGCCAGGCTGGTCTTGAACTCCTGACCTCAGGTAATCCGCCTGCCTCGGCTTTCGAAAATGCTGGGATTACAGGTGTGAGCCACCATGCCTGGCCTATGTTCTCATTAAATAATTTTTTTTTTTTTTTGAGATGGAGTTTCGCTTTTGTTGCCTAGGCTGGAATGCAATGGTGCAATCTCAGCTCACTGCAACCTCCGCCTCCTGGTAGTTTAAGTGATTCTCCTGCCTCAGCTTCCTGAGTAGCTGGGATTACAGGCATGCACCACCATGTCCGGCTAATTTTTGTATTTTTAGTAGAGACAGGGTTTCACCATGTTGGTCAGGCTGGTGCTGAACTCCTGACCTCAAGTGATCTGTCCGCCTCGGTATCCCAAAGTGCTGGGATTACATGTGTGAGCCATTGGGGCCCAGCCAAATAAATATTTTTTTAGTACCTAAATCAGGCTAGTTATAGGTGCCAGAGATACAGTGGTAAACTCAAACGGCAGGCTATTTTATACAGTACTATGTTTGGAATAAATTCCTGGCAGCAGATCTAAGCCTTGTTGAGTTCACCTTCCTTTTTCCTTCAGAGAAGCTTTAATTTTGTGCTTTTTACAGTAAGTATTCAATAAATCTCAATTGAGACACTGGTTGAAATAAGGACAGAGTGAGCGATTTTAAATGTCCTCATTACCATCCCAATTTCCTCTTTAAAAATGTCACTTGGCCATTCTTCCCTTTTAAGTTTTATAGCCCCAAGGAAATGAACAATTGGCTAATAAATGTTGGATATAAATTCTAATTCATTTTCCGGGAATGTAGCTTTGTAACATTCTATACTACTTTCCTTTGAACTCTGCATGTTGTAGAAATTTATGCAAAAGAGGCTTTCAGAGCCAGCTGAGATACACAGCATCACGTAGAGTTATCTTTCCTAGTCACAAGTTCGCAGCATTAAAAGTCTGGTGTAACATGAAAGACCCAGCTACCATCACGAATTTCTGTAAAGATTCTTCAAAAGACGTATTTCCCTAAGCTTGATATCTGAGAAAATAAGTTCATTTCCAGGCCGGGCACGATGGCTCACGCCTGTAATTCCAGCACTTCGGGAGGCCGAGGCGGGTGGATCACGAGGTCAGGAGTTCGAGACCAGCCTGGCCAAGATGGTGAAACCCCATCTCTACTAAAAATACAAAAATTACCTGGGCGTGATGGCGGACGCCTGTAATCCCAGCTACTTGGGAGACTGAGGCAGGGAATTGCTTGAACCCAGGAGGAGGAGGTTGCAGTGAGCCAAGATTATTTCACTGCACTCCAGCCTGGGCGACAGAGTAAGACTCCATTTCAAAAACAAAACAAAAAAATTTAATAAATTAGCCAGGTGTGGTAACAAACTCCTGTAATCATTCCAGCTACTTAGGAGGCTGAGGCAGAGAATATCTTGAACTCGGGAGGCGGAGGTTGCAGTGAGCCCAGATCTCGCCCACTGCACTCCAGCCTGGGTGACAGGGAGAGATTCCATCTCAAAAAAAAAAAAAAAAAAAGTCCATTTCCAATTAGAGATAGGAATAAAAATAATATTTTTCTACTTTTTAATCACACACTTTTTTGTTTGTTTTGAGACGGAGTCTCGCTCTGTTGCCCAGGCTGGAGCACAGTGGTGCCATCTCGGCTCACCGCAACCTCCGCCTCCCGGGTTCAAGGGATTCTCCCTCAGCCTCCCAAGTAGCTGGGATTACAGGCTCACGCCACCACACCTGGCTAAATTTTGTATTTGTGTTGGTCAGCCTGGTGGTCTCCAACTGCTAGGGTCAGGTGATCCACCCGCCTCAGCCTCCCAAAGTGCTGGGATTACAGGCATAAGCCACCGTGCCGGGCCTTTTTTATGATGCTGTAGTTTGTCCCCGCACAAACTCATGTTGAAATTTGATCCCCAGTTGGAGGTGGGGTCTAATGGGAGGTGTTTGGGTCTTGGGAGCAAATTCCTCTTTTTTTCGTTTATTTTTTTTTCTTTTATTTATTTAGTTTTCCAGATCCCTCTTGACTAGATTAACACCCTGGATGAGGGTGGGTGAGTGAGTTCTCGCCGTTACTGGTTCCCACGAGAGCTGGCTGCGGAAAACAGCCTGGGTGCCTCCCCGCCGCTCTTTCTTGCTTTCTCTTTTGCCAGGCAGTCTGTGCGCATGCTGGCTCCCCTTCACCTTCCCCCATGAGTGGAAGTAGCCTCAGGCCCTCACTAGAAGCTGAGCAGAGACTGGTGCCATGCTTCTTGTACAACCTGCAGAACTGTGAGCCAAAAAACCTCTTTTCTTTTATTTACTTTTTTTTTTTTTTTTTGAGACAGGGTCTCACTCTATTGCCCAGCCTGGAGTGCAGTGGCACAATCATGGCTTACTGCAGCCTCGACATCCCAGACTCAAGTGATCCTCCCACCTCAGCCTCCCAAGTAGCTGGTACTACAGGGGCACACCACCACACCAGGCTAATTTTTTGTACTTTTTTTTTTTAGAGATGGGGTCTCCCCATGTTGCCCAGGACGGACTCAAACTCCAGAGCTCAAGTGATCCACCTACCTTGGCCTTCCAAAGTGCTGGGATTACAGGCGTGAGCCCCTGCTCCTGGGCTTGGACTGGACTATTAATTATGGAAAGTTAATGGGAAATGAAAAAAAAAGAAAAAAGAAAAGAAGTAAAGAAAGAGAAGTCCAGTCCTGTTTATAACTCCCGAGTAAACCCTCCCGCAGCATTGGCCAGGATTGTGGCGTGGGCATGGGCGGGGGTGTGCTTGCTCTGCCCTTCCATTTTCTCCCTATTCCATCTTAGCGCATGTGTGTGGGGAGGGTTAGGAGGGAGCCCTGGGATCCACCATAGGGACTCCTGCGCTTCTGTACTCCAGTTTCTCTGATGTGTTAGGATACCCAGGCGGGAGAGTCTTTTTTCTAACTTGAAGGTTATTTTCTTCTTGGATGTTGTGATGGCTAATTTCATGTGTCAACTTGGCCAGGCTGTGGGACTCAGTTGTTCGGTCAGACATCAGTCTAGATGTCAGAGGCACGTGAACCAGATCAACTCCATCTTGAATAGGAGCTGGGTAAAATGAGGCTGAGACCTACTGGGCTGCATTCCCAGATGGTTAAGGCATTCTAAGTCACAGGATGAGACAGGAGGTTGGCACAAAATACAGGTCATAAAGACCTTGCTGATAAAACGGGTTGCAGTAAAGAAGCCGGCCCAAACCCATCAAAATCAAGATGGCCAAGAGAGTGACCTCTGGTTGTCCTCACTGCACCATGATGGTTTACAAATGCCATGGCAATGTCAGGAAGTTACCAAATATGGTCTAGAAAGGGGAGGCATGAATCATCCACCCCTTGTTTAGCATATCAAGAAATAACCATAAAAATGGGCAACCAGCAGCTGTTGGGGCTGCTCTGTCTATGGAGTAGCCATTCTTTGTATTTATTTATTGATTGATTGATTATGAGCCGGTTTTGCTCTTGTTGCCCAGGATGGAGTGCAACGGTGCGATCTCGGCTTACGGCGACCTCTGCCTCCCGGTTTCAAGCGGTTCTCCTGCCTCAGCCTCCGGAGTAGCTGGGATTACAGGAATGTGCCACCACGCCCAGCTAATTTTGTATTTTTAGTAGAGACAAGGTTTCTGCATGTTGGTCAGGCTGGTCTCAAACTCCCGACCTCAGGTGATCTGCCCACCTTGGCCTCTCAAAGTGCTGGGATTACAGGCGTGAGCCACTGCGCCCAGCCAATTCTTTATTCCTTTTCTTTCCTAATAACTTGCTTTCACTTTACTCTATGGACTCGCCCTGAATTTCTTGCGTGAGATCCAAAAACCTTCTCTTGGAGTCTGGATCTAGACCCCCTTTCCTGTAACATAGATGTTGCTGTGAAGGGTTTTTTTGTTTTGTTTCATTTTGTGACAGTGTCTCACTCTGTCGCCTAGGCTGGAGTACAGTGGCACAATCTGGACTCACTGCAACCTCAAGTGATCACTGCTCAAACTCTAGTGATCCTTCCCCCTCAGCCTTCTGAGTAGCTGAGACTACAGGCACGCACCACCACGCCCGGCTAATTTTTTTGTATTTTTAGTAGAGATGAGGTTTCACCTTGTTTCCCAGACAGGTCTCAAATTCTTGAGTTCAAATGATCTGCCCACCTTGGCCCCCCAAAGTGCTGGGATTACAGACATGAGCCACCATGCATGGCCAACAACATTCTGCTCTTGTGACTCCCTTCCCATCTCCCCAGCCCAGTCTTTTCAGGTAGGGGTTGGGAATTGACAAGATGGGAGGGCATGGACCAGGATGATGCCCCAGTGGTGGTATTTCTCTTTAGAATGTGGGGTACTTAATGCCCCCTTTTTCCTCAGCTGAAGGCCTCAGTTGCAGAGCAAGGGGAAAACTCAACTCAACATCTGTACAAGTTTCCAGGATGCTACTAGGCATCCCTTGAACAGATAGTTCCAAATCCAAATGTATTTGGAAACAACTAAATGAAATAAATGCTTTTCTTTGATGCAGGGCTTCTCTAAAATGCAAATTTGCTGATGTGAAGGGTAAACTCATGTGAGAGGAAATGGTTCACTGGCATTCTTTGACTCTGGAGCACAGTTTTGAGACAAGTAATACGAATGCCCAAAAATGTGTCGTGGAATACAGGTTGAAAAATGTTGAGTTAGAAAGACAGCTGGGACCCTGGTTCTATTCCTTGCCACCTTCCAGCTGCACAGCCTCTCTGGGATTTGGGACTATGAAATGGGGCTAAAACTTAACTTCCTGAGCTTTTGTGAGCATCTCAGATAATACTCATAAAACATCTACTCTAGATATTCCATAAATGATAGCTATTCATTGAAAAAATCTGAGGTTCATAGACATAGAATCAAACCCTTACTCGTGGCACTGTCAGTAAGTACATTTCCCCAGTGGCTTTTTTTTTTTAGTTATTATTATTATTTTTTTGGAGACAAGGTCTCATTCTGATGCCTGGGTTAGAGTGCAGTGGTTCAATCATGGCTCACTGCAGCCTCAGCCTTTCAGGCTCAGGTGATCCTCCCACCTCAACCTCCGAGTCGTTGGGACTACAGGCTCGTGCCACCATGCCTGGCTAATTTTTGTATTTTTGTAGAGATGGGGTCTCCCTATGTTGCCAGGCTGGTCTCAGGTGATCTGCCTGCCTTGGCCTCCCAAAGTGTTGGGATTACAGGTGTGAGCCACTGTGCCTGACCTATAATTTTCAAGAATACAATATATTAGCTGAGCGCAGTGGCTCGTGCCTGTAATTCCAACACTTTGGGAGGCTGAGGCAGAAGGATTGCCTGAGCCCAGGAATTCAAGACTAGCCTGGGCAACATGGGGAGACCCTGTCTTTACAAATTTATTTATTTATTTATTTTTTGAGATGGAGTCTCACCCTGTCGCCCAGGCTGGAGTGCAATGGCATGATCTCAGCTCACTGCAACCTCCACCTCCCAGGCTCAAGCGATTCTCCTGCCTCAGCCTCCCGAGTTGCTGGGATTACAGGCATGCGCCACCACGCCCAGCTAATTTTTTTTATCTTTAGTAGAGACGGGGTTTCACCATGTTGGCCAGGCTGGTCTCAAACTCCTGACCTCGTGATCCACCCATCTTGGCCTCCCAAAGTGTTGGGATTACAGGTGTGAGCCACCATGCCCGGCCTACAAAAATTTAAAAAATAAATTAGTCAGGCATGGTGGCATGTGCCTGTGGTCCCAGCCACTTGGAAGGCTGAGGTGGGAGGATGACTTGAGCCCAGGAGGTCGAGGCGGCAGTGAGCAGTAATCATGCTACTGCACTCCAACCTGGGTGACAGAGCAAGACACTGTCTCAACTAATAATAATAATAAAAATAATACAATATATTGTTATTAGCCATTGTCACCATGTTATATAATAGATCTCTTAAACTTGTTCTTCCTGTTTAGCTGAAAGTTTGCATCCTTGTAGTAACATCTCCCCATCCCTCCCCGACAAAAAGTTTATTATTATTATTTTGAGACGGGGTCTCCCTTTGTTGCCCAGGCTGGAGTGCGGTGGCGTGATCTCAGTTCACAGCAACCTTCATCTCCTGGGTTAAAGCAATTATCCTGCTGCAGCCTCCTGAGTAGCTGGGATTACAGGCATGCACCACCACACCCGGCTAATTTTTTTTGTACTTTTAGTAGAGACGGGGTTTCACCCCATTGGTCAGGCTGGTCTTGACCTCAGGTAATCCACCTGCCTCGGCTTCCCAAAGTGCTGAGATTACAGGCGTGAGCCACCCTGCCCAGCCCAAAAAACGTTTATTTAAAAAAAATTTTTTTTTTTTTGAGATGGAGTTTTGCTCTTGTTGCCCAGGCTGGAGTGCAACGATGCAATCTCTGCTCACTGCAACCTCCGTCTCCCGGGTTCAAGTGATTCTCCTGCCTCAGCCTCCCAAGTAGCTGGGATTACAGGTGCCCGCCACCACGCCTGGCTAATTTTGTATTTTTAGTAGAGACGGGGTTTCTTCATGTTTGTCAGGTTGGTCTCAAACTCCTGACCTCAGGTGATCCGCCCGCCTCAGCCTCCCAAAGTGCTGGGATCACAGGCGTGAGCCACCGCTCTTGGCCAAAAAAAAGTTTATTTTTTCAAAAAGGCTTTGCTTTGGCCAGCCATGGTGGCTCACATCTGTAATCCCAGCACTTTGGGAGGCTGAGACAGGCGGATCACTTGAGGTCAGGAGTTCGAGACCAACTCGGCCAACATAGTTAAAACTCTGTCTCTATTAAATATACAAAACTTAGCTGGGCTTGGTGGCGGGCACCTGTAATCTCAGCTACTTGGGAGGCTGAGGCAGGAGAATTGCTTGAATCCAGGAGGTAAAGGTCACAGTGAGCCAAAATCACACTACTGCACTCCAGCCTGGGGGACACACTCTTGTTTTTTTTTGTTTTTTTTTTTTAAAAAAAGGCCGGGCGCAGTGGCTCATGCCTGTAATCCCAACACTTTAGGAGGCCAAGGTGGGTGGATCACTTGAGGTCAGGAGTTTGAGACCAGCCTGACCAACATGGTGAAACTCCGTCTCTACTAAAAGTATTAAAAATTAGCCAGGTGTTTTGGCGGGTGCCTGTAATCCCAGCTACTTGGGAGGCTGAGGCAGGAGAATCACTGAACCGGGGAGGCAGAGGTTGCAGTGAGCCAAGATCATGCTGTTGTACTCCAGCCTGAGCAACAAGAGCGAGACTCTGTTTCAAGAAAAAAAAAAAAAGGCTTTGCTTTTAGTTGAAGATACTACATGGCAAGCAGTTCTTTATACTTGATAGATGATTATAGAGCAAAGAAAAGTTTTCATTGGCTCCTGCTGGAAAATGGCAAACATTGCAAAATAGGACTGCAGGCTTCCCGAAAGATTTCTTTTTTGACTTGTTTTTTTTTTGAGAAGGTCTCACTCCATGCCCAGGCTGGAGTGCAGTGGTGAGATCACAGCTCACTGCAGCCTCAACCTCCTGGGGCTCAGGTGATCCCTCCAGCCCCAGGCCCTCTGAGCAGCTAGGGACTACAGGTGCGCACTACCACACCAGGCTAAGTTTTTGTATTCTTTGTGGAGACGGGGTCTCCACATGTTGTCCTGGCTGGCCTTGAACTCCTGGTCTCAAGTGATGTGCTCACCTCGGCCTCCCAAAATGCTGGGGATTACAGGCATGAGCACCGCGCCCAGCCCCAGAAACTTTAAAATCACTTCTGTTATCCAGAAAACAATTTGGTATCAGCATCCTCCAGAAATCAGTGCGAGGATTGGTGCAGCATAAAATGAAAATAACCTAGGTAAATTCTCGATAAATTCTAAAAATGAACTTTCAATTAACTTTCTTGTTTCTTAAGCTCAGAATTGAGTTCTATGCTAATGCAAGTATCAAATTTACATGTATATCTGAAAATTTGCACATAGGCCAATTTCTGTTTGGACATTAACAAATATTGCCGTAACACTTAAAACCCAACAAATAGCTCTTCCATTCCCACTAGTTGAAAGGCACCGCAGAACACTGTGGTGCTGCGGAAAGATGACAGACCCTGCCTTAAGGAATTTACAGAGTATACTGAGCAAAGTAGGGCAGCGTTACTGCCCTACTATGGAGTACAATAGATATCTTTGGAGAGGAGCAGATGCAGGCAGGGCTGTGCAGAGGGGCAGGAGCCTCTGAGTGTGTGTATGTCTGTGTGTGTGTCTGCACGTAGAAGAGTTAGGAATGAAGACTGGAGATCAAGGGAATTGTCCAGGAGGAGATGGTATTTAAGTTGGATCTTAAAGTGATTGCCTATGTGGCTCTTTAAATTTAGATTTATTGGGCCGGGCGTGGTGGCTCACACCTGTAATCCCAGCACTTTGGGAGGCCAAGGTGGGCGGATCACTTGAGGTCAGGAGTTTCAGACCAGCCTGACCAACGTGGAGAAACCCCGTCTCTACTAAAAATACAAAATTAGCTGGGCGTGGTGGCACATACCCGTAATCCCAGCTACTCGGGAGGCTGAGGCAGGAGAATCTCTTAAATCCAGGAGGCAGAGGTTGTGGTGAGCCGAGATCACATGATTGCACTCCAGCCTGAGCGACAAAGTGAGATTCCATCTCAAAAAAAAAAAAAAAAAAAATTTAGTCTGGGCGCAGTGGCTCATGCCTGTAATCCCAGCACTTTGGAAGGCCAAGGTGGGCGGGTCACGAGGTCAGGAGATCGAGACCACCCTGGGTAACACGGTGAAACCCTGTATCTACTAAAACTACAAAAAATTAGCCAGGCGTGCTGGGCGCAGTGGCTCATGCCTGTAATCCCAGCACTTTGGGAGGCTGAGGTGGGCGGATCACCTGAGGTCAGGAGTTGAAGACCAGCCTGACCAACATGGTGAAACTCCACCTTTACTAAAAATACAAAATTAGCCGGGTGTGGTGGTGCATGCCTGTAATCCCAGCTCCTCGGGAGCCTGTGGCAGGAGATTCGCTTGAACCCGCGAGGCAGAGGTTGCAGTGACGCACCATTGCACTCCACCCTGGGCAACAAGAACGAAACTCCACTTTAAAAAAAAAGGAAAAAAAAAAATTAGCTGGGCGTGGTGGCAGGTGCCTGTAGTCCCAGCTACTCAGGAGGCTGAGGCAGGAGAATGGCATGAACCCGGGAGGTGGAGCTTGCAGTGAGCCGAGATCATGCCACTGCACTCCAGCCTGGGCGACAGAGTGAGACTCTGTCTCCAAAAAAAAAAAAAAAAAAAAAAAATTTACATTTTATTTATTTATTTATTGAGAGACAGAGCTTCACTCTTGTTGCCTGGGCTGGAGTGCAAATGGTGCCATCTTGGCTCACCTCAAACTCCGCCTCCTGGGTTCAAGTGATTCTCCTGCCTCAGCCTTCTGAGTAGGTGGGGTTACAGGCATGCACCACCATGCCCAGCTAATTTTTATATTTTTAGTAGAGACGGGGGGGGGGGGTTTCTCCATGTTGGTCAGGCTGGTCTCGAACTCCCGACCTCAGGTGATTCACCTGCCTCGGCCTCCCAAAGTACTGGGATTACAGGTGTGAGCCACCGTGCCTAGCCTAGATTTATTATATTTAAAGAATGGCTAGAAAATAAGAGGAAAGAGAAAATATATGTATATTTTTTTTGATATGGAATTTTGCTCTTGTTGCCCAGCCTGGAGTGCAATGGCTCAATCTCGGCTCACTGCAATCTCTGTCTCTTTGGTTCAAGCGATTTTCTTGCCTCAGCCTCCAGAGTAGCTGGGATTACAGGCGCCCATCACAACACCCAGCTAATTTTGTATTTTTAGTAGAGATGGGGTTTCGCCATGTTGGTCAGGCTGATCTCGAACTCCTGACCTCAAGTGATCTACCCACTTTGGCTTCCCAAAGTGCTGGGATTACAGGTGTGAGCCACTGCGCCCAGCCAAGAGAAAATAATTTTTTTAAAAAAAATTAGATTTAAATACAATACAATACAATTAAATTAAATTATAAATTTGCTGGGCCTGGTGGTTCACACCTACAATCTCAGCTCTTTGGGAGGTGGGAGGATTGCTTGAACCCAGGAATTTGAGACCAACCTGGGCACCATCTCTACAAAAAAGAAAAAATTAGCCAAGCGTTGTGGCACACACTTGTGGTCCCAGGATCTCAGGAGGCTGAGGTGGGAGGATCAATTAAGCCCAGGAGGTTGAGGCTACAGTGAGCCTTGTTTGTGCCACTGCACTCCAGCCTGGGTGGCAGTGTAAGACCTCATCTGTAAAACAAAACAAAACAAGAGAAAAACAAAACAAAACAAGATAAAAACAAAACAAAACAAAAAAACTATCCTAAATAAAGTAGGCCAGCACGGTGGTTCACGCCTGTTAATCCCAGCACTTTGGGAGGCGAGGGGGGCGCAGATCACTGGAGGTCAGGAGTTCGAGACCAGCCGGGCCAACATAGCAAAACCCCATTTCAACAAAAAATACCAAAAAAAAGAAAAATCAGGCCGGGCGCAGTGGCTCACACCTGTAATCCCAGCACTTTGGGAGGCTGAGGTGGGCGGATCACCTGAGGTCAGGAGTTTGAGACCAGCCTGACCAATATGATGAAACCCCATCTCTACTAAAAATACAAAAATTAGCCTGGCGTGGTGCCATGAGCCTGTAATCCCAGCTACTTGGGAGGCTGAGACAGGGGAATCACTTGAACGCGGGAGGCGGAGGTTGCAGTGAGCTGAGATCGTGCCATTGCACTCTAGCCTGGGCAACAAGAGCGAAGCTCCATCTCAAAAAAAAAAAAAAAAAAAATTCAGCCGGGTGTAATGGTACAAGGTGGGTGGCAGATCACCTGAGGTCAGGAGTTCGAGACCAGCCTGGCTAACATGGTGAAACCCTGTCTCTACTAAAAATACAAAAAGTAGCTGGGTGTGGTGGCGGGTGCCTGTAATCTCAGCTA
This sequence comes from Homo sapiens, assembly GCF_000001405.40. Taxonomy (NCBI): domain Eukaryota; kingdom Metazoa; phylum Chordata; class Mammalia; order Primates; family Hominidae; genus Homo; species Homo sapiens. The sequence goes on along the minus strand of NC_000008.11, from coordinate 97,740,254 downwards.
CTGTGGAGGCAGAGGCAGGAGAATCGCTTGAATCCGGGAGGCAGAGGTTGCAGTGAGCTGAGATCTCACCATTGCATTCCAGCCTGGGCGACAGAGTGAGACTCCGTCTCAAAAAGAAAAAAAAAGGCAGGGGGGTGAGAGGGGTGATAGGCCAGGCACAAGGGCTTATGCCCGTAATCCTAGTTCTTTGGGAGGCCAAGGTGGGCGGATCACCTGAGTTCAGGAGTTGGAGACCAGCCAGGCTGACGTGGTGAAACCCCGTCTCTACTAAAAATTCAAAAAAATTAGCTGGGCGTTGTGGTAGGCACCTGTACTCCCAGCTACTAGGAAGGCTGAAGCAGCAGCAGAGGTCTATAGTACTTTGGAGGCCAAGGCAGGAGAATTGCTTGAACCTAGGAGTCAGAGGTTGCAGTGAGCCAGATTGAACCACTGCACTCCAGCCTAGGCAACAGAGCAAGACTCAAAAAACCAAACAAACAGTCTGGGCGAGTAGCTCACACCTGTAATCCCAGCACTTTGGGAGGCCGAGGCGGGTGGACCACCTGAGATTGGGAGTTCGAGACCAGCCTGGCCAAGGTGGCGAAACCCCGTCTTACTAAAAAATACAAAAATTAGCTGGGCATGGTGGCGGGCACCTGTAATCCCAGCTACTTGGGAGACTGAGGCAGGAGAATCTCTTGAACCCCAGAGGCGGAGGTTGCAGTGAGCCAACATTGGACCACTGCACTCCAGCCTGGGTGACAACAGCGAGACTCCGTCTGAAACAAACAAACAAAAATAATAAAGTGAAGGCCAAAACAAACCTAGAAAAATAGCAATAATTCATAACAGAAAACATAATTTCCTTAATAGAGAAAAAATTGATAAGAAAGGATAAACAAATAGAAAAACAGCAAAGTATGTGAACAGATAGAAGTGTAAATAACTCAAACATAGGAAAAGATACTTGGCCTTACTTATAATGAGAGAAATACTGACTTCATCATTGACAAAGATGAAGTTTGATAACAACCTGTATAGGCTATGGTGTAAGAGAACAGACATTCGTGTACGTGGTGCAAACTCTCAGACAATTTGGTAATATTTATCAAATTTACAAATGTGCATATCATTTGACTTAGCAAGTCTATAACTGAGAACTTTATCTTCAGCTATACTCATACATGAAGAAAACTAACAGGTGAATTATTATTCAGTATAGCATTGCTTGTAACGCAGAAAATTTGTGTAAACCTAAATGTTCACCAATAGGGAAATGGTTAAGTAAATTACAGTATATTCATTTAATGAGGCACAATGTTGTGATAAAATGGGGTGATGGGGCCAGGCGCGGTGGCTCACACCTGTAATCCCAGCACTTTGGGAGGCTGAGGTGGGCAGATCACCTGAGGTCAGGAGTTCCAGACCAGCCTGGCCAACATGGCGAAACCCTGTCTCTACTAAAAATACAAAAATTAGCCGGGTGTGGTGGCAGGTGCCTGTAATCCCAGCTACTGGGGAGGCTGAGGCAGGAGAATCGCTTGAACCCGGGAGGCGGAGGTTACAGTGAGCCGAGATTACGCCATTGCACTCCAGCCTGGGGTACGAGAGCGAGAGTTTGTCTCAAAAAAAAAAAACAAAAAACAAAAACAACAAAAAGAAACATTTAAAAAAGAGAAAAAGAGAGGAAGACATATTTATTGTATTCTGTTTGATAGATTTTGAATTTTGAAGCACATGCATTGCCAACTCAAAGGATTAAGTTAAAATATGCATACATGATAATAAGAGACATGAAGAGAGTCATATTTGATATAGTTTGACTCTGAACTGTCCTTCATTGCGCATTTCTAGAGTGTTACTAATCTCAACCCATTGATCTGTGTAAATTCTATCTCCCGTCCCGTCTCTCTCTTTCTTTTTCTTTCTTTTTTTTTTTTTTTTGAGACGGAGACTCACTCTGTTGCCCGGGCTGGAGTGCAGTGGCGTGATCTCGGCTCACTGCAACCTCCGCCTCCCAGGTTCAAGTAATTCTCCTGCCTCAGCCTCCCGAGTAGGTGGGACTACAGGCGCCCGCCACCACGCCTGGCTAATGTTTGTATTTTTAGTAGAGACGACGTTTCACCATATTGGCCAGGCTGGTCTCCAACTCCTGACCTCGTGATCCGCCAGCCTGGGCCTCCCAAAGTGCTGGGATTATAGGCATGAGCCACTGCGCCCAGCCTCTATCTCCCTTCTTATTTTGCTGTTAGAGTAAATCCATGAGATTTAGTCCAGAGTATTTCCTACCTGAATGATTGCCAGTGTTTAGCCTGGTAATAGTACAGAACTCTTTTTATTTTTTAATTGACGAAGCTCTGATCCGTGGTAGCAAGGAAAGAGTTTATTGGGGCTAAATTAAGCAAAAGTAAGTTCTTTCTTTTCTTTTTTTTTTTTTTTTTTTTTTGAGACGGAGTCTCGCTCTTGTTGCCCAGGCTGAAGTGCAATGGCGTGATCTCGGGTCACTGCAACCTCCATCTCCCGGGTTCAAGCGATTCTCCTGCCTCAGCCTCCCGAGTAGCTGGGATTACAGGCGTGTGCCACCACGCCCGGCTAATTTTTTGTATTAGTAGAGATGGGGTTTCTCCACGTTGGTCAGGCTGGTCTGGAACTCCCGACCCTCAGGTGATCCGCCCCTCTCAGCCTCCCAAAGTGCTGGAATTACAGGCGTGAGCCACCGCGCCTGGCCGTAATTTCTTTTAAATACAAAATGAGGTCTGGGCATGGTGGCTCATGCCTGTAACCCCAGCACATTAGGAGGCTGAGTGGGTGGATAACTGGAGGTCAGAAGTTGGAGACCAGCCTGGCCAACATGGCAAAACCCCATCTCTACCAAAAAATACAAAAATTAGCCAGGCATGGTAGCAGACACCTTTGGTCCCAGCTACTTGGGAGGCTGAGACATGAGAATCGCTTGAACCTGGGAGGCGGAGCTTGCAGTGAGCTGAGATCATGCCACTGCACTCCAGCCTGGGTAACAGAGTGACACTGTCTCAAAAAAAAAAAAAAAAAAAAAAAAGGTATACTCTGTAGTGTGTTAGCTTCCTCAACCCTGGGAAGCTACTTAACCTCGTAGTTTCCTCATCTGTAAAATGGGAATAATAGTAACACCTCACTGAGTTGTTGTATGGATAGAAGTGTAATATAATATATGACATAATATAATGGAAACCTTACACTAGTTCTGTGCAATTATTATTTACAAATCAGAAGTAATTTATTTAAATACAACAAATAAAATCCTTCTATTTTAGTAAACAACTTAAAAGTGTTCTTTGAGTGTTATATTTCAGATGCATGCTTAGTCCAGTCACTAGGAGAGGAAAGAGGGAGGGAGAGAAAAGAGAACATGAATTTGGGGGCTGGGGAAATGGAGACAGAGATTAGAATAAGAGAAAAGGAAAGATACACAGGACAGCAATAAACAGAGAGAGACAAAGAGACATAAAGGTACAAGGAGGTAGAGAGAAAGAGATTCTCAGAGAGAAAAACACAGGCAAATATTCACAGGTAGTATACAGGGAGCAGGCAGGGGCATCTGCACGTGGCCATACAGCGATTGGGAGAGTGAAAAGAGCTCTGAACTCGGGGACAGGGGACGTGGCTTTAAATACAGTTTCTGCCACTTGTCAGCTGTGCAACTTAAATTGGTGCTCAATCTCTAGCTTGCATTTTTCTTATTTGAAAAATGGTAGTAAGGGGATGGGGAGGTGGGGAGAATGGCCCATGTTCAAGTCGCCACCTTGTGGTGGTTTCAGATTTCTCCTTAAGGTTTCTCCTTTCTCCTTTCTCCTTCTCCTCCCCCTCCTCCCCCTCCCCCTCCTCCCCTCCCCTCCTCCCCCTCCCCCTCCTCCCCCTCCCTTCTCCTCCTCCCCCTCCCCCTTCCCTTCACCCTCCCTCTCCCCCTCCCTCTCCTCTTCCTCCTTCTCCTCCTCTTTTGAGACGGAGTCTCGCTCTGTCGCCCAGTCTCCCTCCGTCGCCCAGTCTCCCTCCGTTGCCCAGGCTGGAGTGCAGTAGCAGGATCTTGGTTCACTGCAACCTCCGCCTCCTGGGTTCAAGCGATTCTTCTGCCTCAGCCTCCCCAGTAGCTGGGACTACAGGCGCGCGCCGCCAAACCTGGCTAATTTTTGTATTTTTAGTAGAGACAGGGTTTCACCATATTGTCCAGGCTGGTCTGGAACTCCTGACTTTGTGATCCACCGGCCTCGGCCTCCCAAAGTGCTGGGATTACAGGTGTGAGCCACTGAACCTGGTCCTTCTTCTTCTTCTTCTTCTTCTTTTTTTTTTTTTTTTAATGAGACGGAGTCTTGCTCTGTCCTCAGGCTGGAGTACAGCAGCGCAATCTCGGCTCACTGCAACCTTCGCCTCCTCAGTTCAAGTGATCCTCCTGCCTCGGCCTCTGGAGTAGCTGGGATTACAGGCCACCACACTGGGCTAATTTTTGTATTTTTAGTAGAGACAGGGTGTGGAGGAAAAGTTAAATATTAAATTTGAACTAAAAAGAACATGGACACAAAAAATGGTCACCAAGTCCTGGAACAGGTTGCGTGAGCCCCTTGAGGCATTCATCGAACAATGTTTCAGAGAAATCTCTATTTCAATCCATTCCTATATATTAGTTATTGACAAACAACAGACAATCGCAAAAACAGTTGACCTTTTTGTGTTCCTTGAGCCCAATCATGAAGGGCCCTCGTGACTGGACCTCATGCCAAACAACTTGTTACAAAAAGGGCTAGGGTCCCAGACCTTGCTAAAGCTTCATGAGACCTCTCCTCATTTGGAGAGACACGTACACAGACAGGTGGCCGACTCTGGAGCCCAGGCTATTGCTTCCCGATGTGGTGATGAATCCTCCACAGTCTGGAGGCATATATATATATATGTATGTGTGTGTGTGTGTGTATATATATATATATATATAGTGTCTTATATATTATATATATGTGTCTTATATATGTATGTCTTTTATATATATATATATAGTGTCTTTTATATATATATATATAGAGAGAGAGAGAGAGAGAGAGAGAGAGTGTCTTTTCTTTCCTCTTGCACATTTCCTGCACAGAACACAGGGTTTCACCATGTTGGCCAGGCTGGTCTCGAACTCCTCACCTCGTGATCTGCCTGCCTTGGCCTTCCAAAGTGCTGGGATTATAGGTATGAACCATGCCCGGCCTATTACCTTTTATTTTCTTTCTTTCCTTTTCTTTTTGAGTCCTGGTCTTGCTTTGTTGCCCAGGCTGGAGTGCACTGGGGGTGATCATAGCTCACTGCAGCCTTGACCTCTGAGGTTCAAGCAATCCTTCTGCCTCAGCCTCCCGAGTATCAGTGACCACAGGCCTGTGCCACCATGCCTGACTCATTTTTAATTTAATTTTATTATTATTATGGTAGGTACGGCATCTCCCTATGTTGGCCAGGCTGGTCTTGAACTCCTGGGCTCCAGTGATCCACCTGCCTCTGCCTCCCAAAGTGTTTGGATTTCAGGTGTGAGCCACTGCGCTGACCTGTTACTTTTAATTTTTTTTTTTTTTCTGAGACAGAGTCTCACTCTTGTTGACCAGGCTGGAGTGCAATGGCACGATCTCCGCTCACTGCAACCTCTACCTCCCAGATTTAAGTGATGCCCCTGCCTCAGCCTCGAAAGTAGCTGGGAGTACAGGCATGCACCACCACACCCGGCTAATTGTATTTTAGTAGAGATGGAGTTTCTCCATGTTGGCCAGGCTGGTCTTGAACTCCTGGCCTCAGGTGATCCACTCGCCTAGGCCTCCCAAAGCACTGGGATAATAGGTGTGAGCCACTGTGTCCAGCCTTACTTTTAATTTTTAAAATGGTAGCTGATTAGGCCAGGCACGTTGGCTCACGCCTGTAATCCCAGCATTTTGGGAGGCTGAGGCACGCGGATCACCTGAGGCCAGGAGTTCAAGACCAGCCTGGCCAACATGGTGAAACCCCATCTCTACTAAAAATACAAAAATTAGCCAGGTGTGGTGGCGGGTGCCTGTAATCCCAGTTACTCGGGAGGCTGAGGCAGGAGAATCGTTTGAACCCTGGAGGTGGAGGTTGCAGTGAGCTGAGATCTTGCAATTGTACTCCAGCCTGGGCGACAGGCGAGACTCCATCTTAACAAAAAAAAAAAAAAAAAAAAAAAAAAAAAAAAGGGTAGCTGATTGCACTCCCAAAGGATTGTAGTAATTTATCCTGCCACTTGCAGTGAATGAATACACTTTCTCTGTATGCCTATTAGCAGCTGGAGTTACAGCTTTTTTTTTTAGAAACTCTGGCCAGTCTGATGGGCATGAAGTGGTAGCTGGCTCATTCTAACTTTAATTTGTATTTTCTTGGTACTAGTAAGTTTAAACATTTAAAAATATGTTTGATGAACATTTTGTATTGTTTATTCTTGGACTGCTTATTCTCATCTGCTTATTTTTCTCTTGTGTTGTTTCCCCTTTGTCAGTTATCTTTATGTATTCTAGAAAGTATTAGCTTGTAATCTATCAAAGGTGTTGCACATTCTATTTTATTTATTTTATTTTATGTTATTTACTTACTTATTTTTTGAGACAGAGTCTTAGTCTGTCACCCAGGCTGGAGAGCAATGGAGTGCCTGGCCTCTAATGTTTTCAAAATAAAACATTTTAAAAGTTTATAAAAAATTGCTGGGCATGGCCGGGCGTGGTGGCTCACATCTTAATCCCAGCACTTTGGGAGGCTGAGGAGGGCAAATCATGAGGTCAGGTGTCCGAGACCAGTCTGACCAACATGGTGAAACCCCGTCTCTACTAAAAATACAAAAATTAGCTGGGTGTGGTAGTGCACGCCTGTAATTCCAGCTACTCAGGAGGCTGAGGCAGGAGAATTGCTTGAACCCGGGAGGCAGAGGTTGCAGTAAGCTGAGATCGTGCCACTGCACTCCAGCCTGGGAGATAGAGTGAGACTCTGTCTCCAAAAAAAAAAAAAAAAAAATTGCCAAGCATGGTGGCTCACGCCTATTATCCCAGCACTTTGGGAGGTCAAGGTGAGTGGATCACATGAGGCCAGCAGTTTGAGACCAGCCTGGCCAACATGGTGAAACCCCATCTCTACTAAAATACAAGAATTAGTCAGGTGTTGGTGGCTGGCACCTGTAATCTCAGCTACTCAGGAGGCTGAGGCAGGAGAATCCCTTGAACCCAGGAGGTGGAAGTTGCAGTGAGCCGAGGTTGCGCCACTGCACTGCAACCTGGGCGACAGAGCGAGACTTCTTCTCAAATAATAATAATAATAATTAAAAAATTGTATACAGTTAAATATGGCCATCTTTTCTTTTCCTTTTTTTTTTTTTTTTTTGAGACAGTCTTGCTCTGTCACCCAGGCTGGAATGCAGTGGCGTGATCTCGGCTCACCGCAACCTCCGCCTCCTGGGTTCAAGTGATTCTCGTGCCTCAGCCTCCTGAGTGGCTGGGACTGCAGGCACACCCCACCACGTCTGGCTAATGTTTTTATTTTTTGTAGAGACAGGGTTTTGCATGTTGCCCAGGCTGGTCTCAAACTGCCGACCTCGTGATCTGGCTGCCTTGGCCTCCCAAAGTGCTGTGATTACAGGCGTGAGCTACCGCACCTGGCCCATTTTTTCTTTTTCTTTTCTTTTCTTTTCTTTTTTTTTTTTTTTTTTTTTGAGGTAGAGTCTCACTCTGTTGCCCAGGCTGGAGTGTAATGGTGAGATTTAGGCTCACTGCAACCTCTGCCTCCCAGGTTCAAGCGATTCTCCTGCCTCAGCCTCCCGAGTAGCTGGGGTTACAGGCGCCTGCCACTATGCCCAGCTAATTTTTTGTATTTTTAGTAGAGGGGTAGTTTCATGTTGGCCAGGCTGGTCTCGAACTCCTGACCTCGTGATTTGCCTGCCTCGGCCTCCCAAAGTGCTGGGATTACAGGCGTAAGCCACCGCGCCCGGCCCCATCTTTTCTTTCCTTTTTTTTCTTTTTGAGACAGAGTCTCGCTCTGTCGCCCAGGCTGGAGTGCAGTGGCGTGATCTCGGCTCACTGCGACCTCCACCTCCTGGGTTCAAGTGATTCTCCCGCTTCAGCTCCTGAGTAGCTGGGATAACAGGCATATGCCAGACACCTGGCTAATTTTCATATTTTTAGTAGAGATGGGGTTTCGCCATGTCGGCCAGGCTGGTCTCGAAATCCTGACCTCAGGTGATCCACCTGCCTCGGCCTCCCAAAGTGCTGGGATTACAGGAGTGAGTCACCGCACCTGGTCTTAGGTGTTATTCTTGATGGTGAAAGGGCCTGGATCTCTGGTCCTGCTAGATTCCTTTTCAGCTTGAACTTGCCAGAGCAGATTCTGGGTTTTAGAACAAAGAATACTTACTGAGGCAAGCTGTTTTATATTTTATTCCACTATTTTATTCCTAAGTCTAGCCCTCTGCTCCTTCCCACCACTGCCCACTATTTTTTCCTTACTTGATCTTTCTCAGATTGTTTATTTATTTTTGAGACGAAGTCTCGCTCAGCCACCCAGGCTGGAGTGCAGTGGCACCATCTTGGCTCACTGCAACCACTGTCTCCCAGGTTCAAACGATTCTCCCGTCTCAGCCTCCCGAGTAGCTGGGATTACAGGCACCCACCACCATGCCCAGCTAATTTTTGTATTTTAGTAGAGATGGAGTTACACCATGTTGGCCAGGCTGGTCTTGAACTCCTGACCTCAGGTGATCCTCCTGCCTTGATCTCCCAAAGTGCTAGGATTGCAGGTGTGAGCCACCGCTCCTGGCCTAAATTATTTATTTTCATGATCTTTGAGGTGTTTTTAAAAAATTCAGGCTGCGCACAGTGGCTTATGCCTGTTAATCTCAGCAGTTTGAGGCTGAGGTGGGCGGATTGCTTGAGCCCAGAAGTTTGGGACCGGCCTGGGCAACAAAGCAAGACCCTGTCTCTATAAAAGATAGGATTATCCAGGTGTGATGGTGGGTGCTTGTAGTCCCAGCTACTCAGGAGGCTGAGGCAGGAGGATTGCTTGAGCCCAGGAGTTTGAGGCTGCAGTGAGCCGTGATTGTGCCACTGCACTCCAGCCTGGTAGACAGAGGAAGCTCCTGTCTGTTAAAAAAAAAAATGGGCCAGACCCAGTGGCTCATGCCTGTAATCTCAACGCTTTGGGAGGCAGAGGCACCCGGATTACTTGAGGTCAGGAGTTTGAGACCAGACTGGCCAACATGGCGAAACCCCGTCTCTACTAAAAATACAAAAAATTAGCCAAGCCTGGTGGCGTGCACCTGTAACCCCAGCTACTCGGGAGGCTGAGGCAGGAGAGTCACTTGAACCTGGGAGACAGAGGTTGCAGTGAACCGAGATCGTGTCACTGCACTCCAGCCTGAGCACCTGAGCAACAGAGCGACACTTCGTCTCAAAAAAAAAAAAAAAAAAAAAAAAATTCTGGTAATCTCACTATCCCGTTACTAATAGCTGTTTGCCATAAGACCTCCTTTGGTGTCTGTCAAGAGTCTCCAGCCCCACAACAAACCTCAGAGGAACCCTCACTCTAAGTGCCTATAGGGCACTTGCTGCTTTTCTGAGTGGGGCAAAGCTGTCTAGAAGTGACATCTATCTTGTGATCTATCCCCCTTCCTCAGGGAAAGGCTGCCATGTAGAGTTGTGCACTATACAAATTGGGGCACCATTCACATTCATAGTCATTGTGCCCCTGTGTACTTATTAAAACAATTTCCCAAGGTATCATGAAATGTCTTGAGGGAGGAGTGGCAATGAAGTTGCCATTAAACCTTTCTGAGATCAGGCTAGATGTTTCCTGGGACTGCAAGCCTCAGTTGGTACCAAAAAGGGCCTGTGCCAGGTGAGGCACTTGAGAACAGTCATTTTCACCCAAGCCTTTCCCCCTCTAATCCTGTTACAAGTCAAGCTGGTTCCCAGTATCCCCTTGTAACACTGTATTTCTTGAGTAATGTTATATTTCTTGAGCAGAATGGTGGTTTCAGATGTGTTCATTTTATTATGCTTTTAAAACTTAGGTACATGTTACATATATTCATTTTAAATGCCTTGATACAAATAAAAAAGGAAAGCACATATATACAAATAAGAATGCCACTATCATGGGATAACTTTGAACCTGCTTAAAGTTTTCTCAATTAACGTATTCACAAGCTTCAGTACTGTAACTATTAGCTGGCAAATGTCTTACAACACACTATATACATGTCATGATGCTAGGGTTAGAAATCATCGTCCTGTTAGAGTACTTAGACCAGAACAATAGTAATGCCTTTTTCATGTTTTAAAATATTATATACCAGGGTGATTCTCTTTCAACTTGTTATATAGTCTGTACTTGCAGTATGCGCAGGCAGGCTACTAAGTTTCTCTCAGCCTCTGTCTCTAGAATTTAAAGCAGTCACTGAGTGGCAGAAATTTCTTCTAAAATCTATTATATATAGACTGGGCACAGTGGTTCATGCCTGTAATCCCAGCATTTAGGAGGCTGAGTCAGGAGGATTGCTTGAACCCAGGAATTGGAGACCAGCCTGGGCAACGAGACTCTGTCTCTAGAAAAAAACAAAAAACAAAAAGCAAACTATCATATAGAAGTTGGAACATTATTAGCTGCTACACTAAGCAGCACTGAATAGCCTTCCAAATTTCTGCTCAGCTGGAAGAACACTTGATCTCAAAAATGCTTTGGTGCAGGAGATACACAATGTATGTCAACTCTGACAGACACTGTTAGAGGTGCCCATTATCCAATTCTCATCTTCCTAACAGAATCTCAAAATGTTAATTTGGCCCATGACAACCCAGATAGAATATTACGTCCCATCCAGCTTCATGGCTAGTGGGACCAAGCAACTGTTTGAAATTGAAGTTTATGTATTGTGTGTAACTTCCAAGAAGTGTTCTTGGGGGTGGGGGAGGTAATGCCCTCTACCAGCTGGCTCAGATGCCGATAGGAAGTTTCTAGCTAGAGCAGCTGTCTTCAAGTAAGAACTGAAAGCCACATGTTGGCCAGGTGTGGTGGCTCACACCTGTAACACCAGCACTTTGGGAGGCCAAGGCAGGAGGATCACTTAAGCCCTGGACTTCAAGGCCAGCCTGGGCAACATAGCAATGACCTCATCTCTACCAAAAAAAAAAAAAAAAAATTTAGCCAGGCATGGTGGTGTGTACCTGTAGTCCCAGGTACTCTGGAGGCTGAGGCTAAAGTGGGAGAATATAGCTCGAGCCCGGGAGTTCCAGGCTGAAGTGAGCCAGAAGTGTGCCACTGCACTCCAGCCTGGGCAACAGAGTGAGACCCTATCTCATTAAAAGAAAAAAAAAAAAAGCTACAGGTTGAGAATGGGGAGGAACAATATAGAAAGAACCCGGATCCCTGACCCTGCATAATGTCATATGGGCTCTGGATTGCCTTCCCAAACTTTAATATGAAAGAGAAACAATCTTTTTTTTGTTTCTAATTTTTTTTTTTTTTTTTTGTCGAGATGGGGGTCTCTCTATTGCTCAGGATGGTTTCAAACTCCTGGGCTCAAACAATCCTCCCGCGTTGGCCTCCCAAAGAGCTTGGATTACAGGCATGAGCCACCATGCCCAGCTGAGAAGCAAACTTCTATCTTGTACAAGCAATTGCTGTTTGGGGACACAGCCAACCTCATACATATGAACTAATGCATGCCAAGTTTTAATTTCCTTAACTGAAAAGGCTGATGCAAATGACATATTGCACCTGGTGGCAGGCAGCTACATCTACTGCTAAAATGACATAAGATAGAAGAAGTTTTCTGTAGAGAACATTGTGTGTCACAAACAGTGACATTTTCAAAAGTGCTTAATTCAATATGACTTCCCAGCGGCAAAGCTTGCACCTATGGTTTTAGGAAAACAACAACAAAAAGTTTAGTCTAGCTTAAGATGCAAAATGACTGACAAAGTCCCTCCCCACAAGAGAACTGTAACGAGCAATTTAAACAAATCAAAAATGGTTTGTTTTATTTACAATACTCAATGCATCTTATGAGTAACATATTTGCATTCCCTAAGTCTTTTGGAAAGTAATTCCAGTTTGTGCAGTGAGTTTACAGGAAAATCTTAAAGATATCTAGTAGACATCTTAAACCTAAACTCTAAATTTTGAAAGATATTTCACACTATATTAATAGAGGACTGTTTTTAATTAAGAAAAACTAAACTCTGTAAATATTGCCCTCCAGTATCTTTAATGCAAATATAAACCAGATTAGCCTATGAAATAAGACCACTAGATTTGGGTGAATTATTCTGACCTCCCCTCCCCAATAAAATGCATGCATAAAGTAAACATGGTAAATTACATCAATCACATTTTAATACTTTTTTTTTTGGACTCTCTCAACTGTTGTTTGCTCAATTGTCGGTACAGATAGGTAGGATTCCAGTCTGGAGAAACCCCTAAACCACTACACCCTGCCTCAGAGTAGGGAAGAATTTTCAGTATGTATGTGGAGACAGGCTGGATTAGGGAGCCTTTTGAGTGGCTTCTCTAGGATACCTTTCTTGCTAACATGAGCAAGGTTCCCCTCCAGGCCTGATAAAGCCTGAAGAGGTTAGTTATTTCCCTACTAGTTCTGGAAGCATCTTATTCATGCCACCATAGGAGGCTGTCTTCCCCTGCTCCTCCCTGAATCACCACCTAGATTTTAGTGCTTTCTGAGTTGATGATGGAAACCAGTTCCTGTTCAGGTGCCAGAAACTTTTTTTTTTTTGAGATTGAGTCTCGCTCTTTCATGCTGGAGTGCAGTGGTGCGATCTCAGCTCACTGCAACCTCCACCCCCCGGGTTCAAGCGATTCTCTGCCTCAACCTCCTGAGTAGCTGGGATTACAGGCGCCCACTACCACACCCATCTACTTTTTGCAAATTTTGTAGAGATGGGGTTTCACCATATTGGCCAGGCTGGTCTCAAACTCCTGACCTCAGGTGATCCACCTGCCTCAGCCTCCCAAAGTGCTAGGATTACAGGCGTGAGCCACCGTGCCAGAAACTGTTTTTATGTCACATAAAGATCTATGAAACAAGGTAAAAGGTAATTAAAATACTTTGTGACAGAGTTTGCACCTCATGCATGTGAAAGAGAATGTAATTAATTTTATCATTTATATAGCTGCCATCTTTTTTTTTTTTTTGAGACGGAGTCTCCTTCTGTTGCCCAGGCTGGAGTGCAGTGGCACGATCTTGGCTTTGCAAACTCCGTCTCCTGGGTTCAAATGATTCTCTGCCTTAGCCTCCTGAGTAGCTGGGATTACAGGAGCCCACCACCACACCCAGCTAATTTTTTTTTTTGTATTTTTAGTAAAGATGGGGTTTCACCCTCTTGGCCAGGCTGGTCTTGAACTCCTGACCTCGTGATCCACCTGCCTCGGCCTCCCAAAGTGCTGGGATTACAGACGTGAGCCACTGCACCCGGCCAGCTGCCATCTCTTAAAACAAAATCCAAGTCCTAGCTCTTGAGCCATAAAGAAGAAATAGAGGTATCTCTATACTGGATCCACCTCAACTTAGCAACGCATCTCTGCATCTCCACAATGCCATTCTCCTCAAAACATCTGCTGTCTTTAACATCTGGCATAGGTGGTAGAATGGGGAGATACTAGGCTGCAGAAATAAAATCCAACGTTTGACAAAGCCAACAGAATTTTGAGATAAAGAAATGGTGAGGTAGAGTTGAGAGAGTTCAATTATATTGTTGAGCACAGACCATTTGGCACATTCTAAAATTAGATTCCCTATCAACTTCTCCTTTGTGGTACCTTTACAAAATGCTGACACCTTAGGAATCCTCCAACACCTATGTAAAGCTAACAGAATAAAGTCATTTGAAGAAATTCATCCTTGGCTCTTTAGCTATTATCTACCCCCATATTGAAGCAAATAAAAAACAATGCTATCCATTTGCTGAATTTATTTAAACAAGTCAATTTAGAAATACCATAGAATTAAACAAAACTTCTGACATGTAAACATACTGCCATGTTCCTGAAACAGATGTTAACACCTGATAAAAGTTAATAATCTCTTGTTAGGAAAGCTGTCCATTAATAAGGCCAGTCTTCAGCAAAACTAAAACCATTTTGTTCGTTTAGCTTTCCTAGTCTGACAACGCAATACTGTTGAACCACAGTCAAATATAATGACAACATTGGATGGATAGATCAGTACCATTGGTTACAGCTGTTAAACAGGTTCGTTCTTGGCGCCACATAAAAACAAGCCAATCACATCGAATAAATCATGGCTTTTTTTTCTTTATCACAATTCACTAAGTGATGTTAATTATGGTCCTTGTCAAACACGTTTGGTAAAGGCTATTTACAGTGTACATGGCTGAGCATGCACTATTTATAGTTACAAAGATACCTGCCAGTTTATTACAATAGAATTACACAGTGCCTGAAAATGGTGAAACATCTCACACATCATTTAAATCAATATAATTTCAAGCAGGAAACGTTCCTTATTTGACCACAATTGCAATAATTACATGAAAATTCTTATAAAAACATGAATCTCCTTCAAGAAATTGATGCATATTCTACGCACTACAGGTTAAGGCAGTAAAAAAATGTATTCCTGATAACTGGAGGTGTTGACAATGTCAATTAAAGCTGTCTGACTCTAGTTTTTCATTCTCCATCATATACCAAAAGTTTGTGAATGATTTCATTTTTAAAGTCAACAAAGTATTAGTAACTAAGAAGAGTTGAAGCTGGAAAAAAGTAATTGCTAGGGAAGGGAAAAATGTAAATTGGATTTTGCCTGAAAGTTTTCAAATCATAAACAATAGCATTATTTATGAGTCTAAGCCTTAAATGTATAAAACAAATACATATAGTTCACTTTTCTTAATTTAAAATATACTGTACTTTGAACAATTCAAGTAATGTAAGACTATCAAAAATAACTTCATAAGCCATACACAAGTGTCAACTGCATTTTCAGTATTTTAAGAACTTTTTAAAAATTGTAAACTAAACCATGACAGTTTAGTTAAACAAATGATAAATGACTTTTTATTTGCACTTGTGATTTCTTTAATACAAATTGCTACCAACAAATATGTAAAGATATGGCAGGTTATGCATTTGATCAAAGCACTTTGATTTAAGCATAAAACAGATTCAAATGGTACAAGTTCTGTGCATAAGATCCAAGGAATTGCTTACTAATCTGTAGGCAACCCTCTTTCTAATCAGAATCCTTTATTCCTCGGCTGCAGATGAGATAGGGCACAATCTGTTGTAAACAGGGCACTGTTGTTAAACCAGGATAATATTCTTAAATTAAGATCGTTCTTGTTCTATTAAAAAGACTTTCCCAAGTGTCTTCCATCACTGAGTATATTCTGCTGACCTCTTAATTTCATAAATTAACTTTCTTTTGATTCCATTTTTATGGTGGTGTCCGCAGTTTTGTTTTAAAAATTGGTTTAAATTTATATAAAACTCTGTACATGTTCACAAATTATTGCATAAACAGCATAATCTTCAAGACAAGTGTTTGCAAACACATGTCCAATTCAGGAAAAAAAATTTCACGTTTCTCGTCTGGCTTTTTTCTTCTTTTTTATTTGTTTGGGAGATTCCCAGCTAGTTTCAGACTTGGCTAAAAAAGAAAAGGGGGAAAACGAAGAAAAAAATTAGGAGGATGGTAAATACTGTTACGTCTCAATAATATAAAAGTAGTAACTATGAAACAATGTTTTAAAATACTCAAATTTTATGTTTAAGTTTTCAAGCCCTCGTTATATATTTTAAGTTATTCTATGTCTTCTTCCCTCCTTTCCTTTCAATGGTATTATTAGGTTGAACTATATGGAACTGCTGATATTCAACCAGTTTTGACCCAAAAAAACTGTTATTTAATATGGCTCAACCTAACTAATAAAAGAGAAAAATGGGTAAAATGGATACTAAAGGTAGCTGAAGAGAGTAAAGGAGGAAAAAAAGCATAGAATAATTTGTAGCCTCAAGAACATGTGCAGAGAAAAAGGGAGAGGGACCACATAGACAAGCAGGCAGGCATGAAAGTTCTCCCTCTCTGTTCTCAGCAATGTATTCTCTCCTTCAGAGATAGATAGATAGATTGATCATTTATTTATTGAGTCTTGCTCTGTCACCCAGGCTGGAGTGCAATGGCGCAATCTTGGCTCACTACAACCTCCGCCTCCCGCGTTCAAGCGATTCTCCTGCCTCAGCCTCCCGAGTAGCTGCGATTACAGATGTTCGGCCAGCACACCCAGCTAATTTTTGTATTTTTAGTAGAGACGGGGTTTCGCCATGTTGGCCACGCTGGTCTTGAACTTCTGACTTCAAGTGATCCACCCGCCTCAGCCTCCCAAAGTGCTCGGATTACAGGTGTGAGGCACGGCACCCAGCCTCCTTTAGTTATTTTAACAACTTGGCCTTCACAACTTAAGTAGACAAACGTCCAAAAAATTTAGCATTTTCTCTTTTTTTTTTGAGACAGAGTCTTGCTCTGTCGCCCAGGTTGGAGTGCAGTGGCATGATCTCGGCTCACTGCAAGCTCCGCCTCCCGGGTTCACGCCATTCTCCTGCCTCAGCCTCCCGAGTAGCTGGGACTACAGGTGCCTGCCACCACGCCCGGCTAATCTGTTGTATTTTTAGTAGAGACGGGGTTTCACCATGTTAGCCAGGATGGTCTCGATCTCCTGACCTAGTGATCCGCCCGCCTCAGCCTCTCAAAGTGCTGGGATTACAGGCGTGAGCCACCGCACCCGGCAGAATTTAGCATTTTCAAAGGAAGAAAGGGCTACTCTTATTAATCCATTAGACGTTTTTTTTTTTGAGACGGAGTCTCGCTCTGTTGCCCAGGCTGGAGTGCAGTGGCACGATTTTGGCTCACTGCAAGCTCTGCCTCCCGGGTTCACGCCATTCTCCTGCCTCAGCCTCCCGAGTAGCTGGGACTACAGGCACCCGCCGCCACACCTGGCTAATTTTTTGTATTTTTAGTAGAGACGGGGTTTCACCATGTTAGCCAGGATGGTCTTGATGTCCTGACCTCGTGATCTGCCCGCCTCGGCCTCCCAAAGTGCTGGGATTACAGGCGTGAGCCACTGCGCCTGGCCTCCATTAGACTTTTAAGATCAGAACCTTAACACATGAAAAATGTAAACAGTACAAAGGAACAAAAAATGAGGATTACTTACTCTGTGAAGGAGGCACACTATTTTGCTTGGTATTTGACTTGGATTTATCTGTCTCTTGTAGTATTGGCGGCACTTGGGAAGAGCTCTTGTCAGAATCACTTTTTGATAAGATTACAGATGGCTCGGTAGAAGTAGCAGGTGGAAGAGTCTTGATAGGCTATTTTAGGAAAAAATCATCTCAGGTTTTTTGGTGAAATTTTCAAATAAAGTTTAAATATCACAGTAATACCAAGAGGTGGTTTAGCAGCAATTCAATACTAATATGGTTTCCAGATAAACAATGTAACTCATACCTGCCCTCTAGTGATACAGCCAAATCAATCATCACCTACAACATTTATGAATATATGTTGAGATAAAAATGAAGGTATGAAATTATAAAATGTCTACTGAATTTCAAATAGAAATGAATAATTTTTCATTAACTTTTTTTTGAGGTGGAGTCTCACTCTGTTGCCCAGGATGGAGTGCAGTGGCACAATCTTGGCTCACTGCAACCTCCGCCTCCCGGGTTCAAACGATTCTCCTGCCTCAGCCTCCTGAGTAGCTGGGACTACAGGCGTGTGCCACCACGCCCAGCTATTTTTTTTGTGTTTTTAGTAGAGACAAGGTTTCACTGTGTTAGCCAGGATGGTCTCGATCTCTTGACTTCGTGATCCGCCTGCCTCAGCCTCCCAAAGTGCTGGGATTACAGGCATGAGCAACCACGCCCGGCCTAACTTTTATATTCTTAAGTTTCATATAAATAAGATGATTTTATGCTTTTCTTTTTTGAGACAGAGTATCGCTCTATGGCCTAGCCTAGAGTGCAGAGGCACAAAACAGCTCACTGCAGCCTTGACCTCCTGGGCTCAAGCAATCCTCCCACTTCAACCTCCTGAGTAGCTGGGATTATAGGCGTGAACCACTGAGACTGGCTGATTTTATACTTGTTAGTGATTCATTGGTTGTTGTCCATTTCCACCAACTCAGAACGCTTCAAAAATTTTTGTGAAAAACAGAAGGAAAATAGCTAACTTCTGAACTACCAGTAGATGACAACTCCTAATCTCCTTCCCAACAGGTAAGAATTTCTCAAATAGCAGCAGCAACAGCTTCTGTTTCCTACAAGCACACTGTGGTTACCAGTCCTACTGACTCAAGCAACTGGTAACACTCAGGTACAAATTTTCAGTGTTTTATCCAGTCTGGTAGTGAAATTGGAATGCTTAAGGCAGAGCCTAGATTCTTGAGCCTTACTTCTCTACAGCCTGGAAGCAGAAAGGAGGTAAACTAACTGATTTGCCTCACTGAAGCATATCCATTAATAAATGATCAGGACCTGGTAATGATAAGAACGTCAGTAATTTGGAGTGCCTTCGGGTTGTGAGAGATGAGTAGATCATTTCACCTATTAGCTCTATCTGTGATCATTATCCTGAACATAGAAAGAAGGGTAAGTAATGCTTCTCTTGCCCCTATTCTTCCAGGGCCCATAGATTCGAGAAAGCAAAATGGGATAAGGATACAAGAGGAAATGGTGTGAGCCCAAGTAATTACTAGGATTCCTTCTTCCTATTCCAGGTATCTGAAGTTGTATTTGTGTGTGTGTGTGTGACAGGGTCTCACTCTGTCACCCAGGCTGGAGTGTAGTGGTGTGATCTTCATTCACTGCAACCTCTGCCTCCTGGGCTCACATGATCCTCCCACCTCAGTCCCCCAAGTACCTGGGACCACAGGTGCACACCACCACATCCAGTTACTTTTTTGTATTTTTGGTAGAGACGGGGGTTTCATCATTCTGCCCAGCTGGTCTTGAACTCCTGAGCTCAAGTGATCTACCCATCTCAACCTCCCAAAGTGCTGGGATTACAGGCGTGAGCCACCATGGCTGGCCCTGAGGTTGTATTTATGTTGCCTAGTTTCTTTACCTTTCTTAGTGTTCCCTGTATTTATTTCATATCCAGAAGTTTTATTGTTACTTATTTTTAATCTCCTTTTCCCCTTTGTTCTCTCACTTATCTACATTAAGTCACAGAACGGATCAAATCTTCTTCATAAGATGGCTTCTGAAAATGATTTAATATAAAAATATCAAACAGAGGCCGGGCGTGGTGGCTCGTGCCTGTAATCCCAGTACTTTGGGAGGCTGAGGCAGGCGGATCACTTGAGGTCAGGAGTTCGAGACTAGCCTGGCCAACAAGGTGAAACCCCATCTCTACTAAAAATATAAAAATTAGCCAGGGGTGGTGGCGTGCACCTGTAATCCCAGCTACTTGGGAGGCTGAGGCAGGAAAATCGCCTGAACCCAGGAGGTAGAGGTTGCAGCGAGCCGAGATTGCGGATTGCGTCACTGCACTCCAGCCTGGGCAATAGAGCAAGACTCTTGTCTCAAAAAAAAAAAAAAAAAGTCAAATAGACCCTTTGCTATTTATTATACACACACACATAAATAAATAAATAAATATATATATATTCTTCTTCACAAAGTCTCACTTTGTCGCCCAGGCTGGAGTGCAGTGGCGCAATTACAGCTCACTGCAGCCTCGACCTCCTGGGCTCAAGTGATCTTCCCACTCAGTCTCCCGAGTAGCTGGGACTACAAGCACACACCACTACACCCAGCTAATTTTTGTGCTTTTTGTAAATACTGAGTCTAGCCATGTTGCCCAGGCTGGTCTCAAACTCCTGGACTCAAGTGATCCTCCTGCCTTGGCCTCCCAAAGTGTTGGGATTACAGGTCTGAGCCACTGCACCTGGTTGCTTATTTATGAGATGGAGTCTCACTTTGTTGCCCAGGCTGGAGTGCAGTGGCGTGATCTTGGCTCACTGCAACCTCTGCCTCCTGGGTTCAAGTGATTCTCCTGCCTCAGCCTCTTGGGTAGCTGGGATTACAGGTGCCTGCCACCACACCTGGCCAATTTTTGTATTTTTAGTAGAGACAGGGTTTCACCATCTTGGCCAGGCTGGTCTCGAACTCCTGACCTTGTGATCCACCCACCTTGGCCTCCCAAAGTGCTGGGATTACAGGCGTGAGCCACCACACCCAGCCCTGAATTTATATGATGTAATTAATTTACCCAATTAGAAATCAGATTTTGTGTCACCAACCTAGGCCTTTTGTAAAATGGTCCCTTCTGCCATACAGATACTTTCCATAGAAGGCACATCATTCAAGAGCCTATAACCAAGTTTTAAACAAATGTTCCATTTTGGGAGGCTGAACCATAGTCATATTATGTACATATATTGGGGGAAAATGAAACCACTCATATTTTCTCTATGTCTAAGCTGTCTATCCCTTGTATGCCTAGATATTTAGCAGGAGAAAATACAGTACAGTGTGGTTCTTGATTTCACTACTGATAGTTATATGACTCTGGGCAAGTTATTCAACTTCTCTAGCTTCATTTATAAAATGCGTCTCACCTTTCTCTCGGGATTGTTTTGAAGACTAAATTAGTCATTATATTTTAAATGCTTAGCACAGTGCTTAAAACATTATTTATGATAAAATACTTGAGTCAACAAAACTTTATTATTCTTTTTTTTTTTTTTTTTTTTGAGACAGTGTCTTGCTCTCTTGCCTAGGCCGGAGTGCAGTGGAGTGATCTCGGCTCACTGCACCCTCCGCCTCTCAGGTTCAAGCGATTCTCCTGCCTCAGCCTCCTAAGTAGCTGGGGTTACAGGCTCCCATCACCGTGCCCGGCTAATTTTTGTATTTTTAGTAGAGACGGGGTTTCACTATGTTGGCCAGGCTGCTCTTGAACTCCTGACCTCATGACCTGCCCACCTTGGCCTCTCAAAGTGCTGGGATTACAGGCGTAAGCCACTGCGCCCGGCAACTTTATTATTCTTAAAAATTACCTGGCTATTTTTGACGAGTACTTCGGCTGGATCACTAGTGCTTATGGTCTTCAAGGAAAAAGCTTTTTCCTGTTTTGGACGGGTTTTAGAGGTATTCACTGGAAGGTCTTCTCTAATCTCTTTTTCTAATTCTTCTGTGTCCTATAGAGAAAAATAACCTATTAGATTATATAAAGCATTCATTCTTCATTAATTAAAATCTATGGTGGTGTATGGCTGTAATCCCAGCACTCTGGGAGGCGGAGGTGGGTGAATTGCTTGAGCTCAGGAATTTGAGACCAGCCTGGGCAACATGGTGAAACCCTGTCTCTACAAAAATACAAAAATTAGTCACATGTGGTGGTGTATACATGTAGTCCCAGTTACTCAGGAGGCTGAGCAGGGAGGACTACTTGAGCCTGAGAGATGGAGGCTGCAGTAGACTGTGATCACACCACTGTACTCCAGGCTGGGTGATTCTGTCTCAAAGAAAAAAAAAAAACCCAAAACTACAAAACTACAAAAATTAGCCAGGCATGGTGGTGCATGCCTTTAATCCCAGCTACTCAGGAGGAGGTATGAGAATTGCTTGAGCCTGGGAGGTGAAGGTTGCAGTGAGCCGAGATCGCACCATTGCACTCCAGCCTGGGCAACAGAGGAAAACTCTGTCTCACAAAAAAAAAACAAAAAAAACAAAAACAAAAACAAAAAAAAACCCACAAAAAACACTTCACTTAACAACTTCAAGGAATAAAATGTTTATACATAAGTTAATTTTCTAGATAAATTAAGCTTACATAGTAGAAAGGGTATAGACAGAAAATTCCAATTTTGGCCATGCCACAGTCTAGCTACAAAATCTCAGGGATAGATTTGGCAGTGGCTCACGCCTGTAATCCCAGCACTTTGGGAGGCTGAGGCAGGCAGATCACCTGAGGTCAGGAGTTCGAGACCAGCCTGGCCAACATGGTGAAACGCTGTCTGTAATAAAAATACAAAAATTAGCTGGGTGTGGTGGCGCACGCCTGTAATCCCAGCTATTTGGGAGGCTGAGGCATGACAATTACTTGAACCTGGAAGGCGGAGGTTGCAGATCTCGCCACTGCACTCCAGCCTGGGCAACATGGTGAAACCCTATCTCTACTAAAAATACAAAAATTAGGCCGGGTGCTGTGGCTCATGCCTGTAATCCCAGCACTTTGGGAGGCTGAGGTGGGTGGATCACTTGAGGTCAGGAGTTCAAGACCAGTCTGGCCAACATGGTGAAACCCTGTTTCTACTAAAAATACAAAAATTATCTGGTAATGGTGGTACACATCTGTAATCCCAGCTACTTGGGAGGCTGATACATGATAGTTGCTTGAACCTGGGAGATGAAGGTTGCAGTGAGCCAAGATCGTGCCACTGCACTCCAGCCTGGGTGACAGAGTGAGACCTTGTCTCAAAAACAAACAAACAAACAAACAATCTCAGGGACAAGTCACTTAGTTTCCCTAAGCCTGTTTCCTCAACTGTAAAGTAAAATTTGCCCTAATAATTTCTAAAAACTCACATAAGCTTTAAGATTTCCATTTTTGGGGGGGGGGGGATAAAAATTTATTATACATAAAGAATATCACCACTAACAAACGCAGACAGGCTAGGACACCATGGTACAGGGTGGAGGATGGCTAGCTCTTTGGAAAGTGAAAGGTTTGGGTGGCGTGGGCCTCATGCCACTCTGATTAGTCAGGAGACAGGAGGGCACATGCCAAACACCACAGGACATCAGGGCAGCAAGATTTCCATTCTTAGACTTTCAAACTTTTATGAAGTTTCAGCAAAATAATTCTAGAGCACATTATATGCTTAGTAAATTATATGTAAAGTAAACATGAACTAGAATATATTAAATAGAAGGATTACTGTATTTTTCTTTGGCAAATGCATCCATATAAAATGGCCGTTCTTTTTAACAAATGGCTAAGATGATCTTAATGTTCTTCTGACACTGATGTTCTATTTTATGATAGTTATTCAGTATAGTAGTGGGTTTAGATAGTCAAAATTTTCTATATATTTAGGCTGAGCAGGTAGCTTTGGAAGTATGTGGGTGAAGTCTGTAATCTTACAAAGTTTTTCAAAGTTTTGCAATCTTACAAAGTCAGAAGACATCAATTTATTTCCATCCCAAGTTGAACTCAACAGTGAAAGACCCCATCAGCCACACACGAACACCAAAAAGGACTTTGGGTTTGGTGCGGTAGCTTGCATCTGTAATCCCAGCACTTTGGGAGCCAAGGCAGGAGGACTGTTTGAGCCCAGGAGTTTGGGATAGCCT
This sequence comes from Homo sapiens, assembly GCF_000001405.40. NCBI lineage: Eukaryota > Metazoa > Chordata > Mammalia > Primates > Hominidae > Homo > Homo sapiens. Next base: position 97,716,890 of record NC_000008.11, on the reverse strand, counting down.
GGGTAACATAGGGAAACTCTGTCTCTACAAAAAAATAAAAAAACTGTAGTCCTAGTTACTTGGGAGGCTGAAGCAGGAGGATCCCTTCAGCCCAGGAGGTTGAGGCTGCAGTGAGCTGTGATGGAGCCACTGCATTCCAGCCTGACCACAGAGTGGAATGTCTCAAAAAACAAACAAACAAAACAAAACAAAAAGAGAAAAAACAATATAATTTTTTTTTTTGAGACAGTCTCACTCTGTTGTCCAGGCTGGAGTGTAGTGGCACAATCTTGGCTCACTGCAACCTGCGATTCTCCTGCCTCAACTTCACAAGTAGCTGGGACTACAGGCGCCAGCTACCACGTGCGGCTAATTTTTGTATTTTCAGTAGAGACGGGGTTTCACCATGTTGGCCAGGATGGTCTCAAACTCCTGACCTTGTGATCCACCCGCCTCGGCCTCACAGGTGCTGGGATTACAGGCATGAGCCACCGCACCCGGCCTAACTTTTTTTTTCTTTCTTTTAAGATGGAGTTTCACTCTTGTTGCCCAGGCTGGAGTGCAATGGCATGATCTTGGCTCACCGCAACCTCCGCCTCCCGGGTTCAAGTGATTCTCCTACCTCAGCCTCCCGAGTAGCTGGGATTACAGGTGCATGCAACCATGCCCGGTTAATGCTGTATTTTTAGTAGAGACAGGGTTTCTCCATGTTGGTCAGGTTGGTCTCGAACTCCCGACCTCAGGTGATCCACCCGCCGTGGCCTCCCAAAGTGCTGGGATTATAGGCGTGAGCCACCGCGCCCAGCCATAACCTTTTATTAATAGGATATATGTGCTATGTACTCAGCATAGAACTTCATGGATATCAAATTCTCAAAACAACCTATGCAATTATGTAACTTGTGCAAGGTAAAAAAAAAAAATGACAGAACAAGATTCAGAATATAGATCTGACTCTAAACCTAGAATACTTATTCATTATATTTTTAAAAACACAGTGAACATTTTTAAAAGGATAATCAGAATGCCAAAGAAACAGTCACATGTTAATGACCTTTGCCAATACGTTAAACATTTCAGAATACATCTATCCTACAAAATTTATTTTAAAAGGAGCTCCACTAATCCACAATCCACTAAATCATTATTAGTAAATACTCAAAGTCAAAGAAATTCAAGAAAAACTTGGCTAAAATGGTTTTCAGGTAGTATTACTAACAAAGGATAGATGTAACATTTCTCATCTACCAGCTCCAGCTAACAAGAAAAGCATACCTATTATAGAGTGTTAGTTTGTTCATATCCACTGATCTTAGCTATGTTACAACCTTAATGCCCATTCATTTTGACTACTGAAAAAGCAAGCAAGTATTGATAATAAGCTTGTATCATTTATGAGGGTTTGTGCTTCCCACAATAAAAAATAACTGAATACATATTTCCTTAAAAAGCCATGTAGAAACTTCTTTCAAAAACAGTAAGTGGCTGGGCGTGGTGGCTCACACCTGTAATCCCAGCACTTTGGGAGGCTGAGGCAGGAAGATCACTCGAGGCCAGATCACTTGAGACCAGCCTGGCCAACATGGTGAAATCCCCTCTCTACTAAAAATGCAAAAATTAGCTGGGTGTGGTGGCTCATGCCTGTAATCCCAGCTACTTGGAAGGCTCAGGCAGGAGAATCACTTGAACCTGGGAGAGGCAGGTTACAGTGAGGTGAGACTATGCCACTGCACTCCAGCCGGGGTGACAGAGTGAGACTCTGTCTCAAAAATAAATAAATAAATAAGGCTGGGCGTGGTGGTTCACGCCTGTAATCCCAGCACTTTGGGAGGCTGAGTTGGGCCGCTCACTTGAGACCACATCACTTGAGACCAGCCTGGCTAACATGGCGAAAGCCTGTCTCTACTAAAATACAAAAATTAGCCAGGCGTGGTGGCACATGCCTGTAATCCTAGCTACTTGGGAAGCTGAGGCAGGAGAATCGCTTGAACCTGGGAGGCAGAGGCTGCAATGAGCTGAGATCGCACTACTGCACTCCAGCCTGGGCAACAGAACAAGACTCTGTCTCAAATAAAAAAAAAAAAGATAAACAAATAGAACAATAAGTAGGAAAAATTACTATGTGGGCTAACCCTAGAAATTGCGGTTCCCTGTCTCCTACATTTAAACAATTAATTACATAGTTATAGTAAGGAATACAAATATTTTAAGAAGTTGTAATGTAACAGTATTAGTGCTTTAAAAAAACCTATGCATGTTTCTAATAATCTGATACATCTGAAATTAAAATATCTTTTTTTTTTTTTTGAGACAGGTTCTTACTCTGTGACCCAGGCTGGAGTACAGTAGTGTGATTTTTGGCTCACTGCAAGTTCTGCCTCCCGGGCTCAAGTGATCCTCTCACCTCAGCTTCCCCAGTAGCTGGGGCTACAAGCGTATGCCACCGTGCCTAGCTAATTTTTGTAGAGACAGGGTTTTGCCATGTTGCCCAGGCTGGTCTCAAGCTCCTGGACTGAAGTGATCCTCCTGCCTTAGCCTTCCAATGTGCTGGGATTACAGGCATGAGCCATTGTGCCCAGCTTAAAATTTCAACTCTGACTTCATTTTTATTATAATTTACTTTTTTTCCCCCAGACAGGAGAGCAAAGAAAAAGAAAGAAAAGGAAATGTATGAGTGATGGAAAGAGAAAATGTCTGTTGGGTAGATGCCAAAAAAGCAGGAAAGGATACTTCTAAGTGAAATAACCAGCAAACTCAAAGTCAAGTGAAAGACTCCACTTGTTATACACATGGTTTTTCTATGTGTGCTAAATGTTACCTTCCAGTTACTCAAAAGGAATTTTTGTATGTGTAAAATACTGTATCTCTTTTCCCATTTCACCATTATATAATAAAAAAATGCATGAATAATTTGGAATTTTACTTATTTTTGAGTTTAGCAACACCTTTAACACGAATTTTTTGAGCAATAACATTTTTATTACAATATAATGTATTGAATATGTAAAACAGTCTATGATTTTTCAAATAAATGATGTCTCATACTGTCTTTTATCTCTATGTATTTTTAACATCTGTACATAATCTTTTCACATTTTAAGCCGGAGGCGCTTAATGAATGCTTGTTGTTCTGACATTTTACCTGTGCAGTAGAGTTATCTTCACCTTGCTTCTTCTTTTTCTTTTTTTTCTTTTTGGATTTCCCAGTTGGAAGAGCTCCCTCTCCCTTTTCTTTATCATCATCTGAGACCTTAGGTTAAAAGCAAAAATATTAAAGAGAACCAAATGGTTATGTGTCCATTATTTAGAAAATTATTATGAAATAATTTCATTCATTAGGTACAGTCTTCATTTCCCAAAATCTAAATAAAAACTAGTAATAAGTAATACAATGGATCAAGAACTACATATTTAAAAAATAACAAAATACATGGAACCTCATTCTCTCAGTGTGTCTACGTCATCCATCACTCACTACAACCTAAGTAGAGAGCTGTGTAAACTTTAGTGTTTTAAAAACTCACTGAGGCTGGGCACGGTGGTTCATGCCTGTAATCCCAGCACTTTGGGAGGCCGAGGCGGGCGGATCACGAGGTCAGGAGATCGAGACCATCCTGGCTAACATGGTGAAACCCCATCTCTACTAAAAATACAAAAAAATTAGCCGGGCGTGATGGCAGGCGCCTGTAGTCCCAGCTACTCGGGAGGCTAAAGCAGGAGAATGGCGTGAACCCAGGAGGCGGAGCTTGCAGTGAGCCGAAATCACTCCACTGCACTCCAGCCTGGGCAAAAGAGTGAGACTCCGTCTCAAAAATAAATAAATAAATAAAAATAAAAAATTAAAAACTCACTGAATAGGTAATTCTACTTTATTTTGAAGTTCAAATGTAGTGCAATTTGCGTTAAAATTTATTTGACCCTGTTAAGGAATGAAATAACAAGCTACACAATGGGGGAATATATTTGCAAGCCATATGGTTCCATCCATGGAACTAGTATCTGTACAATATAATACAAGGAACACTCAAGTTTAAAAAAAAATCCCCTTAGAAAATATGCAAAAGACATGAACAGACATTTCACCCAAGAACATGCACAGATGCCAAAGAAACCATGGGAAAAAGCTCAACTCCATTTGCTATTAGGGAAATGCATATTAAAACCACAATGAGTTATCACTGTACACCTATCAGAACTGCTAAAATAAAAAACAGTGACAACTGCAAATTTAGGTGAGGATACAGAAAAACCAGTTTCTTAGAATACTAAAATATGCAACTATCATAACACCCAGCGATTGTACATATGGGCATTTATCCTAGAGAAATGAAAGCTTATGTTTAGACAGAGACTTCTGAAAACCTACACATTTAGCAGCTTTATTCATAATAGTCCCAAACTGGAAAGGACACAAATGTCCTTCAATAGGTAAATGGTTAAAGAAACTGAGGTACATCCAGACCATGGAATATCACTCAGCAGTAAAAAGGTACAACTACTGACACATACAACAACCTGGATGAATCTCCAGAGAATTATGTGGAGTGAAAAAAAACAAAAAACAAAACATACCAAGGCCAGGAGCAGTGGCTGAAGCCTGCAATCCCAGCACTTTGGAGGCCAAGGCGGGTGGATCCCCTAAGGTCAGGAGTTCAAGAGCAGCCTGACCACTATGGTGAAACCCCATCTCTACTAAAAATAAAAAAATTAGCTGGGCCTGGTGGCATGCGCCTGTAATCCCAGCTACTCAGGAGGCTGAGATGGGAGAACTGCTTGAACCTGGGAGGTGGAGGTTGCAGTGAGCCGAGATCATGCCACTGCACTCCAGCCTGGGTAACAGAGCAAGACTCCATCTCAATCAAATGAACAAACAAGAACCATAGCAAAAGGTTATATATATTATAATTCCATTAATAAAACATTCTTGAAACGATAAATGTTCTGTATCTTGATTGCATCAATGCAAACACGCCAGCTGTGAAAAGGTAGTTCCCCCTTATTTGCAGTTTTGCTTTCTGCAGTTTCAGTTACCTGCGGTCAACCTCAGTCTGATATTAAAGTACTTTGAAAGACACAGAAAGTGAGAGAGACCACATTCACATAACTTTTATTACAGTAAATTTTATAACTTTTATGATTACTGTTGTTAATCCTTTACTAATTTACAAATTAAACTTTATCAGAGGTTATGTATAGGAAAAAGCATAGTATACCTAGGGTTTGACACTATCTGTGGTTTCAGTCATCCACTGGGAGTCTTGGAATGTATCCCGTGTATAAGTGGAGGTGGGGAGCGGTGGGGATGGCTACTGTGCTACTGTACAGTATTATGGTTTTTTAACATGTTACCACTGGGGAAAACTGGGTAAAAGGGGTACAGGGGATCACTCTGTTTCATTCCTGCCTTGTTTTGTTTGTTTTGTTTTTTTCAAGACAGGGTCTCGCTCTGTTGCTCAGGCTGGAGTACAGTGGTGCAATCAAGGCTCACTGCACAGCCTTGACCTCCTGATCCTCTTGCCTTAGCCACCTGAGGAGCTGGGACTACAGGCTGATTTTTCTTTTTTTTTTTTTTTTAATTAGAGATAGGGTCTTGCTATGTTGTACAGACTAGTCTCAAACACCATGGGCTCAAGTGATCCTCCTACCTTAGTCTCCCAAAGTGCTGGGATTACAGGCGTGAGCCACCGTGCCTGGCCTATATTATTTCTTATAACTGCATTTGAATCTACAATTATCTCAAAATAAAAGGTTTAATTTAAAAAACTGAATTTGAGAGGTCATGTCATTGAAAATAGCATTCTGCAGGACAAAAATATACCTATCAAGTTAGCACTGTTATGTTAGTATTCATAATGATGCAGAGGCCATGCCAATCTTCTCTGTATCTTATCTATCTATCTATTTATTTTTTTGAGATGGAGTCTTGCTCTGTTGCCAAGGCTGGAGTGCAATGGTGCCATCTTGGCTCACTGCAACCTCCACCTCCCAGGTTCAAGCAATTCCCCTGCCTCAGTCTCCCAAGTAGCTAGGATTATAGGTGTGCACCACCATGCCCGGCTAATTTTTCTATTTTCAGTAGAGATGGGGTTTCACCTTGTTGGTCAGGCTGGTCTCAAACTCCTGACCTCAGGTGATCCACTTGCCTCGGCCTCCCAAAGTGCTGGGATTACAGGCGTGAACCACCGCGCCCGGCCTTATCTATTTTTTTTTTTTTTTTTTTTTTTTTTTGAGATAGTCTCACTCTGTTGCCCAGGCTGGAGTGAAGTGCCTCACTGCAACCTCTGCCTCCCAGTTCAAGCGAGTCTTGTGCCTCAGCCTCCCAAGTAGCTGGGATTACAGGCGCACACTGCCACATCCAGCTAAATTTTTTTTTTTTTGTATTTTTAGTAGAGACGGGGTTCACCATGTTGGCCAGGCTGGTCTCAAACTCCCGACCTCGGGTGATCCGCCCACCTCGGCCTCCCAAAGTACTGGGATTACAAATGTGAGCCATCACGCCTGGCCTCAATTTTAGTGTATGTGCTGCTGAAGTAAGCACTGTAGTTTAACTTTCTATGGAAAAATGCTTTTTGTTTATTCTCACAAATGACAACCTAGATTCCTAGACTATCTTTACAGGAAGAGATGATTCTAGTAACCGCTATTTCTCTGCTCAGCACTATAGTCATTATAATGATTTTGGTGGTCTCACGAACTACCAGACAGTTTACAGAAATTACAAGCAGATGGAAAAACAAAACAAAATCTGGCACAAACTTAGCTAAGAGATTTTCAGTCTAGGCTGGTTGGCTACAAGTTGTGGAGAAACATCCCTAGAAGTTTTCACCACAAGCTGTTTCAAGGTCTTGTAATGATTAAAATGCCATATGAATAGATACGTGCCATGAATGATACTCAGGTCACAAGGACTTTCTTCAGTCAGCTTATCACTTCATTATAATCCAATCATACAAGAAATGTAGTTTCCCACGGCAAAATACTATTTTTGTTAATGGGAAGATGCTGAAATCAACTCTACAACTTTTAACTCCCATGAAAGAGTTGAGATTTTGATAAATGTATTTTAAATCTTTAAATAAAAAGGACATTACTGATAAATTTCAAATTCCTTTATACCGCTTCCCAATCCCATTTTCACAGTACCTTCCTAATGGTAACCAAAATTGTGAACAACTTCTGTGTCTATCCAATCAATTTTTCTATAAATTTATTTGTATCCACATATAAAAAGTTACATAAATGACATATTCTATCTTTTTATAACTTGCTCATCATTCAGCATGTTGAGTTTCCATTCATAATGCTAACAATGTAGCTTTAGTTCATTTTTAACTTCTAATATGCCATTGTATAAACATATCACATCTTTCCATTCCCCAACTGATGAACATTTTGATGACAGCTCACTTTTGCTTAGAAATGTAAAAGGTAATCTCTGAATATATTCAGAAAAAGAATTCCTATGATGTAGGATAAAGTCTTTATTCCATTCATGGGTTCTATTGTGTTAAATGTCCAACAAACATGTGAATGATCACTATGTATTAAGGTATTATATATTACGATATTGTACTTCTAAGAAGCCTTTTTGTAGGTCCAATCTAAAACCCCTTTCCCCACTGTTGACTTTCACATTGCCTGTTAACTGTCCTCCTCTACATTTATTTACCCCTCCTTCTACCATTAGTATTATATCTGGTGGTTTTTTTTTTTTTTTTGAGATGGAGTCTCGCTATGTTGTCCAGGCTGGAGTGCAGTGGCACAACCTTGGCTCACTGTAACCTCTGCCTCCCGGGTTCAAGCAATTCTTTGCCTCAGTCAGCCTCATGAGTAGATGGGATTACAGGTGCCCGCCACCATGCCCAGCTAATGTTTGTATTTTCAGCAGAGACGGGGTTTCACCATCTTGGCCCGGCTGGTCTTGAACTCCTGACCTTGTGATCTACCCACCTTGGCCTCGCAAAGTGGGAGCCACTGTGCCCGGCCTATATCCTGTTTTAAAGACCAATCCTGGCTGGGGGCAGTGGCTCACGCCTGTAATCCCAGCACTCTGGGGGGCCAAGGTGGGCAGATCACTTGAGGTCAGGAGTTTGAGACCAGCCTGGCTAACATGGCAAAAACTCGTCTGTACTAAAAACACAAAAATTAGCTGGGCATGGTGATGCATGCCTGTAATCCCAGCTACTCAGGAGGCTGAGGAGGGAGAATCACTTGAACCTGGGAGGTGGAGGTTGCAGAGAGCCGAGATCATGCCACTGCACTCCAGCCTGGGAGACGGGGAAACTCCATCTCAAAAAAAAAAAAAAAAAAAAAAAAAAAAAAAAAAAAAAGGCCTGGCATGGTGGCTCATGCCTGTAATCCCAGCACTTTGGGAGGCCGAGGTGGGTGGATCACTTGAGCTCAGGAGTTTGAGACCAGCCTGGCTAACATGGCAAAAACCCGTCTCTACTAAAAATACAAAAATTAGCTGGGCATGGTGATGCGTGCCTGTAATCCCAGCTACTCAGGAGGCTGAGGAGGGAGAATCACTTGAACCTGGGAGGGGGAGGTTGCAGAGAGCTGAGATCGTGCCACTGCACTCCAGTCTGGGAGACAGGGCGAAACTCCATCTCAAAAAAAAAAAAAAAAAAAAAAAAAAAAAAAAAAAGGCCTGGCATGGTGGCTCATGCCTGTAATCCCAGCACTTTGGGAGGCTGAGGCAGGTGGATCACTTGAGGTCAGGAGTTCGAAACCAGCCTGACCAACATGGTGAAACCAACATGGTAAAAGTACAAAAATTAGCCGGGCATGGTGGCAGGTGCCTGTAATCCCAGCTACTGGGAGGCTGAGGCACGAGAATTGCTTGAACTCAGGAGGCAGAGATTGCAGTGAGCTGAGATTGCATCACTGAACTCCAGCCTGAGTGACAGAGCAAAACTCCATCTCAAAAAGAAAAAGAAAAAAAAAAAAGACCAATCCATCCACTTGTTAAAGGCTTCTTGATCCTCTTCTGGCACCTTACTTTATCAGTCAAATCTTCCCTCTCATTTAACTTTTTCTTTTTTTTTTTCTTTTTTAAGAGATGGGGTCTTGCTATGTTCAAACAATCCTCCTGCCTCAGCCCCCTGAATAGCTGGGACTACCAGGTGTATGCCACTGTGCCCAGCCTATGTTTAACTTTTTAGTTTATTCCGGATCCTTTCCCTTTGTATTGACAGACATGCTAAAACAGGGGTTGGCAAATTACAAATACAGCCCAGCATTAGTTCCTACAAATAAAATTCATTTCCATATCATCTATGGCTACTTGCTATATAATTGACTAGCTGTATCAGAATGTATGGCTTTTTAATAAAGACTGTGCAGGCCAGACACAGTGGCTTACACATGTAATCCCAGCACTTTGAGAGGCTGAGGCAGGAGGGTCACTTGAGGCCAGGAGTTTGAGGACACCATCTCAAAAAAAAAAAAAAAAAAAAAAAAGGCCAGGCATGGTGGCTTACGCCTGTAATCCCAGCACTTTGGGGGGCTGAGGTGAGCGGATCACCTGAGGTCTGGAGTTGGAGACCAGCTTTGCCAACATGGTGAAATCCCATCTCTACTAAATACACAAAAATTAGCCGGGCATAGTGTCGGGCTAGTAATCCCAGCTACTCAGGAGTCTGAGGTAGGAAAACTGCTTGAACACAGGAGGTAGAGGTTGCAGTGAGCTGAGATCATGCCACTGCACTCCAGCCTGGGCAGCACAACAAGAATCTGTCTCCGAAAAAAAAAAAAAAAGAAAAAAAGACTGCTGACCCTATACCAAAATCTCCCTATCATTAAAATACAACACCCCAACCCTAGCAAAACCATTCCTGATACCACGTGTTGCTATTATCCACTATCTCTCCTCCAGTCCTATCAAAACTTGGGTTTGCTGTTTCTGATGCTATTATTGTCTCCCTGAGGCTCTCAATTGGTGTCAGCCTCTGTGACCCAGAATTCTCCTTCAGTTGCTTTATTTTATTTTTATAAATAGAGATGGGGTCTCGCTATGTTGCCCAGGCTGGCCTTGAACTCCTGGGCTCAAGCAATCCTCCCACAGTACCTCCCAAAGTGCTGGAATCATAGGCGTGAGCCACTGTGCCCAGCCTGTCTCTTTCATTAACAAATAAACACCCAGGAATCTCTTATACTCACCTTTTGATCATCAGGAATTGGTTCCTGGGACTTTAGAAGTGAAGCTCTTTCTTCGTCTACCCAATTGCCCCACTCTTCTGCTGGTGCATTCCAATCAGAGTTGGGATCAGCAGAAGACAGACCATCTAAAATTTAACAGTGTGAATTAGGCGTCTATCATTTTTGCCATAAATTAAAAGGCAAAAACTAAAAATTCCTTATGTTCAACTAAGCTGTAATTTTAAGTTATTGTTCTGTCTCCCAAGCACATTTTAAGAGCCAGAAAAAAAAATAACATGAAGGTAACAATCTTTATTCAATTTCTGCTAAGCATATCATATGGTTAAATGGAATTTCTAAGAAATTCCAGAAAATTTATTAGCCATTTGATTCCACTCTCTGTGCTTCCTTTGTTATCAATCTCCTGAATTTCTTTTCTCTATCCATTTTTAACTTGGTCTAGGACCTGGTTGTTTTCTCCCCTGATTATTATAACATTTTTGTAATTGATTTATTGTCTAGGGTTTGGAATTAATTCTTAACAGTAGTACCAAAGTTACAATCCCTACCTGTCATTTTATACTACACCTCTCCTATCCTTATGAGCTTTTCAAAATTAGTTTCTTCAAATTCACCAAGTCATGACAATATTCAACCTCTTATTTTTCTCCCCCTTTTTAAATACTTAACCTGTACTTTCTTATATTTTTCAGATCATTCAATGTGCTTTTTATCCAATCATTTCAAAAACATTTGAATAACTTTCAGGGCTTCAATCATCATTTATTATCAAAAATAAATTTTATTCTACACTTCCAGATCCCTTTATTTCACTATAGGATGCACTGAATTTTTAACTCCTTGAGGAAGCTATCAATGACTTATTCTAAAAGGAGAAACCAGTCTTTGCCTTTAACCAGATTAAATAAGTAGCTCTCAAAGTTAATTCTTCCCTTCTCTCCCTGCACATCATATACTCCTATATATGTTCCTGTAAATCTACTTATAGTCAGGTTTCATTTACAATGGTTTAAGATGACAAAGGTTAGGCTTTATTTCCAAATGGTTAACAAGTTGTCCCAACAATGCTTAAATGAAAAATCCAATCATTTCCCACTAATACCTAATGCTACTCTTATCAAACACTCAATTCTTTCTTTATTTTTTTCCCCAAGACGGAGTCTTGCTCTGTCGCCCAAGCTGGAGTGCAGTGGCATGATCTCAGCTAACTGGAACCTCTGCCTCCCAGGTTCAAGTGATTCTCCTGCCTCAGCCTCCCGAGTAGCTGGGATTACAGGCATGCGCCACCACACCTGGCTAATTTTTGTATTCTTAGTAGAGACAGGGTTTCACCATGTTGGCCAGGCTGGTCTCGAACTCTTGATCTCGTGATCTGCCTGACTCAGCCTCCCAAAGTGCTGGGATTATAGGCGTGAGGCACCACGCCCAGCAATGCTCAATTCTCTTTTTTTTTTGAGATGGAGTCTCACTCTGTCACCCAGGCTAGAGTGCAGTGGCACGATCTCGGCTCACTGCAACCTCCGCCTCCCGGGTTCAAGCGATTCTCCTGCCTCAGCCTCCCAAGTAGCTGGGATTACAGGCGTGCACCACCACACCCGGCTAATTTTTGTATTTTTAGTAGAAACAGGGTTTCACCATGTTGGTCAGGCTGGTCTCGAACTCCTGACCTCTTGATCCACCTGCCTCAGCCTCCCAAAGTGTTGGGATTACAGGCGTGAGCCACTGTGCCCGGCCTTACTCAATTCTTTTATATGCACTTCAGTCTGTTTCTGCAATTTCTATTCTATTCCACTGATCTATTCCTGGGACAGTGCTATACATAACTCTGCAATACATTTTTATATCTAGAAGGACAAATTTGTTTGCATTACTCTTATTTAGTACTCCTATTTACTTTCTGCTAGTCTTATTTTTCCAGGTGAACTCTATTATTGTTTTTGTTTAACAGGAATATATAATACATTCTTATGAAAGTTTTAAAATCTAGGTTTTGGAAGAATATATAATAATCTGGGAAAACGCTCACAGAAAAAAAATCATAGACAAAATTGTCTACACAGTATGATCTCAAATTTATGAGGAAGAGACAGAAAAAAATAAAACATTATATGTATATAATATATATATATTTTCTTAGTTTAAGAGACAGGGTCTTATTCTGTCACCCAGGCTGGACTGCAGTGGTATAATCATAGTTCACTGCAGCCTTAACCTCCTGGGGCTCAAGTGATCCTCCTGCCTCAGCCTCCTGAGCAGCTGGGACCACAGCCATGTGCCACCATGCCTGGCTAATTTTTAAACTTTTTGTAGAGAAGGGGATTCACTATATTGCCCAGGTTGGAATAATAAATATATTTTAATAGTGAAATTACATCTATCCAATCCTTATTAAGCACTTACTATGTGCTAGAACTTGAGCTAGGTAGGTACTAGAGATAGAAAAACAAGTAAAATAGAATCCTTCTGCACGTGCAGCTTGTAGTCTGTCTATTCAGGGGTGAAGATAGGTAAGCTTAACAAACTATTAAATACAGAGTGACAGATTCTGCCATGGGGGCTGTGGAAACAAAGAAGAGCTAAGCTAGTGGAGGACAGGGAGAGACAACATAAGAATTTATAGCCTAGTGGAGGAAAAACATGGAACAGGTGATTACAAGTGTGAAATGTGTTATAAAAAAGGAAGTTCCTTCCTGTATTTCTAAATTCACCACCATGAGCAAGTATCTGGAGTCAGTATTACATAGTAGCACAGAGGCGAAGAGCATGGGTCTTCATGTCAAACAAATATACATTTGAATATTGTTCTACCACTTAATAACAAGATGATTTTGGTCAAGTTTCTTAATGGGCTCTATTATCAACTTCATAGGATTGCTGAGAGGATTATATGAGATACATGTAAAGCAATTCATGGCAATGCAGTAAGCGCTCAATAAATGGTAGCTACTGTTTTTATTATCACTGATGATATTAAAACCAGTTTCTAATCTATAAGGCATGTATAGTTAAAAATTTATTTCTCACAATTCTGATGAACCTCTCATTAAGATATACTTCATATGTAAGATATACTTCAATTCAGTCTAGTAGATGTCTGGAACCAACTACTCATCTTATACCAACCATTCATTAATAATACTTTAGGAGGTTCACATACCAAGCTATCAGTGGCTTTGCTTAAATCTCACAGATAAGAAACCCAGATTTTGAAAATTGCCGTCCATAAGCCATGTCTCTAAGACTTCTTGCCAGAAAAGAAACTATTAAGCAGAAGAAAGTTTAGGCAATTGAGTGGGCAATATACCAACATGTCACCCATTTTCTTAATACATGTGGTAGGAGGTGGAGGTGAAAAATAAAAATCGAGTAAAATGCTTAGTAAAAGTATTTTTTATGACAGGGTCTCGCTCTATTGCCCAGGCTGGAGTGCAGTGGCAAGATCATGGCACACTGTAGCCTAGACTTCTCAGGCTCAAGTGATCTTCCACTTCAGACTCCTGAGTAGCTGGGACTACAGGCATGCGAACCACGCCCAGCTAATTTTTTTTTGTAGAGATGGGGTCTCACTATGCTGCCTAGGCTGGTCTTGAACGCGTGGGCTCAAGAAATCCTTGCACCTTGGCTTCCCAAAGTGCTGGGATTACAAGTGTGAGCCATGGCACCGGCCTGGGTAACTAATTCTTAAGATTCATAGGCCTAATGTACCAAAAAACTTCTTAGACATAGTTCCCTTAAAAATGATTCACAGTATAGTTTGCTTCAATTATAATTTCTTATCGCTAAAGTTTTCCATTAGTCTGCCAATGTCTTTTCAAAGAGCCATACTGGTTTTCTTTTCAAAAGGGTAAGGAATTTGTCTCTTCATTTAATTTGCTTATGGAATAACATTTTAGGTTTAAGTATCTCTTCGCTAGTCTTTATTTGGTTGTCAGCTGTTTCTTGTCAGAACTTAATTCTTTTCAAAGAGCCATACTGGTTTTCTTTTCAAAAGGGTAAAGAATTTGTCTCTCCATTTAATTCACTTATGGAATAATGTTTTAGGTTTAAGCATCTCATTGCTGGTCTTTATTTGGTTGTCAGCTGTTTCTTGTCAGAACTTAATTCAATGTAAACTTTAATAACTTTTTAATAAAAGAAAACAATTATGTTAGACATTCTCCAGTGTTAACAACATTGGGTTAGTTAACCACATTGGTTAGACTAATTTTGCCACTAGAAGGATACCAACAGCAGTACTTACTGCATATTTACTATATGTGAGGCAGTGTTCTAAGAGCTTTATATGTATTAACTCATTTAATCTTCTCAGCCGTACTGTTTGGGAGGAATTGTTATTTTTACAGAGAAGGAAATTGAGGCATAGAATAATCATGTAACCTGCATATGGGCAAAGGCAGGGAAGTTAAGATTGAAACCCAGGTAGTCTGTCCTGAAAGCTCATGCTCTCAACCACTCCATTATGCTGAAGCGAATTCATTCACCCCTGTGTGCCAAGAAAAAGTTCTATTCAACATCTGACTTTTTACATGGGTTACAATAATGCTGTTCCTTTATGGTCAAGATAGTAATAGATTAATGTATGTCTTCAAACTGGAGGGCCAATATGTTAATTATATCATACTGTAAATGTAAATCTAATGTAATATACTTTGTGGATTTGTAATCTAAAATACTAAATCATTCATTTTAGAAATTCAGAAGTAATAACTAAATTCACTGAGCACCAAAAATAGAGCTGCATTAAAGATGGTGACACAGAAAATAAAGTTTACAGAGAAAATGTTAAAGAGAAACTCTGGACTTAAAAAGACTGCCAATACAGCATAACAAACTTGAGGAAGATGGTGTTTCTGATACATATTACTTTGATTAAGTATAGAATCCTGTGGATACATGTTTTAAAAATCTTTTATTTTAGCAGCTAATCATGTTTTTCATATTCAAAGTATCTTAATATGGATAAAATAAAAAGTGCATCTACTCTGTCCAAGCAGGAAAGCCTGGAGACCTGTCCACTCAATTTTCCTCTGCCTCAACCCACAGCAGCCCAAGATACCTTACTGCTATTTTCCTATAGTCACTCCTATCATTGTTATAATCATCCTCAATTCTATTCTGCATATAGCTGATAATTCTTCCTAAAGCACAAATATACTGTTTATTTTTTTCCCCAAAAATAGTGCTTTCACATCCTTGTAAAACCTTGGATTTAAATACTTCATACACAGTCAGCCCTGCGTATCCATGGGTTTTCCATTTGTGGGTTCAAAAATATTCAGGAAAAAAAATGAATGAACTGTGTCTGTACTGAATATGTACACACTTTTTTTTCTTGTCATTATTCCCTAAACAATACAGTATAACAACTATTTACACTGTATTAGTTACTACAAGTAATCAAGAGATAATTTAAAATATATGGGAAGACATATGTAGGTTATATGCAAATACTATGCCATTTTATCACAGGAGACTTCAGCACCTGGGGATTTTGGTACCTGAGGGGGGTCCTGGAATCAACCCCCCATGGATACTGAGAGATGACTGTAATTTACAGAGCTTTCATGTTCACCCATTATCTCATTAAAGCCTCACAACAACCTATGAAAACAGATATGACACATTATTTGCTCGATTTTACAGCTCCCAGACAAGTGACAAAGCCCTAACCATATGAGGTACTACTACATTTTAGAGTCGGGACTAAAATTCGTATCTACTGTCTAAGCTAGTACTGAAAACCCCCAGCCCCCTAACCTTTAGCCAGCAATTCAAGGCATGCATTTCACAATATGGTCCTCCCTGATCTTTCTCTCCTCATCTCCCTTAATCTGTAAGAACTGTGCTTTAACCACTGTGTCGCCAGCTTACCTTGATGATTACTATCATCACCAAGGCTGTACCAGATAGTGGTTAAGAGCATGAACTCTAGAGCCAGACTAGCAAGGTATGAATACCACCCTCCTCCATTTAACTAACTGTGTGGCCTGGGAAAAGCTAGATAACTTTCCCTTGTCACAACTTTTTCATCTGGAAAGTGTGGAAACAAATAAAACCTACCACATAGAAATGTTTTAAGCATTAAATGAGATAATAAAATCCAAAAGACTAAGACCAGTGCCTGGCACATAGTCCAGTGTTTTTATTGTCATTATTATTACCACCGAACACCTATGTATAAAGGCTTGCACTAGGTCCTGAGTGTATGAAAGAGTGCTAGTCCCCATTTTCAGAGAGTTCTTAACTCTACTTGGAGAAGGAAAACATATGCTTAAAAATGGTGGAAAACCCCACAGGGAACATATAAGTGCTAACAGTAGAAAACAGTAAATAGTAAAAAAGGATGTGAAATAAAAATTCAGACAAAGTACATTTTGAGATTTAGGTTTGTGAGGAAAAAAAACTCATAATTTTTTTTTTTTAAATGAAGACGGCATGAGCTTTCCGAACATACAAACCATATTCTTCCCTTCTAAAATGTCTTCCTTTAACTAAACTTCTACTGGCAACTGGGTTAAGAAAGTAGTTTTCTACCGGCACAAAAATGTGTGTATACTTCACAAATACAAAGCCATTTCTGTATATTTAATTCAGTCTATTATACTACCTAGGAGGAGAAACAGACATTCATTTAAAACAAAAAATTTAAAAACTAGAAATACTACAGAGCAACTAGAAGAAAACTTTGTTTAAATATTGCCTCAATTACGAAAATTCAGTTTTAATTCTACAGGTATTCAATAATCAGGTTTCAAGTAGTACATTTGGTATTAAATTATATTCTTATGACCTTTAAAGGTGAGAAATTAGAATTAAAATTAAAACATAAAGCATGAATTCAGGGTGCTAGAAAGAAAACTCTGAAAAAAAATAACTGATAATTTTTAAAAGGACATACTTAACCCAGACCATTCATCATCGATATAGGGTTGATTACGGCTAACATCCCACTGATAATCAGAAGTGGTAGACTGAGAAACTGGCTCAGCAGTAGACCCTTAAATGAAAAACGAATGCAATAAAATTAAAAATGGAATTTCCTAATGATGTTTCATAACAATAGTTCTATACTTTGACACGGAGACTTTATTTTTAAAATTTCTCCTAAAAGGAAAAATTCAGACATTAGAAAAAGAATTAAGTTAAAAGGAAAAGTAGAATTGAGGGTAATTTTAGATTAACTATGATAATCACTTGATCTAATTCAATGATCAGAAATCTATGTTTTCCCTAGCACCAATCCATTAGATTTTGTGTTTTGTATTATACACCAACTGGTAAGTTACCTATAAATTTCTCTCTTTTTTTTTTTTTGAGACAGGATCTCACTCTGTCACCCAGGCTGAAGTGCAGTGGCATGATCGTGGCTCACTGCAGCCTCAACCTCGCAGGCTCAAGAGATCCTCCTACCTCAGCTGGAACCACAGGCTTGTACCACCATGCTGGGCTTTTTTTCTTTTTTCGAGACAGAGTCTCACTTTGTTGCCCAGGCCGGAGTGTAGTGGCACAGTCTCGGCTCACTGCAATTTCTGCCTCCTCAGCTCAAGCAATTCACCTACCTCAGCCTCCCAAGTAGCTGGGACTACAGGCACACATTACCATACCCAGCTAATTTTTGTATTTTTTGTAGAGATGGGGTTTTACACCATGTTGCCCAGGCTGGTCTTGAACTCCTAGGCTTAAGTGATCCTCCTGCCTCAGCCTCCCAAAGTGCTGGGATTACAGGCATAAGCCACCTTGCCTGGTCTCCTGGCTTATTTTTAAAAAATTTTTCGTAGAGATAGGGTCTTCCCTGTGTTGCCCAGGCTGGTCCTGAACTCCTGGTCTACAGGGATCCTCCTCTGCCTCCCAAAGTGCTGGGATTACAGGCATAAACCACTGTGCCCTGCCTACAAATTTCAAGAAGTCAAAAAAAGTTGTTTTTTCCTTCTTCTTAATGGAAAATAAAACACAATAGAAATCTCTGCCATTGATCATTTTAGTCCTGGATGTTTCAGGGCTATGTATCCTCAGAACCTTGAAAGAGGGAACTAGAAAATGTCTGAGTTAGCTAGCATCTTTTGGCTAAGAAACATTAGAGAAATAGGTGGTTATCTAGAGAGGTGAGGCAGAGAGAAGCCAAAGAGACAAGAAGAGTTGCAGGAGGTCTAGAGACTAAGTTCAAGTGCATTTAAAGAAAACAAAATATTATCTCATAAGTTTTGTCTGTTTTTGTTTTTTCTCAGGTGAGGGTAGTAGGTCGGGTGAGAGTGGGTTCACATAGTCTTTTAGGAACCTGATGAAAGCTGTGGCAGTCTACTATCCAGAGCTTAACACAAAATTCTGCATATAGTTTTGGGGGCATATGAGTTCACTGATGCCAGGTCAAACCCCTTGCTTTATAGATATAAATTCACTTTAGGATGCAAATGTAAAGCAGTGGTTTTCCATCAGGCGTGCGCACACACACATACACCCCTTCTGAATTGGAATTTACATGTGTACTGGAGTCCTTAGATGACTCTGATATGTATTTTGGATTCAGAGCCACTGTATAAAGAAATGGTTAGGAAGAAAAGATACTTGGTTAGTATAAAAGTGTTACATACAATCACGTCCTCCCACGTGAGTCCTTACTACTAATTTATAAATTTCTTCTTGGTTACAGATGATCTTACCAGCAGCATTCCACTAATATATTATCTGCTTGATATACTCTCTCTATATGTATGTTTAATATGTATATTTTAATGTAAACTTTAACAGAGTAACCCTATAAACAGAGTAACCCTATAAAATTCACATGTATTAATATATTAGCTGCTTAGAAGCAGTACTGTAACACTGGTGCTATTCCTTTGGCAGCCCACACGGCTTTCTCTGCATATATGAAGGGAATAGCATGTGTGTTGTACAGAGTCACCAAATGAGGAAGCAATAAACTTGTACCTCTGGAAATGAAATGTAGTCTATGAGACCAGAGTTTAGCAAACTATGACTCACAGACCAAATCCAACCATCCGGTTTTTATATGGTCCATGAGCCAAGAATAGTTCTTACATTTTTAAATGGTTAAAAAAAAAATCAGGCCAGGTGCGGTGGCTCATGCCTGTAATCCCAGCACTTTGGGAGGCCAAGGCAGGTGGATCACGAGGTAAAGAGATGCAGACCATCCTGGCTAACACGGTAAAACACTGTCTCTACTAAAAATACAAAAAATTAGCCGGGTGTGGTGGCACGTGCCTGCAGTACCAGATACATGGGACGCCGAGGCAGGAGAATCGTTTGAACCAGGGAGGCGGAGGTTGCCGTGAGCCGAGATTGCGCCACTGCACTCCAGCCTGGCAACAAAGCGAGACTCCGTCTCAAAAAAAAAAAAAAAAAAAAAAACCGAAATAATAATATTTTGGAACCAGAAAGTCATTTGCTTACTGTCTCAGGTTGCTTTCCTGTTACAACAGCAGGGTTGAGTAACTGCAATAGAGGCTGCACGGCCCACAATGCCTAAAATGTTTACTATCTGTCCCTTTATACAAAAAGTTTGCTGACCCCCTTTCTAGGTTAGTGATTCCAGACGCTGCGGAACTACAAAATTAGTAAACTGGGTCCACAAAAAAAAAATATATATATATATATATATATTTTTTTTTTTGTGAGACAGAGTCTCACTCTGTCACCCAGTCTGGAGTGCAGTGGAGCAATCATGGCTCATTGCTCATTGTAGCTTCAACCTCCTGGACTAATGCGATCCTCCCACCACAGCCTCCTGAGTAGCTGGGACCACAGGCAAATACCACCATGCCTGGCTAATTTTTCTTTAACTTTATGTGGTGATGTAGTTGCCCAGGCTGGTCTTGAACTCCTAGGCTCAAGTGATCTTCCCACCTCAGCCTCGCTACGTGCTGGGATTAGAGATGTGAGCCACCACACCTGGCCTCCCATATTTATGTAATATTTGTTAAATACATGTAGTTTCTATATGATTAATAAAACATATATCCATTTAAGTAATGCAGAATTAACAGTAGTTTATTAGTAATCATGTATTTTATAAATCTACAGATACTTATAGTTATTATGTGGGAATCCATAACCTGAAAGGGTTAGTTTTAAACTCATGATGAGTAACGGTGAACAGAAGTAAAATGTCAAATTGTAACTAAAAGTATGGCAGGACTACATTAGCAACAGAAGAATATGAACCTGAATGGAAGGCCTTGCATGTGTATTTGTCTGTGTGCCAATACACTGTCAGTGATCTCAAGCTACAGAATCCTTACTCCCCTAGAGAGGGGAATTAAGCCATTTGCACATAAGAATTTAGGTCTTCTCTTCCTGTTGTAAAGGCCTCTGCCACTTTATAATACCTGCTATTTATATTGATAGCAGTACTTGATGTTGATTAGTTTTTCAAATAACAAGCACTAAAATTAAACAAATGTTTTTGTTAGCTGAACAAAAGACTGTTTTTCACATACCAGAAACAGCAGAGTTAAGTGTGAGAGATGCAAAAGAAGCAGAATTCTGTTCAGAGGTATTCATTCCCCTATCCACACTAGACCAAGCAGCTGTTAAAATAAAAAACATCACTTGGAACCTTCAACTTGCATCAGACTTGAAAGATATGTAAAGATTTAAAACTATGAGACTATTTAAAGATAACCTTAGAAATGAGAACCACTTAATATAGTAATAGCTACTATTTACTGAATATTTATTACGTAGCTGGGCCCCTTACACCAACCACTTCTAATCCTTACAGAAACTTTGCTAGGCAGTTTTGGAGCAATTAAGTGACTTGCTGATAGCTAGAAAACAGCTGAGCCACGAATGCAGCTTAAGTCAATTCCCAAAGCCTATGCTCTTTTCCACTATACCAAGCTGCATTATTATTTATCATAATTAAGCAACTACTTTGGGATAGCACTGAACTTGGTACTTGACTTTCATTACAACAAATCCTCACAATTACATAAGTATGAGGTTCATACAGGTTAAATAACTAGCCTGAATGTCCATAAAAGCTATCATGTAGAAGAATAGAGATTCATACCTAATAGATCTGTCTGAACCAGTCCCTGTTCACTCCTCTATACCATGCTACTTTCTCAATATTTTCAAGACATTTCTTATTTTAAAGAACGTAAACCTCCATGAGACGAGTCACATCTGTCTCTTTCCAGTGACCCATTACAAATCTAATTTAATATAGTTCCCTTTCATTTTCCATAAAAGTCCTAGTCTATCTAGGCAGGAACTCTAATTTGCTGTTTAATATTATCTGTAACAACATTAAGCAAATACCATCTAATTTATGTCCTAATTATGAAATGCTATATAACTTTTACAAGTAAATTGTAGGCTGGGCGGAGTGGCTCATGCCTCTAAACCCAGCATTTTGGGGGGCCGAGGCGGGCAGATTATGAGGTCAGGAGTTCAAGACCAGCCTGGCCAACATGGTGAGAGCCTATTTCTACTAAAAATACAAAAATTAGCTGGGCATGGTGACACGTGCCTGTAATCCCAGCTACTCAGGAGGCTGAGGCAGGAGAATTGCTTGAACTGGGACCCGGGAGGTGAGGTTGCAGTGAGCCAAGATTGTGCCACTGCAGTCCAGCCTGGGTGACAGAACAAGCCTCCATCTTAAAGAAAAAAAAAAAAAAAGGCAGCAGCAAATTGCAAATTGTAAATATCCCAAAAGGTCACACGGTTCCTAACATTACTCCATAAAATTCAACCATTTCTTTTACCAAATATGAAAGGATGCTTTATAGCACAGAAATTAATGCTTTCTTCTCTGCTAAAAATGAGAGTGGGAATTTAGGGAAGGTCTTTTTTTTTTTCTTTTTGAGAGGGAGTCTCGCTCTGTTGCCAAGGCTGGAGTGCAGTGGCTCGACCTTGGCTCACTGCAATCTCCGCTTCCCAGGTTTAAGCAATTGTCCCGTCTCGGCCTCCCGAGTAGCTGGGATTACAGGCACGTGCCACCATGCCCAGCGATTTTTTTGTATTTTAGTACAGACAAGGTTTCACCATGTTGCCCAGGCTGGTCTTGGAACTCCTGGGCTCAGGCGATCTGCCAGCCTCAGCCCTGCAAAGTGCCAGGATTACAGACATGAGCCACCATGCCCAGGCAAGGGAATGTCTCTTTCAAACAAGTTTTGATACCGCTACACAATTTTTCAATATAATGGGGAGGAAGGGAGAGCAAGCTTAAAAACAATATAATTAAATGATCTGGTGTTTGATTTTTGAGGGTGTTAGCTTTAAAAGAGAGGGGCCAGTGTTGGTGGCTCACACGTGTAATCCCAGTACTTTGGGAGGCTAAGGCAGGTGGATCACCTGAGACTGGGAGTTCGAGACCAGCCTGACCAACATGGAGAAACCCCATCTCTACTAAAAATACAAAATTAGCCAGGCGTGGTGGCGCACGCCTGTAATCCAGGCTACTCAGGAGGCTGAGGCAGGAGAATTGCTTGAACCCGAGAGGCGGTGGTTGTGGTGAGCCGAGATCGTGCCATTGCACTCCAGCCTAGGCAACAAGGGCAAAACTCCATCTCAAAAAAAAAAAAAAGTTCCAGAAAAAGCCTAACAACAAAGGAAGAAATATTTTTCTACTTACATACTAAAACTAAAAAGTTTCTAGTATCTATTGCTCCCTCAAATTAGAGCAGATAAAAATATCTGCCATAAGCACAAGAGAAAAAATCGTATGTTTAATGCACAAGAAAGTATAACTAGATTTAAAAAATAAAATAGTAGGCAGATGTGGTGGCCCACATCTGTAATCCCAGCACTGTGAGAAGCCGAGGCAGGTGGATCACTTGAGCCCAAGAGTTTGAGACCAGCCAGGGCAACATGGCGAAACTGTCTCTACAAAAAAATACCAAAATTAGCCAGGTGTGGTGGCACATGCCTGTGGTCCCAGCTACTAAGAAGGCTAAGGCAGGAAGATCTTTTGAGCCCTGGAAGTCGAGGCTGCAGTGAGCAATGATCACACCACTGCACTCCAGCCTGGACAACAGAGTACGACCCTGTCTCAAAAAATTAAAAACAAAACAAAACAAAAAAACATGAAGAGCTCATTAGACAAATGGGAAAATAACAAGAACAGACAATTCATAAAAGAAATAGAAATGACCAAGAAACGGCTGGGCATGGTGGCTCACGCCTGTCATCCCAGTACTTTGGGAGGCCAAGGTAGGTGAATCATGAGGTCAGGAGTTTGAGACCAGCCTGGCCAACATGGCCTGTCTCTACTAAAAGTACAAAAATTAGCCGGTTGTGGTGACAGGCCCCTGTAATCCCAGCTACTTAGGAGGCTGAGGCAGGAGAATCACTTGAACCTGAGAGGTGGAGGTTGCAGTGAGCTGAGATTGCACTGCACTCCAGCCTGGGCGACAGAGCGAGACTCCGTCTCAAACAAACAAACAAGCAAACAAAAAAAGAAATGACCAAGAAAGTTGTGGAAAACTTTTCAATCTCATCAGTGATTTCAAAAAGTTAACCAAAATAATTTACGTACTTTTTGCTTATCGAATTAGAAAAGGCGGAAAAAAAAAATCCCCAACCTTGGTAAGCATATGATAAATGGGCACTTATACTGATGCTTTGAGTATAAATTAGAACAACTCTCTTAGAAAATACTTAGGCACTATGTAGTAGAGCATTACAAACATCCATATTCCCTTTAATCCAATATCACTCACAAGACTCTGTCCTTAAGAAATAACCGCAAAACATGGCCAGGTGTGGTGGCTCACACCTGTAATCCCAGCACTTTGGGAGGCTGGGGTAGGAAGACAACTTGAGGTCAAGAGTTCTAGACCAGTGTGGCCAACATGGTGAAACCCCACCTCTACTAAAAAAATACAAAAATTAGCCAAGTGTGGTGGTGTGCGCCTGTAATCCCAACTACTCGGGTGGCTGAGGCATGAGAAATGCTTGAACCCAGGAGGCAGAGGTTGTAGAGAGCTGAAATCATGCCACTGCACTCCAGCCTGGGTAACAGAGAGAGACCCCATCTTAAAAACCACAACAAAAAAATCCCAAACAAATATATTCCGTGAAACATTATCTACAATGGTTAAAAAAAGGAAAATTGGCTGGGCGCCGTGGCCTGTAATCCTAACACTTTAGAAGGCCGAGGTGGGTGGATCACTTGAGGTCAGGAGTTTGAAACCAGCCTGGCCAACATGGTGAAACCCCGTCTCTACTAAAAATACAAAAAAATAATTAGCTGAGTTTGGTGGCGTATGCCTGTAATCCCAGCTACTTGGGAGGCTGAGGCAAGAGAATTGCTTGAACCCAGGAGGCAGAGGGTGTTGTGAGCCGAGATCATGCCATTGCACTCCAGCGTGACAGCGACAGAGTGAGACTCCATCTCAAAAAAAAAAGGAAAATTACTTCTTGAATAATATGGGAATAGTTAAGTAAGTTATGCTATCCTTAAACATTATAGGGCCATTAAATATACTTACAAAAAGTAAGGAAAATGTTTATGTTACAATGTTAAGTGGGGACTAGGGGAGACATAAACATGCATATTCAACTTGAATTACATCAAAAACAAAAACACTAAAGCAAAACTATAGGCCGGGTGCGATGGCGCACGCCTGTAAATCCCAGCACTTTGGGAGGCCGAGGCTGGCAGATCATCTGAGGTCAGGAGTTCACGATCAGCCTCGCCAACATGGCAAAACCCCGTCCCTACTAAAAATAGAAAAATTAGCCAGGTATGGTGATGCCATGTCTATAATCCCAGCTACTCGGGAGGCTGAGGTAGGAGAATCGCTTGAACCCGGGAGGTGGAGGTTGCAGTGAGCTGAGATCGCGCCACTGCACTCCAGCCTGGGAGACAGAGCAAGACTCCATTAAAAAAACAAACAAACAAACAAACAAAAAACAACAAAAAACACTATATACAGTTGCGGGCAGGAGAAAGGGAGGGAGAAGAAATATAAATAACAGCAGTTGTCACTAGGTGGCATTTTGGGATTTTCCTTATCATTTTGCAATTGCCCACATGTAATGTGGATTTCTTTTCTATAATACACACACACACACACACAAACACACACACACACAAATTAAGCTGCTTTTAACTTGATAGCTCTCAACAGAAATAAACTTCTCAACTACTGGTCTTTATATTAAAATCCGGAGGAAAATTTAATTATAAATAGGCACCATGCAGACTGTAAAATATAAGTGGATGTTATCAACTGTACTTCCATTTACTATTTTTATTTAGACTCAACAGAATTGTTGAAATTAATCAAAAAGTCTACCCACACATTACATGTATCACATCACTAAGAATATATAATTACACCAGTTAGCTATGTTGATAATCAAATGTGATAAAGTATGTGAAAGCACTATGTAAAGAGTAAATGATGTTATTTACTTATTTAATTCCCACCTTGCTCTACAAAAAGGATGTGAGATGAGTTAATTATTACTATTATTTCTGCAGAGCAGTACTTATTTTTCTATTCATAGTTTTTTTTTCTATTTCTGAAAAATTAAAAATGTACAAGATTAGTAATTTTAAATAAAGTTAAATTTTTCTAACACTTCTTACCAATGCCAGAAAATATTGAACGGTCACTCCAACTCCTTCCCCAGTCTTTTCCATTTGTATTAGCATCTCCAGTGTCTTGACTCCAGGCAGATGGCTCAGTTTTCCTCTTTCCTGCAGAAGCAGGTGAAACGGAGTTCCACTTCTCCTCACCTGCACTGATCTGTGAGGAGAGTTTTACAGACTTTTCATTCCAGCCTCCTCCATTGACAGTGAGGTTTTCATTCAATCCTGAAGAAACTTAAAGAAAAGAAAATGAATATTAAAAAACAGGTACATGACTTCTTAAAACTGGGATATTTTCACATTTCTATGATTGCTTGACTTATATTTATTACTCACTTCCCCTACTATCCTTTGATCACCAAGGATTGCCTTAATTTAAAAACAGGAGGCTTGAACATAACATATATACTAACAAAGTTGTTCACAGCAGAATAACTTGCTCAAAGAAAGTACAACAGAGCAAAGAGGAAAATGACACATATTCTGAATACTCACCCACTAAGAATATGAAGACATTTCCTTAGTTACATGTTCTTTCCTTATTTATATATATTACATTATGTATCAAGCAATGATTCTAAAACCTGGCTGCACATTAAAATTAACTGAAAAATTTATTAACAATAGACCCTGGAGCCTCAGCCCAGACCAATTAAAATCTGAATCTTTGTGGTGGAGCCCAGGTATCATTATATATGTAGAGTGTATGTATGTACACACACACAAATACACATAGGTGTGTGTATAGATAAGTACCTGTTTCTTTTTACATATATGTGTGTACATGTTGTTTTTTACAGCTTCCTGGATAACTAATGTGTAGCCAGGGTTGAGAATCATGGGCATGAAGGAAGCTGACAGTGCTAAGAACAAGCACTGAAAAGTGTGAAATGAGGCTGGGCGCAGTGGCTCACACTTGTAATCCCAGCACTTTGGGAGGCTGGGGGCAGGCAGATGACCTGAGGTCAAGGGTTCAAGACTAGCCTGGCCAACATGGTGAAACCCTGCCTCTACTAAAAACACAAAATTAGCCAGGCGTAGTTGCAAGTGCCTGTAATCCCAGCTACTCAGGAGGCTGAAGCAGAATTGTTTGAACCCAGGAGGCGGAGGTTGCAGTGAGCCGAGATTGTGCCATTGCACTCCAGCCTGGACAACAAGCAAAACTCTGTCTTTAAAAAAAAAAAAAAAAAGCCTGATGCCTGTAATTCCAGCACTTTGGGAGGCTGCAGTGGGTGGATCACCTGAGGTCAGGAGTTCGAGACCAGCCTGGCCAACAAGGTGAAACCCCATCTCTACTAAAAAATAAAAAAATTAGCCAGGTATGGTGGTGGGCGCCTGTAATCCCTGCTACTCGGGAGGCTGAGGCAGGAGAATTGCTTGCACCCGGGAGGTGGAGGTTGCAGTGAGCCAAAACCATGCCATTACACTCCAGCCTGGGCAACAAGGGTGAAATTCCATTTCCCAAAAAAAAAAAAAAAAAGGCCTGAAAGAAGAAGGTGCTTTTTTCATTTCCAATTTTATTTTACTACAACACTTTTGTTTTCAGGTCAGGCATAACACTCTACTTAATTCAATCTTTATCATAAATGAGTAAATAAAACATATTTTCTATTTATAAAGCAATGAAAAACTTTAGCCTATAATCCATTGTGAAATATTTGATACTTGACTGTCAAGGAAGCAGTTAAAACATTATAGGAACTAAAGCTTTTTTTTTTTTTAACATACAAGCATCAAGTATTTTATCCGATATATGCTATATTAAACCCAAGCCCAACAAAAATCTTTCTTCTCTACTGACTTAAGTGACAAGGTTCAAAGTTGCAATATAAGCGACTACTGAATGTTTTTATATATGGGGGAAAAAGACTAGAACATATCAAAGATCGTTAGAAGTGGGTGTGATTTTTCTTTTTATTTATTTTCCAAAATCTCTGTACTGTGATTATGTTACTTTATTAATTAAAAATCATTTTAAGACTTTTTTCTTTCCTTCTGTGTCATTCATTTGAGGAAAGAGGTATGTATATAAATTTCTATTTTGATGGGCCTTCAATTTAAGTTACATGTAATTTCTCTCACCCTGAAGTGTAGAATCTCCTTTTCCAGATTTAAAGTTGCTAACTTGAACATTTAGATGAGAATCACCTGGTTAAAATAGAAATAAAATTTATTTAATACTAAATAGGGCACTATGCACATTAAATTAGGAGTAACACATAAATTAATTTTTAATTATTATCTATTATAAATTGCTCCTTCAAGTGCTAAATTCTTCCACTGGAAAAAAGTCAATTTTACAACACATTTCACTTGTTGGTAAGGAACTGAGTTTTCTGGTTACCATATTCTTAGTCAACTAAAATGCCAAAAAGAACCTGGAAAACTGCCTATGTACAGACAGAGTTTGCTATTCTACAACAGTTATCAAGATTATTTTAAGTATGAACTGCAGTATTGGGCTCTGTAATTGGATTCAACTTTGCCACCTCTCAACAACACCCGCTGCCTTTTCAACAATCCTGGAAGCAAACACATCACCTTATGAAGAACTTTGCCAGTATTTGGGACCAGGACTTAGGAAATATGGCAAGAGGTGAGAATACACATTATAACACAAAAATACTATTTCTCTGACACTAAAAAGCATAATGATCACAATGTTTAAAAAAACCAGCATGACATAGGATTGTGCTAGCAAGGATGGCATGCACAAGACAGCGAAAAAGAATCAACAAAAATACTAAAGCATAGCTAATATGTAACAGTGAAAATGGGTAAGTAGAAGTCATTGCTGTACCATGGCAATAAATTCCACCAAGTTATCAAGCAAAAAATAAAAGGTAACAAGGCTAAGAAAATGGTTTGGAAACAACTGAGGTGTGGGGAGGTGGGAAGGTCATTAACAAAAAGACAAGGAAGATACGCCAATGCCTTCCAGCAAATTGAACAGTATCACTTTGCAGACTGGTGTCTCCAGGGTAAAAATGACGGTAATTTAAAGAGTGGGCTACCAAGAAGCCACCAGTATTGGATAGTATGAACATCTGAAATATTAATACTTGAGAGAAAGAACATTAGCTCAATCTTTGAAGTTCTGGTCTAGCTCTATCAAACATCTATAATATTCTCAAAAAGGTGGGGTGATAAGAAATCCAGACACAACCTGCACTCACCAGAACATGCATGATTCATCTTGGAATGAAAGCTCTCAACATGCAAAATGGTGATAAATCATTTCATTTAATAAATGTCTTATCCACTCTAAGGAACAGAGATGCAAGGGAGTTGGGGCAAAGTGATACGCACTAGAAAAGTGGCAACATCATTTTCTCATATGACTCAAGGCAGAAAGGCAAATTTTAATTTAATAGGCCAGTCATTAGGCAATACGTAACAAGTAACACTGCTGGTATTCGGTAAACCGATACATGGTTCACAATACTCTCATGAAGAAGGGTATATCAGCACAATGATGTTAGCATTCAAAATAGTCAGATTTTGACATAATGATATTTTGTACATCCGAATAAAAGGAGTTTGATTTGATGTACCACTGTCTTATGTTCCACTAATATACCTTTATTCTTCTTGGAACCAACAGGAAATGATGCGGTTGTAAGTTGCTCGGTGGTAACTGTGATGGTATTTTCTATCCCAGGGATAGTTGAATCCAATGAACCAGAATCAGTCAGCACCTTATCACGTTTACGCTGCTGTCGTTTCTCTCTGTGACTAATTTTAGTTTCCCAGGCTCCTGACATAGCCCCAGAAAAAAAATGTTATTCAGTAAGGGGAAGACAAAAAAGTTATAGTTTTGGGGGAGAATATGGGGTGGAGCACATAAAATATCATGATAAATTTAGATGTTAAGCTAAAACCAAGAGTGTTGATTATATTAACTCATCCTAAGAATGTTTTCTAATTTCATTATGTTGTTTTAGGCAACTGTTATTATTTATTCTGGTAATTTTTATCAAATCTGTCATCTATGGTTTAGAAAAAGTGATATATATAAGTCATCTTGTCTATCTTTTTTTATCTTGCTAGGTAGAAGTGACAGGAGTATTATATATAATCACTAATAAATGGGTTTATTAGGTGGTGATAATAAATGGTATATTTAAGAACCACGGGGGAAAAACAAACAAACCATAATTCCAGGAGACAAAGACAAGATGAATGACTTTTTAATTGCTCAAAATACTGAGCTTGACTTTAAATTTCAGGGCAGTTCCCTTCAGAAAAAGCACTACTGGATCCTTAACAAAAGCGTTTCCTAACAGTGTCACAGCTCTATATATTAAGGTCTACAGTAATAAAAAAGAAGAGCTAAACACAAAATTAAGTAAAACAAATGCAGCTTTTATATAATACACTTTGATAAAAAAGGATTAAAAAATTTTCTACAGTCCTTTCCCTTGCTCAAGTACCTTCATCAACTTCCTTTCCATCATGGCGTGAACTGTTTTGCACTGCTTTAGCATCTGACTTTGATTTCTTCTTATTTTTCTTTGACTGAAAGTAAAATAGAATGTTACTTAATATTTTGTTATGTTTTTGAATAAGTAGGAGTCAGTAAAATACATAATGAAATGTATGATGCTGACAACTAAAAAAAAATTAATGTTTGATTTAAAAAACTTAACATATTAAGTGGCAAAAATAATCATATGAGGTTACCATTGAGTGAGTGGTTACTATGTGTTAAGTATTCTGTACTCATTTTCTTATTTATTCCTTAAAAGAAACTTGCTGGAGAAGGTATTAGTCCCATTTTAGAGATGAGGAAATGAAAACTTAGAGATGTTAAATATTAACTAAATTGTTACCACATCATATTGTTAGTAAACTAAGTCATAATTAGGAACTAGGTCTGTCTGGCTCCAAAGCCTGTGCCCTTCCACATCATGCTAATATAAGTTACGTCATAAATACAGTACTGTAATACGGTGTTTTCAAAGCAATAAAATTAAAACCTATTGCAACATATTCAGATGAAAAATTATGTGGTGATTATCAGTTTTTGGATTGCATAAAGCAGATTGTTGCTGTATCCTATGTATAACAAATTAATGAGTCAATTGTACATAGCAGGTAATATTTTGTCAGTTTCAAAGCAATGTGAAAATACCTAGGATTTGTATACAGATGTTTAATACTTCAATCCAGATAAAATACCTATACGCATACAAGTTATGGCTGTTTTCGAATGATATTCCAATTCCCTTCTCCTAATATTATTCTATCCTTTCAAAAGCTTGCTA
This sequence comes from Homo sapiens, assembly GCF_000001405.40. Taxonomy (NCBI): domain Eukaryota; kingdom Metazoa; phylum Chordata; class Mammalia; order Primates; family Hominidae; genus Homo; species Homo sapiens. Next base: position 97,685,918 of record NC_000008.11, on the reverse strand, counting down.
AAAACGAAATAAGCCATAATTTCTGTATTTCAATAAGTGCTTCCAAAAGAGAATTAACGTTTATAAAATAGTATTTTTATACTTTGTATTCACTTATTTAGCTATTTATTGAGATCAGCTATGTATATACTACTGCACACTATCTTTTTTTTTTTTTCTGAGATGGAGTCTTGCTCTGTCACCCAGGCTGGAGTGCAGTGGCGTGATCTCGGCTCACTGTAACTTCCACCTCCTGGGTTCAAGCAATTCTCCTGCCTCAGCCTCAGGAGTAGATGGGATTACAGGCACCTGCCACCATGCCTGGCTAATTTTTGTATTTTTAGTAGAGACAGGGCTTCACCATGTTGGCCAGGCTGGTCTCAAACTCCTGACCTTGTGCTCTGCCCGCCGTGGCCTCTCAAAGTACTGCACACTATCTTAAAGGCAGTAAATGAATCTGAGCAAGTGAGTAAGCAATGACAGAAAACTGCTTTTCCTACCAATAAAAAACCTGCATATATGCTCAAGTGACATGATCTATTCAAAGTGATTAAAAATTGTCTTTGACAAGAGATTACATTAAAAAAATAAATTTTTTTTACTGACCTCATAATTGATTTGCATTGTTCATTTTGCTGCATGTTCTCATTATCATTAACATGTATGTTTAATACACTGTTTTATTACAGTATGTATAATTAATATACTGCTTTATTACATGTACTAAACTAGACTCATATCCACTTAAAAAAAAAAGATATGTGGAGATATCCACATACCATAATAGTCACCCTTTTAAAGGTACACAATTCAGTGGTTTTTAGTATATCTGAAGTTGCACAACTATCAAAATTATTATTTTTTGGTTTTTTTTGAGACGGAGTCTCGCTCTGTCACCCAGGCTGGACTGCAGTGCCATGATCTCAGCTCACTGCAACCTCTGCCTCCCAGGTTCAAGCAATTCTCCGGCCTCAGCCTCCCGAGTAGCTGGGATTACAGGTGCCCACCACCACATCTGTATAATTTTTATATTTTTAATAGAGATGGGATTTCACCATGTCAGCCAGGCTGGTCTCGAACTCCTGACCTTAAGTGATCCGCCTTGGCCTCCCAAAGTGTTGGGATTATAGGCGTGAGCTGCTCCCAGCCTCAAAATTATTATTTAATCCCCAAAAAGAAACTCTGTAATGATTAGCGTTTACTCCCAGCTCCTCTTTTCTCACTGGCAACCATGATTCTACTTTCTGTCTTTGTCTTTACCATAGCCGCTCTTAAGTAAAGGTAACATATTGAACATCTGTCAACTACAGTTGAGCAGAGGCAGCAAACTTTTTCTGCAAAGGATCAAATAGTAAATATGTTAGGCTTTGCAAGCCACAGGGTTTTGGAGCAACCACAGAACTCTGCTCATATAGCATGAAAGCAGCCACATACAATTTATAAACAAAGGGGTGTGACTATGTTCCAATAAAATTTTATTTACAAAAACAGGCATCTGTCTGGATTTGGGGTGTCAGAGTTTGCTATCCTTGGTCTAGAGCAGTGCTGGCCAACAGAAATATAATGCAAACCACATATATATTTTTAAAAATTTCTAGTAGACACATTTTTAAGTTAAAATAGGTGACAATTTTAACACAACGTATCTATAATACTGTCATTTCAACATGGAACTCATATAAAAAAAGCAACACAATAAGATAGTATGTAAAAGAAAACAAAGTAAGTCTTCGAAATCTGGCATGTATTTTACACTTAACAGCAATCTCAATTTGGACTAGTCGTTTTTTTTTTTTTTTTGAGAAGGAGTTTTTCACTCTTGTTGCCCAGGCTGGAGTGCAATGGCGCGATCTCAGTTCACCGCAACCTCTGCCGCCTGGGTTCAAGCGATTCTCCTGCCTCCTGGGTTCAAGCGATTCTCCTGCCTCAGCCTCCTGAGAAGCTGGGATTACAGGCATGCGCTACCATGCCCAGCTAATTTTGTATTTTTAGTAGAGATGGGGTTTTTCCATGTTGGTCAGAGTGGTCTCAAACTTCCAACCTCAGGTGATCCACCCGCCTCGGCCTCCCAAAATGCTGGGATTACAGGCGTGACCACAGCGCCCGGCCGGACTAGTCACATTTTAAGTGCTCAATATCCACACGTGGCAAGTGGCCACTATACTGGACAGTGCAGGTCCACAGGAACTAAAGTAGGTATCCCCATTTTACACATAGAAACTGAGGCCATAAAAAGTGTTTAAGATTGCTGAGTGCGGTGGTTTACACCTGTAATCCCAGCAATTTGGAAGGTTGAGGTGGGAGGATCACTTGAGCTCAGGAGTATGAGACCAGCCAGGGCAACACACAGGGAGATTCTCTCTCTTAAAAAAAAAAAATCAGTGGGGGTGGCGGCATGCAACTGTGGTTCCAGCTACTTGGGAGGCTGAGGTGGGAGGATCACTCAAGCCTGGGAGGTTGAGGCTGAAGTGAGCTGTGATCATGTCACTGTATTCCAGCCTGGGTAACGGGGTGAGACCCTGTCTCAAAAAAACTCCAAAAAACAAACAAACAAAAAACAAAGAAAAGTGTCTAAGAGGCTGGGCGTGGTGGCTCACGCCTGTAACCCCAGCACTTTGGGAGGCTGAGGCGGGCAGATCCTGAGCTTAGGAGATCGAGACCATCCTGGCTAACATGGTGAAACCCATCTCTACTAAAAATACAAAAAATTAGCCAGGTGTGGTGGCACGTGCCTGTAGTCCCAGCTACTCGGGAGGCTGAGGCAGTAGAATCGCTTGAATCTGGGAGGCAGAGGTTGCAGTGAGCTGAGATCGCTCCACTGCACTCCAGCCTGGGTGACAGAGAGAGACTCCATCTCAAAAAAAAAAAAAAAAAAAAAAAAAAAAAAAAAAAAAGTGTCTAAGAGCATCATAGGGTAAAGTGGTGAAACTAGGACTAAATTCCAGTTCTGATCCACTTTACCCTTGCAAATAACCTCTTATTTAGTCTCCCCACATTTAACTCTAAATACAAATTTAATCATACATTAGCTATGTGACTTTGGGCTAAATCATTCTAAACCCTGTTCCCCACCCGTCATATGGACAAAAATTCCTACTAACCTCATATAAGGTTATTTTAAGAATTAAAACAAAAGGTGAAAAGAGTCTGTTAACGACAAAGTAGTATATATAAATAAGATTTTTTTTTAAGAAGGGAGACTTTGAAAAAATAATAGAAATTATGTTTACAAGGAAATATCTGGGGATTTGTAACTAAAAATCTGTAGAAAAAGATTATCTTAGATTAGGCTTAAATATTATTTGATATTACTACTGCCTTTAAAAGTAATTAACAAAAGGCCAGGTGCGGTGGCTCACGCCTGTGATCCCAGCACTTTGGGAGGCCAAGGCAGGCAGATCACCTGAGGTCAGGAATTTGAAACCAGCCTTGGCCAACATGGTGAAACCCTGTCTCTACTAAAAATAATAAAAATTAGCCAGGCGTGGTGGCGGGCGCCTATAATCCCAGCTACTCGGGAGGCTGAGGCAGGAGAATCGCTTGAACCTGGGAGGCGGAGGTTGCAGTGAGCCAAGACCACACCATTACACTCCAGCCTGGGCGACAGGGCAAGACTCCATCTCAAAAAAAAAAAAAAAAAAAAAAAAAAAAAAAAAAAATATATATATATATATATATATATATATATATATATATATATATATATATAAAGTAATTAACAAGAACACCCATCCCGATAAGATTAAATAAAATAATAGCTTATGAAAAACTTTAAAATAAATATGTGATATATACTGCTATTTGCCCTGGCCATACTACTGAAGCAAACATCTTACTTCTTAGCAGCTCCACTTTAGCTAAGACTTTTGAAGGAAGCTGGTAGCATAAAGCTCTGGCTTCCTTGTTACCACAGTTCTTTTTTCCCTAACTTGTTGTCAGGCTCCACCACAGAACTGAGTGGATAATTAAACTGGTCTTCTCTTAAATGGTCTTCATACAACCAAGATTTATAAAATAACTACTATGTGTCAGACACTGTTTTAGGAGCCGAGTATACATAACTAAATACAAGTCTTTACTGATAGCAACTGCGCTATCATCTAATAGGAGGATGACACGCAAGTGAGACATTAGGAAAAATTCTTATTGGCTGGGCACGGTGGCTCATGCCTGTAATCCCAGCACCTGGAAGGCTGAGGTGGGCGGATTACCTGAGGTTAGGAGTTTGAGACCAGGCTGGCCAACATAACAAAACCTATCTCTACTAAAAATACAAAAATCAGCCAAGCGTGCTGGTGCATGCCTGTAATCACAGCTACTCGGGAGGCTGAGGCAGAAGAATCGCTTGAACCCGGGAGGCGGAGGTTGCAGTGAGCTGAGATCACACCATTGCACTCCAGACTGGGTAACAAGAGCGAAATTCCATCTCAAAAAAAAAAAAAAAAAAAGAAAAAATTCTTATCTTCAAGAGTTTCCTTCCCAATATATCTTATCAATCCAATTAATTTTCATTCTTACTTTAAAAAAAAAAACCGCTGCAGATATTTCCTACCTTTTACAAGGTCTAACTTCCTTACATGACATATGATGTCTTCCACAAATTGATCTCAACCTTACATTCCTTTATTCATACATATGAGCATTTGATTCCTACAAGACTGGTACCTCTTTGAACATTCCTGTTTTTAACCAAGCTGCACTGACTGTGGATTTTTTCTCAGAACAAAGTGCTGGAGTGATTTTCTTTGCACCTGAATCATCTGCTCCCCTACCGATGTTCAATGCCTGAAATGGCCTGTACTCATTTTTTTTTTCTGACCCAGCTCACGTTCCACTCCATTTGCTTTATCTCTACCACTGTCCCCCTTTTCCTTTCCCCTAAATACATATAATCTTGCATCTCAAAACATTTAAAACTGAAAAAGATTTGGTCATTTGTCACAAACTTCCTTGGGACATTTCCAGTATGGCTATACCTTTCCATGTGTTAAAGTGTTCCCAGTTTTCTAATAATAAGCTTCTTAAAAGCAAAAGAACAAGAGATATTTCATTATATTCTCAACAGAATCTCTACTTCCCTTTATTTGAATGCTTCATGATCAGCACTGATAGAAATACGCTTTTGAGGAAGCCTGTCTAGCATTTGAAATTAGCAGGGGTTCAGATACTGCATGAAACTAACGACCTTTAACCCAAAACCTCTGAAATTATTCAAAACAGACATCACTCAATGTATCAGAAGTCATCTCAAAAAATCTGTATGTTAATTTTCCTATTAGCTTTCACTAAATTTCACATTATGTCTTCTTTCCATCTCATATACATAATACAGATATTACCAACAAAGTAGGCTATAGTATAGTCCCATTAGAAAAAAATCTTTGTGTTATATGTTAAGTACATGTATAGGCATGTGTGCACATGTATGTGCATGTATACATACACACACCATAACACTCCTAAAAGAGGAATGAGTTAAATGACAATGAATACATATTCATTGGGACTACAAACAATATTTGCACGTGGAACAGCAAATGGCTCCATTCTTTTAAATCTAGATGATGAGCTGGGTGCGGTGGTACATGCTTGTAATCCCAGCACTTTGGAGGGGCTGAGGTGGGCCGACCGATTGAGGCCAGGAGTTTGAGACCAGCCTGGGCAACACGGCAAAACTGTGTCTCTACAAAAAATAAAAAATTAGCTGGGCATGGTGGTGCACACCTGTAGTCCTAGCTACTCGGCAGACTGAGGTGGGAGGATCACTTGAGCCCAGGAGGTCGAGGTTGCAGTGAGCCAAGATTGCACCACTGCACTCCAGCTTGGGCGACAGAGCAAGACCTTGTCTCAAACGAACAAACAAAAAAACTAGATGACGAAAAGGCTTTGATAAATAATCATTAGATCCACCATTACAACTTTCTAAAACTGCCAAAGATATATACTGAATAAGACAGATTGATAATTCCTTAGGAAATTATGACGAATAAGTTCCAAAAATTCTAGTATCTTATTAGGAGTTACTCAAAATAAGTAAATAAGCAGTGCCAATACTCAATTGCTAATCAATATATGGAACATATGGTAACTCACTTAAATACCTGAGTAAATATGCCAGATAAAGGGGTCTGCTATCACTCTTGTAACAGCGGGTTAAATAAGCTTGTTGTTCTCATACTTCCATGGGAAAAAATTGAGCATATACCCCAAGATATTTGTTTATAAATTTTATACACATTCTACTACACTGATAGTGTATACATTTGTAAAATATAACTATTTTTAGTGATAGCAATATCAATGCACATGCTTCATTCTTTCGAATATCTTCTAAATGCATTCATTTTAATATCTGGTATTAAATATTGTTATACTTGAAAAAGTAAGAAGATCAAAATGGAAGACACATGATTGGCCATGCTTACTGAAATACGACACTAATTTTTCAACCTAATTCTCCAACTATGCAAAAGTTTTTGTGAAAATTCAGCCAGTAAATTTTAATCTTTAACATCAATACATTGTTTCTGTATTGAACTGTAGATCAGAAAGTTCTACAGTTTTTGGTACTTTCTACTTTATTATTATTATTACTATTATCATCATCATCATTTTGTTCTTGTTATTACCATGGGTGAGATAATTTTTTTTTGTATTTTTAACAAGTGAATTCACTAAAAAGACAAAATTTTACATCTGGTTTATAGCTATTACTTACATAGTTCCATTTAAATTCTCAAAGTAACCCTAGGTAAATGCTATTCTATCCATTTTGTAGATAAGAAAAGGGAGGCACAAGTGATTACTAACCAACCCCCAAATCACATCATTAGTCAAGTGTTAGAACTGGAATTGGATCCCATGTACTCGTGCTCTGGAATCTGGGCTGTTAGGCTATTTTTCTGTTAGAAAATTGCTCCCAAGCTGGGCAGATATGAGGATTTTCACATCTAACGTACAAACGCTCTTTAATAACAAATCATGCAATGATGTAAGTTTGTCAGAATACACTCTTCATTGCATGAGTTTCTTTCAAAAATTGGCTATTTTCTGACATCTTGTTAAGTAAGCTTTCCTTAAGCGTGAAGGGGCAGATTCAGTATAAATTCTTTGTAAAAGTATCTGGTAAGCAGACAACCATTTATCTTTATAAAAAAGATAAACAGACTTGGAACACTTCATTTTTCATAAAAGAAAAATAGGCCAGTCAAGGTGGCTCATGCCTGTAATCCCGAAATATTGGGAGGCTGAGGTGGGAGGATTGTTTGAGGCCAGGAGTTCGAGACCAGCCTGGGTGACTAAGCAATTCTGTCTCTCTCTCAAAAAAAAAAAAAAAAAAAAAAAAGAAGGAAGGAAGGAAGCAAAGGAAACAGAGAGAGAAAGAGGGAGAAAGGAGAAAAAATGTATGACTCGCTTTTAAAAGTTGTTCAGCTTTATCAAAGTATTTTGCTATAATAGAGTCAATGAATCCTCTTGTAAAATCTTTGCATCATAAAAGATGATTATCACCTTCACCCTTACTGTAATTTGAAGGTCTTCCAATTTGCCATCTGGCATTAATCTCTTTTGTCATCATAGTTTTCTAGAAATAATGTAGTAAATAAATTTCACACATGGTGGTATCTCTCCCTAACTCTCCATTTATTTTTTTAATTCCAGTCAAAGCCGTCCATCAGTGGTTTTTGTTTAGTTTTTCCACAAACATTCAAAAAAGTTAAATAAGTGATTTACAGTTGAGAATATATCTTTGTGGATATCTCTTTAATTGCTCACAAAAGTGGTTCTTCATGTGTTTCATTACTGAAATAGAATCTAGCAAGTACTCCCAAGCTTTAATGTTAGAAACATCTGTACATTATCCCTACCAGGCTGGGAAATTTGCTCTGGTACTAATTTATTTAATATCATTAGCAACATTTTTATGCTGCATCAAACAGTATATGCTAATGAATGAATGCATTTTGATTGGCTGTAATATTGTTTTTTGCTAATTACCATGGCAGAGGAACAAGTGTTTCCCCATAGTATTTCTTTCTCTATTTAAATAAGAAACCCTCAAGAAATGCATCCAGTCATTTATAATTAAATTCAGTAAAATTTTGTCATATAGAATAATGCATAAATAAATACCTCCAAAAAAACTAGAAATGCCAGTTTTTACATTCTGAATGCTTAGATATCTTGCTAAATTAGAATAGTTTCAGAATACCATTAGCTAAAATTTCAAGGCACAGTATAATTAGGCAAAGTTTTTATTTTAAATACCAAAAGTATAAACATATTGTTATTTCAAAACCCCTTCTTGATGATTTCACTATCTGGATCAATTTATATAACATCTGATTAAATCATCATAACTTCATGGTGATGTAGCTGATAGAGTTCTTACTAGAAATAATAGTGTCCACTTCCTTTTTCTTTTCTTTCTTTCTTTCTTTTTTTTTTTTTTGAGATGGAGTCTCGCTCTGTCGCCCAGGCTAGAGTGCAGTGGCATGATCTCAGCTCACTGCAACCTCCGCCTCCCAGGTTCAAGGAATTCTCCTGCCTCAGCCTCCCGAGTAACTGGGACTACAGGCACCTGCCACCATGCCCGGCTAATTTTTTATTTTTAGTAGAGACGGGGTTTCACCATCTTGGCCAGGCTGGTCTCGAACTTTTGACCTTGTGATCCACCTGCCTCGGCCTCCCAACGTGCTGGGATTACAGGCATGAGCCACTGCGCCCGGCCTTTTTTTTTTTTTTTTTTTTTTTTTTTTTTTGAGACAGGCTTTTACTGTTGCCCAGGCTGGAGTGCAGTGGTGTGATCAAGGCTCACTGCAGCCTTGACCTCCTGGGCTCAAGTGATCCTCCTACCTCAGCTTCCCACGTAGCTGGGACTATAGGCATGCGTCATCATGCCTGGCTAATTTTTGTATTTTTTTTTTTTTTTTTTTTTGAGATAGAGTCTCACTCTGTCGCCCAGGCTGGAGTGCAATGGCACAATCTCAGCTCACTGCAACATCCACCTCCTGGGTTCAAGCAATACTCCTGTCTCAGCCTCCTGAGTAGCTGGGACTACGGGTATGTGCCACCACGCCCAGCTAATTTTTTTGTATTTTTTAGTAGAGAGGGGGTTTCACCATGTTAGCCAGGATGGTCTTGATCTCCTGACCTCGTGATCTGTCCACATGGGCCTCCCAAAGTGCTGGGATTACAGGCATGAGCCACCACACCTGGCCAATTTTTGTATTTTTTGTAGAGACAAGGTTTCACCATGTTGCCCAAGCTGGTCTCGAACTCCTAGGCTCAAGCAATCCACCCACCTTGGCCTCCCAAAGTGCTGGGATTGCAGGCGTCAGCCACCACACACAGCTGAGTATTTCTAATATTAGACAATACCCAAACAATAAGTGGTATCACTTATTAGAGTGGCAAAAAGTACATGTTGGCAGCAAGAGTAGAGCTATTCAAATGGCTAACTGCCCCCTTAGCAGATTTTGACAGAGAATTGCAAAGTACAAAGAAAGGCATAGTGTACAATTCATGCCAAAAAGACCAATTTAAGGAGTATAATCTATTATCTGTATAGTATCAAAACTATCACAAGGGGGATACCGTACAAATTTTAAGTGACACTATTCTTATCATTAAGATACTTTCTACATCCCAGAGACAAACCATAAAAGCAAAAATAAGTAAATAAAAATAAAACACCTTCTGTGGCCAGGTGCAATGGCTCAAGCCAGTAATCCCAGCACTTTGGGAGACAGAGGTGGGAGGAACACATGCATCCAGGAGTTCGAGAACAGCCTGGGCAATACAGTGAGACCCTGTCTTTACAAAAAATACAAAAATTAACCAGGCATGGTGGTGCACGCCTGTAGTCCCAGCTACTTGGGTGGCTGAGATGGGAGGATCACCTGAGCCCGTAAGATTGAGGATGCTGTGAGCCATGATTGTACCACTGCACTCAGCCTGGGCAACAGAGTGAGACCCTATCTCAGAAAAAAAAAAAAAAAAACCTATTTGCAACTAGCCATTTATACAAGGTAGGTAGCCAGGTTCTAAATGTAAATTCTTTTTTTTTTGTAGACAGGGTCTGGCTCTGCTACCCAGGCTGGAGTGCAGTGGCATGATCTCGGCTCACTGCAACTTCTACCTCCTGGGCTTAAGCCATCCTCTCACCTCAGCCTCCGAAGGAGCTGGGACTACAGGCATACGCTACCACACCAGGCTAATTTTTGTATTTTTTGAAGAGACAGGGTTTTGCCATGTTGCCCAGGCTTGTTTCGAACTCTTGAGCTCAAGCAATTTGCCCACCTCAGCCTCCCAAGTGCTGGGATTACAGGTATGAGTCCCCTTTGCCTGGCCCTGAATGTAATTTTTTTTTTTTTTTTTTTTGAGACAGAGTCTTGCTCTGTCACCCAGGCTGGAGTGCAGTGGCACGATCTCGTCTCACTGCAACCTCCACCTCCTGGGTTCAAGCAATCTTGTGCCTCAGCCTCCCGAGTACCTGGGACTACAGGTGCATGGCACCACACCCAACTAATGTTTGTATTTTTAGTAGAGACTGGGTTTCGCCATGTCGGCCAGGCTGGTCTCAAACTCCTGACCTCAGGTGATCTACCCACCTCAGCCTCCCAAAGTGCTGGGATTACAGGTGTGAGCCACTGTGCTCAGCCCTGAATGTAATTCTTACTCAATTTATTAATTCTCTATTCTGGATGTACTGGTCCTTAAAAATTTGGTGAACTGACATCTTTAATATTTATAGCCCTATAAACATCTAAAGATTTTCATGGTAATGCCAGAAGTGATAAAGGAATGAGAGCATGAATAAAAGGGAATGCTGGCTGGGCACAACAGCTCACATCTGTAATCTCAACAATTTGGGAGGCCGTAGCAGGTGGATCACTTGAGCCCAGGAGTTCAAGACCAGCCTGGGCAACATGGTGAGACCCCATCTCTACAAAAAATAAAAAATTAGTCGGGTGTGGTGGTGCATGCCTGTAGTCCCAGCTACTTGGGAAGCTGAGGTGGGAGAATCACTTGAGCCCGGGAGGGCAAGGTTGCAGTGAACCTTGGTCATGCCACTGCAGTTCAGCCTAGGTGACAGAGCAAGACTCTGTCTCAAGAAAAAAAAAAAGAATGCTGAGTATTTTCTTGCTATGATGTTTTGGTCTGCAGACTACTGACTGGTGTATAAGGTTTTCAACTACCTCATGGAAAAAAGTGTTCTATTTTCTGAGATTTTTGTTTTTTCTACTTCTATTGTGTCAACATTTTCATTTTTGTAATATTAACAATGTTTTTTAAAATGCACTTGATAAAATTAAAATTGCTTTAGAGTCAATTTCACCCACTTTCTGGCCAAATATGGCAAGTTCCTACTTTAGATTGCTTCACATTTTGGCACTATTTATTTTTCTCACTTGTCCCAAATATATATACAAACTGGGCATGGTTAAATGGGAAAGCATGGATTATCCAAGAAGCATACTAGTTATATTTCACTATTTTGCCTATACCAGCAGTTCTCCATCTTAGTAACCTTGTGATACAATATCAGGATGAGAGTGTGAAAACTGTCACAAATCTCCTTAAGAGTAGAAAAGTCTGCAATTGATTTCCCCCCTTTTGGTGGGGTTTAACTTAAAGGAGATTCAAGGTTATTCCACTTGGTACTATTGTTATTTTCCTAAATGGAAGAAGTAGGAGAATTGCAGGTGCAGGGAAGTGCCCACAACCTGCACTTTATCTCTATCTCCTTACCGTGCTTGATTTTTTTTCTCATTTTTGTTCTTTTCAGAGACAGGGTCTCTGTTGTTCAGGCTGGAGTGCCAGTGACTTGATTACAGCTTGCTACAGTCCCAAACTCTGGGGCTCAAGTGATCCTCCCACCTCAGCCTCCTGAGTAGCTGGGACTACAGGTGCATGCCACCATGCCTGGCTAATTAAAAAAATTTTTTTTGATTAACTGATTTTTGAGATAGGGTTTCGCTCTGTTGACCAGGCTGGAGTGCAGTGGTACGATCTTGGTTCACTGCAACCTCCGCCTCTTGGGCTCAAGCAATGCTCCTACCTCAGCCTCCCAAGTAGCTGGGAATACAAGCATGCACCACCATGCCTGGCTAATTTTTATATTTTTGGTAGAGACAGGGTTTTGCCATGTTGCCCAAGCTGGTCTTGAACTCTGGAGCTCAAGCTATCTGCCCGCCTTGGCCTCCCAGAGTGCTGGCATTAAAGGTGTGAGCCACTGCACCCGGCCAATTCCTGTGCCCCCCCTTCCCCGCCCCGCCCAAGACAGAGTTTTGCTCTTGTTGCCCAGGCTGGAGTGCAACAGCGCGATCTCAGCTCACTGCAACCTCCACCTCCTGGGTTCAAATGATTCTCCTGCCTCAGCCTCCCAAGTAGCTGGGATTACAGGCGCCAGCCACCATGCCCTGCTGATTTTTTGTATTTTTAGTAGAGACAGGGTTTCACCATATTGGCCAGGCTGGTCTTGAACTCCTGACCTCAGGTGATCCACCCACCTTGGCCTCCCAAAGTGCTGGGATTACAGGCGTGAACCACCGTGCCTGGCCTAAATTTAAAAATTTTTTTGTACAGGTGGGGTCTCACTATGTTGCCCAGGCTCGTCTTGAACTCCTGGCCTCAAGAGATTCTCCCTTCTTGGCCTCCTGAAGTGCTGGGATTACAGATGTGAGCCACCATGCCTGGCCTAATTGTTTTCTTTCATAGCACTTACCACCAGACAGTAGAGAATATGCTTATATTTTTAGTTGTTTTCCCGACTAAGTTTCACAAGAGTAGGGGCTCTTGTTTTATCAACTGTTGTATTTCTAATGCCTACAGTAGTACCTTGTACGCAGAAGGTATTCAGTTAATTTATGAGTAACCAATGAAAGAGCCTAAAATTAGACTGAATTACATACAGCCGTGTCTACCTAACTCTTATTCGGTCCCTCCACTCAAATAAAACCTCTGAGCTACTATATTTGTATACATGATCCATCGTCCAAGTCATTAAATTATTTAAATATGTCTGGAGTGGGCTCATAGGACATAGCACACGGCACAAGCAACATGGCTAAACTCACAATCCTAAGACATTTACAAGAAACCTCTCTTAAGAACGCCTTTTATCTAGCTTTGAACTTTTCCCCAGATACGGTTCTCACATTCCCAACAAACTAATAAATTAATTTCAGTATGAGATCCCATTCTCGCCACAATCTAAGCATGTTTAAAACCAAATTTGCCATTTCACCGTTTTTCAATCCCCTCTTGCCACTTCCTGTGTAAGGTAAAACCATGGTATAGTGGAAAAATGACTGACTGGGGCAGAAATCCTGGTTCTGGTCTCCATTTGGCCATTTGCAGTTCAGACAGAAAAGTCTAGAGGGATAAATATGGTTTTCCTGGTATGGTATTCTTTTTTACAGAAAAACAGTTTTGTAGCTTTGTTTACCTTAAAGGGAAACTTGAAAACTAATTCCTTGGGTGGGAACCCAAGAAATCATGAAACTATAAATTCTGTGGCACAAGAGAACCCAAAAGGTTAATAGTCCAAGGCTCAGAGAACATATCAAAGCACTCAGATAAAACATTTAAAGACTCCAAAGGACTACAATGAGAATTTAATAGGTTCAGGAAGGGGGAAAAAAAGAGCCAGACAGTAAATATTTTAGGCTTTGCAGATCATAAGGTCTCTCCTGTTGAAACTATCCAACTCCACTGCTATAGTAAAAAACTGCCAATGATAAATAAATAAGTGTGGCTGTGTTTCCATAAAACTTTATTTACAAAACAGGCAGAGCACTAGATTTGGCCATGGTTTGCCAACCTATGGTTTTAAACTATAGTTTCTAAGATGCATTATGGAGGGAAAATACACATGTGTATAAACTCTTTGGGCATGCAGATATTCTGTTTTGCTAAGAGCTGTTTTAGCTTATACTTGTTTAAATGCATGTTACCTCAAAATTATTTTGTTTTTGACTTTCTAGACACTGATCTCTCCCAGAGCAATTCTCAAACCTCTGGGTCACACGATACTCTTTTAGATTCCTAAAATGTATTAAGGATGTCATTAAGAGCCATTATTATTATTATTTGAGATGGGGTCTTGCTCTACCATCCGGGCTGGAGGGCAGTGGCACGATCTCGGCTCACTGCAACCTCTGCCTCCTGGGGTTCAAGTGATTCTTGTGCTTCAGCCTCCCAAGTAGCTGGGACTACAGGCACGTACCACCATGCCAAGCTAATTTTTGTATTTTTAGTAGAGATGGGGCTTCTTCATGTTGGCCAGGCTGGTCTTGAACTCCCACCTTGGCCTCCTAAAGTGCTGGGATTACAGGTCTGAGCCACTGTGCCTGGCCAAGAGCCTTTGTTTATGTGGGTTATATCTATCATACAAACTTAAGAAATTGTTTAGATATATTAATTTATAACAAAATAATCATAAATTATACGTTATATAATGATACCTATATATTTTTCAAAACAAAAAAAAATTTGCGAGAACAGTGGCAGATTTTATATTCTGCAAATATCTTTAATGTCTACCTTAAGACAGCTGGATTCATATATCTGTGTTTGTATTCAATTTACTGCAACACATTATTTTGACTGAGGCACGATATGGTTTGGATCTGTGTCCGAACCCAAATCTCATACTGAAATGTTATCCCCCACCGGGTGCTATGGCTCATGCCTGTAATCCCAGCACTTTGGGAGGCCGAGACACGAGGATCACCTGAGGTCAGGAGCTCAAGACCAGCCTGGCCAACAAGGTGAAACCCCGTCTCTACTAAAAATACAAAAAATTAGCCGGGCGCGGTGGTGGGCGCCTGTAGTCCCAGCTACTCGGGAGGCTGAGGCAGGAGAATGGCGTGAACCCGGGAAGCGGAGCTTGCAGTGAGCCGAGATTGCGCCACTGCAGTCCGCAGTCCGGCCTGGGCGACAGAGCGAGACTCCGTCTCAAAAAAAAAAAAAAAAAAAAAAAACAACAACAACAACAAAAAAAACAAAAAAATTAGCCAGGCGTGGCAGTGGGCGCCTGTAATCCCAGTTACTCGGGGGGCTGAGGCAGGAGAATCACTCGAACCCAGGTGGCGGAGGTTGCAGTGACCCGAGATTGCACCATTGCACTCCAGCCTGGGCAACAGAGAGAGCTCATGCTTTACCTTCTGCCATGGGTTGCTCCCAGAGGCCTCCTGAGAAGCAGATGTTGCTATGCTTCCTGTACAGCCTGTGGTACTGTGAGCCAACTGAACCCTCTTTTCTTTATAAATTATCCAGTTTCAGGCATTTATTTTTATTTTTTATTTTATTTTGAGACGGAGTCTCGCTCTGTCACCAGGCTGGAGTGCAGTGGCACGATCTCAGCTCGCTGCAACCTCCACCTCCTGGGTTAAAGTGATTCTCGTGACTTAGCCTCCCAAGTGGCTGGGATTATACGGGCACACGCCACCACACCCAGCTAATTTTCTTTTTGTATTTTTAGTAGAGACGGGGCTTCACCTTGTTGGCCAAGATGGTCTCAATCTCCTGACCTCATGATCCATCCACCTCAGCCTCCCAAAGTGCTGGAATTACAGGCACGAGCCACCAAGCTGGTCTTTTGTTTTGTTTTTGTTTTTTTTAGACAGGGTCTCACTCTTCACCCAGGCTAGAGGGCAGTGCCACGATCTCAGCTCACTACAGGCTCCGCCTCCGGAGTTCAAGTGATTCTCCCACCTCAGCCTCCCAAATAGCTGGGACTACAGGCGGCGTGCCACCGTGCCTGGCTAATTTTTGTATTTTTAATAGAGACGAGGTTTCGCCATGTTGCCCAAGCTGGTCTCAAACTCTTGGCCTCAAGTGATCCACATGTCTCAGCCTCCTAAAGTGATGGGACTACAGGCGTGAGCCACGGCGCCCAGGCACGTACTTCTTTATAGCGGTGAGAGAAAGGGCTAACACAAGGCAAAAAAATCCAGGCTACATATACACAGAAACGCAAGTAGAAAAGGGAGTAGTTTTTTTTTTTTTTTTGAGATGGAGTCTCCCTCTGTTGATCAGGCTGGAGTGCAGTGGTGCGATCTCTGCTCCACTCCGCCTGCAACCTCCGTCTCCCAGGTTCAAGTGATTCTCCTGCCTCACCCTCCCAAATAGCTGGGATTACAGGCGTGTGCCATCATGCCCAGCTAATTTTGTATTTTCAGTACAGACGGGATTTCACCATGTTGGCCAGGCTGGTCTCGAACTCCTGACCTCAAATGGTCCACCTGCCTCGGCCTCCCAAAGTGCTGGGATTACAGGCATGAGCCACTGTGATTGGCGGGAGTAGTATTTTAAGAGCTTCTTCACATAATTCTGGGTCTCACTCCTCCTTGATATTATAGCAGAAATTAGTAGTTGCAGGGGGACTGGGGATAAGTGGCGGAGAGGGGAAAATATTAAGTTACTGCTAATGGACACGAGATTTCTTTTTGGGGTGAGGAAAATGTTCTAAAATTATATATTGTGGTGCCAGGCGCAGTGGCTCATGCCTGTAATCCCAGCAGTTTGGAAGGCTGAGGCAGGTGGATCGCTTGAGGTCAGGAGTTCTAGACCAGCCTGGCTAACATGGTGAAACCCCGTCTCTATTAAATACAAAAATTAGTTGGGTGTGGTGGCAGGTGCCTGTAATCCCAGCTACTAGGGAGGCTGAGGCAGGAGAATTGCTTGAACCCAGGGAGGTGGAGGTTGCAGTGAGCGGAGATCGTGCCACTGTACTCCAGCTTGAGAAACAGAGCGAGACTCCGTCTCAAAAAAAAATTAGATTGTGGTGATAGCTGTAAAACTCTGTGAAAACATTTAAATCACACATTTAAAACAAGTAAATTTAATGGCTTATCTCAAAATAAAGCTGTTTAACAAAAGGGAAAGAAAACCAATGTGGCTGGAGTTCAGAGAGGGTAAGAAGTGGGAGATGAGACAAGGCAGGGGGCTTTTAGGTCATGTTTCAGATTGGGGAGTGTTTTCTAAGAGCAATGGGAAGGCATGAAGGGTTTTAGGTAGAGGAGGGAAAAACATTACACCAAAACTCATCACATCATAACTTTATAAAAGTTGTTACATGGCCGGGCGCGGTGGCTCATGCCTGTAATCCCAGCACTTTGGGAGGCCGAGGTGGGCGGGCCATTTGAGGTCAGGAGTTCGAGACCAGCCTGGCCAACATGGTGAAATCCCATCTCTATTAAAAATACAAAAATTAGCCAGGCGTCATGGTGGGCGCCTGTAATCCCAGCTACTCGGGAGGCTGAGGCAGGAGAATCACTTGAACCTGGGAGGCAGAGGTTGCAGTGAGCCGAGATTGTGCCATTGCACTCCAGCCTGGGTGACAAGAGCTAGACTCTGTCTCAAAAAAAAAAAGTTGTTACAGTGTGGAATCTGAAATTGCATCAATGAACTTTCCATATTCTATTACATTAAAATCCATTGGTCTATCTTGCAATTTTTTTCCTTTTCTTTCTTTTTTTTTGGCCCATGACACAGCCCTCAGGAGATCCTGGGAACATGTGCCCCTATATTGCAATGTGCATGAATCTTTTATGCATGATTTTGTAACATGCAAGCACTGGTCCACTGGAAAATTATTTGTTCACTGAGTTATAAAGATCTTCCAAAAATTTTTTTCTTTTTTTTTGAGATGCAGTCTAGCTTTGTCGCCCAGGCTGGAGTATAGTGATGCGATTTGGGCTCACTGCAAGCTCCGCCTCCCGGGTTCATGCCATTCTCCTGCCTCAGCCTCCCGAGTAGCTGGGATTACAGACGCCTGCCACCTCGCTCGGCTAGTTTTTTGTATTTTCAGTAGAGACGGGGTTTCACCGTGTTAGCCAGGATGGTCTTGATCTCCTGACCTTGTGATCCACTGATCTCGGCCTCCCAAAGTGCTGGGATTACAGGCGTGAGCCACCGCGCCTGGCGGTAGATCTTCCAAAATGTTAAAACATTCCATTAAACAACATATATTTTTTAAAATTACATTTGTTAATATACCAACTAACGTCATTAGAAATTCCTTATGTACTGGTAAGTTGTCAAGCTCATGGTAGCAGACACAAATTTTCCAAATTTCTTCCTTTTTTTTTTTTTTTTTTTAATATAGAGACAGGGTCTCGCTATGTTGCCCAGGCTAGTCTTGAACTCATGGGCTCAAGCAATCCTCCTGCCTTGGCCTCCCAAAGTGATGGGATTACAGGTGTGAGCTACTGCACCAGCAAATTTTCCAAATTTCTAATTTTCACTTGCCAACAAGTCATGTTATCATTTGCAACAAATACTACCAGCTTCCTTTAAGCGACAAGATAGCCTTGTTCATTTTTGAGAAAAGGTCTGCAAATATGCAAATCTGAATAATCACGGCTTGTCTATCAGTCATTCTTTCAAGCAAAAAAAGAGTAATATGAATAAGTGGCTAATTTGGCACACAAGCCATTGCATAAGTGTTTTTCCTCAAGACAATCATCAGTCTTCATTTTGCAGCAAACTTTATGCATATATTCCATTTCATCACACAGATTAAAAAGCATGTGTTTAAGAACTGAGATTTAATAAAGATTTAATAAAGCTAATAATAATTTTTGCTGCTTCATTAAGGACACTCAAGTGAAACTAGCATTTTTTTTTTAACTGTGAGTAGATGGCAGTAAAAAATACAATGAGATGCCTGTGATCCCAGCACTCTGGGAGGCCAAGGCAGGTGGACTGCTTTGAGCTGAGGAGTTCAAGAACAGCCTGGGCAACATGGTAAGACAGCGTCTCTACAAAAAATTAGCTGGGCACATGGTAGTGTGCATCTGCAGTCCCAGCTACTTGGGAGGCTGAGGTAGAAGGATTGCTTGAGCCTGGGAGGTCGAGGCTGCAGTGAGCATGACTGTGCCACTGCGCTCCAGGCTGGGTAACAGAGTGAGAGTCTCTTCAAACAAAACAAAATGGCAGGGTACGGTGGATCTCACCTATAATCCCAGCACTTTGGGAGGCGGAGGCAGGTGGATCACCTGAGGTCAGGGGTTCAAGACCAGCCTGGCCAACACAGTGAAACCCCGTCTCTACTAAAAATACAAAAATCAGCCGGGGGTAGTGGCAGGTACCTGTAATTCCAGCTACTCAGGAGACTGAGGCATGAGAATTGCTTGAACCTGGGAGGTGGAGGCTGCAGTGAGTGAGATCGTGCCACTGCACTCCACCCTGGGCGACAGAGTGAGACTGTCTCAAAAACAAAACAAAACAAGAATATAATGAGTGGAAGTTTGGTTCCACTGCCTTGGTTCATGATAAGGAGCCAGCAGTTTTACCTATTATCGCTTTTGCACCATCAGTGCAAGCATCAACATAGTTAAAAAGGAAAATAATGTCTTAATTATTATGAAAATAGTTTTGCCTTCAGGGACCTAATGAAAGGGTCACTAGGGTCCCTTCCTAGGGGTTCACTGACCATGCTTCAAAAACTGCTGCCTTAGAGAAACTGAAGGAGCATTCCTTATCAGCTATGTGTTCCTGGACAATTCACAAAACTCTTTATTGAGCTATGTAAAAGAAATGATAATGTCCTCAGAGTTGTTCATCAGGATTAAGAGATATGAAAATGTTTTGTACAAATATTTTGTATATTGTGTAGCATCATAAAAATTTAAGACCTTATTAATACTTGTAATAAATGATATCAGGGTTTAGTGGATATCGCTGACTTCATCCTAACAACTTGGTGGTGACAAAAGTTTACACATTTTGTTTCCGTTGTTTCTCTCACTAGCAATCTTTACATTTCTACATTAATTCAGATCTTTTTTTTTTTTTTTTTTTGAGACGGAGTCTCGCTCTGTCGCCCATGCTGGGGTGCAGTGGCACAATCGTGGCTCACTGCAAGCTCCGCCTCCTGGGTTCAGGCCATTCTCCTGCCTCAGCCTCCTGAGTATCTGGGACTACAGGCGCCTGCCACCATGCCCGGCTAATTTTTTGTATTTTTAGTAGAGACGGGGTTTCACTGTGTTAGCCAGGATGGCCTCGATCTCCTGACCTCTCGTAATCCGCCCGCCTCTGCCTCTCAAAGTGCTGGGATTACAGGCGTGAGCCACCGCGCCCGGCCAGATCTTTACAATCAGAGATGCAAAACTGATTCATTAATCATCAATGTTGCTGCCAGTTGAAAATATCTAAGTTTTTATCACATCCCTACCCTATCTTGACCAGTCAAACTTGTCTAAGGCTTCCCCTTATGTCTGAATATGTCCATTTGTTTAATCTAAATAATGTCAGGTTGTGTTCATTTGTTTCTCTTCCCTTCTAAAACTTGTCTCCATATGCCTACTTACTGAAAATACCATTCCTATACTTAAGAGACTAATTAAGTCAATCTTTTTATGGCTACCCAAGTAGGATAACCTTTCTCCTCTGAATATCCAGCACTTAATGCCTTGTATTACTAGATATCTTCTCTTTGCTTGCCTTTCCTTAACTAGCCTGTAATCTGAGGGTAAGTACATCTTACATTTTTATTATCTTTAGCATCTATTAGCACAATGCATTCAGTCTGGCTAATCGTCCTATGTGTAGTCTACTAGAGACTAGTACTAATGAAACACTGACTTTCAAACCCAAATAAGGACCTAGAAAACTATAGCAGTTTAACCTGCTTTATAGACCTAAGATCTTGTCATATACAGTTTCTAGGCAAACTTTTATCTACAAGGCTTACTCAAGTGATATGGCAAGGTAATCAATATCACAGCTTAGGAGTACAATTACTCTACAGACAAAAATTGTACTTCTCAAAGTGCCCAAGATATGGCTCCGAGAGCAAAAACAAAAATATGATAATATATATAAAGGTGCATAAGATCAAAGATGTATTTCTTTATAAGGAAAGGCAGGCCGGGTGTACTGGCTCACGCCTGTAATCCCAGCACTTTAGGAGGCCGAGGCAGGCAGATCACCTGAGGTCAGGAGTTCGCGACCAGCCTTGGTCAATGTGGTGAAACCCCGTCTCTACTAAAAATACAAAAAATAGCTGGGCGTGGTGGTGCGTGCCTATAATCCCAGTGGTTCAGGAGGCTGAGGCAGGAGAATTGTTTGAGCTGGGAGGCGGAGGTTGCAGTGAGCTGAGATCGTGCCATTGCACTCCAGCCCGGGCAACAAGAGTGAAAGAACAAAGAAAGGAAAGAAAAAAAAGAAAGGAAAGAAGGAAGGAAGGAAAAGAAGAAAGAAGGGAAAGAAAAGAAAGAAAGAAAGAAAATAAGTCTAAAAAACACCAACTATTTAAAACACAAAGCGCAATACACACATAGTGCAATACCACAAAAAATTAACTGAGTCACCTAGACCTGACCACATTAAAAAGCATAAATTCAAAATGCAAAACGGGATGGCAAAAACAGAACACCAGCCATGAGTTGTAGCATGTATTATTATTTGAAAAGTCAAATAGAATAGGCAAGAAACCAAAGGTAGAAACTTTGTACTGAAAAAGCAACAGCAACTGAAAGGTGGCACTGTTAAATGATAAAAAGAACTTTTTCGAATCAGAATAAGCTGCGTTCACATCCTAGTCCAGAAACTGCATCCATTTTTTTTTTTTTGAGATGGAATCTTATTCTGTCACCCAGGCTGGAGTGCAATGGTACGATCTCAGCTCCCTACAACCTCCACCTCCTGTGTTCAAGTGATTCTCCTGCCTCAGTCTCCCGAGTAGCTGGGACTACAGGCACACGCCACCATGCCCAGCTAATTTTTGTATTTTTAGTAGAGACAGGGTTTCACCATGTTGACCAGGCTGATCTCAAACTCCCGATCTCAGGTGATCTGCCTGCCTCAGCCTCCCAAAGTGCTGGGATTACAGGCTTGAGCCATTGTGCCCGGCCAACTGTATCAAATTAATTAAATCACAAAATTTTTCTAGGCACTGGAGCCCTTATCTGTAAAATGGGGCTATAACTATCTGCCTGGCAGAGTTTCTGAGAGGATTAGAAATAATACAAGGCAGTAAAAAGTAAAGACTTTGAAGTCAGATAGATTTGGGTTAGAACTGACTATACTTTCAATAGCTCAGGTAACATAAGCCTCAAATTTCTCATTTGTAAGATGGATATAATACTACCACCTCAAAGCCCTTGTGAAAATAAGGAAATAATATCTATAAATTATTTTTTTAAACAACCATAAAGTCTTTTTTTTTTTTTTTTTTTTGAGACAGAGTCTTGCTCTGTCGCCCAGGCTGGAGTGCAGTGGCGCGATCTCCACTTACTGCAAGCTGCACTTCCTGGATTCACGCCATTCTCCTGCCTCAGCCTCCCTAGTAGCTGGGACTACAGGCGCCCGCTACCACGCCTGGCTAATTTTTTTATATTTTTAGTAGAGACGGGGTTTCACCATGTTATCCAGGATGGTCTCGATCTCCTGACCTCGTGATCTGCCCGCCTCGGCCTCCCAAAGTGCTGGGATTACAGGCGTGAGCCACCGCGCCCAGCAACAACCATAAAGTCTTAAAAGTATATCTAGTAAGTACTCAATAAGCTGTCCCTACTAGATATGTAAGTATATTTACACATACAAACATACCTCACCTTGCATGGTGCCTGCCATATTATACTTAAGTAAGTAAATGTCAACTATTATAATTATTTCCCACCACAAGACATTTCAAAGTAATGATGATAAACTTTAAACTGTGATTTTATACCCTGTCACATTCAATTTATATAAATTAATCACTAAGAGGTTAATGGTAGTTCCTCAATTACTGCAACTACAAATTTTTCAGGGCAATTCAGGGAGTAGAAGCAGGAGTAAGTATACATTACTCACTAATAGAGAGAAAGCCCAGAAAAAAGAAAACACTAGGTCAGAGATGTGTAAATCTATATTGGGCATATCAACTAGTCACTCTATAAACTCACACTCCTTATGTTACATGCTTACTTGTTAACACAAGTCATTACTTTTCTGCCAAAGACAAAGTCAGACATAAATTTAATTATTTCCCAAAACTATCCTTCATTTTAAGCTATTCTACCTGCAGCTGTCTTGGTTCTTCCAATTTCAAAATGTCTTTGAAGAAGTGACTTAGCCACTTCTTCAAAGACATTTTGAAATTGGAAGCATTAAGAAACTGTAGCAACCATTTCTTTCTTTCTTTCTTTCTTTTTTTTTTTGACAGAGTCTCGCTCTTTCGCCCTGGCTAGAGTGCAGTGGCGCAATCCCTGCTTACTGCAACCTCTGTCTCTTGGGTTCAAGTGATTCTCCTACCTCAGCCTCCCGAGTAGCTGGGATTACAGGCATGTGCCACCATATCCGGCTAATTTTTGTATTTTTAGTAGAGACAGTGTTTCATCATGTTGGCCAGGCTGGTCTCGAATTCCTGACCTCAGGCGATCCACCTGCCTTGGGCTCCCAAAGTGCTGGGATTACAGGCGTGAGCCACCACACCCAGCCAGCAGCAACCATTTCATACCACTATTCCAAGAAGCTAGAGCTGCTGCACTGTGGTTCCCAGAAACCACTTACCGATCAGTGACTGTCTTGTTTTGTTTTTGTTTGTTTTTTTTTTCCTGAAAAGGGGCTATGCATAGACAGGATTTTTTTTTAAAAAGGGGGAGGGGCTCTGGATGTGGTACCTCACGCCTGTAATCCCAGCACTTTGGGAGGCCGAGGCAGGAGGATCATTTGAGATTAGAAGTTCAAGACTATGTTGTGTGGGCAACATAGTGAGACCCCTGTCTCTATATTAAAAAAAAAAAAGGAAAGGGAGGGTAATTCGATGCACAAAAGGGAACTGAATGAAAAGTCTTTTTCTCACAGTAGAAGGAACCACTGTTAAGAATTTCTTATTCATTTTGCCTACTTCCAAGCTAGATTAAGTCAAGTAAAAATGAGTCGGTTCTAATGCCAAGCAACTGGAAAATTAATAAAATCTCAGGAATGTACCATTTATGTGGTATGATAGATTGTCTTACTTGGAAAATCTCACATCCAAATCAAAGTGCACATCTATATCTTTTTTCTTTTTTTTTTTTTTTTGAGACAGGGTCTCGGGTGCCCAGGCTGGAGTGAATTAGCACAATCTTGGCTCACTGAAACCAATCCTCCCACCTCAGCCTGCTGAGTAGCTAGGACTACAGGTGCGTACCACCACACCTGGCTAATTTTGGTATTTTTTGTAATGACAAAATTTCGCCATGTTGCCCAGGCTGATCTCAAACTCCTGGGCTCAAGCAATCTACCCACTTCGGCCTACCAAAGTGCTAGGATTACAGGCATGAGCCATAGCACCTGGCCCACATTTTCTTTTGTTAAATGAAGTTAATCTATGTCTAGTAAATAGACAATTATGTTTCCAACACAACAGAAATCTATTTCAACACTAAACATCACTGAACGATTTTGCTAAGGTTTTCATGCTAGATGTGTCTTACTAACAAAGGTAACACAATTCCACAGTTCTGTTTTTGAATAAAAGGTATATATGTTATATATCTGAAAACTTACACAAGATGTTCAAGTTGTGAATGAATTGTTTTTGGTATAATGAATATTTAGTATTGCCACAGCAATGTTTAAAATATTTGGTGATGCAACTTTCCTTTAAAAAAACAAAAACAACTCAGTTAAACTTTTACCACCCATCCACTATGGTTAATTCAGATTTTCTGAGTTTTGTTTAAATGAGAGGTATACATACAATCTTATGAAACAGAAAAGCATTATCCTTATATGTCATTCTATTAAGAGTCTTGCATACAATTTCATATGCTCCCAAACTTACCTTTTCATTTTTCTTGTCAATCTCTGGTGGCTGCTTTGCTGTTACACTTTGAGGTGTTCGAACAGCTTCACCCTCAGCCACTTCAACAGTCCGCCCATTTGGCTGCACAGGCAACAAAAAGTATCATATTATCAAACTGCTTAGCAGATCAGTGCAAAGATTTATACGCAGGAAACCATATATACTACAATCAAATCCTACCTCTGTACCTAAATTTAAAAAGTTTTTGTACACCAATGTTATCTAAGAGTTGATAGATTATCCCTAGTGTTTATATATATATATATATAAAATTCATAAGCAAAATTCTGTACCACAGATTTTCTTATCTCACCAAGGTATCAGTCCCTCTAACAAAAATAATGGAATGGAAGCAGTTAAAAGGAGAACAAAACTGTGTTTGCAATTTGACCACCAATTAACTGTGTAATCTCAGAATATTTCACTCATTGTCTCCGAGCCTTATTTCTACATCTATAAAGTGACAGGTATGATCTACTCAAAAGTCAGCAAACTTTTTCTGTAAACAGCCAGATAGAAAATATTTTATTTATAAACATATTCAGGGTGTATGGCAAAATAAAATTCAGAAAAAAATATTTTATTGATTGCCATCAACAGTCCTCAGCAAAAACAAAACAAAACAGAAACTATTTTAGGTTTTATGGGCCATATATCTTTGTTCTTTATTTTTATTTTTTGGCCCATATGTCTTTGTTGCAACTACATAATTCCTCCATTGTAGCATAAAAGCAGCCATAGATGATACATAAACAAATGAATGTTAGGCAATCTCTAATGGAACCTCTAATTCTGTAATTTCATGGCTCTACTGTTCTGGGAGTAAGAAGCTTTCCGACCCATTGCCACAGCCTACAAAAGGCTACAAAAGCTTTCCTAACATTCCTAAAATAAAATGATGGATAGCACTTAGAGATGCTCATGAGTAGACTCAAGTGTGTGATTCCCAAATCTGGCTTTTAACCAGAATCATTCTTTTTTTACCTTTTTTTTGAGACGGAGTTTCGCTCTTGTTGCCCAGGCTGGACTGCCAAGGTGTGATCTCGGCTCACTGCAACCTCTGCCTCCCAGGTTCAAGTGATTCTCCTGCCTCAGCCTCCTGAGTAGCTGAGATTACAGGTGCATGCCACCACGCCCGGCTAATTTTTGTATTTTTAGTAGAGACAGGGTTTCACCATGTTGGTCTGGCTGGTCTTGAACTCCTGACCTCAGGTGATCCACCCATCTTGGCCTCCCAAAGTGCTGGGATTACAGGCGTGAGCCACCGTGCCCAGCCTCTTTTTTACTTTTTAAATAATAATTTCTGAGCCCCATCACCAGACTGAGAAGTTTGGAGAATGGGGCCTAGGTATCTGTACTCTAACCGTCTTTCTGGATCCTACAACATCTTTTCACTTATGCATTCCCCTCAAATTCAACATGTTAGTAAGTCAATATACTAGTTTCAATGGCTTTATTTTCAGTTCTTACAGAACACACTTTTATCAGCTACCTAGTCATTACAGCAGAGCTATACTCAAGAAAACAATACAAAGTGTTCCAAGTTTCTATAATATGACTTAACATGCATTTGTTAACAATGATCAGGGATACAAAGTTGGAAAAGGAGACCATTTATATTCTCAAATTCAATTTGTAGGCTTTACAAAGATCTGTGGCAGAAAATCAAAACAAAAGCTGTCTTTTAGCTGGTTAAATTCCTAATTAACCCAAATATAATCTGCTGGGTCTGAAGCAACTTGTTAAAGTCAGACAGCTAATGCTAAAACCAGGTTTTCTTACTCTTGATTTGGTTTTCTTTCTTCTATGCTGTCTTGCCACTTCTAATGTTGCCTCTTCTAATCCCTCTTCTGTTATTTATGCATATGGGGGAAGGAAGGAAGAGGGAGGTAGTACGTGGGTAAAGGTAAGAAACCTCAAAATGGAATGTGGACTTAGGGCCGTATCTACATCAGGAATACAAAACTTTGTTTAATTTTACTTTCTAATATCATCATTTTTTTTTTTTTTGAGACGCAGTCTCGCTCTGTTGCCCAGGCTGGAGTGCAGTGGCGCAATCTCAGCTCACTGCAAGCTCTGCCTCCTGGATTCAAGCGATTCTCCTGCCTCAGCTTCCCAAGTAGCTGGGACTACAGATGCCTGCCACCACGCCCAGCTAATTTTTTGTATTTTTAGTAGAGACGGGGTTTCACTGTGTCAGCCAGGATGGTCTTGATCTCCTGACCTCGTGATCCGCCCGCCTCAGCCTCCCAAAGTGCTGGGATTACAGGTGTGAGCCACCACACCCGGCCTCTAATATCATCATCTTATTCTTATATGCTACTTTTAGTTCATGCTATCTTCTCTGGCCAAACTTGCCTTTTCTGATTTTCTTGTGGCCACACTTTTCCATGTAAGACTTATACCAACTGAACAATCTTGCAGCTTCAGTTCTATAGTCTCCTATCTCTTCAACTGGCAACTCACAAAACTTATATCTGCTAAACTTCATTTAATTAATCCCTTCAGGAAACTCTCCATCATAATCACTTATATACTGCCATATACCACCTTCATTTTACTCATTTACATGACACTGAGTCATTGGGATTTATTTACTAAATACTAGGAAGATTAGAAATTATTCGGTCAAAAACTGTCTTAAAAACTCACCAACAAGTTCAATGCCATTTATGTGAGAACAACTGCAAACAATATTGATGTAGCCTCCCAAATGAAATATGAAACATTCTTTTCTTTCAAACAACACAAAGTCTGAAAGTGACCAACTGCATTCCCACAGATTCAGGAACATTCAGTTCCCATTTCCATAGGCTCTGAAATGATCAGCAAGCCAAAGGTGCTCATACGCTCCTATCTGTGCCAATTTTAGTTCCTTCTTTGCAACATCAATCTACATAATAGCTCTAATCGCAGCTGTTCTCTCTGACCTGTGTAGATCTCCCAATTTTCCACTAAACTCTTAGAATTTATATAGCTTTCATCATTACTGGGATTCCAGAAGTCATCAGCAACTTCCCACACATGCCTGATGCCATGAAACAATAAGCCTCCTATCCCAAAAGTAAAGTCAATATAATTCTTGGGTTGCTGGAAAAAAGAATACACTGAGGTGATTCTCCTTCATACAGCAGAGCCAATGTGTCCTTTCATTTTGCCAACAGCTGGTCGAGAAGGCCTTGCCCTGGAAAATCACTAATCATACTTAAATTAGCAAATCCCTAAATGGGAGCATATTATATAGATCTACTTACATGAATAGTAACTAATTACAAACCAAAACTTCAAATCCAATGTGTCTACCCTTGTGATTGTCAATATGGGTTTTACATGAAAGTGTTGTTGGTCAGGTGCAGTGGCTCACGGCTGTAATTCCAGCACTTTGGGAGGCCAAGGCAAGAGGATCAGCAAGAGCTCAGAAGTTCGAGACCAGCCCAAGTAACATAGACAGACCCTGTCTCTACAAAAAATAATTTAAAAAAATAGCCGGGTGTGGTGGCATGCCCCTGTAGTCCCAGCTACTCGAGGGACTGAAATGGGAGGATCACTTCAGCCTGGGAGGTCAAGGCTGCAGTGAGCTGTGACTGCACCACTGTACTCTAGCCTGGGCAAAAAAGTGAGACCCTGTCTCAAGAAAAGAAAAAAAAATACAAAAGAAAAAAAAAGTAGTTTTCTCTGATCATGGAACTTTAATCTATATGGTGGCTTTCTACAGATTAGCAATTACATGGGCCTCTCATTGTACCCCAGTTTAAAATTCTCTCAAGAACTTTAAGGTCTTCCCCACCAGGGCCAATCAAAGTTATTTCATATATAGCTTACAATCTATGTTTTAAGTTAGACCAAAGATATCTTTCAAATTTGTTGAAAATCAACCAGTAACAGAAAAATGATAGAATCATTTTATTTTGATGGATAAACTCCTTGTAGACATCACCATGTTTACCTTCTTGTTATAATTTTCTTCGACCCCCACACCTGGATCTTTCTTTTTTTAAAATGCATGCACAAAGGAACACTTTGTATGTATGTGCTGGCAGGGGTGGTAGTAAACCAGAATGAGGATATCTATATATCAGGGGAAAATGGAATGTAAGAGGGGGCCACATAGCAGACTAGTCAATCTTCAATTTATTAATTTCATACAATTCCATAACTTTTTTTTTTTTTTGAGACACAGTCTTGCTCTGTCGCCCAGGCTGGAGTGTAGTGGCATGACCTTGGCTCACTGCAGCCTCCACCTCCCAGGTTCAAGTGATTCCTGTGTCTCAGCATTAGACACATGTCATCATGCCTGGCTAATTTTTGTATTTTTAGTAGAGAGCGGGTTCCGCTATGCTGCCCAGGCTGTTCTAGAACTCCTGGCCTCAAGTGACCCGCCTGCCTCAGCCTCCCAAAGTGCTGGGATTATGGGTGTGAGCCACCGCACCTGGCCTCAATTCCTGGTACTCAAGTACCAGGCATCAGGCTAAGGACTGTAGGAACAAGGACATATGAATGGAGTTTCTGCCTCAAGGAGTTTTAAAGTTCAGAATAAGAAGTATGCTTAATAGGCCGGGCACGGTGGCTCACGCCTGTAATCCCAGCACTTTGGGAGGCTGAGGCAGGCAGATCATGAGGTCAAGAGATCGAGACCATCCTGGCCAACATGGTGAAACCCCGTCTCTACTAAAAATACAAAAATTAGCTGGGTGTGCTGGCAAGCACCTGTAGTCCCAGACTCGGGAGGCTGAGGCAGGAGAAGCACTTGAACCTGGGATGCGGAGGTTGCAGTGAGCTGAGATCGCGCCACTGCACTCCAGCCTGGGGACAGAGCGAGTCTCTGTCTCAAAAAAAAAAAAAAAAAAAAAAGTATGCTTAATAACAGATGTCATTTGAGCACTCTTAACTTGTTAAAACTGATTCCAACTTGCAAAAGAACCTGTATCTGAGGTAAGCATATATAAGGTTTAACACTGACTTCTAAAATGAAATCACATAGAACCCTACTTTCACTTAGTTACGTAAACTGTATTTCTAGCCACAACATGTAAAGATCATGATTCAAATGACCTAGAAACTTCTTAGGTTTAGAAACTAGAAGGGCAGTCTACCAACTTCCCCCAAAAAATGGAATATGAGAAGACTATGGGCTTTGGAGTTTGACAAACCTGGGATTAAGGCTTAACTTCCATATTTAATCACTGTGATTTTAACCATTTTCCTTGACTTAACCCTTGATTTCATCATTTGTAAATATGAGAAAAATATATACTTTGTCTTACACATTTACATTTGAATTACACCAAGTGACAGAGCATGTGAAAGCATACCTGCTCCAGAAACAGTTTTTCCCTTCTTTTTAAAATTTTTCTTAAATTTTTGGTAGAGATGAGGTCTTGCTATGTTGCCCAGGCTGGTCTTGAACTCCTGGGCTCAAGTGATCCTCCCTCTTTGGCCTCCCAAAGTGCTAGGATTACAGGTATAAGCCACTGCACCTGGCCCGTCTACCCTTTTCTCTCCAAAGCTATGATGGCCTATGCCCTTTATTCCCACGTTCAAGCATTTGGGCCATTTTTTTATATTAACAAGCTCAGATGAATGTTAAGTCCTGGTGGTCAAAAGGGCCTGGACAGGCATCCATCAGGTCCAATGCTCCAGATGCAAATTCTTTTGGGAAGTTAATGGATTAAAAATAATAAGCAAATATATCCTCTCAGAGGCTTAAAATAGTCCAGGCTTGCTCTAGAGGCAGCATTGTAATGTTATCTTTCTTTTTAAAAAACTGCTGTTTTCCAAGAAAATTACATAATATTCACTCAGTAGAGTGCTATGCAGAACTCTTAACACCTTGAAACAAAGATAAGGCTCAATGCCTGCACTCAAGAAGCTTAGAACCTAGTAAAGGAAGACAGGTATACAATAACATATAGTAAAGTACAAAACAAAAGGTATACTCTCCCTCACACTCTCAAGAGTACAGGTTTTGAAAGCAGGCTGGGAGACCAGGATTGAGATCCCAAATGTGTTTCACCCTGGACAAACACTGGAATTTCATTTTTATTTTTTTCTTTTGAGACAGGGTCTGGCTCTGTTGCCCAGGCTGGAGTGCAGTGGTGTGTGATCTCGGCTCGACTCACTGCAACCTCCGCCTCCCAGGCTCAAGCCATCTTCCCACCTCAGCCTCCCAAGTAGCTGGGACTACAGGCACACACCACCATGCCTAGTTAATTTTTTGTAGAGACAGGGTTTTGCCATGTTGCCCAGGCTAGTGTCAAACTCCTGAGCTCAAGCAATCCACCTGCCTTGGCCTCCTAAAATGCTGAGATTACAGGTGTGAGCAACTGTGCCTGGCCAGAATCTCAATTTTATTGGCTAAAAGTGATACTGAGCATACAGGAGGCATTGTGTGTGTGTGTGTATATATATAATCCTCATCATAAAAAAGATAAAAGGCAAGAGAGCATTAAGACAAATACCTAATGCATGTGGGGCTTAAAACCTAGATGACAGGTTGATGGGTGCAGCAAATCACCATGGCACATGTATACCTATGTAACAAACCTGCACATTCCGCACATGTATCCCAGAACTTAAAGTATAATTAAAAAAAAAAAAAGATAAAGGCAAGAAATTAGGAAATTCAGAAGAGGCATCATTGTAGTTGATAAGTTAGACTATAAGACAGTCTTAACAATAATAATTTCCAAGTACTTGCTAGACACATTACACGCATTATCTCATTTAATGGACAAGACCTAGTTTTGGTAAGTTTGTTTTAGTTCTGAAACGTTCTTACACAAATTCAAGATGGAACAATTTCTTGTCAGTTTGTTTGAAAGTAAAAACATTTTCCCCTGCCAAATGTTATGCACACAGCAACTACATAAACTAAACATACACATAAACCATAGCTTTAGACACAGTTCAACCCCAATTTCAAACTCTTAATAACTGAGAGAACAATCTTACAAATATAACCTATGGTTCAAATTTGCAAAATCTCACTATATACTGAGATATTTCCTTTAGTGGTAAAGATCCCTGTGCTTTCTAAACAGCCAAAAATTCAACTCAGGATTCCAAACTGTCTCCTTGTTGACTACAGCAGGGATGCTCAGGGTTACCTTTATGAGATGGGGAGATGGTAATAACTGTCACATGGCCAAGATATGCCAAAGATGATTTCTGAAAAACTAAATACAAGCATTGGTTTTCAATATTTTACATCTGATGGGTATGATAAGGACTACAAATGATACAGCAAATACACATCTGTATAATTCTTTCTTAGAAGAAAAATGTCTAAGACATTCTGACGGATGCCTTCTGGGAAGCCTGGCATTCCATGGAGCAGTTTGAAAACTACTAGCATAGCTGGAGAGAAAAACAAGTGCATTTTAAAACTGATCAAATAACACCAATTCCTCACTTATATCTCTGAATTTTGCTTGAATAATAATTTAAAAATACTCTCAAGGCTTTTACAGCCTTGAGAAATAGTACACTAACCAGTAATGCCAAAGCACAACAAAAATGAATGTTCATAGGGTTTATTGTTGTTCTTGGTATCTAAGATGGGCACAACTACTAAAGGTCTTTTCTGTCAGAACTGTTAAAGGTCTTTTACGTTAGGCCTCTGGCAGAATGAAAAGAAAAGATGAAAAAATCCTGTCACATAACCAAACAAATGGAGCCAAAATTCTGGAGCTTTTGTAAGGTCATTATAATTTTCAGCAGAAACTTCTGACTCGAAATTTTAAAAGCAATAAAGCCATAACTCACTGGGAAAACTCTATTTGTTCTCTGAATGCAATTTAATATCCTGGAACATGCCATCGAAACCAGAGAGGTAGAGTGGAAATAACAAAGTTCTTAGACTAGAAATTAGGATATTGTTTTGCCTTTTAAACTCCTTTGTCCTATGACCTTGAATAAGTCAGTTAATTTTTCTGAATCTCAAGATTTCTCTTCTGTAAAATCATGAATATTTGTTTTACTTATAATTTGGATTTTTTTGAGCAAATGATTATTCTTTTTTTTTTTTTCTTTTTTTGAGACAGAGTCTCGCTCTGTCGCCAGGCTAGAGTACAGTGGTGCGATCTCGGCTCACTGCAACCTCCGCCTCCCGGGTTCAAGCGATTCCCCTGTCTCAGCCTCCTGAGTAGCTGGGACTATAGGTGCACGCCACCATGCCTGGCTGATTTTTGTAGTTTTAGTAGAGATGGGGTTTCACCATGTTGGCCAGGATGGTCTCAATCTCCTGACCTGGTGGTCCGCCCGAAGTACTGGGATTACAGGTGTGAACCACCGCACCTGGCTGATTATTCTCTTAAGAATTAAAACTGACAAAGAGTGACTTAAAGGTAAAAAGAAAACTCTATAGGTGGCAAGTGATATAACTTTTTTAATATTACCAGCAAAACTATTACCTAAGAATAAAAAAACACAATTCTACTGGGAATATATTAAGAGATAAATTTATTTAACTCAATAACAGATTATCCAATTAACTGTGAGATGTTATTTTAGTCACTTTGTTCAGCTTTTAGTTCAACAAATAATTACCAAAGGCACTTATACGCCAGGCAGTTTGCCACCGGTTTACAATCTGGGGAGGGAGAGAACCCAAAAAAGTAAATGGGTAAGTAAACAAATAATGTACAAACTGTAATAACCACTATGAAGGAAACATCTAAGGGGTTGAGACAGAAAATAGAAAGGGATGTCTATTTCACATAGGGTGATCAGGAAAGGATTTTCGGGGAAGGTGACTTTTAAGGTGAAAACTAAAGGCTGAGGAGAATAGTGGGGGAAAGATTGTTCCAAAAGTGTTAATAATAGCTCATGTAAAGGCGCTGGGTTGTGAAAGAGTTTCAAGAACTGAACAGCAAATGACAGGAAACTCACACAAATTCAGCTTAGAATGAAAAGCAGGTGCTGGGCCATACGGGCCATGGAAAGAGATTTAGATTTTAAATGCAAAAGCTACTAAGTGTTGGTTTTAGGCAGCATAGTGATTTGCTTTGAAAAAACTCATTACTAGTGCGTTGAGAAAGGACTGGATGCAGTAAAAGGAAGGCTACTGCTGCAGGTTAGGGGAGCTAAGGTGACACTAGAAAAAGTAGTCAGATTGAATATATATTTTGGAGATAAAATTGATGGTACTTTGCTGATGGGTTAGATATAAGGTGAGGAAGATATGAAGAGGTGAGAAAAAGATTAGAATCAAGGATGATTCTTCTATTTTTGGCTTGAATAACTGAATGGATGGTAGAGTAATTTACCACTTACAGAAATAGGGAAGACTGGGAGAAGGCAAGAAATAATAGGTTCTGTTTTGGAGATGTTAAAAGTTTGAGATAATTTTTAAAAAGTTTGAGATACGTATCAGACTCCCAATCAGAGAAATCAAGCATACATGTAGACATGAGGTTCTGGAGATGACAGAACAGTCTAGATACAGATAGGGACTAATATACAGTTGTTCCCCATTATTAATGGATTCTGTATTGGTGAATTTATCTTTTCACTAAAATTTATTTGTTACTCCAAAATCAATACTTGAGGTACTTTCACGGTCATTTCTGGACACGCACATGCACAGAGCTGCAAAGTCACTCTGCAGGCACATTCCCAGCTGAGGTCAAGCCTCCACCTTCTTATTTCAGCTCTCATCACTGTAAATAAGTATCCTTTCTGAGGACTATTTAGTGTCACATATTTTGCATTTTTTGGGTGCTTTTTGTTAGTGATTTTGCTGTTTATAATGGTCCCCAACTGTAGTGCTGAAGTGCTGCTGAGCATTCCTAAGCATAAGAAGGCTGTGATATACCTTACAAAGAAAATAATGCATTAGATAAGCTTTGTTCAGGCATGAGTTCTAGTGCTATTGGCCGTGAGTTCAATGATATGAATCAATTAAATTAAATGTCTTTAAACAGAAACACTCATAAAACAAGACCATGTATTGTATATGGTATTGGTGAAAATATTGTGACCAGAGGCTTGGACCTAATTTTGCACTTTCCCTAGGAGCACTAGTTTAGTACTTGCTAATTCAGTGGGAACTTTATAGAACTTCTGCAGATAAAGAAAATCAACTATGCTGATCTGTTCCAGTACTATTTATAACATACCTTTTATGTGTGTGACCACTAGTAATGCGTTTTGTGCTCCTAATATGGATAATGGGCAGACACTCAGATACTTGCTGAATGACTATTAGAACCAAATGAAATGGTGATATTAGACCATTCTAATCTAAACAATATGGCATAGCCAGGTGTGGTGGTGTGTGCCTGTGGTCCCAGGTAGTCGGGAGGCTGAGGTGGGAGGATCGCTTGAGCCTGAGAGGCGGAGGTTGCAGAGAGCCAAGATCACACCACTGCACTCCAGCGTGGGTGACAGTGAGACCCCAGCTCAAAAAATAAATAAATAAATAAATTTTTAAAAGGCAATTCCATAGTTTCCACTAAACACGAAACATTATGCTAGGTGTTACAATATATAACTCTAGCTGAGGAGCTAGGGAAGGCTTTACAGTTGAAGCAGCACTGCAGCTGGGCCTTGAAGGACAGGTGGAAATTGGTAGAGAGAGGCTGGGCACAGTGACTAACGCTTGTAATTCCAGCACTTTGGGAGGCCTAGGCAGGTGGAGTACTTGAGCTTAGCAGTTCAAGACCAGTCTAGGCAACATAGCAAAACGCCATCTCTACAAAAAATTCAAAAATTAGCTGGGCATGGTGGTGTGCGTCTGTAGTCCCAGCTACTCAGGAGGCTGAGGTGGGAGAGTCGCTTGAGCCTGGGAGGTTGAGGTTGCAGTGAGCCAAGATTACGCCACTGCACTCCAGCCTGGTTGACACAGCCAGACCCTGTTTCGAAAAGAAATTTAAAAATAAAAATAAGAAAAGAAACTGGCCGGGCCTGGTGGCTCATGCCTGTAATCCCAGCACTTTGGGAGGCTGAGGCAGGCGGATCACGAGGTCAGGAAATCGAGACCATCCTGGCTAACACGGTGAAACCCCATCTCCACTAAAAATACAAAAAATTAGCTGGGCATGGTGGTGGGCGCCTGTAGTCCCAGCTACTCAGGAGGCTGAGGCAGGAGAACGTGCGTGAACCCGGGAGGTGGAGTTTGCAGTGAGCTGAGATCGCACCACTGCACTCCAGCCTGGGCGACAGAGTGACACTCCGTTTCAAAAAGAAAAGAAAAGAAAAGAAATTGGTAGAGAGATAGAAAGAAGGGTCTTTTAATAGATAAAAATAATGGCCGGGGGCAGTGGCTCATGCCTGTAATCCCAGCACTTTGGGAGGCTGAGGCAGGTGGACTGCCTGAGCTCAGGAGTTTGAGTCCATGCGTGGGCAACATGGTGAAACTCCATCTCTACAAAAAGTACAAAAATAACCAGGTGTGGTATCGTGCACCTGTAATCCCAGCCACTCGAGGGGCTGAGGTGGGAGGAATGCTTGAGTCTGGGAAGTGGAAGCTGCAGTGAGCTGTGTTCACACCACTGCACTCCAGCCTGGGACAAAGTGAGACTCTGGTCTCCAAAAACAACAACAACAAAAATGAAAATAATCATAAATAAAGAGACACAGAAATCTAGCTAAGCAGAATTATTTCTTGTCTTAGGAGTAATGGTGAGAGACAAGCCTAAGGTAGGGTTAGATCATGAAGAGACTCGAGTGCCATGTCATGAATTTTGCATTTTATTCAACAGGTGATGGGGAAACTACTGAAAGGATGTGAACATCAAAGTCACATGATCAGGGTTGGGCTTCAAAAGACTCTACTCACACGAGTGGGTAGAAAAGATTGGCAAAAAAGAAACTGGAAGCAGGAAAACTAGTTAGGATGATGTTAGAACAGTCTAAACAAAAGGTAATAAAGTCCTAAAGTAGGGCAGTGGCAGTGAAACTGGAACAGAAGTAATGACTACAAAAGACACTGCATACTATTAGAATACAGTCATACACTGCTTAATGAGAATACATTCTGAGAAATGCATCTTTGTGCAAACATCACATAGTATACTGACACAAACCTAGGCTACAAACCTGTACAGCATGTTGCTGTACTGAATACTGTGGCAACTGTAACACAATGGTAAGTGTTTGTGTATCTAAACATAGAAAAGGTATAGTAAAAATACAATATCATAATCTTATGGGGTCATTATATAGGCAGTGCTTCACCTCACAAAATTACAGCCAGATGAGGCAAACAGCCACTTTCCACTTAAAGAGAAAAAGGGGGCTCACATAGGTATTTACCAAGCATGAATAATAGGAGTAAGCTGTATAAATACTTTTGTTGGACATCTTACTATATTATGCATTCAATAATTATTTTTGAGTACCAAGCACTGTGCAAGGCTATCTGGTAGCAAACAAAAGGAAACACTATTATTTTATTCATTGAGCTTAGAGATATGGCAATTACACTATAGCAAATCTTTATAAACATTCCTACACTAATATGCAAATAACTTGTCCACTAAAATAAATTTTTGAGCTGGGTGAGGTTGCTCATGCCTGTAATCCCAACATTTTGGGAGGCCAAAGTGGGAGGATGGCTTGAGGCCAGGAGTTTGAGGATGCAGTGAGCTATGAGCTATAACCGCCACTGCACTCCAGCATGGGCAATAGAGCAAGACTGTTTCAAAAAAAAAAAAAAGACAATTTTCTTTGATATTAATCCTGATTATGTGCTTCCAGTTGAAATTCAAAGCCAATTGTTACAGACCAGTTTTCGCAGACTTCACTTCAATCTAAGTCATTACTCAGATTAAAAATCAAGTGAAAAAATACTTGAGTGCCCATTTAATACAGACTTTGAGGTAGATGTCATGAAAAATACATACAAGATAATAATTTCCAAAAATGCCAGGAACAGGGGTGGGGGGGAAAAGAAAAAATGCCAAGAACTGAGCCCAGTAAAAAGTGGCCCCCCTCACTTTTAATTAGGGAACAAACTGTAATTCATACCCTAAAAGATCTATGGCATGGTTTTATTAGGGGATAAAAAACAAATTGATAAAATAATTTCAGAAATTGCTTATAAACAGGTTGAGGTAAATACAGATTTCGCCACTATTTACTCTACAAATGAAAAATTTGAAAACAGGAGTCGCAAAATTTGGAGTGATTTAAGAGAAAGCTAAAAATAATGGAACGAAAAGATCAGAGATCAGGAATCTACAAGCTTTTTTTTTTTTTTTCTTTTAGGAGACAGAGTCTTGCTGTGTTGCCCAGGCTGGAGTGCAGTCACCTGATCATAGCTCATCACAGCGTCAAACTCCTAGGCTCAAGTGATCCTCCCAACAGTGCCTCCCAAAGTGCTGGGATTACAGGCATAAGCCACTGTGCCTGGCCCAAGCATTTCCACAAGCATTCAAAGTGACTCATTGCAAGTAGCCAGGGATAACACTTTGAAGAATACTGCAGTGTTTTAACTCAACTAAGATTTCCAATTTGTAAACAAGATACACTGAACAGAGCAAGGTGAAATGCCTTACTCAAGTTTAGAGTTTCCCATTCCTGCCAGGCTGACAGAGTTGTCTTCTTTCAATCCTGGGCCTTTGTTGTTTCTCAGGCCTCTCACATTATCTTGCTCTTACTGCCCTCCCTTCCCCCCTTTTTTTAGACAGGGCCTCGAATTGGCTCACTGCAGCCTCCACCTCCTGGCTCAAGCAATCCTCCAACCTCAGCCTCCAGAATAGCTGGGACTACAGGTGCACACCACCACACTGGGCTAATTTTTTAAATTTTTTGTAGAGATGAGGTCTCACTATATTGCCCAGGTCGTTCTTGAATTCCTGGGGGACTCCTACCCACTTTCAAAGTCAGCTTCTGTGACAAGGCCTTTCACGCCCACCTGGGTCCACATCCAGTTGTATCATTAATTTCTTAAGTATATCTTTTTCCACGACTGAAACAAAAAGCTCCCTGGGGAGAAACTGAGCTTTAACCTTTGTATCCCTGTCACAGAGAGATATGCCCATATTGTATGCCTTTTCACCGCCTTCAATTTGTAAGCAGTATCTTGCTTTTCTTCAATACTTAGCACAGTTAAAGGTATCTAATGAGTACCAAACGGCAGCTTGTACTTCTTTGCCCTGTAAAGCTACCCCATAACTGTGGGTCATGCCTCACAGTCAAATGTGAAATGAATTTAGTGGGTCATGAACATTAAAGAAAAACAGAACAGTTTTATGTGTGTAATGTAATGTAAAATGTATTTCTTATTGTGGGTTGCAGTCAGAAAAGCTTGAAAGTCACAATTTTGTAAATGTTGGTTAAACTTCTCGAATACATCTTCAATATTTGGTAGATAAGGATACTTCCTCACCCAATTAACATTCAGCCATACAGTCTTCCCATTCTCCACTCCTCAAAGCTAACGCTAGGTTTACTTATTTACTCCCCACTTCCTTAACTCGAATGAAAATGAGGGGGTAAGTCTTTTAAGTCTACTGAGCATTTTTCACAGTAATGTATAAGCATTCGCCGGAATCTGTATTCTTTCAGATGAGTCATTTGAGTGTTATAACGCATGTCGGATGGGTTCTTGGAGAACCTGTCTCTCTCAACTCAAGTTTATCTGAAATTTCTAGATGTCCCAAATAGGGCTTTGAAATTTTCACAATGTGCTTCATCCACATGGGTTTGTGCTGAATGTGTTTCTTTCAAGATCACCTTCTTTCCTTACCTTGGAGCAAGGTTCTCTATTTTCACCATAACATTACTTTGATAATTGGTAATTCTTGATAGTCTCCACAAATTTTTAAATTATTTATGTTCCAAATCAGTTCTATTTTCTCCTCTCCTAACTTATGGTAGTATTCACATTGACAAAGTTGTGCCTTTTCCAGGTTTCATATGTATCTTGCATCTCTTAATCAGCAGGCAAAACGTGAAGGCCTATCCAGGCCTCATAATGCACTAACTGTGACCTGTCACATCTCTAATCTAGAGATTAGAGTTTGTTACCAACAAAACTCTTGTTAGTTGGAACTCAAACCCCATTTCCTCCAACAACTTTCCTAAAGCCCTCCAGTGAAATGTCTCCTACCCTCCAAACCTCATTAACACTCAGTTAAAACCTCTTTAACACCTATCAGTCTATGCAAAATTCTAATTATTTATGAATCTGTCTCCACTACTCTCCAACACTGACTCTACGTGTATACCTTGCACTGCCCTCCAAACACCAGAGTGCAAATTTCACATGGTAGGGCCTTCGTACTGGCTTACTG
This sequence comes from Homo sapiens, assembly GCF_000001405.40. Lineage (NCBI taxonomy): Eukaryota > Metazoa > Chordata > Mammalia > Primates > Hominidae > Homo > Homo sapiens. Next base: position 97,645,913 of record NC_000008.11, on the reverse strand, counting down.
AATTGTACTGAAAAGGTGAAGATCTTAATTCGCTGGATATAAAAATAGGTTAGGTGCTGTTTCTAACTCTGCATACCCTCCATAGTCTCAATTTGCTCAAATGTAAAATATTTTTAAAAATACATAAAACTATGAAAGATATAATGGGAGAACCATGGGAATGGCAATAAAGAATGTAAACGTAAAACATGAAGGCCTAAGACAGACGTGATGCCCTCTGCAACTTCCACACGTGGCCCAGTAAATCGGTGCCTGAATTCCTCTCTCGGCTTTCACCATTCTGCCCTGTCATCTCCCTTTACTCTATTTCACAAATCTACCACGCCACAGAGTGTGCAACAGACTCGTTCGTTGAACTCGCCTTAGCTCTTTCTCACAGGACCATACACCTCAAAGCGTATTAGGTAACCGACCCCCTCTTGCCTTGCTCCCGTTCCGGCCTCTGTTGGCCACATTTGCCAGAACAAGAATGGGCAACCATTTCCCTTTAACAGTCCCAACTAAAATGGAAGCGCGTCTAGACCTGGACACCTTTAATCCTGTGTAAGCCCCAGAATTTCTAGGTCACCGCACTTCTTCCACTGCCTACTGTCTCAATGTGACTTGAGATAGACATCTGTCTTCCGAGCGCAGTCTTTATACAACTTCCTAACACCACCTTAAGGTCCCATTACGCTCCACATGCAGCCTACTCTGCAGGCCTCAAGGAAGGATGCTGTGCTTATTCTAGCGGTGACGGTTCCCAAAGATGGCTTGACCTCTGGGCGCCTATCTGAACGGACCCCCAGACCTCCTAACTTCCTTCCTCGAAACTGGGCTTCCCCACTCGTCCTATACTTCCTGAGTTCCCCCCATTCCCCAAATAACATGACCACCTATCACCTCCTCCTCCACTTGGGAGTGCTGCCTCTCGGCTTTCGACTAAGCACTCTTTTCCTTCCCGGCTGGGGCGCGGCCTCCCCCAAGCTCGAGGGTCTCCACGCCCGCCCTTCGCCCGTTCTCTACTGCCGCTCATCCCATACTCACTTTGGGCTTCTCGGACAGTTTCTTCCGGTTCTTCTTCTTCTGTTCCTCGCTCCGGAGATTCTTCAGCAAGGCCAGGTCGTCGGGGGCCGCGGCCGGCACGGCCGCCGCCTCCTCCCGCTTGCGGGGCGGGCTCCTCCGCTTTTTGCGGGCGCCGGCGCAAGCCGCGGCCCAGCCGTAGCCCAGCAGAAACAGCAGCAGCAGCCCGAGCGCGCCAGTGCCCACCAGGATCACCCAGCCGGGGTACCGTTTCGGCTCCAGCCCCAGGTCGAGGCCCAGCTCGGTGCGCAGAAAGCCTAGGCCGACCGAGAGCATTTCCCGCAGCCGGGCCGAGCCCTCCTCGGCCTGCTGGGCCAGCTCGTCCTGCCAGCTCCGTGCAGCCATCTTCCCTCCCGTCAGAGGGACTCGCAGGATGACGCCGGGGCGCGGAGACGCAGTGGAATAGTCGAGGGAAGCGAGGAAGGGCCGGGCCGGGTAACCTCAGGCCGAGCGCATCGCGGCCGTCCCTCGCGCCGGAGCCGGGGATCGGCCGCTGCCACCGCGGGGAGGGCGGAGGGGTCTCCCAGGTTCCCCGCTGTCAGCCTCACTCCGCCGCCGCCAGGAGACCCGGGAGGCGGGAGGGAGTGTCTCCAGTGGCGGCCGCTAAGCGGCGTCTCGGCGCCAGCGCCAGGCCCCGCTGTCCTCCCTCGGCGGAACAATGGCGGCTTGGGCCGCGATCCACGCCGCGCGCGGGGACGACCGTGGGTCACGTGGGCGCCAGTGGGCGGGGCGTGGGCGTCACGTGGGGGCGGGCGGGGTCGGGTGGGGCAAAGGCGTGTCAGGGAAGGTTGGCGGTGGTCGGTTCGGGCCTGGTTAAGACGCGGCGTTGGGGACCCGTTACTGTAGACCAGAAGCTGGGAGGGGTTAATTGGTGGACGCCTTCGCGGGGTGGCTGGTGGCGCAGAGTTAGGAGACGTGGCGCAACGAATGAGTACAGAGGAGGGGCTCCGTGCAAGGCGGGGGCGGGCGGGGGGCGGGTAGGGCTGCAGCGCTAGGAACCGGGTCACCGGGTCTAGGTCAAAGTCGCCCTGGCAGGTATAGGGCTCTTCATGCCTTTTTCTGGAGTGTTATTGAGGTGGAATCGCTTTTTCTCCCTGGTGGCGCCAGTTGGATCCTTCCAGAATGAGCTCAACGGAGTCTGACGCCGAACACTGTTCTTCCGGGACCTAGGTTTAGTTCACAAATTGGGTATTTCTCTCCAGGGTGTTTCTCTCCAGGGCAACTAATACACTGCGTGCCTACCAGTTGCCAGCCTGGCGAGGGCACGTTTGCGTCGTTTGGCTCATTCACTCTTGCTCTCTGTTGTTAGTCCCCAGAATTCAAAAGTTGGAAAGCCCGTGGGCGGCACTATTCTTTTCCTACTAATTTGTAGCTTTAATAACACATAAGGGGAAGCACATTAGATTGTATTTACTTATGGAGGGAGCTTTCTCGTTACGTTTTATTTTAAGCTTTTCTACAACACTGCAAAAGGGGTTTGCAAAAATTCCATTTTTATATGCTATGTTGACCATCTCTGGGATGCAGCTATAGAAGGAAACGAACTGCCTTTTCAAATTTTTTTTTTTTGAGACAAGAGTCTCGCTCTGTCGCCCGGGCTGGAGTGCAGTGGCACTATCTCCGCTCACTGCAAGGTCCGCCTCCTGGGTTCAAGCCATTCTCCTGCCTCAGCCTCCCGAGCAGCTGGGACTATAGGCACCCACCACCACGCCCGGCTAATTTTTTGTATTTTTAGTAGAGACGGGGTTTCACCGTGTTAGCCAGGATGGTCTTGATCTCCTGACCTCGTGATCCGCCCACCTCAGCCTCCCAAAGTGCTGGGATTACAGGCGTGAGCCACCACGCCAGGCCTTCAGGTTTTAATTATAAGGGAAATGCTTGAAGGCTGCCTTAGGGTTTTAAGATTATATTTTGCTATAAGGAAACTCTGTATTTTATCGGTAAATGATCATTAGCGTGTAAGCAACTGTCTTAAGTGAACTAAATACAGGCTTTCTCAAGGAATACAGCAGGGGTAATATTAATAACCACCAAATACCAAAAATGTATTTTGACCTATTTTGCAACAGTGTCGTAATGCATATTGTGATTCATGTGTGGAAGGGAGTTTTGTAAATAATAAATAATAAAAGCATACTACACTTGCCAAGACTTATGATTAAAGACTAAATTAAATTAGGAGGCCAAAAACTTAGCAAATGTTATTGGGATCTGCTTTAACTCAAAGTTTCCAAATTCCATTTATATTTGTGAAATAAGATTTCTGCACGTGTTTTGGTTCTAGAGATGTGAAGGGTCATGATTTTCCTAAGAAGTTCCACTGACTATTCTGACCATTCTAGATAAACATCTGTGAATTTTTTATTTTTTATTTTTTGAGATGGAGTCTCGCTGTGTTGCCGAGGCTGCAGTCGCCCTGACTTCGTGATCCGCGCGCATGGGCCTCCCAAAGTGCTGGGATTACAGGCGTGAGCCACCGCTCCCGGCCCACCTGTGAATTTTCAAATTAAACTATTACAATAATGGCTGGTGCTGTGGCTCACGCCTGTAATCCCAGCTACTCAGGTGGCTGAGGCATGAAAATAACTTGAACCCAGAAGGTGGAGGCTGCAGTGAGCTGAGATCGTGCTACTGCACTCCAGCCTGGGTGACAGAAGGAGATTCTGTCTCAAAACAAAACAAAAAAACCTTTAAATTGAAGTGGTGCCATATGTAAAGAAGTTAAAATCAAGTCTGGCCTAAAGTGGGAATTCTAATTTCTTGTAAATGACAAAGTTAAGCTGTTGTGTATGAAACCGTTTACCTGCAGCTCTGCACCGGGTTGGAAATAAGGACTGCTTTTTCTGGGAGTGACCCATACAGTGGAATACGACCCAGAAATAAAAAGGAATGAACTATGAATACATGTAACAACATGGATTATGCTGAGTGAAAGAAGCCAGATAAAAAAGAGTACATGGTGTATGATTCCATTTACATAAAACTTGAAAATGCAAACTAATCTATAGTGACAAAGCAAATCAGTGATTCCTTGGGGATGGGGGTGGAGGGTGGTGGGAGGAAGGAGAAATGGGAGAGAGGGAGGGATTACTAAAGGGTACCAGGAAACCCATGGGTGTGATGGATATGTGCATTATTTTGATTGTGGTAATGGTTTTATGGGCATATATTTCAAAATTTATCAAATTATATAAAGTATTGTTTAATTCGTGTCTGTCATACTTGAATAAAGCAGTTCAAAAAAAGATTTTAAAAAGTCATGTATAGTTAGAGTGAAGATCTAGCATCTGATAGCACAACAGTGTCTATAGTCAACAATTTATTGTACATTTAAAAATAAAAATATAATTGGGTTGTAACACAAAGGATAAATGCTGAAGCGATGGATACTCCATTTACCTTTATGTGTCTATTATGAATTGTATGCCTGTATCAAAATGTCTCATGTACCCTATAATATATACTTCTACTATGTACCCCAAAAAATTTAAAAATAAAATGACTCATAGGACTCAGATCCTACAAGAGTGAGATGTTCCATTTTCAATGATGAGATTTCAAAGTTTTTGCCAAACTATGATTTTAAAGAACAAGGTTTCTCAACACTATATCCTTGATGTTCATTAACAAAAACTTTTTTTTTTTTTTGAAATGGAGTTTCACTGTTTTTGCCTAGGCTGGAGCGCAATGGCATGATCTTGGCTCACTGCAACCTCTGCCTCCCAGGTTTGAGCGATTCTCCTGCCTCAGCCTCCCGAGTAACTGGGATTACAGGTGCCCACCACCACGCCCGGCTAATTTTTTGTATTTTTAGTAGAGACGGGATTTCACCATGGCCAGGCTGGTCTTGAACTTCTGACCTCAGGTGATCCGCCTGCCTGGGCCTCCCAGAGTGCTGGGATTACAGGCGTGAGCCACAGCGCCTGGCCACAAAAACATTTTTTAATGAGTTTGCACAATATTCACTTAAAGTATCACTTATAATGGCGAGATATTGTCTGTCTCTGATTTAACATACTTTATTGTATAGTTAGATTATTGACAGGATTTTTTTTTGCCATTAAATGCAGTTCTGTCATGAATATGTTTGTAACTAAATCTTTGTGAATATCCATGATTACCTCCTGAGATGGAGTAGTGGTGCTGTGCTATAATTGCCTGAGCCATAGCTCACAATTTGTGAATTAAATACTTTCAGTTTGAAAATGTTCGGGGACATGAAGTGCTACTTAATGCCCTTCATTTTATAGATGAGGAAAAGTGAGCTTCAAAGGGTCAAGTGTTATGCCCTAGAGTCTGAGTGACAGAGCCCAAACAGGAACTCAGACCTCCCACTGCACTTGACACTTGATCACTCCTCTTTTTCAGTATACTGTGCAGTCAGTTATTGGGATTAGTGTGCATATTAGTTTGCTGGGGCTGCCATCACAAAATACCACATACTGGGTGATTTAAACAACAGAAGGTTTTTTTCCTCACAGTTCTGGAGCTGGTAGTCCAAGCTACGTGGCAGCCTGGTTGGGTTCTGGTGAGAGCCCTCTTCCTGGTTGCAGAAACAGCTTATGTGATGGCTGGTGAAAGAAACATGATGGCTTGGGTCTCTTCACAATGTAGATTCTTGCCATTGTAAACGACCAGGTCACAGAGTTACACACCTAGGAGAATGATTTTATGGTAAAGCAGGGAACTATAGATGAGTGTGCCAAGAATTTTAAGACACAGTCCGGAAAGGGTTATTCTCAGAATAAAGGAAGAATTAGTAAATAACTAAGCTGCCTGCAGAAGTATGCTCAGAATCCTAAGCTAGTTTGTAAATGTGTTGCTGCAAGGGCCAAGATGTTTCCTTTAGGAGATCAGAAGATAAGCTAAGAATCTGTATGGAACTAAAAATTAGATTTTATCAATTGTACCTCAAGGGAACATCAGGGTGGGGGCTGGGGGAAGCATGGAGGCTGTGAAAGTGATAACAAAAGTGAAAGTTATGGTATACTCATTCAGTAGAATGCATATGTGGTAAGAATATAAAACCGTGCATGGGAATAATGAACACCAAATTTGAGATAGTGATTATTTCTAGGAAGAGTGGGAGAGAAATGGGATAAGTGAAAACTATACAAGGGAGCTACAAATATATAATGTTTTATCTCTTAAACTAGGTTAAGAGTTATGAATACACGGGTACTCCTTATCTCTACTTTTTGTATGCCTAAAATACTTTGTAATTAAATTTAAGTGACAAAAATTAAATGACAGCTGAGTGTGGTGGCTCAAGCCTGTAATCCCAGCACTTTGGGAGGCTGAGGCAGGCAGATTGCTTGAGCAGAGGAGTTCAAGACCAGCCTGGGCAACATGGCAAAACCCCGTCTCTATAAGAAGTAGAAAAATTAGCTGGGCATGGTGGTACACTCCTGTTGTCCCAGCTACTTGGGAGGCTGAGGTGGGAGGATCACCTGAGCCCAGAGAAGTCGAGGGTACAGTGAGCCAAGATCTTGCCACTGCACTCCAGCCTGGGCGACAGAGTGAGACCTTGTCTGGGAGAAAAAAAAAAAGGATATTTGCACTCTGTTTTGCATTGTTTTCTCTTTTTCTTTTCTTTTTTTTTTTTTTTTTTTTTGAGATGGAGTCTCCCTCTGTTGCCCAGGCTGGAGTGCAATGGCACAATCTCAGCTCACTGCAACCTCCGCCTCCGGGTTCAAGCAATTCTCCTGCTTCAGCCTCCTGAGTAGCTGGGATTACAGGCATGAGCTACCACCCCTGGCTAATTTTTGTATTTTCAGTGGAAACGGGGTTTCACCATGTTGACCAGGCTGGTCTCGAACTCCTGGCCTCAAGAGATCCACCTGCCTCGGCCTCCCAAAGTGCTGGGATTACAGGTGTGAGCCCCCTGCCGGGTTTACTCTGTTTTTTTCAAGTAAGGTCCTGTGTTTTTGGTTAATCAGTCGCCTTGGGTCATTTATTCAGTAATTCCTTTACCAGATTTCTATTAAATCCCAACTCTTTAAGGAAGCAAATGTCTCAAAAACTAGTTAGGCTTCTTTGGGAAGTTGAGGCAGGAGGAATGCTTGAGTCCAGGAGTTCAAGGTCGTAGTATGCTATGATCGCACTTATGAATAGCCACTGTGAATAGCCCAGGCAACACAGTGAGATCTAGTCTCAAAAAAAAAAAAGAAAAAGGAAAAGAAAACCAAACCACAAACCACACACACACACACACGTACAAAACAAAAACACACACACACCAAAAAAATACCTAGTGAGGGCAATGGAGCCTTCCTTAACACAAGGGAATGTGGTTCTAGTAAACTGATTTGAGCCTAGGGATCATAGTGGATGCTGCAGTGCATCTCCTGGATCCCTCTTCAGGAATGAAAGACTTATTCTCTAACTCTGGGAAACATCCAGAAGACATCCCTAAGCTGTCATACTTTGGGGGAGATTACTGAGGAAAACTTCTTCAGCCAAAGTCATGCCTCCTTCCAGGGATAACTCGCATCCAATGGACTGATCATCCTGGGGAGGAGGATTTAAAGTCCTGGCCTTCTTAACTCAATTTGGAAAGATCCCAAGGACCATCCCAGCCCAGAGCACTGCTTGGCTTAGGACTTTTGGTACATCTCAACCCAGCTCTCCCTCTGCCCAATCCTAGTTCCTTCTCCTTCCACTGGCATTGGTTCCAGGAGCACTTCCTAATGTTGTCCTGCTTGCCGATCTGCCTGAAAGTCTGCTTCCCAGACAACCAACCTGTAACAGGGGTGATGAGGTATTTGAAAAGTGTATTATATCACTGAGGAGAGAGGTTATTATTTACGCATGGATGTAGTAGAATGCCAAGTGCAATATGTTTGGGTTACGTCTTGAAGGATGAATTAGGATATTGCTAAGAAGAGAAGGAGGTGAGGATGGAGAGGAATTTCCAAGCATAGGACCAGCAAAAGCAAAGGCTTGGGGAACAGGAGAGAACGTGGTATGTCTGGATTATGAGAGACCTATTGTGTAACTAGTAATAAAGTGCATAGTATTTGGTGAGGGAGTGAAGAAGAGGGAACTGTCAAGAATAACTCCTAGGTTTCTCACTTCCAGTTTTACAGATGGTGGTGTCTTTCACTGAAGTAGGGAATGTTGGGAAAGAACTAAGTTTTACAAGCCAAGATTGGTTTTCTACACATTGATTTTGAGAAGTACAAATAAGCAGATGGATGTATGTGTGTAGACCCCAAAGTGGTGATCAGAGTTGGGGGTACTGCCTCTTGCAGTACCTACATGATCTTCTGAATGCATGGAATTTATTTCCTTGCTTTTTCTAGTTTGTTCTTGCTCATTTTTTATATCTCAAATGAAATGTCATTTTCTCCCAGAAGCTGTGCCCAACCACTAGATCAGGTCATTTCCTCATCCTATGGATTTTCATAGTATCATAAACTTTCATAGTATTTGTCAAAATCATAATTTCACATTTATTCACGTAACTATTTTCTCTCTCCTTCTGACTAGAATTTTCATGAGGACAGGAACTGTGTCTGTTTTTGCTCACCTTTGTACCATATCCTATACTTAGCATAATGCCTAGCACCTGGTAGGTGCTCAGAATATATTTGAAAGAATAGTTTATATTAATGTTAATGTGAATAAAAAAGACTAATAGCTATTTACACATGGCGTAAAGCTGTTTCTCTAATTTAATGCATCAATTAGTTTTTTTTTTTTTTTTTTTGAGATGGAGTTTAGCTCTTGTTGCCCAGGCTGGAGTGCAATGGCGTGATCTTGGCTCACTGCAACCTCCATCTCCCGGGTTCAAGCTATTCTCCTGCCTCAGCCTCCCGAGTAGCTGGGATTACAGGCATGTGCCACCACGCACAGCTAATTTTGTATTTTTAGTAGAGACGGGGTTTCACCATGTTGGTCAGGCTGGTCGTGAACTGCCGACCTCAGGTGATCCTCCAGCCTCAACCTCCCAAAATGCTGGGATTACAGGCCTGAGCCACCGTACCCGGCCATCAGTTAGTATCTTGTGGCAGAAAGACTCTCGGATTTCTGCCAGTTACCCCTACCTTCTAGTATTTATATCCTTGTGTAATCCTGTCCCCATGCATAGGTGAGGAACCTGTGGCTTGCTGTAACCAATAAAATATGGCAAAAGGAGATGGGATGTCACTTCCATCATGATGTTACATAAAATTGGTGCTCCTATCTTGCTAGTAGACTATTTTTCTCTTTCCCTTGCTGGCTTTGGCAAAGTAAATATCCATCAGAAGAGGCCCATGTAGCAAGAACTGAGGGTGACCTCCTACCAGCAGCCAGCAAGGAAGAAAGACCCTCAGCCTAGTGACCCAGAAAGAACTGAATCCCGCTGGCAACCTCATGCATTTGGAAACAGATCACTACCTGGTTGGTCATCAGATGACTCCCCAGTCCTGGCTAACACTTTCTGAGAGACCCGAAAAGAAAGGAGCAGGCACAGCTGTTCCCATATTCCTGACTCACAAAAACTATGAAATAGTAAATGTGCGTTTGTTTTAAGCTGCTAAATTTGTGGTAACATTGTTACATAGTGAGAGAGAACTGGTTTTAGTATTATGGTACCTGGGAGTGCAATGCTGCTATAAAAAATACCAAAATATGTGGAAGTAGCTTTGAAACCAGGGAATAGTAAGAAGGTGGAATAATTTTGAGGAGAATGATAAAGTCCAAATTGCTTGAACATACTGTTAATGGAAACTTTAAAGACTTTAAAGGACTTTATGGACTTTAGAAACACTCCCAAGTTCAAAAGGAAATGAGGAGCATGTTTTTAGAAACTGGAGGAAGGTATATATCTTTGTTATGTAATGGCAGAAAATGTAGTCAAATGTCTCCTGCAATTATGTGGAAAGCAGAACATGTGAGTCCTGGGTTTGCTTTTGTAGGAATGGATATTTCAAAGCAAAGTGTTGAAGGCCCCACTAGATTTCTTCTTAATATTTATAGCAAAATATGAGAGGAGAGAAATAAATGGAGAGAACTATGAAACAAAAGGAGTTAGGACTTGATGATTTTGAAAATACTCAGTCTCTTCAGAGCGGAGAATATGCTAGAACAAGAAATGGCTTCCAAGCACTGTCAAGAAAAATGGCAGAGAGGCTGGGCATGGTGACTCATGCCTGTAATCCCAGCATTTTGGGAGGCTGAGGTGGGAGGATTGCTTGAGCCCAGAAGTTTGAGACTAGCCTGGGCAACGTAGCAAGACTCCATCTCTACAAAAAATAAAAATTAGCTGGGTATGGTAGTGAGCATCTGTAATCCCAGTTACTTGGGAGGCTAAGGCAGGAGGATCTCTTGAGCCCAGGAGTTTGAGATTACTATGATGAGCTATGATTTCACCACTGCCCTCCAGCCTGGGCAACAGAGTGAGACCCTGAAAAAAAAAAAAAAAGAAAAAAAGAAAAATGAATGGCAGAGGAAATGTTGGAGGTGTGACTATGTAGCCTTTTGTTAAAATCTCAGAAAGATGAACGAATCAGTATTCAGTTACATAAAAGGCCCTTGAAAGAGACTAAGAGTGTGCCTCAAGGACCTTTTCAGTGAAACCACAGGTCTTCTAGGAAGTTTAAGGACATTGTTCTCAGCAAAATCAACAGGAGCCCAAGATAGAAAAAGATCTTACCTAGATGAGATTTTTGGATGTGGCTTTTATCCAATGGAGTGAATGCCAATGAAATTCACAGAAGGCCTACAAAGTTTTTAAGAAAATTGCATCACCAAAAACACTGCCAGTTTGGACTGAAAGGGACAGAAAGAGTAGCAAATGAAAAGAAGTCATTGAACTTCCAAAATTCTATTAGCAGGAAGCAGCATAAGAAAACCACTGAGCATCAAACTTTACACCTTTCATGAAAAAGGAAGGGAGACTCAGAAGGCAGAACCAGGAGCATAGAGGGTGGAGCCAAGATCCACAGAAAATTATTTCCATACATTGAAACCTAATCAAAGAACTTCCAATATTTGCTGAGTTGCATTTCAGAATTGCTATGGACCATGGCCTTTATACTTCACATTTCCTTCCTTTTTCTATTTTTTTAGAGACAGGGTCTCACTCTGGGTCTTACCTAGGCTGGAGTGCAATGGTGCCATCACAGCTCACTGCAGACTTGACCTCCTGAGCTCCAGTGATCCTTCTGCTGTAGCCTCCTGAGTAGCTGGGACTATAGGTGTGCACCACCAGGACTGGCTAGTTTTTTAAATTTTTTGTAGAGACGAAGTCTTGCTATGTTTCCCAGGCTGGTCTCAAACTCCTGGCCTCGAGCAGTTCTCCTTCCTTGGCTTCCCAAAGTGCAGGTAGTGTGTACTTTGTCTACAACTAAAATAAGAACACTCCCTATTGACCGGATATGGTGGTTTACACCTGTAATCCCAACACTTTGGGAGGCCAAGGAGGGCAGATCACTTGAACCCGGGAGCTCGAGACTAGCCTGGGCAACATAGGGAGACTCTGTCTTTACAAAAAATACAAAAAATTAGCCAGGTGTGGTGGTGTGCACCTGTAGTCCTAGCTACTGGGGAGGCAGAGGTGGGAGGATCACCTGAGCCCCTGGGAAATCAAGGATGCAGTGAGCTGAGATCGCACCACTGCACTCCAGCTTGGGCTATGGAGTGAGGCCCTGCCTCAAAAAAAAAAAAAAAAAAAAAAAAAAAGGCTGATACAGTGGCTCATGCCTGGAATCCTAGCATATTTGGGAGGCTGAGGCGGGAGGATCATTTAAGCCCAGGAGTCTGGGACCAGCCTAGGCAACATGGGCGAAACCCCGCCTCTACAAAAAATAAAAAAGTTAAGTTGGGTGTGGTAGTGTTGTGCACCTGTGGTCCCAGCTTACTTGGGAAGCTGAGGTGGTAGAATTGCTTTAGTCTGGGAGGTCAAGGCAGCAGTGAGCCAAGATTGTGCCACTGCACTCCAGCTGGGTGACAGAGCCAGACGCTGTCTCAAAAAAAAAAAAAAAAAAAAAAAAGGAAAAAAGAAGAGGAAGAAGGAGAAGGAGAAGAAGGGGAAGAAGAAGAAGAAAAAGCCTGCCTTTGGAGAATTTTACTTAACAGGAGCTGAGGGATGGTAATAGAGAATAGTGCTTAAGTCTGGTGTGAACAAGAGTAACAGGATGTATTAATTCAGGCTGCCATAACAGAATACCACAGACTGGGTGGTTTAAACAGCAGACATTGATTTTCTCACAGTTCTGGAAGCTGGAAGTCCAAGATCAAGATGCCTCCAGGATTAGTTTCTCCTGGCCTCTCTCCTTGGCTTGCAGATGGCGGCCTTCTTACCATGTCCTCACATGGTCTTTCCTTTGTGTGTCCTTGGAGAGAAAGAGAGACAGAGAGGTCCCTGGGGTCTCTTCCTCTTCCTGTGAGGACATCAGTGGTGTCAGATTAGGGACCCACCCTTATGAACTCATTTAAGCTTAAAGACTATCTCTAAATATAGTCACATTGAGGGGTTAGGACTTCAAAATATGAATTTGTGAGTGGGAGGATACACTGCAGTTAATAACATAGGATAAGATCCAGGACTATTCTATAGTCTCTGAGGACAAGTATGTAATAAAACTAGATTGCCAGCATCTCTTGCTAGAACATATGCTCCACTGGGGCAGGAAGGGTGTCTGACTTGTATAATATGGTACTCACAGCACTTACTGCAGTGCCTATTCATGTAAATATGTATTGAATGAATGAATTAGTGAATGTGGTATTGGAAAGTGGGTGCAAAGAAGGCTATCTCAGTGATCTGAGATGTGAAGTACCCCAAGTACCTAAATTCATTCAATGGTGGTGGGAATGAAGAGAAAGGCTGACAATGAATGGCAATAAGTAGTGACAGAAGTGGGATAAAGTGGAGGGAAGAATCTATGGGTGTGTAATGCTCTGTGACTAAGTGACCTGGTGATCACTGTCCTATTAGTGAAAATAGAGAAACTGAGAAAAGTTAGTTCATTACTACTAATCCTCACTTTGAAATGAGATTACTGTCATTAATTTAGGACTTACTCATGATTTGTAAAACTGAATGTTCTCATAGCTTCTCCCAGATGTTCCCTGAATGTTCTCTAAGATGTGATTTCTCTCCCCTCCAGCAACATTCAGGGACCCTGTATTCTCACCACTCTTACCCTACTTTGGTAGCCCAAAGAGAATTATAAGCACTAGGCTGGGCAAGGTGATTCACACTTGTAATCCCAGCACTTTGGGAGGCTGAGGTGGGCAGATGACTTGAGCTCAGGAGTTCAAGATCAGCCTGGACAACAGGGTGAAACCCTGTCTCTACAAAATAAAAAAAAAATTAGCTGGATAAGGTGGTGCATGCCTGTAGTCCCTGCTACTTGGGAGGCTGATATGGGAGGATCACTTGAGCCCATGGAGATCGAGGCTGCAGTGAGCTGTGATGGCGCCACTGCACTCCAGCCTGATAGAGCAATCGAGTAAAATCCTGTCTCAAAGCAACAACAACAAAGAAAATTATAAGGGCTAGAAATACACATTTCTTTTTTTATTTTTCTTTCTTCTTCTTCTTCTTTTTTTTTTTGAGAGAGGGCCTCCTTCTGTCACCCAGGCTGGAGTGCAGTGGTGCAATCATGGCTCACAGCAGCCTCGACCTCCCAGGCCCAAGTGATCCTCCTATCTCAGCCGCCCAAGTAGCTGGGACCACAGGTGCATGGCACGACGCCTGACTAATTTTTTTTATTTTTGTAGAGACCAGGTCTCCCTATGTTTCCCAGGCTGGTCTCGAACTCCTTGGCTCAACCAGTCCTCCCACCTCAGCCTCCCAAAGTGTTGAGATTACAGGTATTACAAAGTGGTGAGATTACACTGCGCCCACCTCTCCTAGTAATACTACTTCTTTTATTTGTGGTAGCTATAGTAGAAATAGAAATATGGTCATTGGCTGGGCGTGGTGGCTCACGCCTGTAATCCCAGCACTTGGGAGGCCAAGGCGGTCAGATCACTTGAGGTCAGGAGTTTGAGACCTGCCTGACCAACATAGCGAAACCCTGTCTCTACTAAAAATACAAAAGTTTAGCTGGACGTGGTAGTGGGCACCTGTTGTCCCAGCTACTCGGGAGGCTGAGGCAGGAGAATTGTTTGAACACAGAAGGTGAAGTTGCAGTGAGCCAAGACTGCACCATTGCACTCCAACCTGGGCTACAGAGCAAGACTCTGTCTAAAAAAAAAAAGAAAAAAAAAGAAAAAGAAAAAGAAATTATGCTCATGTTGGGCATCACAATGACATGAAACTTGTAGGTACTAGTGCTCTTTATTTCAAGATTATTTCTCTTGTCTTCACTTCTTCCTTGTATTTATAATCCTGAGAGAATGACTCAAAACTAACTTTCTCAGTTCTCTAGCTGAGTTATTTATGAATGGAAATTTGCATCTAATGGCAGTCTACTTTCTGAAAGAGCTCATAATTACAATAATTTCAGTTTTCTTGAACTTTTTGAATATAACTCTTATGAACATTTCTTTTGAACATATCTCTATGAACAGACTATTCTTAGCTAACTTTAAAACTGAAACTGAAGGCCAGGTGTGGTGTCTCACGCCTGTAATCCCAGCACTTTGGGAGGCCGAGGCGGGTAGATCACTTGAGGTCAGGGGTTCAAGACCAGCCTGGGCAACATGGTGAAACCTCCTCTATACTAAAAATACAAAAAATAACCAGGAATGGTGGCATGCACCTGTAGCCCTAGCTACTAAGGAAGCTGAGGCAGGAGAATTGCTTGAACCTGGGAGGTGGTGGTTGCAGTGAGCTGAGGTCGCAGCCACTGCACTCCAGCCTGGGTGACAGAGTGAGACTCTGTCTCAAAAAAACAAAAACAAAAACAAAAAACAAACAAAAAACAAAGCCTGAAACTCAAAAGATTGTTAAATATAGATTTAGAGTAGCTGGATAACATCTGCTAATAGGAGTTAGCCCCAAGAAATTACTTATTATGAATGATTGGAATGCTTTCTTCTAGCCTTTGCCCTAGCTGCTCCAAAAGGGCAAAAACCAAATTCAGTGTTTAGACACACTCCCCTTCCAGACTGTGTTAATGTTCTTTATGAGTAGGCAGCATTTAAATGCTGCCTACTCACAAATCCTTGAGAAAAGGATTTGCTCACTGGGTTAGAACTTTTATAATTAGCTGATATAATGACCATTTTGAACTACTGCATCATGTTAATGCCCATCAATTTTAGTAAAGTTACTATCTTTGTATAAAAATGTGTATAATTCTTTGAATGTTTTATTGCTCCTTGCCTTAAATACTCTGTAACAATTAGTGAAAATGAAATAGCAATTAGTAACAAAAACATGAATTCTAAATGTGACATTGAAATTGCAAGACATTTCAATTAGGATGATAAAGTTTTAGCTGTTTTAACAAAGACAACAAAAATTTAAACAGGATAGAATGTTATTTCTCTAATATGTCACTCAGGGGTAGAGTTTTAAAAATAATAAAAAAGAATTTTATTTCTCATTTAATAGTCTGATTCCTTTCTCAAATAATGCTGATATGTTGGCTCTTCCATGCTGCCGTTCAAGTGTCCCTAAAATATTAGCCTCATCTGTTTGGTCCTAGATGGTTTGTTGCCATGTCCAAGTTCCAGGCAGCAAGATGGGAGAAGGCAAAGTAGAATAAAAAGACATGTTATCCATTTAAGGGGCATAACCCAGAAGTTGCATGTCAGTTCTGCTCTCCTCTTCCCCCTCCTCCTCCTCCTCCTCCTTCTCCTCCTCCTCCTCCTTCTTCTTTCTCTTCTTCTTCTTCTTTCTTCTTTTTGAGACAGGGTCTCACTCTGTCACATAGACTGGAGTGCAATGGTACAATCATAACTCACCGCAACCTCGAATTCCTGGGCTCAAAGGATCCTTTTGCCTCAGCCTCCCAGGTAGCTGGGACTACAGGTACTCGCCAGTGGGCCCAGCTAATTAATTTTTTTTTTTTTTTTTTTTGTTGAGACGAGGTCTTGCTTTGTTGCCCAGGCTGGTTCTTGAACCCCTGGCCTCAAGCAGTCCTCCTGCCTCGACCTCCCAAAGTGTTGGGATTACAGGTGTGAGCCACCACACCCAGCCAGGTTCTGTTTATTTATTTTATTTTATTTATTTTTATTTTTGAGACAGGGTCTTACTCTGTCACCCAGGCTGGAGTGCAGTGGCATGATCATGGCTCACTGCAGCCTCAACCTCGTGGGCTCAAGGCATCTTCCCACCTCAGCCTCTTGAGTAGCTGGGACTACAGGTGCACACCACCATGCCTGGCTATGAACTCTATTTCTTAAGGGAATATGTGAAGTATGAATTTGGCATGCCAAAAGTTATGACTCTTTAGTCTCAAATTACTGCTTGTTGGACTAAGCTGCTTGACTGCATGTTCAATTGTGAAGAAGAAAACAAAAGCAACCTTATGCATCATCAGCAAATGCTGAAAATATATTGTCAAAAACTAAGTGTAAATGAAGTATAATAACTGTTTTATTTATTTTATGGATCTTGACTTTCGAAGATTTGGCCTTTGAATTCACTTAAGATTCACATAACTTTATATGAAAGTAATGAACAACCTATCTGTATGGAAATTTCTGGCTTATTTGTTGTTCTGAAATTTTATGGTTGAATCAGCATTTCTGAGAAAGCTAGAGGCTTTGAGTGGCCAGCTTTTAAGTTAAGTGTAGAATGTAGTGGATTTCAATACTTTCTAAATAGGGTATCTCTGTTGAGCCTTAGAAAGTACTTTGAGCACAGGCAAGTCATTGCTGTCAGGCAATGCCAATGCTCACCTTAGTCAGAGCTGCTCTGGAGGGAAGCAGCATTCTCCAATCTCCTGGCCAATGCTCAGTTGTAGCATTGTCACCCCTGACTGGGAAGGGGAAGAAGAGTGCAGACTGTGAGCAAGTGAAGGGCTAAGAAGCGTGGAGTCCCAGCCTGGGTCCAAGTGGCCCAGAGAAAAGGATGATCAGAAATGTCAGGGGTCCTAGCACAGCAAGGAAATGATGTCACATGATACTTCTCTGCTCTGGTCCATTTGGGAGCAGCAGAACCTCAGCAGGTGGTAAGGGAGTGCCTGCGGGTGGCCATCTCCTGCAATACTAGAGCCACTGTGGCTTCGGATGTTTGATGACAGACCAGGACTAAGTAGCCATATGTTTGGGGCTTCTTTGAGGAGTACTCCAAATTTCACCCAGACATATTCTATTTCTTTATATTTGTTTTTTTTTTTTTTTTGAGACAGGGTCTCACTTTGTCACCCAGGCTCGAGTGCAGTGGCGCTGTCACAGATCACTGCAGCCTCAACCTCCTAGGCTTAAGCAATCCTCCCACCTCAGCCTCCTGATAGCTGGGACCACAGATGCATGCCACCATACCTGGCTAATTTTTTAATTTTGTAGAGACAAGGTCTCACCATGTTGCCCAGAATGGTCTCAAGGGATCCTCCCACCATGGCTTCTCAAAGTGCTGGGGTTGCAGATGTGAGCCACCATGCTCTGCTCGTGTTTATTGTAGTAGTCTACTATAGCCCTCAGTTACCTCTAACAAGTAAGGGATGCCATGGCTTTCTTCTGGCTCCTGTAGCAATAATTTTTTTTTTAACCACTGAAGGCATTTCTTTAGGTTAAGCAATAAAGATGAAGTCACCATCTCTGAAAGTTTCAGTCTTACTCATATATATTTCCAGAGAGGGGAAGGGAGTGGGATGTTGTATCTCTAGTCTCCTTTATCTCTCTCTCTTTTTATTTTTTAGATGAAGTTTCGCTCTTGTCGCCCAGGCTAGAGTGCAAATGGTGCAATCTCAGCTCACTGCAACCTCCGCCTCCTGGGTTCAAGTGATTCTCCTGCCCCAGCCTCCTGAGTAGCTGGGATTACAGCTAATTTTTATATTTTTAGTAGAGACAGGTTTCTCCATGTTGGCCAGGCTGGCCTTGAACTCCTGACCTCAGGTGATCCACCTGAGGTCCCAAAGTGTTGGGATTACAGGGGTAAGCCACCGCGCCTGGCCTTAGTTTCCTTTATCTCTTAACCATTTAAAGCTGACCTGTTTATCTGATTAACTGGTTGTCACATTAGGAGTAAGAAAAATTTGAATTAATGGCATCTATATTTCAGGCTGGAATAGTGAGACAAGAATATCAACAACAATACAATCTGAACGACCAGGGGCCATTTTTAGGGTGTGAGCTGAGGAGGGCAGGGTTTGGGTGTTGAGTTGCAAGAAGGAGAGTGCCTGGTGGCGGTGCACCAAAGAAGCTGGAGTGGCACAGGAGCTTTATGTAGTGAAATGTATTCCCCAAGGCTGCTCCTTCTCTAACGCCTTTTAGGCTAAGAACGTTTGGGTTGGAAGCAATGTACATTATTAGGATGGTGCAAGTCACTGTGGTCTAAGATATTAAATATTTTTTTCCTCTAAGGATTCATTACTTTTTTTGAGCTAATCACAACATTACATTTTTAGTACTGTGACCTTTAAATGCATATCTTATGATGAATTATAAATTTGCATTAAAACTTTTATACCAGTGGGTATGGACAAAGGTAAGACTTTCATTACCTTAGTGTATCTTCTTGTTTTTTATTTATTTATTTTTTTTAGACAGAGTCTTACTCTGTCCCCCAGGCTGTAGTGCAGTGGCGCAATCTCGGCTCACTCACTGCAAGCTCCACCTCCTGGGTTCATGCCATTCTCCTGCCTCAGCCTCCGGAGTAGCTGGGAGTACAGGCGCCCACCACCACGCCCAGCTAATTTTTTTGTATTTTTAGTAGAGACGGCATTTCACTGTGTTACCCAGGATGGTCTCGATCTGCTGACCTTGTGATCCGCCCATCTCCACCTCCCAAAGTGCTGGCATTACAGGCGTGAGCCACTGCGCCCGGCTACTTAGTGTATCTTTTTATATATATATATTTCTTTTTCTTCTTTTTAGTAGCTAAGCCTTCACAAGCTTAGTGTAACTCTGTGAGAGTCCTGTATCTTTTGAACAGTTTGGATATTTAATGATATGTCTCCTTATCTACTTTAACATGTTTTAAAAAACCCCAATAACATTTCTTTATTTCTTTTTATAAAAAATTATTTATTTATTTATTTATTTATTTATTTATTTATTTATTTATTTATTTTTGAGGCAGGGTGCTTGCTCTGTTGCCCAGGCTGGGAGGGCATTGGCATGATCTCTGCTCACTGCAACCTCTGCCTCCTGGGCTTAGGCATGTTTCTGCCGGGGTGCCACCACGCTTGGCTAAGTTTTGTTTTTAAGGTTTTTTTTTTTTTTTTTAATAGAGACAAGGTCTCGCTATATTATCCAGGCTGGTCTTGAACTCCCGGGCACAAGCAGTCCTCCCGGACTCAAGCAGTCCTCCCACCTCAGCCTCCCAAACTGCTGGGATTACAGGCAATGAGCCACTGCACCTGGCTATTTATTTATTTATTTGAGACTGAGTCTCGCTCTGTTGTCCAGGCTAGAGTGCAGTGGCACGATCTCGTCTCACTGCAACCTCTGTCTCCCAGGTTTAAACGATTCTCTTGCCTCAGCCTCCTGAGTAGCTGGGACTACAGGCACACGCTACCATGCCTGGCTACTTTTTGTATTTTTAGTAGAGATGGAGTTTCACCATGTTGGCCAGGCTGGTCTCAAACTCCTGACCTCAAGTGATCCGCCTGCCTTGGCCTCCCAAAGTGCTGAGATTACAGGCGTGAGCCACTGTGCCCGGCCTATTTCTTTATTTTTAAAATTTTACACTTCTTTATATAAATATTTTTGTAATCCTTCATGGGATTGAAGATAGTTCCTTTAATAATGTAAGTGAAGCTGTCAATTAGTGGAAAGTACACCGGACCTAGATTCAGAGGTCTCAGGTTGTTGTCACAGGTCCTGTTGAAATGATTTTGTTGTGTTTTTAATAAATTGGATACCTAGTTAATAATTTACAGTGAGAAATGCCCCTTCACAAGGATCAGAATGTTCATGCCCATTGATCAAGAATCTAATTCCAGTGTCAGGGTATTGAGGAGTAGGTATAATATATCTGATGCAATTTCTCATGATCTTAATTCTTCTTTTGTGATGTGAGAGGCTTGGATAAGATAACCTTTAAATTTCCTTTAATTCAAAAAATTTCTTTTCCATGGCCTGCGTCACGGAGAGGGGAAGCAGCATGCAAAACCTAGAAAATAGGTGGGTTCCATGCCAGGCACTGTGGCAAGCATTTAGTGTGCATTATTTCATTTAATCCTCACAACTGATGAGGTAGGTATTATTATCATCCCCTTTTTAATATTAGGTTGGTGCAAAAGTAATTGTGTTTTGCCATTAAAAGTAACTAAGCATTAGGTAACTTGCTCAGGTATCCCACAACTAGTGAGTGGCAGAGTTGGGATCTCCAATACAGGTCTGTCAGGGTCTGGAGTTTGGGGGCTGAGGTCTATGCTGGCTCTTTAACTAACATACAGTAGCAGTTCTGAGGAACGTTTATTTCAGAGCAATAAGCGGGATGGAGATTTTTTGCTTTTAAAAAAGTTACGTATTGGTAATAGTTCTCTAGGTATTTTACATCCTTACTTTATATAAGTATATAAAGTTTGACAATATAAAAAGCAAAGAAATCTCTGAATGCAAGTGGCAAAATAAAGTCAGATTAAATCTTCTGCCTCTAAACCGAATGAAAAAATCTAATGAAAAATCTTGTGGTACAGAAGGGAATGGAGCAATATCCACTAACTTCTGAGGACAAAAATGTGTAGCCCACTTCTTCTCCGAGAAAACACCGAATGGTAGATGGCGCTGGGACAGCCGAGAGAGGAAGGGGCCCTGGGATGGGGAACCGCGGAGTCTTCTGCGGAGGCTGCGGCAGTGGCATCCCCGGCCGGGGTTGCTGCCATGAGCGGGGGCGGAAGTGTCTGAGGCCGCAGAGCTAGTGGAGGCAAGGCCAAGGACAAAGAATGGATGCCCATCACCAAGCCGTGCCAGCCTGGTCAAAGACATGAAGATCAAGTCCCTGGAGGAGATCTATCTCTTCTCCCTGCCCATGGAGGAGTCTGAGATGATTGACTTTTTCCTGGGGGCCTCTCTCAAGCATGAGGTTTTGAAGATTATGCTGGTGCAGAAGCAGACCCGTGCTGGCCAGTGCACCAGGTTCAAGGCGTTGGTGGCCACAGGGGACTACAGTGGCCACGTCGGTCTGGGTGTTAAGTGCTCCGAGGAGGTAGCCACTGCCATCCGAGGGGCCATGATCCTGGCCAACGTCTCCACTGTCCCCGTGCGCAGAGGCTACTGGGGAAACAAGTTCGGCAAGCCCCACACGGTCCCTTGCAAGGTGACAGGCCGCTGCGGCTCTGTGCTGGTGCACCTCATCCCTGCACCCGGGGCGCTGGCATCGCCTCGACCCCAGTAGCTAAGAAGCTGCTGATGATGGCCGGTATCCATGACTGCCACACCTCAGCTGGGAGCTGCAATGCCACCCTGGGCAACTTCGCCAAGGCCACCTTTGATGCCATCTCCAAGACCTACAGCTACCTGACCCCCGACCTCTGGAAGGAGACTGTATTCACCAAGTCTCCCTATCAGGAATTCACTGACCACCTTGTCAAGACCCACGCCAGAGTCTACGTGCAGAGGACCCAGGCTCCAGCTGTGGCTACAACATAAGGTTTTTATACAAGTAAAATAAAGCGAATTAAGCCTGTTTAAAAAAAGTGTAGTCCAACAAAACTGTTCAGTTATAAAGTCAACAAGCAAGCTTTCTCAAATATGAAAAGACAGAGGGAAAGTAGTACTTAGAATCTAGTGTGTAAAAGATATAGAAGTAAGCCTTTCATGAACAAAACCATTGGACATTGAAATCCAGCCAAAGAAATGAATCAAAATCAAGAATGTAGGAGTGGTAAAAGAACTGGAAATGAGCATTAGACGCTTTTAAAAATAGAACAAAAACTAAGTAACTAGGGGTATCATAATTACAGAACATGATGTGATGGCTTATAACCTGGCAAAGTAAAATATATTATAATTAATGAGAAGAGAAATGGAGGAAAATGTAGGTAGGAGAAATTGTTAAGAGTGTAATCACTTCATCTTTCATAGCAGGGAGTCAACCCATGCTGTCTAAAATTAAACCATGTAGTTAAGAAAAAAATAAAAACATTTCCGGATCTTTGATTATTTTAATAATCTCTTTGCTTAACCTGAGAGCCAGAGAGGAGAGCCAGCATCTGTGTGCCAGATTTGCATACAGCTGTGTTTTGGTTTTGTATGACCAGATCAATGTTTTCAAATATCTTAAAATCTGAATGTCTTTAGGTGGGAGTGCACTTGCCTGTTAACTTCATTTTATACATTTGTATTTCACACATTGAAGGGCCTGCCCGGCCTTGTCTTTAGAGGACTCTTTGGCAACTAATATCTTCTATGATGAAGAATCATTTATCTGAAATTCAGTAATTCTTGGAGTAAGATGAAATAATTGACCAATAGATACATTCCTCTTATTTTTTGTGTGAAATATCTTTTTCTCTGGCTTAACAAATGGAATGTTTCTCGTGCATTATAATGACAGTAATCTGTCTCCTAGCAAAGCCAGACACTGCTGCCTCCATCCTTTTCTTAAATTGGCTGTGCCCTGGCCTTTGACTCCAGTGCACGCATGAGTGATGCACAGAGAGTGATTTTCCTGAGAGATCCCTTTCATTGGGTAGGTGCCTCCGGGGAGGCTTCTCCTTACACGTCTTACTCTATTTAAAGCCTTGGGGACTTAGCTGTTGTCACCTTCTAGCTATTTCTTTGGCTCAAATTTAACTTTCAGTCCTTTAAACAGACTAAGGATTGGGACTGAAAGGGAGCCAGAAGAAACAGCTGATTGGCTGTGCAGGTCTTGTTCGGGTGTTCTGACCCTGGCTGGAGAGGCTGAGCTGGTCATTCTGAGAGCAACTGCGAGGGCAGCCTGAGTCTGCTCTGACGCTTTAGAAGGGACAGCGGATGGACATTGGAAGGACTGGTATTCCAGCAGGAGACCAAAGATTGGGCATTGCAAAGAGAACTGCAGAACTCTCTTAAGATAGTATTTCCACATAAAGGTACTGTATTAGTTCTTTAGGGAGCTGCTGAAGACAAAATAGATACCGCCTTAAAAAAGCAAAACAAACCTTTTATTTAAATTAAATTTTGTAATAATCAAGAGAGAGATGCCTGTCACACTTAGATTTTGAATTTTTAAATGTTTCCATAATTAGAAGGCATTTCGTGGGAAGGAATAAAGGCTGGATTGTGTGATGGTGGCTGTGAGAATGGGATAGGAAGGGTAGAGATGAGCTCTGTGAAAGAAAGAACCAAAGTTTGGTTGTTGATTGGATATGAGAACAGAGAAGGATTCAAGCTTGATTACCTGAATGGCAGGTAATATTATTATTATTATTATTTTTGAGACAGAGTTTGGCTCTTGTTGCCCAGGCTGGAGTGCAATGGCGCGATCTTGGCTCACTGCAACCTCCATCTCCTGGGTTCAAGTGATTCTCCTGCCTCAGCCTCCCAAGTAGCTGGGATTACAGGCATGCACCACCACGCCTGGCTAATTTTGTATTTTTAGTAGAGACAGGATTTCACCATGTTGATCAGGCTGGTCTCCAACTCCTGACCTCAAGCAATCCACCCACCTCAGCCTCACAAAGTGCTGGGATTACAGGTGTGAGCCACTGCACCTGGCCCCAGTAATATTATTAACTATGGGTAAGCCAAGGGGCTCACACCAAGGTGTTCTCATTGGCTTGCTTCTTGCTTTCACAGGTAATATCATTACAGTCAGAGAATTTCCTCAGTAAGGTGATTTTATTCTGTCTTTGTAGTGCTTACAATGAGTGTTCTCCTAGGATAACCTTTCTAAACTCACCACATATTATCCAGGACAGTTGGACTCCTTGTATATAACATTTTTGTTATGGAAAAAAAGTTTAAAAATTTGTGTAAGGCCAATCATAATTAACCTATTGATTAACTTCAAAATTTATCATTGAGAAAGGTAAATTGTTTGCTACTAAAATATTTAAGGCATTCAGGCATATACAGACAAATATATATATATATATATATATATTTTTTTTTTTTTTTTTTTTTTTTAGAGACAGGGGCTTGCTCTGTTGCCCAGACTGGAGTGCAGTGGCACAATCATAGTTCACTTGAACTTCTGGGCTTAAATGATCCTTCTGCCTCAGCCCCCTGAGTAGCTGGGATTACAGGTGTGCCTTACCACACACAGCTAATTTATTATTATTATTATTATTATTATTATTATTATTTTTGAGATGGATTCTCACTCTGTCGCCCAGGCTGGAGTATAGTGGCATGATCTCAGCTCACTGCAACCTCTACCTCCTGGGTTGAAGCGATCCTCCCACCTCAGCCTCCCTAGTAGCTGGGATTACAAGTGTGCACCACCACACCCAGCTAATTTTTGTATTTTTAGTAGAGATGAGGTTTCACCATGTTGGCCAGGCTGGGCTCGAACTCCTGACCTCAAGTGATCCACCCACCTCAGCTTCCCGAAGTGCTGGGATTACAGGCATGAGCCATGGCACTCGGCCAATAATGTTTCTTAACCCATTGGTACTAAGAACTCTCAATGGAGATTGTTACCCCTATTCTGCATGCCATTCTATGACATCTTTTGAGTTTTTATCTGAGGGTGAAATTATGCGTGGAAAGGGCTGCCTATATTTGCTTACATTTAATAAATGTCCAACTAATTAGAATTATAAATTGGAGAATTTTGTTTTTCTTATGCCTCTTAGTCAAATTTGCAACTTGTTATTTTATTAATAAATGTTATACATTTTTGTAAAAATTAAGAAAAATTGCTTTCATTAAAAAATCCATGTTTCATTAATTTATAAATTTAACAGATTAAAGTTCCCTAAATAAAAGTAGTTTATTGAGTTTTCTTAAACATTTTAAACTACTTTTACGAGTTTCATACTACAGCATCAAATCTAAACTGCCATTAGTTGTAAGATGCACCATTATTTTATGTACTACCAGAAAGGGAAAATGCCACCAATGCAATCTTATATTGATTGTAAGACATATCCAGATCCATTTTGCACATTTGCTAAAATGAGGAAGAAATGTGCATCTAGAATTGATAAAATACTATATAGCTGGTATCTCAAATAGTGCAAATGTTAGGTTTGAAGCAAGCAAAATCTTTGTAAGCATTTAAACAGCTCTTGTGAATCTAAACGCATTTAAATTAATATATAGATTTCTAAATGTAGTATATATTAAATATTTAAGTACTGTCTATAAATGTAACCAAATTCTGTTACATATTCTGCAATAAGTTAAAAAAGGGAAAATTTCAGTAATCATAGGATGATGTTAGTTTCTATAATGTGTCAGTTTCTCTTGAGCAATTCCAAACACCTTCAATTGCAAACTCATGAGGATATTCTTGATGTTTATAAAACTTATTACTAAGCACAAAATTAATGCATGGGTTTGGTTACTTCACCATCCTTTCACCATTCTTATTCTTTTTTTTCCTTTTTTTTTAGATGGAGTCTCGTGCTGTCGCCCAGGCTTGCAGTGGCGCGACTGCAGCCTCGGCTCACTATAGCCTCTGCCTCCCGGTTCAAATGATTCTCCCACCTCAGCCTCCCAAGTAGCTGGGATTACAGGTGGCTGTCACCAATCCTAGCTAATTCTTGTATTTTTATATAGTAGAGATGGGGTTTCACCATGTTGGCCAGGCTGGTCTCGAACTCCTGACCTCAAGTGATCCACTGCCTCAGCCTCCCAAAGTGCTGAGATTAGAGGTGTGAGCCACCGCTCCTGGCCTTCACCATCCTTATTATTATTTTAATGTTATAGAGTCACTTATCCAATGAGCAGATTTACTGTCTTAGGCCAGCATTACTAGTTCTCAAAATCCCCCTTTGGATTCTGAATTAGATTAGTGGTTCTCAAAATTTTAGGCATCAGGACCCCATTACCCTAAAAAATTGTTGAGAATCCTAAAGAGCTTTTATTTACATGGGTTATAACTATTGATATTTATTACAATAGAAATTAAATCTGAGAAATTTTAAAAAATATTTTTATTGATTCATTTAAAAATAACAATAATAAGCCTGGTGCAGTGGCTCACACCTATAATCCCAGCACTTTGAGAGGCCGAGGTGAGAGGATTGCTTGAGCCCAGGAGTTTGAGAGTAGCCTGGGCAACACAGTGAGACCCCATCTCCAAAAAATTAAGAAAATTAGTTGGGTGTGGTGGCACATGCCTGTAGTCCCAGCTACAGGGGAGGCTGATGTGGAAGGATTGCTTGAGCCTGGGAGGTGAAGGCTGCAGTGAGCTGTGATTGCACCACTGCACTTCAGCCTGAGTGACAGAGCAAGGCCCTGTCTCAGAAAAAAAAAACCAAAAACACATCAATGTTAGTATTAATAATATAGTTTTATGGAACAAACAATTAAAAAAATTTTGGAATTTTTTTTTTAGCAATGAATTGAGTAAGGATAAAAATCTGAAAGATGCATAGGAGACACATGACAAAATGTATCGACTTGCCTCCACTGACACAACAGAAAAATGTGACTCTAACACTTTGTCCCTAAATCCTATTCTCCTGCATATAATAGTCAAGCATCCAGACATTGCTACTTTATCTGTATTCAGCAGAAGCTGGGTGATCATTGTTAGAGAAGTTGAAGAAGTAATTCCTTCATTAGGCAAGAAATTGGACTAGACCAATAATCACAAAGTTCCATTTTCATCCTATGATTCTATGCTCCTTTGAACCCTGAAAAACTCCAGGCTTTTCTGAGTATCTACGCAAGGGTAGGCCCTGTTGCTTGCTTTTCCTGTATGTGGTCTCCATTTCCCTTTGTGACAGAGTTCCAATTGTGCTTAGAGAATTAGAATGTCCAGTTAAGGAGACATAATTCCCTGGGTCCCCTGCAACTAGGAGCAGCTTTGTGACCTAGTTCCAGCCCATGAGATATAAGCAAAATCCACAAGATGAGAATTCTGGGAGATTGATGATTTCCCTTATGAAAAAAAAGCATATTTAGAAATAGGTGTCTTTTTCCTTCTTTCTGCCGGGAACATCAATGTAATACCTGGAGATGGGGTAGCTCTCTATGACCATGAAGAAGAAAGCCACACACAAAAAATGGATGATCAGAAAGTGAAAGGAGCCTCCTTCTGGACTTCTTGTTACATAGGAAAAATCTTTCCTTAAGACACTGTAATTGAATTTCTGTTACATGCAGGCTAACTCAAACCTAACCAGAATAATTGTCAAAAATGCTTCAATTTAATCTGAACTTAATTGTCCAAGACCTTCTCTACAGGCCAGTGTGGCAGGCAGCCAGCGCATTCTTAAATTGCTTTAGCCTGTCATCTCACCACTTGGGCATTCTTGATGAGGTTAGTGCCATGGCACACTGCCAAGGGTGGCTTTGGGATCAGCCAGAAGAGTCCTGGGTTTGTATCACTAGCTGTGTGACCTCAGGCAAGTGACTTAATTTCTTTGAGCTTTAGTTTTCTCATCCATATAAATGAGACGAAGATTTAATATCTCCTGGTTGTTGTGAGGATTACCTGAGATAACAGGGAGAATCTCTAGCACAAGGCCCTGTGGGCCACAAAGTAGGTACTTAACAAATGGCAGGCTCTGTTTCTCTCTTCCTGTTATGGAAGTAAATTAGTCTCATTCATGGTCAGTGGCAAATATTACAGACATATGTCCTACTAGTTTAAAGTTCAGTAACAAAAATATAACAGGATTTTTGGGTGCTAATGTTTATGCAAATATTTATACAATAAACTAGATGAAGTATGGATGCCTGTGACCCCTACCAAGCCATGCAGATGAGCAGCTGATATCTATGGATCTGAGTAAGCGCTGAATGGTGACCTCAGAGGGTAGGGGTTAATAAAGATGATGATGATGATGATGATGATGATAATGATGATAGTAGTTAATATCTCTATTTTTAAAATCTGCCTTCTAAACATGAAGTAGCTAATATTTCTAAAGCACCTACTATGTGCTAGCCACTGTGGTAAGCACTTGATATGCCTTCTCTCATTTAATACTTATGAACTAAGGTTGCTATTATCATCTCCAGTTTATGAATAAGGAAATGGAAGCTTGGAGACTTTAAACAAGTTGCCCAGCATCACACAGTAGTAGAGTTGGGACTAGATTTCAGCTTTGTCCAACTTCAAGGTCATGCTGGTAACCACTGTCTATTGATAAGATGAAAATCAACGGTGAGCTAAAGTAGGGTTTTGAGAGTCTATTGTGTTCATCTCTTCTCAAATATGCATTTAATGAAGTCACACTAGTAGCTTGAAATCAGCCCTCATGAAAGTGTATCTATGCCACTGAAACTGGCAAGTGCTACCTACCAATCGGGTCTCTCTCCCACGCCACTGCCCTAAGAGCTGGTTGTTAAACATTTACCAGCACACCGCTGGATGGGATATAGCTGTGTTAGAGAAGGTATGGATCAAGAAACAGTGAATCTGGCTGACGGGGAGATTAATGAATAAGTGAGGACAGAAGGCCTCTTAAACATTTGTCCTGAGTTATTTGCTAGGTGAGATAGATTCCTGTGAACAGTGGAAAAGGATAATTTTTCCTGGTGCTATGGACAGAAGGGAATCAAGCTGGACTGAGGGTCTGAGGATCTTAAACATGAAGGACAGACACAATGTACATTTCCTCACTTATTTCAAGGTCCTCTTTGTGAGTCCCTTCTCTGTGCCAGGTGCTTCTATGTGTCACATCTAGAAACATACATAGCATAGAATCCCTCTGGATTAGTCAGCCTCAGCTGCTGTGACAAAATACCATAGACTGGGGGGCTTAAACAATAGAAACCTATTTCTCACAGTTCTGGGGCCTGAGAAGTCCAGATCAGGGTGTTGGCTGATTTGGGTCCTGGGGTGGGCTGTCTTCCTGGCTTGCAGAGAGTTGCCTTCTCAATTTTCTCGCATGGTGGAGAGAGATTGAGCGAGCCCTCTGGTTTCTCCTATCAAATTAGGGCCCCACTCTTATGATCTCATTTAACCTCAATTATTTCTTTACTCCAAATACAACCATACATATTAGGGGTTGATTAGGGCTTCAACATATAAATTTTTGGGAGACACAATTTATTATTTATTTATTTTGAGACAGAGTTTTCCTCTTATTGCCCAGGCTGGAGTGCAATGGCGTGATCTTGGCTCACTGCAACCTCCACCTCCCGGGATTCTCCTGCCTCAGCCTCCAGAGTAACTGGGATTACAGGCGCCCGCCACCATGCCCAGCTAATTTTCTGTATTTTTAGTAGAGATGAGGTTTCACCATTTTGGCCAGGCTGGTCTTGAATTCCTGACCTCAGGTGATCTGCCCGCCTTGGCCTCCCCAACTGCTGGGATTACAGGCGTGAGCCACCGTGCCCAGCCCAAGACACAATTTAGAAGAGAAGTTTACTTCTCTTGGGGGGAAGCAAACATATATACAAATAATTACAATGTAATGTTTTAAAAAGTAATTTAAACATTACATATAATTTTTTAGTGAGATGCAAGTTTGTCTTAACTACTGCAGGGAATCCTTTTAGTGATTCACGGACTAGTTTTTTTTCGAGATGGGTCTCACTCTTTCTTCCAGGATGAAATGCAGTGACATGATCATAGATCACTGCAGCCTTGAACTCCTGGGCTCAACTTATCCTCATCCTCAGCTTCCCGAGTAGCTGGGACTACAGGCATAAGCTACTACTGCCAGCTGAGAAGGAGACTCCTTTATTTTGCTGGATTATGTTAAAACACAAAGGCTTGGGTTATGGAGATGTTGCTGTGTTGTCTCAAGCCATGATATTGATTGATTGATTGATTGATTGATTGAGATGAGCCTCACTCTGTTGCCCAGGCTGGAGTGCAGTGGAGCGATCTTGGCTCACTGCAACCTCCGCCTCCTGGGCTCAAGTGATTCTCCTGCCTCAGCCTCCCAAGTAGCTGGGACTATAGGTGCATGTCACCACGCCCAGCTATTTTTTGTATTTTTAGTAGAGGTGGGGTTTCACCATGTCGGCCAGGCTGTTCTTGAACTCCTGACCTCAGGTGATCCACCCGCCTTGGACTCCCAAAGTGTTGGGATTACAGGTGTGAGCCATTTAGCCTGGCCACAAGCCATGATATTTAAAAGTATCCCCATTAACATCTTCAATTTGGTCCAAGTAAGTTGATAAACAGTGGCAACTTTAGCTCTCTGAGTTGGCTTCCTACCCCACTCAGTAGTCTTTGTATTTCCCAGTATTCTCATCAGGCTATCAAACAGGAAAGGATCTCATGCGTCACTATTTATTGATGGACCCATCCCTTAGTATGGACTATTTGCATAACTGTGTTACTTAAAAACACACTTTTAGTCTTTTAAATTCAATTTTATTTTAATTAATTAATTAATTATTTTGAGATAGGGTCTCACTCTGTTGCCCAGGTTGGAGTGTAGTGGTGCGATCTTGGCTTACTGCAACCTCTGCCTCCCAGGTTCAAGCGATTCTCGTCCTTCAGCCTCCCTGAGTAGTCACCACACCTGGCACATGCATTTTTGTATTTTTACTAGAGATGGGATTTTGCCATGTTGGCCAGGTTGGTCTCCAACTTCTGACCTTAAGTGATCCACCTGCCTTGGCCTCCCAAAGTGCTGGGATTACAGGTGTGAGCCACCGTGCCCAGCCTATTTATTTATTTACTTATTTATTTTTTGAGACAGGGTCTTGCCCTGTTGCCCAGGCTGGAGTGCAGTGGCATGATCATAGCTCACTGCAGCCTTGACTTCCTGGCCTCAAGCGATCCTCCCTGTTCAACCTCCTGAGTAGCTGGGACCACAGGTGTGTTGCCACCATGCCTGGCTAGTGTTTTTATTTTCTGTAGAGATATGGTCTCACTCTATAGCCCAGGCTGGTCTCAAACTCTTGGGTTCAGGTGACCCTCCTGCCTCAGCCCCCCAAAGTGCTGGGATTACAGGCGTGAGCCACCATGCCCCCCACCCAGCCTAAATTAAACTTTGGAATAAAATATTTTATGTGCCATTAAAGGGATTTCAACAAGCTGGTAGACAGATGTTGGAGGTAAGAGAAGTAAAATCTGAAATATACCCCATATTAAAAAACCCAACAGCCATTTTAAGGAGAATAGATAATGAGAAGGGGCTAAAGAGGAATGATTTTATTTATGCATCTATTTATTTATTTTTGAGACAAGGTCTCTCTCTGTCACCTGGACTGGAGTGCAGTGGCATGATCATGGCTTACTGCAGCTTCGACCTCCCAGGCTCAGGTGATCCTCTTGCCTCAGCCTCCCGGGTAGCTATGACTACAGGCATGCCATCATGCCTGACTAATTTTTTCATTTTTTGTAGAGATGGGATTTCACCATGTTCCCAGACTGCTCTCAAACTCCTGGGCTCAAGCAGCTCGGCCTCCCAAAGTGTTGGTACTACAGGCATGAGCCACTGCGGCTGGCCAGGAATGATTTTAGAAATATTTCATTGTTCTGGTGAGGTTTGGGCTTCTGGTTAAAAAAAAAAAAAAGAAAAAAGAAAAGAAAAATATTTTGTTGTTTGCCTACATAGTCTTTGCTCTGGCTCTACTGTGGAGGAGAAGCCAGAGAGAAGCTCACTCGGCTACTGCTATTGATGGAGAATAATTTCTGGGAGCCACACTTGGCATCGGTGGGCTTGGGTCCTACTGTACCAATGTCTTCCATGATATCCAGCCCTCCCTGTCCTAGGACACATAAGAGCAGCACTTCTCCCTAAAGATCCTCCCCCATTTTCAGTTTACTCTTTCTCAAATCTTGTGGGGTTTAGGCAGGGTGTGTTCTTAAGAACCTATTGTTAAAATTTCAAGAATTTTGTGGGGCAGTTGTCAAACACAGCCATAATTAAGAATTAAATTATATACACCTTCCCAGTTTGGGCAACATGGCGAAACTCTGTCTTTACAAAAAAATTAGCTGGGTGTGGTGGTGCACACCTGTGGTCCCAGCTACTCAGGAGGCTGAGGTAGGAGGATCACTTGAACCTGGGAAGTTGAGGCTGCAGTGAGCCAAGAGCATACTACTGCACTCCAGCCTGGGCAGCAGAGTGAGACCCCCTGTCTCCACAAATAAATAAATAAATAATAAATAAATTATATACACCTTACAATCAAATAAGTTATATTCAAAACAAAGATAAATACTCAAAGTTCTTCACTCCCCAATTATTTTACAACGTGTTACTATTATTTGAGATCTTGAGGTTATTTGTATTTATTCCATCTGTATGATGGAAACATTATGTAATGATGTGCTACCGCAAAGAAAGCTCTTCCAAACCCTGTGTTCCCATGTCCTGTGATGCCACCTTGGAGGCTGAAATCAGCTACCGTATTCTCATGGACATTTCCTCCAGGGAAATCTGCAAATGCCGCAGGAATCTGATTTGTTGTTTTACTGGTTGTTTATACTTAAACAACTGATAGAGAAAATGTTAGTAATGCAGATTAAACTAAAAGTGTTTCATGCCTAAAACAGTTCCTTTATGACTAGCACAAAGATTGAGAAATTGAGAAAATATCCTTCAAGTATTTGAAGCTATTAATCTGATTCTGCAAAGTCACTCACTTAATTGACAATTGAGTCAAGTTCTGACAGAAGTATTGTTTCACTTTCATCTTACTCTTTAACATAAATGAAAATATCCACCAACACTTATGTTAGAACTAAATCTTTCCTTAGTTGCAACCATATATTGGCTACAGATAAAAGAATTCATAAAAAATCTGTGAAAACATTCCATGAGAATCAATTGTGTGCATTGAATTTAAAATAGAGTATTGTATGTTTTATTGTTATTTTAAAATTGTGTGCTATATATCCTTTATGTCAGTAAAATTTATAACAAACACATGTATCTAGATATACAAAAAGTTTTTTTCTTGGAGCTCAGGTTGTTAATCATTTACTAGCACACTGCTGCATTCGTGGTCTTCTTTTCTTCCTTAGCACTCACTGCAATCATAGCTCAATAACTAAATGTGTATTTAAAAAAATCTAATGTTTGTCTTCCTTGCTTAGAATATAAGCTCCATAAGGGCAGAAAACATTTCTGTTTTATACATAGCCATTTTCTCAGACCCTCGCTCAGTATTTGGCACCTGGCAGGTGCTCAATAAATTTTTTTTGGATGAATGGATGGATAAATTAGTGAATCCAAATCCTAACTTTAGTTTTCCTGCTGCCAATGATTCATTTAATGTTTTCTTATAAATAAATATATATACATATATATTTACTTTTAAAAAATAATAAAGACAGGGTTTTGCCATGTTGCTCAGGCTGGTCTCGAACTCCTGAGCTCAGGCAATTCACTTGCCTTGGCCTCCCAAAGTGCTGGGATTACAGGCGTGAGCCACCATGCCTGGCCACTTAACATTTTCTTACATTTTAAATTAATTATGAGACATTTAACTTTAATTTTAAACATTTAACTTTATTTATTTATTTATTTATTTATTTTTTTTTTTTTGAGACGGAGTCTCGCTCTGTCGCCCAGGCCGGACTGCGGACTGCAGTGGCACAATCTCGGCTCACTGCAAGCTCTGCTTCCCGGGTTCACGCCATTCTCCTGCCTCAGCCTCCCGAGTAGCTGGGACTACAGGCGCCCGCCACCGCGCCCGGCTAATTTTTTGTATTTTTAGTAGAGACGGGGTTTCACCTTGTTAGCCAGGATGGTCTCGATCTCCTGACCTCATGATCCACCCGCCTCGGCCTCCCAAAGTGCTGGGATTACAGGCGTGAGCCACCGCGCCCGGCCACTTCATTAATATTCTTATATTGCTTTATCTAAATGCCTCTCCTTAAACAATTATTGTGCAGTCTAATGTAATATTTTTCAAACTATTTGTCTATGACACGGTAAGAAATACATTTTACATGACAAGTCTCTGATGCATACATATGTGTATGTATGTATAATGTAATAAATATGTTTGTATGTATATATGTTTTTAACAAAAGTTTCCTAAAACAAAACACTTAATGGAATGCACTCTGGTATTTTTTACCCTAGGTTAGTGTGTCCTAATTTATCTTTTAAAAACTCCTGATGGTGAACTTAAACAAATCAACAAGAAAAAAACAAATAACTCTATTAAAAAGTGGGCAAAGGACATGAACAGACATTCCTTAAAAGAAGGCATACAAGCAGCCAACAAACACATGAAAAAATCCTCAATATCACTAATCATCAAAGGGATGCAAATTAAAACCAAAATGAGATACCATCTCATACCAGACAGAATGGCTATGGTTTTTGTTGTTGTTGTTGTTTTGAGACACAGTCTCACTCTGTCACCCAGGCTGGAGTGCAGCGGCACAGTCTTGGCTCACTGAACCTCCACAGTCTTGGCTCACTGCAACCTCCACCTCCTGGGTTCAAGTTATTCTCCTGCCTCAGCTTCTGCAGTAGCTGGGATTACAGGTGTGTGCCACCATGCCCACCTAATTTTTGTATTTTTAGTAGAGAACGAGTTTCACCATGTTGGCCAGGCTGGTTTCGAACTCCTGAACTCAAGTGATTCACCTGCCTCGGTCTCCCAAAGTGCCGGGATTACAGGCATGAGCCACTGCGCCCGACATGAATGGCTATGGTTAAAAAGTAAAAAATCACAGATGTTAGTGAGGATTCAGAGAAAAGGGAATGGTTACACACTGTCGGTGGGAATGTAAGTTAGTTCAACCACTGTGGAAAACAGTATGGAGATTTCTCAAAGAACTAAAAATAGAACTACCGTTTAACCCAGCAATCCCACTACTGGGTATCTACCCAAAGGAAAATAAATTATTTCATCAAAAAGATACCTGCACTTGTATGTTTATCACAGCACTATTCATAATAGCAAAGTCATGAAATCAACCTAAGTGCCCATCAACAGTTGTTTGGATAAAGAAAATGTGGCACACATATACCATGGAATACTATGCAGCCATAAAAAAGAATGAAATCATGTTGCTTACATCAACATGGGTAGAGCTGGAGGTTATTATCCTAAGTGAATTAACTCAGAAATAAACAATTAAGAACTACTCATTCTCCCTTGTAAGTGGAAGCTAAATGATAGGTACACATGGGCACAAAGATGGAAATAATAGACACTGGGGACTCCAAAATGGGGGAGGAAGGGAGGAGGTATAAGGCTGAAAAATGACCTATTGGGTACTGTGTTTGCTATTCAAGTGATGAGTTCACTAGAAGCCCAAGCCTCAGCATTACATAATACAACCAAGTAACAAACCTGCACATGTACCCCCGAACCTAAAATAATAATAAAAATATCCACAAAACCCCTACTGAATAACAAACATAAATAAATAAAATAAAAATTCCTAATTGTGACTTAAATTGATTTTAAAGTTAGTATGTCTCAATCTGGTTTTGAAAAATACTGATCTTTTGACTAGAGCTCTCACGTGGAAGGCAGGATATTCTATTTCAGTACTGACTAATTTTAGGCAACTCACTAAATGTTTCTGTCTTCATTTCTCCATTGGCAAAATGGAGAGATGTCATAAGAGTGAATGTGACTCCTTTGAGAGTATGGACAAGGAAGAATAGGCCATGTCATGGTAATAACTTCTAAATCTCAGTGGTTTAGCACAACAAAGTTCATCTCTTGCTCACAGGACATTCGATGAATGTCAGCAACTTTCCAGGGTACCTGTCCTTGTTGTGACCTAGCAATCTAGGCTGTCTCCATCTTTTGAAACTTCATCCGAATACGTGGCCTCCATGACTGTAGTGGCTGAAGCGGAAAGAGCTAGAGAGTAGCTCTGTCTCTTAAATGCTTCCTCCTTGGCCAGGTGCAGTGGCTCACACATGTAATCCCAGCATTTTGGGAGGCGGAGGCAGGTGGATCACTTCAGGTCAGGAGTTCGAGACCAGCCTGGCCAACATGGTGAAACTCTGTCTCTACAGAAAAATACAAAAATTAGCTGGGCATAGTGGTGTGTACCTGTAGTCCCAGCTACTTGGGATGCTGAGGCAGGAGAATCACTTGAACCCAGGAGGCAGAGGTTGCAGTGAGCCAAGATCGCACCACTGCAGTCCAGCCTGGGTGACAGAGTGAGACTCTGTCTCAAAAAAAAAAAAAAAAAAGAACAAAAAAATGCTTCCTCCTAGAAATGATACACTTCTCCACCCAGCCCATTGGCCCAAACTAATCACATGACTACCTATTTGGAAGAATGTTTGGGAAATTTGAGGGTTCATATGGATATTCTAACAACATTAAGTATTTCATTGAGGTTTCTGGTATGATAAACATTCAAATTTAGACTCCACTTATATTCTCTCATAGCACACTATATTCCCCTTCCTAGTAGTCACCATAGTTGAGATTACATTAATTCCTAATATCTTCTTACTCTCTATTGTAATGATCTGTTTAGTTATTTGTCCCTCCCAAAGCTTCATATAGGCAGGGACCATGTCTGTTTTATTCAGAGTTGTATTTCGAGTTCTGAGCACAGTGCCTGGCGTATAATACAGTAGTTTGCCAAACTTACTGCTGTATTTGTTAAATGAATGAATATGCATATAATCTATATTGCTTGACCTATAGAAGGGAAGAGAGTTTCCCTTCTATGTAAGTGAATGATAAATAAGTGCTTTCAAAAACTGAAAACGAGGATGACAGCATCTACATTATCAGTAATCTGAGAGTGTGGTGGTGGGCTTGATTTGCAGTTATGTCTTTTCAACAACTGAGCACCTATTATTTCTCCGATTGCATACAAAATATTGACATATTCTCTTCAGTGGAAAAAATTGATAAAATAGGAAATCTATAACATTTTAGATTTTTCTAATTATAGTGATTGATTCTGCATTTTCTCTACTCTCTTTTTTTTTTTTTTTTTAACAGACAGAGTCTTATTCTGTTGCTCAGGCTGGAGTGCAGTAGTGTGATCAAAGCTCACTGTGATCTCAAACTCTTGGGCTCAAGTGATCCTGCTGCCTCAGCCTTCTGAGTAGCTAGGGCTACAGGTGTACACCACCACAGCCGGTTAATTTTTAAATTTTTTATAGAGACGGAGTCTGACTATGTTACCCAGGCTGGTCTCGAATTCCTGGCCTCAAGCAATCCTCCCGACTCAGCCTCCCAAAGTGCTGGGATTACAGGCATAAACCACCACGCCTGCCTCTACTCTTTCTTTTAATTTCTTACCTCTTATTACTACGTAAAAGCCTTTAGAATCAGTAAATTTGTGGTAAAACAACTCTGTTTGTATATGGTTCAAATTCATCTTGTTTCACCTGTGAATCTAGCAGAAAATTTTTAAAAATCATGTTTTTATGATCCAGTATTTTATCTCTGGTGTTTGAAGAATCCTTGTGAATATTTATCTCTGTTTCTAAGAAAAGAATAAAGAATTAGTCTGATCTCTTATGACATAAAAAGTGATCTCCTCCCACAACAGAATGTGTTGGGTAGATAACAGTTTTCAACCTCAAAGCTATATATTAAAGTCAGAGACTTAATGTCTCGGCCATTAGATGCAAGCAGAATAATGAAGATAGCTATCCTGAGTTATATTCGGGAGAAAAGATAATATTGGTCTTAATTAGACCAGGGATGAACTCCAGACCAATTTTTTAAAAACTTGGTAATAAGTTATTCTAAGCTTGATTCATTACGTTTCTGAAAAGTCTCCTTTATTTATTTATATTTTTCTTTTCTTTTCTTTTTTTTTTTTGGAGACAGGGTCTAACTGTGTCACCCTGGCTGAAGTGCAGTGGCCTGCATGGCTCACTCAGGCTAGACCTCTCAGGCTCAAGTCATCCTCCCACCTCGGCTTCCTGAGTAGCTGGGACTACAGGTGTGTGCCACCACACCTAGTTTTTGTATTTTTGTAGAGAGGAGATCTGCCTATATGCCTGGGCTGATCCAGAACTCTTGGGCTCAAGTAATCCTTCTGCCTTGGCCTCCCAAAGTGCTGGGATTACAGGCATGAGCCACGTTGCATGACCCTTTTAGTTTTTTTTTTTTTTTTTTAATAATTGAGACAAGGTCTTGCTATGTTGCCCAGGCTGGTCTCCAATTCATGGGCTTAAGCAATCCTCCTGCCTCGGCCTTCCAAAATGCTGGGATTACAGGTGTGAGCCACGGTGGCTGGCCAAAAGTCCCCTTTAATATCTTGATCAGACAAGTTAATTTATTTGGAGTCGTGGATGATTTGAAGTTGATGTCACTACTCCAGCCTTATATAGTAGCTCCGCAGGTACTGCAGAAATGAACAAACAGTTCAGTGCTGGTGTCAGCCTGACCAGTGTGTGGTGGACACTTCCCTTTCTCCCAGATGGTCTTACAGGCAGGCCAGCTGGGCCACTGCCAGAAGCTTCTGATTGCTATTGGAAATGGACCAAACTTCATACATCAGGGGAAGTAAGAGGCAAGCTGTTCTCCATTGTTCAAATTTTTCCATTCAAACTCATATTCCCTTGAGGACCATATGTCTTTTTGCCTGTCTCCAAGTATATTGCCTGCTTTTTCATTCCTTGAAAGGCTCAGTAATACTTTTTTTGGTAAAGTGTTGAAATAGGCTTTTTACTATGAATAGAAGTAGTGATACATTTTCCTTGGCATGGCTTGGACATGCTATTGTTTTCCCAATTATTTTTGTTATGTATTTTGGAGAGTTTTTTTTAATTTTTATTGTTTTGAGACAGAGTTTCGCTCTGTCCACTGCCCAGGCTGGAGTGCAGTGGCGCGATCTTGGCTCACTGCAACCTCTACCTCCCGGCCTCAAGCAATTCTCCTGTGTCAGCCTCCCGAGTAGCTGGGATTAAGGCATGCACCACCATGCCCGGCTAATATTTTTTGTATTTTTAGTAAAAATAGGGTTTCACCATGTTGGTCAGGCTGGTCACGAACTCCTGACCTCAGGTGATCTGCCCGCCTCGGCCTCCCAAAGTGCTGGGATTACAGGCGTGAGCCACCATGCCCAGCCAAAGTTTTTGAATGGCTGAAACCCAGATGCCAGCTGTCCCCAAGGACACCTTCTGTTCTCATTTCATGCAAACCTAGACACATGGCTTGGCATCATTATGCAGTCTCCAGAAAACCCACTTATGAGACAATGGTTACTTAGTATGTGGATTTGAGTCTTTTGCTACATGATCTTTGATACATTAATTAACCTCTCCAAGCCTCAGTTTCCTTACCTCTAAAATGGAGATTATGGTAATAGTACCTACCTCACAGTAGGTACTACTGTGTTGTGAAGATAAAAAAATGATGATTTATGTTAATTGTTCAATAAATTGTAGCTGTTTTTTAATCTGCAATATAGATTTTTAAAAATTAAGGGAAGTTTCTAATGTATATAAAAGTAAAGAGAAAAGTACAATAAACTGCCATGTACTGGTCTTCCAGCTTCAATGATTATTAGTTCATGAACCATCTTATTTCATCTTATTTCTCACTCTTTACCCATTTGAAGCAAATTTCAGATTTCATATAATTTTACTCATAAATATTTCAGTATATATATATATATATATATATAAAATTTATTTTTTTGAGATGGAGTCTCACTCTGTCACCCAGGCTGGAGTGCAATGGCGCCGCTCTTGGCTCACTGCAACCTCTGCCTCCTGCCTCAGCCTCCTGAGTAGCTGAGATTACAGGTGCCTGCCACCATGCCTGGCTAATTTTTGTACTTTTAGTAGAGACAGGGTTTCACTATGTTGGTCAGGCTGGTCTCGAACTCCTGACCACAAGCAATCCACCCGCCTCGGCCTCCCAAAGTGCTGGGATTACAAGCGTGAGCCACTGCGCCCAGCCCTAGTATATGTTTTTGAGAGATAAAAAAGCCTCATGTTGTAAAATAACCATAATGCCATTATCACATATTAACATTAATAAAAATTCCTAAAGGCCACCACCGTGGCTCACACCTGTAATCCCAGCACTTTGGGAGGCCACTGTGGACAGATTGCTTGAGCTCAGGAGTTTGACACCAGCCTGGGCAACATGATGAAACCCTGTCTCTAACAAAAATACAAAAAAAATTAGCCGGGAGTGGTGATGCGCACCTCTGTTCCCAGCTACTCGGGAGGCTGAGTTGGGAGGATCACTTGAGTCTGGGATGTGGAGGTTGCAGTAAGCCGAGGTCTCGCCATTGCACTTTGGCCTGGGCGACAGAGACAGACCCTGTCTCAAGAAAAAAAATTAAAATCTTTTTTTTTTTTCCAAGGCAGAAGAGTTTTTCTTAGTACAGAACAAAATGGAGTCTCCCATGTCTACTTCTTTCTACACAGACACAGTAACAATCTGATCTCTCTTTCTTTTCCCCACATTTCCCTCTTTTCTATTCGACAAAACCGCCATCGTCATCATGGCCCGTTCTCAATGAGCTGTTGGGTACACCTCCCAGACGGGGTGGCGGCCGGGCAGAGAGGCTCCTCACTTCCCAGATGGGGCGGCCGGGCAGAGGCGCCCCCCACCTCCCAGACGGGGCGGCTGGTGGGGAGGGGGCTGCCTCCCACCTCCCTCCCGGACGGGGCAGCTGGCCGGGCGGGGGCTGCCCCCTACCTTCTGGACCGGGTGGCTGCCGGGTGGAGACGCTCCTCACTTCCCAGACGGGGCGGCTGCTGGGCAGAGACGCTCCTCACCTCCCAGACGGGGTGGCGGTCGGGCAGAGACACTCCTCAGTTCCCAGAGGGGGTCGCGGCCGGGCAGAGGCGCTTCTCACATCTCAGACGATGGGCGGTCGGGCAGAGACGCTCCTCACTTCCTAGACGGGATGGCGGCCGGGAAGAGGCGCTCCTCACTTCCCAGACTGGGCGGCCGGGCAGAGGGGCTCCTCACATCCCAGACGATGGGCTGCCAGGCAGAGATGCTCCTCACTTCCTAGACGGGATGGTGGCCGGGAAGAAGCGCTCCTCACTTCCCAGACTGGGCGGCCAGGCAGAGGGGCTCCTCACATCCCAGACGATGGGCGGCCAGGCAGAGATGCTCCTCACTTCCCAGACGGGGTGGTGGCCGGGCAGAGGCTGCAATTTCGGCACTTTGGGAAGCCAAGGCAGGCGGCTGGGAGGTGGAGGTTGTAGCGAGCCGAGATCACGCCACTGCACTCCAGCCTGGGCAACATTGAGCACTGAGTGAGCGACACTCCGTCTGCAATCCCGGCACCTCGGGAGGCCGAGGCGGGCAGATCACTCGCAGTCAGGAGCTGGAGACCAGCCCGGCCAACACGGCGAAACCCTGTCTCCACCAAAAAATACAAAAACCAGTCAGGCATGGCGGCGCGCGCCTGCAATCCCAGGCACTGGGCAGGCTGAGGCAGGAGAATCAGGCAGGGAGGCTGCAGTGAGCCGAGATGGCGGCAGTACAGTCCAGCCTCGGCTCGGCATCAGAGGGAGACCCTGGAGAGGGAGAGGGAGAGGGAGCGGGAGCGGGAGCGGGAGCGGGAGCGGGAGAGGGAGAGGTAAAATTTTTTTTAAAGCCACTGTTCAAGTTTCTAATTGTCTCAAAGATCATAATTTAAAAAACTGATTTACTTGTTTGACTCAGGATGCAATTAATGTCCACACATTGTGATTGTTGATGTGTCTCCTAAGTCTGGCTTAATCCATAATTGTTCTCACCCTTTCTTTGTTTTTTCCCCTTGCAATTTAATTGTCGAAGATTGTCATGTCATGACATTGTCATGTGGATTTTGCTAATTGCACCCCCATAGTGTGTAGCATGTTCCTTTGTCTCCTAAGGTTCTTGTGACCTGGTAGTTAGATCTTGAAGCTTTGTCAGCTTCAAGTTTGAGTTTTCAGCGAGACCACTTCATAGGTTATATAGTCCTTCCATCCATAGGTGTGATTGTCTCTCTGTGATACTAGCAGCCATTGACGGTTAATGCCTAGGTCCATTAATTCATTAGGGATTGCAGAATGGTGACATTCTAATTCTGTCACTCATTCTTCATTTTCTAGCTGAATACAATTTGTTTACACAGTGGAATAGTTTGTATAGGAAGGCAGGATAAATGCTTGATTCTTTCTCTTTATCAGCTTTCAAAATAATAAGCTGGCTCATTAGTATCCTGCAACAGTGATCAATTAGGCTATATTTTGCTGTACTGCCTTTGCAAACTCATAAAGTAAACATATTGGAAATATTTCAAGCTCTTGCTATTATTATTCATATTTATGCTTGAATTGTTTCATCTCTT
This sequence comes from Homo sapiens, assembly GCF_000001405.40. Taxonomy (NCBI): domain Eukaryota; kingdom Metazoa; phylum Chordata; class Mammalia; order Primates; family Hominidae; genus Homo; species Homo sapiens. The sequence goes on along the minus strand of NC_000008.11, from coordinate 97,603,585 downwards.
GCCAGTGGGGCTCTCTTTAGGTTGGCACCTGAGCCCTTTTGACATGATCCTGTGGTCTGTGGTAGCCCCTTCGTTGTCTGATATGACAAGATGTTCTAAGGTCATGTATTTGTCTGGCCCCTAGAATTAGTTCTTTCTAAAGAGTCTTGTTTCTTTTAGTGGGAATAGTATTTAAGGTCACAATTGGGGCACTAGAGTGCTCATTGCTACCTTTTTTGTTGTTATTTCTAGGACTTCTTATCAAACGGAACTAGGAAATATTTTTGGTTTTGTTTTGAAGATAAAATACTGCATTTGTTCATATTGGTACTCCATACTGAAATTCATGACTACAGGATTTTCAGTTAACCTCTTCTATCATTTATTTCCTTCCTCCCATGCCAAGAATCTGGTCTCAGTGACTCTGGGTATGAGAGAATGAACATCATATAATTACTCATTTGCTTTGTCCCAAGTTATACATCAATCTCCGATACCAACATCACAAACTCTGAAATAATTTTACGATTTTTAAAATTATTTTTTCACAGTTCTTTTTATCCTTACAGTATATCCCATTGGGAATGCCCGTAAATTACTGTGTTTTAAATCACTTAAAGTGGTTCCTCTTTGGTGTTATGCCACCAACTGGATATACATGTTCATTTGTTTCCTTTTATTTTTTGATTTTGAGGATTGCTTTTTCATAATTTAATGATAAATTATTTAAATAATTACATGATCCCAAAGTTATATCTACCCAATGAGGCACATTTTAAGAAGTGTAGCCAGGCATGGTGGCACACACCTGTCATCCCAGCACTTTGGGAGCCCGAGGTGGGTGGATTGCTTAAGCCCAGGAGTTTGAGACCAGCCTGGCATTATGGCAAAACCCCATCCCTATAAAGAATACAAAAATTAGCCAGGCATCGTGGCATGAGCCTGTGGTCCCAGCTACTTGAGAGGCTGAGGTGGGAGGATCACTTGAGCCCAGGGAGGTACAGGCTGCAATGAGCCAATATTGCACCACTGCACTCCAGCCTGGGCTATAGAGTAAGACTGTCTCACACACACACACACACACACACACACACACACACAAAGTCTACCTTCCTTCCTTCCTTTCTCTCTCTTTCTTTCTTCCTTTCTTTCTTTCTCTCTTTCTCTCTTTCTCTTTTGTCTTTCTTTCTGACAGAGTCTTGCTCTGTCACCCAGGCTGGAGTGCAGTGCTGCAATCTTGGCTCACTGCAACCTCCACCTCCTGGGTTCAAGTGATTCTTCTGCCTCAGCCTCCTGAGTAGCTGGGATTATAGGCACCCACCACCACACCTAGCTAATTCTGGTATTTTTAGCAGAGGCCCGTTTCACCATGTTGCTCAGGCTGGTCTCGAACTCCTGACCTCAGGTGATCCTCCCACCTCGGCCTCCCAAAGTGCTGGGATTACAGGCATGAGCCACCATGCCCAGCCTTCTGTCTCTTTTTTCTCTACCGTATTTCCTCCCTCCCCGAGAGGTGAGCGTTATGATTTTTTGTTTTATAATTATCCTTTAGTTTTGTTTTAAAAATATAGAAATATAATCATACAAATGTGTGAAATATAAACAAATTTGTAGACTCAGTTCTTTTTTTTTTTTTTTTTTTTTTTGAGACGGAGTTTCTCTCTTGTCGCCCAGGCTGGAGTGCAATAGCATGAGCTCGGCTCACTGCAACCTCCACCTCCCTGTTCACGTGATTCTCCTGCCTCAGCCTCCTGAGTGACTGGGATTACAGGCACCCGCCACAATGCCCAGCTAATTTTTGTGTTTTTAGTAGAGACGGGGTTTCATATTGGCCAGGCTGGTTTTGAACTCCTGACCTCAGGTCATCCGCCTGCCTTGGCCTCCCAAAGTGCTTGGATTATAGGTGTGAGCCACTGCACCCGGCCTAGACTCAGTTCTTATATGTAGCTGGAGCATGCTATACACACTGTCCTAGATCTGGCTTTCTTCACTTAACAACGTATCCTCTCCCCCGCTTTTTTTCCTTTCTCCCCCGACCTCCTCTCCCTTTGACAGCTGTGGAGTCCTCCACTGTTTGGATGCCCCATGTTTTACTCACCTAGTCCCGTATTCAAGGACATTTAGATTATTCCCAGTTGTTTGTTGTTGTTGCAAATAGTGCTACAATGAGTAGCTTTGTGCATATATCTAATTTTAGTTTTGCCAGTGTATGGTTTTGATCAATTTCTAGAAACAGGGCTGTTAGACACAGAAAATTTGAAAGCAGGACAAAAAGTTTAATTTCATTATTTCTGTAATTATTTCACTTCTCCCCAGAACCCTTCTCTACACCAACAGGAACAATCTTTAGACTACAAGCTCCTCACTCTCATGCTTGCTCTTTTCATTGTACAGAGCATGTAAAGTCTCACTCATTCTCTTCCCTCCAACCCTGCTGAGCACCATGCAACAAAGACCTGCCAGATACCAGAACCCTACTGTTGGAAGCCAGTTGGAATAACTCTCTCTCTCAAAGACATTTATTTTTCTTCCCCAAAGGTACCTATCTCAAAGACATTTTTGATCTTTAAGATGTGTACTTACAAAACTCCACTTGTAATGCCCATGTACATACCTTAGAGATAAATACTTCTACACTTTATTTATTTATTTTTTGAGACAGAGTCGTGCTCTGTTGTCCAGCCTGGAGTGCAGTGGCACGATCTCAGCTCACTACAACTTCCGCCTCCTGGGTTCCAGCTATTCTCCTGCCTCAGCCTCCTGAGTAGTTGGGATTACAGGCACATAACACCACACCAGGCTATTTTTTTTTTGTGTGTGTGTGTGTGTATATATATATATATACATTTTTTTTTTTTTTTTTTTTTTTTTTTGTAGGGACAGGGTTTCACCATGTTGGCCAGGCTGGTCTCGAACTCCTGACCTCAGGTGATCTGCCTGCCTTGGCCTCCCAAAGTGTTGGGATTACAGGCATGATCCACCGTGCCTGGCCCCTCTACACTTTAAATCCTGTGAGTCCCAACCAATAAAGCCTGTAGTCCTTGCTTATATGGAGGAAATAGTGAAGAATAAGTTCTCATTGATTGGAAAATAGCCTTTAAACAAACTCCATAGAAATAAATCCAGTGATGACTGATCACTCCCATTGCTGGTTTTCAGTTCTTTTATCCATCTGTGTCCCTCCTGCAAAGCTGATCTGGTTGCTGCCATGGCCAGGAATTACTTGCTCATCTCGGTTTCAGTGCCATCAACATGCACTGGCCACATGTGGAATGTCTTCTGTTTCCAGCCACTGCTTTCCTCAGCAGTTGGCTGAAAGCTCACATTCTCCAGGAAGCTCATTTGATGAACTCCACTCTGTCAAGATCCTTTTTGTAATGCACATGCCTCAAGTTTAGAGCTGCAGAATTTAGCAAAGAATAATACAAGATGCCCAGTTAAACTTGAATTTCAGATACATGATGAATACTTTTTTTCTTTTTTAGCATGAGACATGCTATACATAACCTAAAAATTATTTGTTGTTTATGAAATTCAAGTTTAACTGGTGGTCCTGTATTTCACCTGACAACCAAGTCGTAAAGGTCATGAAAAACAAACAATCCCCATTGTTATACTTGTTTATTATGTTGCTTTCAACATTTTCTTTTCTTTTCTTTTTTTTTTTTTGGTGGAGAAGGGGTTTCACCATGTTGGTCAGGCTGGTCTCCAACTCCTGAGCTCAAGCGATCTGCCTGCCTTGGCGTCCCGAAGTGCTGGGGTTACAGGCAAGAGCCACCATGTCTGGCCTCAAAATTTTCTTTAAAATCTTTTTTCTTTTTTATTTATCTTATTTTGCTTTTCTCCCCCTGTCTTATGGTGGTGATCAAAATTTCCTATGAGTGATTTTATGTATATACTTTGTTCTCTAAGTAGATCATAAACTTGAAAGTGGAAACTGTCTTCTGCTTTCTGTAACCCCTCCCCCACCACACTCCCAACACTATGCTAGTTATCAATTCCAAGTTAATGTTTGATGAATGAATAAATCCTCAAAATAAGCTTTGTTTTCCATTAAAGAGAAAACAACCTCCATCCTTGTGAGAACTTTGTGATTTAAATATAAAACAATATAAAGCTAATTTAAAATTTTTTATTTATTTATATTTTTTGAGACAGGATCTCACTTTGTCACCAAGGCTCACTGAAGCCTCAAACTCCTGGGCTCAAATGATCCTCCTGCCTTAGGCTCCCCAGTGGCTGGGACCACAGGTGTACACCACCACGCCAGGCTAATTTTTAGAAGTTTTAGTAAAGACGAGGTCTCGCTATATTGCCCAGGCTTGTCTCGAACTCCTGGGCTCAAGTGATCCTTTTGCCTTGGCCTATCGAAGTGCTGGGATTATAGGTATGAGCCACACCAGGGCTAAAAATTACTCTTGAACCAATCTAAATGTCTAAGGCTGATGGGAGTAAAATCAGAAGTTACTTTCATTTACTGTATTTTATCCTTACAAAATTATACCATTATCCTACCTGCAATATACATTTACATTAATTAAATGTAGTAGCTACTTCTTGCTTCAATTAAAAAATAAGATAAAATTGTAGTAGCAGTTGCTTCTAATTGCATTAATCGCTAAATGCAAAAAATTGTGTTATGCCAGAGTCAGTTATCTGCGAATTCCAGTGTCAGCAGAGCTCCAGCCCTTTTAAATCGGCAGAAGGGGTCAACTTCAGTTTTGATTTCTTTCTACTACTGAGAATTAATTCGCTGGCTTCTACTTCCAAAGTTTCAAAAGCAGAGGCTAATATTTGAAGGCCATTGATTGGGTGAAATAGTTAATTGAGAAAACTCAATAACCAGCATCAAGTTTGTGTTAGCAATTGAGCGGGGTGCAGTTAAAGCAGACATGAATTGCAGTGACAGAAGCAGTTTAATTAGCTGTCAATTTTCTAAACAAAACGTTCTGGTGTAGGTCAGGATTTTGAAACTTTCATCTTGGTTTCTGCAGGAACTGGCAAGGTTGAAAAGGGAAGCGGCTGGAGGGTGTTTCATCGCTGGGACGTTGTACACAAAGCAACCAGACAATGAAAAAGGAAGGAGGTTGGACAGGGTGGGTGGGGTGCGCGGAATAGGAGAGGAGCTCTTCTTTATTTAAAGGGAACAAAAAGGGAAACGGTGGTTCAGAGGCCGAGAAGAGGTCTGACTGGAGGGAATCTAACTGGAGGAATTAGTTTTTCTTAAACAGGGAATGGTTTGGGGTCCCTGTGGTAGGAAGAAAGAAGTAGGAGTAGAATAGGAGGATCCCATTTTAGCCCGCCAGGGCTCTGGTAAGAGGACCCGCGCTGCGGGGTTAGGGCAGTTCTAGGCTGGGCGAACGGCCCCACCGCAAGCTCCAATTAGGGTACGGTGTAAAGAAGCATTACAAACAGGCTCTGCTGAGATGAGAGACGGAATCAAACATTGTTTTAAAAAGGAAAATTATTAGAAAGGAAAAACATTAGACCTTATTTTAAAACAATGTTTTTTTTTGGTTATTAAATAAAATTTTTCTGAATAAAAATCTTTAATCTGGGGCTGGGTGTGGTGGCTCATGCCTGTAATCTCAGCGCTTTGGGAGGTCGAGGTGGGAGGATCTCTTGAGCCGGGGAGATCAAGGCTGTAGTGAGTCATGATCTCGCCACTGCATTACAGCCTGGGTAAGAGTGAGACCACCTCTTTCAAAAAGGAAAAAAAAAAAAAAAAGAATACATATATATATTACAGACACATACATATTTAATTTTTTATTAGAAAGATGGTATGGAAGTCATAGTTACAGATCTCTGTATTTGAGTATATAGAGCCATCATCAGAATTTTTTTCACCAAATTATTAAAAGCTTTAATCAAAATACTATCTGCAATCTCACCACTGGGATATAACAATTGTAACATTTTGATACGTGTCTTTCTAGAAAATGCATGTGTCTAAATATAGATATATTGGATGTTTAAGAAGACAATGAGATCACACTTTACATTATAATGCTAGCTACAGTTGCCGAGAGCTTATTGTATGTCAGACACTATTCTTGGACTTTACCTGTAATACTCGGTTTAATTTCCACAGCAATGTGGTGAGGCAGTAATATCACTTTCATTTTACAGTAATATCATTTGCATTTAACCTAGAGAGGTTAAGAAAATTCCCCAAGGTCACAGCTAATAGTAGGACTATGAACCCAGACCATTTGGCTCTAGATAGTGTGCTTTTAGCTGTTATAACAAATTACCTTCTATGTTAGTGTCCTTTAATCTGCTTTCTAGTCACTTAACAACAGTGTATAATGGACGTCTTTCCATGTCAAATATAGAGCTTGGTCATTAGTAAGGTATCGTAATGTATGCATTCAATCCACCACTGACGGGCATTTAAGTTGTTTTACATTTTTTGCTATTGTATACTGTGATGGTTAATTTTATGTGTCAACTTGATTGGGCCATGGGGTGTGCAGATATTTGGTTAAACATTATTCTGGGGAGGCTGAGGCGGGCAGATCACCTGAGGTTGGGAGTTCAAGACCAGCCTAGCCAACATTGTTAAACCCTGTCTCTACTGAAAATACAAAAATTAGCCAGGCGTGGTGGCATGCTCTTGTAATCCCAGCTACTCGGGAGGCTGAAGCAGGAGAATCGCTTGAATCCAGGAGGAGGAGGTTGTAGTGAGCTGAGATTGTGCCGCTGCACTCCAGCCTGGGTGACAGAGCAAGACTCTGTCAGAAGAAGAAGAAGAAGGAGAAGAAGAAGAAGGAGAAGGAGAAGGAGAAGAAGTAGAAAAAAACCATTATTCTGAAAACACATTTTAAAGCATAAAAAGATAAATAAAGGGCTGGGGGTGATGGCTCACACCTGTAATCCTAGCACTTTGAAGGCTGAGGTGGGAAGATCACTTGAGCCCAGGAGTTTGAGAACACCTGGGCAACATTGTGAAACCCCATCTCTACAAAAAACAAGAATAAAGTTTAAAAAATAACAACAAAAACATCCTGGGAGTGTCGTGAGTGCTTTTGGATGAGATGAACATTTGAATTGGTAGGCTGAGTAAAGCCGATTGCCTTCCCCAATGTAGGTGGGCATCATCCAATCTGTCATAGGTCCGAATAGAACAAAAAGGCTTCATGAGGAAGAATTTGCTCTTTCTGTCTTTCAGCCAGGACATTGGTCTTCTGCCTTCAGACTCTGGCGGGAGCTTACCTCAGCTCTCCTGGTTCTCGGGCCTTTGGACTTGGACTGGAACTACACCATCTGCTCTCTTGGGCACTTCTCAGCCTCTGTAATCATGTGAGCTGACAGCTTATGGTAAATCTGTTTCTAGCTATCTATCTATCTGTATATCATATTGGTTCTGTTTTTCTGGAGAACCCAGACTAATACATGTACATACATCTTGTTCATTTAGTCCTATTATTTTCTGTAGTTTATCTCTAAAAGTCTGGTTTCTTGGTTAAAGGCTTTTGTGGTTCTTTTGGGTAACATTTTGAGATCACTTTGATAAAGATTCTCAATGAACATTCCGTCAGGCTGGGCTCTGAAAGTTTGCAAGCTAACCTTGAAGTTGGACTCTCATGGCAGAGACTCTCTAGTGCCACCTAGTGGCACCATCTCCAAATTGTAGTAGCAACATTTTGAGGTCATTCAAAAACAATTCAGGAAACTGCCTTGAGCAAAATGGTCTCAATTTTCCATTATTATATATAATACTACAATCATCAAATATATTCATGTTTCAAATTATTTCCTTAGGGGAGAGATTCTTAGAAATGCTATCATGTTGTCAAAAGGTATAAACATTAAAAATTATTGTCTCGTAAGTATAATACATATTACAAATGTAATACAGAATAAAATTACATTAGGAGGGGCGAGCCAAGATGGCCAAATAGGAACAGCTCCAGTCTACAGCTCCCAGCGTGAGCGATGCAGAAGACGGGTGATTTCTGCATTTCCATCTGAGGTACCGGGTTCATCTCACTAGGGAGTGCCAGACAGTGGGCGCAGGACAGTGGGTGCAGCACACCGTGCGCGAGCTGAAGCAGGGCGAGGCATTGCCTCACTCGGGAAGCGCAAGGGGTCAGGGAGTTCCCTTTCCTAGTCAAAGAAAGGGGTGACAGACGGCACCTGGAAAATCAGGTCACTCCCACCCTAATACCTTTTCCGACGGGCTTAAAAAATGGCGCACTAGGAGATTATATCCCACACCTGGCTCGGAGGGTCCTACCCCCACGGAGTCTCACTGATTGCTAGCACAGCAGTCTGAGATCAAACTGCAAGGCGGCAACCAGGCTGGGGGAGGGGCGCCCGCCATTGCCCAGGCTTGCTTAGGTAAACAAAGCAGCTGGGAAGCTGGAACTGGGTGGAGCCCACCGCAGCTCAAGGAGGCCTGCCTGCCTCTGTAGGCTCCACCTCTGGGGGCAGGGCACAGACAAACAAAAAGACAGCAGTAACCTCTGCAGACTTAAATGTCCCTGTCTGACAGCTTTGAAGAGTGCAGTGGTTCTCCCAGCATGCAGCTGGAGATCTGAGAACGGCAGACTGCCTCCTCAAGTGGGTCCTTGACCCCTGACCCCCAAGCAGCCTAACTGGGAGGCGCCCCCCAGTAGGGGCAGACTGACACCTCACATGGCCGGGTACTCCTCTGAGACAAAACTTCCAGAGGAGCGATCAGACAGCAGCATTCGCGGTTCATGAAAATCCGCTGTTCTGCAGCCACCGCTGCTGGTACCCAGGTAAACAGGGCCTGGAGTGGACCTCTAGCAAACTCCAACAGACCTGCAGCTGAGGGTCCTGTCTGTTAGAAGGAAAACTAACAAACAGAAAGGACATCCACACCAAAAACCCATCTGTACATCACCATCATCAAAGACCAAAAGTAGATAAAACCACATAGATGGGGAAACAACAGAGCAGAAAAACTGGAAACTCTAAAAAGCAGAGCGCCTCTCCTCCTCCAAAGGAACGCAGTTCCTAACCATCAATGGAACAAAGCTGGACGGAGAACGACTTGGACGAGTTGAGAGAAGAAGGCTTCAGATGATCAAACTACCCCGAGCTACAGGAGGAAATTCAAACCAAAGGCAAAGAAGTTGAAAACTTTGAAAAAAATTTAGATGAATGTATAACTAGAATAACCAATACAGAGAAGTGCTTAAAGGAGCTGATGGAGCTGAATGCCAAGGCTCGAGAACTACATGAAGAATGCAGAAGCCTCAGGAGCCGATGTGATCAACTGGAAGAAAGGGTATCAGTGATGGAAGATGAAATGAATGAAATGAAGCGAGAAGGGAAGTTTAGAGAAAAAAGAATAAAAAGAAACGAACAAAGCCTCCAAGAAATATGGGACTATGTGAAAAGACCAAATCTACATCTGATTGGTGTACCTGAAAGTGACAGGGAGAATAGAACCAAGTTGGAAAACACTATGCAGAATATTTTCCAGGAGAACTTCCCCAATCTAGCAAGGCAGGCCAACATTCAGATTCGGGAAATACAGAGAACGCCACAAAGATACTCCTTGAGAAGAGCAACTCCAAGACACATAATTGTCAGATTCACCAAAGTTGAAATGAAGGAAAAAATGTTAAGGGCAGCCAGAGAGAAAGGTCGGGTTACCCATAAAGGGAAGCCCATCAGACTAACAGCGGATCTCTCGGCAGAAACTCTACAAGCCAGAAGAGAGTGGGGGCCAATATTCAACATTCTTAAAGAAAAGAATTTTCAACCCAGAATTGCATGTCCAGCCAAACTAAGCTTCATAAGTGAAGGAGAAATAAAATACTTTACAGACAAGCAAATGCTGAGAGATTTTGTCACCACCAGGCCTGCCCTAAAAGAGCTCCTGAAGGAAGCACTAAACATGGAAAGGAACAACCAGTACCAGCCACTGCAAAATCATGCCAAATTGTAAAGACCATCGAGGCTAGGAAGAAACTGCATCAACTAACGAGCAAAATAACCAGCTAACATCATCATGACAGGATCAAATTCACACATAACAATATTAACTTTAAATGTAAATGGACTAAATTCTCCAATTAAAGACACAGACTGGCAAATTGGATAAAGAGTCAAGACCCATCAGTGTGCTGTATTCAGGAAACCCATCTCACGTGCAGAGACACACATAGGCTCAAAATAAAAGGATGGAGGAAGATCTACCAAGCAAATGGAAAACAAAAAAAGGCAGGGGTTGCAATCCTAGTCTCTGATAAAACAGACTTTAAACCAACAAAGATCAAAAGAGACAAAGAAGGCCATTACTTAATGGTAAAGGGATCAATTCAACAAGAAGAGCTAACTATCCTAAATATATATGCACCCAATACAGGAGCACCCAGATTCATAAAGCAAGTCCCGAGTGACCTACAAAGAGACTTAGACTCCCACACAATAATAATGGGAGACTTTAACACCCCACTGTCAACATTAGACAGATCAATGAGACAGAAAGTTAACAAAGATACCCAGGAATTGAACTCAGCTCTGCACCAAGTGGACCTAATAGACATCTACAGAACTCTCCACCCCAAATCAACAGAATATACATTTTTTTCAGCACCACACCACACCTATTCCAAAATTGACCACATAGTTGGAAGTAAAGCTCTCCTCAGCAAATGTAAAAGAACAGAAATTATAACAAACTGTCTCTCAGACCACAGTGCAATCAAACTAGAACTCAGGATTAAGAAACTCACTCAAAACCGCTCAGCTACATGGAAACTGAACAACCTGCTCCTGAATGACTACTGGGTACATAACAAAATGAAGGCAGAAATAAAGATGTTGTTTGAAACCAACGAGAACAAAGACACAACATACCAGAATCTCTGGGACACATTCAAAGCAGTGTGTAGAGGGAAATTTATAGCACTAAATGCCCACAAGAGAAAGCAGGAAATATCCAAAATTGACACCCTAACATCACAATTAAAAGAACTAGAAAAGCAAGAGCAAACACATTCAAAAGCTAGCAGAAGGCAAGAAATAACTAAAATCAGAGCAGAACTGAAGGAAATAGAGACACAAAAAACCCTTCAAAAAATTAATGAATCCAGGAGCTGGTTTTTTGAAAGGATCAGCAAAATTGATAGACCGCTAGCAAGACAAAGAAGAAAAGAGAGAAGAATCAAATAGACGCAATAAAAAATGATAAAGGGGATATCACCACCAATCCCACAGAAATACAAACTACCATCAGAGATACTACAAACACCTCTATGCAAATAAACTAGAAAATCTAGAAGAAATGGATAAATTCCTCGACACATACACCCTCCCAAGACTAAACCAGGAAGAAGTTGACTCTCTGAATAGACCAATAACAGGCTCTGAAATTGTGGCAATAATCAATAGCTTACCAACCAAAGAGTACAGGACCAGATGGATTCACAGCCGAATTCTACCAGAGGTACAGGGAGGAACTGGTACCATTCCTTCTGAAACTATTCCAATCAATAGAAAAAGAGGGAATCCTCCCTAACTCATTTTATGAGGCCAGCATCATCCTGATACCAAAGCCAGGCAGAGACACAACCAAAAAAGAGAATTTTAGACCAATATCCTTGATGAACATTGATGCAAAAATCCTCAATAAAATACTGGCAAACCGAATCCAGCAGCACCTCAAAAAGCTTATCCACCATGATCAATTTGGCTTCATCCCTGGGATGCAAGGCTGGTTCAACATATGGAAATCAATAAATGTAATCCAGCATATAAACAGAACCAAAGACAAAAACCACATGATTATCTCAATAGATGCAGAAAAGGCCTTTGACAAAATTCAACAACCCTTCATGCTAAAAACTCTCAATAAATTAGGTATTGATGGGACGTATCTTAAAATAATAAGAGCTATCTATGACAAACCCACAGCCAATATCATATTGAATGGGCAAAAACTGGAAGCATTCCCTTTGAAAACTGGCACAAGACAGGGATGCCCTCTCTCACCACTCCTATTCAACATAGTGTTGGAAGTTCTGGCCAGGGCAATCAGGCAGGAGAAGGAAATAAAGGGTATTCAATTAGGAAAAGAGGAAGTCAAATTGTCCCTGTTTGCAGATGACATGATTGTATATCTAGAAAACCCCATTGTCTCAGCCCAAAATCTCCTTAAGCTGATAAGGAAGTTCAGCAAAGTCTCAGGATACAAAATCAATGTACAAAAATCACAAGCATTCTTATACACCAATAACAGACAAACAGAGAGCCAAATCATGAGTGAACTCCCATTCACAATTGCTTCAAAGAGAATAAAATACCTAGGAATCCAACTTACAAGGGATGTGAAGGACCTCTTCAAGGAGAACTACAAACCACTGCTCAATGAAATAAAAGAGGATACAAAGAAATGGAAGAACATTCCATGCTCATGGGTAGGAAGAATCAATATCGTGAAAATGGCCATACTGCCCAAGGTAATTTATAGATTCAATGCCATCCCCATCAAGCTACCAATGACTTTCTTCACAGAATTGGAAAAAACTACTTTAAAGTTCATATGGAACCAAAATAGAGCCCGCATTGCCAAGTCAATCCTAAGCCAAAAGAACAAAGCTGGAGGCGTCACGCTACCTGACTTCAAACTATACTACAAGGCTACAGTAACCAAAACAGCATGGTACTGGTACCAAAACAGAGATATAGATCAATGGAACAGAACAGAGCCCTCAGAAATAACGCCACATATCTACAACTATCTGATCTTTGACAAACCTGAGAAAAACAAGCAATGGGGAAAGGATTCCCTATTTAATAAATGGTGCTGGGAAAAGTTGCTAGCCATATGTAGAAAGCTGAAAGTGGATCCCTTCCTTACACCTTATACAAAAATTAATTTAAGATGGATTAAAGACTTAAACGTTAGACCTAAAACCATAAAAACCCTAGAAGAAAACCTAGGCAATACCATTCAGGACATAGGCATGGGCAAGGCCTTCATGTCTAAAACACCAAAAGCAATGGCAACAAAAGCCAAAATTGATAAATGAGATCTAATTAAACTAAAGAGCTTCTGCACAGCAAAAGAAACTACCACCAGAGTGAACAGGCAACCTACAAAATGGGAGAAAATTTTTGCAACCTACTCATCTGACAAAGGGCTAATATCCAGAAGCTACAATGAATTCAAACAAATTTACAAGAAAAAAACAAACAACCCCATCAAAAAGTGGGCAAAGGACATGAACAGACACTTCTCAAAAGAAGACATTTATGCAGCCAACAGACACGTGAAAAAATGCTCACCATCACTGGCCATCAGAGAAATGCAAATCAAAACCACAATGAGATACCATCTCACACCAGTTAGAATGTCAATCATTAAAAAGTCAGGAAACAACAGGTGCTGGAGATGATGTGGAGAAATAGGAACACTTTTATACTGTTGGTGGGACTGTAAACTAGTTCAACCATGGTGGAAGTCAGTGTGGCGATTCCTCAGGGATCTAGAACTAGAAATACCATTTGACCCAGCCATCCCATTACTGAGTATATACCCAAAGGACTATAAATCATGCTGCTATAAAGACACATGCACACGTATGTTTATTGCGGCACTATTCACAATAGCAGAGACTTGGAACCAACCCAAATGTCCAACAATGATAGACTGGATTAAGAAAATGTGGCACATATACACCATGGAATACTATGCAGCCATAAAAAATGATGAGTTCATGTCCTTTGTAGGGACATGGATGAAATTGGAAATCATTCTCAGTAAACTATCACAAGGACGAAAAACCGAACACCACATGTTCTCACTCATAGGTGGGAATTGAACAATGAGAACACATGGACACAGGACGGGGAACATCACACTCTGGGGACTGTTGTGGGGTGTGGGGAGGGGGGAGGGATAGCATTAGGAGATATACCTAATGCTAAATGACGAGTTAATGGGTGCAGCACACCAGCATAGCACATGTATACATATGTAACTAACCTGGACATTTTGTACATGTACCCTAAAACTTAAAGTATAATAAAAAAAATTACATTAAAGTACAAGAAAAATAAAATGAATTATAATTTCATTAGCCAGAAAAACTACATTTAAAGGTACCATTTAAGTACATTTATTTTAATTTTTAAAAAAATTTTAAAATTTTGAGATGGAGTCTCAAAAAACGATCCATTGAGTCCAGAAGGTTGAGGCTGCAGTGAGCTGTGTTCATGCCACTGCACTCCAGTCTGAGTGAGAAAGTGAGACCCTGCCTCAAAAAAAAAAAAGGTTACTAAACTGGTCTCTTTAGCAAGAGGAGTTCAATTTCATAAATAATAGTTTAATTAAAAATAGCTTATATTTGAGCCCAGGAGTTCCAGGTTGCAGTGAGCCGTAATTGCACCATTGCACT